>NC_000023.11:92462542-93087542 GCF_000001405.40 Homo sapiens | reverse complement strand
ATAATGATAAAGGAATCAATTCAGCAAGAAAATATTTCAATTTTAAATATATATATAATGTATTTTTAGGGCTACAGAGGGAGATAGGCCCCAATACAATAATAGCTAGAGACACCAACACCTCACATTCAACATTAGACAGATTCTTCAGACAGAAAATCAACAAATAAACATTGGACTTAATTTGTGCTATAAATCAAGTGAATCTAAAGAATATGCATAGAACACTTCATCCAATGGCTGCAGAACACACATTCTTTTCCTCAGCGTATGGATTATTCTCCAGGATAAACCATATGTTAAGTCACAAAACAAGTCTTAGAACAGTCAAAATATTGAAATAATATCCAACAATTTCTCTAAACAGAATGAAATAAAACTAGAAATCCCTAAGAAAAGAAATTTGGGAACTTACACAAATACATCTGATATGGTTTGTTTGTGTCCGCACCCAAATCTCATCTTGAATTGTAGTTCACATAATCTTCATGTGTCATGGGAGACTCCTGGTGAGAGGTAACTGAATCGTGGAAGCAGGGTTTTCCCATGCTATTCTCATGATAGTGAATAAGTCTCATGAGATCTGATGGTTTTATAAAGGGGAGGTCTCCTGCACATGCTGTCTTGACTGCCACCATGTAAGATGTGGCTTTGCTCCTCTTTGCCTTCCACCATGATTATGAGGCCTCCTGAGCCATGTGGAACCGTGAGTCAATTAAACCTCTTTCCTTTGTAAATTACCCAGTCTTGAGGATGTCTTTATTAGCAGCATGAGAACAGACTAATACAATATGAAATTAATAATATGCTCCTGAACAAAAAGTGGGTCAATAAATAAAGAAGAAAATCAAAAAATTTTTAAACACATGATAATGAAACCACAGCAGACCAAAACCTATGGCCTACAGTAAAAGCAGTGATCATAGGGGAGTTTACAGCAATAAGTGCTTACATCAAAAAAGAGAAAAAGCTTTAAATATAAAATCTAATGAGGCATCTTAAGGAACTAGAAAAGCAAGAGCAAACCAAACTCAAATTAAGTAGAAGAAAATAAATAATAAAAATCAGAGCATAAATAAAATTGAAATGAAATAAAATACAAAAGATCAATGAACAAAAAGTTGCTTATTCAAAAAGTTAAACAAAATTGACAAAGCTTTAGTCAGACTTACTAAGAAAAAAAAGAAGATCCAAACAAAATCAGAAATTAAAAAGAAGACATTACAACTGATACTACAGTAATTTAAAGGATTATTAGTGGCTACTATGAGCAAATATATGCCAGTAAAATAGAAAATATATAAAAAAAAAATGGACAAATTCCTGGACCTGCAAGCTACTAAGATTCAACCAGGAAGAAATCCAAAACCTGAACAGACCAATATCAAGTAATGAGATCAAAGCCATAATAAAAAGTCTCCCAGCAAAGAAAAGCTCAGGACCTGACGGTTTCACTGCTTAATTAATCCAAACATTTAAAGAAGATCTAATATCAATCAAACTCGAGCTATTCTAAAAAATAGAGGAGGGAATAATTCCAAACACATCCTATGAGTTCAGTAATTACCCTGATACTGAAACCAGAAAAAGACACATCAAAAAAAAAGAAGAAGAAAACTATAGGCCAATATCTCTTATGAGTATTGATCCAAAAATCCTCACCAAAATACTAGCAAATGAAATTCAACAATACATTACGAAGATTATTTGTCATGACCAGGGTTAAAGTAGGATTTAATCTTGGGATGCAAAGATGTTTGAACATACACAAATTAATATGATACATCAAACCGAGAGATTGAAGATCATTTCAATTGATTCTGAACAAAGTTGATAAAATTGAACATTGCTTCATAATAAAAACCCTCAAAAAACTGGATATAGAAGAAATTTGCCTCAACATAATTAAGGCCATTTACAACAGACCCACAAATAGTATCATACTGAATGGAGAAAAACTGAAAGCCTTTTATATAACATCTGGAAGACAACATGGATGCCCTGTGTCACCACTGTTATTCAACATAGTACTGGGAGTCCTAGCTGGAGCAACCATACAAGAGAAAGATATAAAGTGCACCCAAACTAAAAAGGAAGAAGTCAAATTATCCCTGTTTGCAGATGATATGCTTTTACATTTGGAAAAACCTAAAAATTCCACTAGAAAATTATAAGAACTGATCAATTTCAGTGAAGTTTCAGGATACAAAATCAATATACAAAAACCAGTAGCATTTCTATATGCCAGCAGTGAAAAGTGTAAAATATAAGTGAAAAACAATAGTCACAAGTAAAATGTAATACCTAGGAATTAACCAGAGTGAAAGATCTCTTAATGAAAATTGTAAAACTGAAGGAGACAACAAAAAATTTAAAAAATATTCTATGTTCATGGATTGGGAAAATCACTATTGGTAAAATGTCCATACTATCCAAAGCAATCTGCAGATTTAATGCAATCCCTATTAAAATATCAATGACATTCTTCATGGAAATCGAAAAAAAAATCATGCAATTTATATGGAAACATCAAATGCCTGGAATAGCCAAAGCTACCCTGAACAAAATGAACAAAACTGGAAGATCACCTTACCTGACTTCAAATTATGCTACAGAGCTATAGTAACCAAAAGAGCATGATACTAGCATAAAAGCAGACACATCGATGAATGGAAAACTATAGAGAACCCAGAAACAAATCCACATACCTACAATCAACTAATTTTTTACAAAGATGCCAAGAACACATGCTGGGGAAAAACAGTTTCTTCAATAAATGTTACAGGGAAAACTAGTTATCTGTATTCAAAAGAATTAAACTAGACCCCTATCTCTTACCATATATAAAAATCAAATCAAAATAGATTAAGGGCTTAAATTTAAGACCTCAAATCATAAAACTACTACAAGAAAACATTGGGAAAAATCTTCACGACATTGGTCTGGGCAAAAATTTGTTGAGTAATATGCAAGTGCAGGTAATCAAAGCAAAGATTGACAGATGTGATCACATTAAGTTAAAAAGCTTCTGCAGAGCAAAATATACAATCAACAAAGTGAAGAGACATTCACAAAATGGGATAAAATATTTGCAAGCTACCCATCTGACCAGGAATTAATAACCATAATATTTAAGGAGCTCAAGCAACTCTATAGGTAAAAATCCAATAATCTGATCAAACAAAAGGGCAAAAATTTGAATAGACATTTCATAAAAGATATACAAATGACAAATAGACATATGAAAAGGTGCTCAACATCATTAATTATTAAAGAAATGCTCTATCCTCTTTATGACAGAATAACACAGAAAAGACAAAGTCAAAGGAAAATACTATTTCTGGGAAAGAAGGGATCAAGGGTAGGAAAATTCATACCATAAAGTGCACCAGAGTTGCTACATCCAAGACTACTTACACTAATTTTGTTCTCCCATTATATAAAATTTTGCAGAAAATAAAGAGAATAACAGTGATTTCTACCATGTGCTTGGTAAGAAATTCTTACACTTCTTCTGGCTTATTAGATTCTGGGTTCCATTCACTGCGATTTCAGGAAGAGCAGAGCTTTGGTATACTGTGCACAGTGCCAAAACAGTCAGGGTCACGGGAAAACTTCCTCTTTACTCTCTGAAGTTTCACTAAAAAATCAACTTACAAGTGGCAGATTAACTGGGAAAAAGGCGCACAAATTTATGAATGTGCACATGGGGGAGAACAATAGTTATTATCTCCCAGCCCCCTAATGGGATTCAGAAGCTTATATACCATCTTGAAGTTACTGAAAGAATTGGGGCTTGGCATAAAAAAGTGCAAAATAATGTCTTTTGCAGCAATTTGGATGAAATTGGAGGCCATTATTCTAAGTGAAGTAACTCAAGAATGGAAAACAAAATACTGTATGTTCTGACCTATCAGTGGGAGCTAAGCTAAGAGTACACAAAACCATGCAGAGTGGTATAATGGACATTAGAAACTCAAAAAAAGAGTGGGTGGGAGTGGGGTGATAGATTAAAAAAAAACCTACATATTGGGCGCAGTGTACACTACTCAGTTGATGGGTGCACTAAAATCTCAGACTTCACCACTATACAATTCATCCATATAACCAAAAACCACATATATCCTAAAGCTATTGAAATAAAAAAGAATGGGCATGGCCTGGGCACCATGGCTCAAGCCTGTAATCCCAGAACTTTGGGAGGCCAAGGTGGGCTAATCACTTGAGGTCAGGAGTTCCAGACCAGCGTAGCCAACATGGTGAAAACTTGTATCTATTGAAAATACCAAAAAAATTTAGCTGTGTGTGGTGGCGCCCGCCGGTAGTGCCAGCTATGGGGGAGGCTGAAGCATGAGAATCACTTAAACCTGGGAGACAGAGGTTGCAGTGAGCCAACATCATGCCTCTGTACTCCGGCCTGGGTGACCCAGGAGACTCCATCTCAAATAAAATAAAACAAAACAAAATAAAATAAAATAAAATAAAATAAAATAAAATAAAATAAAATAAAATAAAATAAAAAAGAATGGAGGCTTGGATCCTGGAAAAACAGGTTATGGAAAAGATGAGAAGAGGAATTGTGTTGAGGGGCAATAAATGATTACTAGGGAGAATGAGTAGATCAGGGTACACAAATAGTTCTCTTCGGAAATTGAATAATCCTTATAGATATATCTTTTAAACGGGTCTGTTTTGGTGTGGTTATATAATTGGTCTTCTTTTCTGCAATAGACAATAAGATAACTCACAGGGGAGAAGAAAAACAATTATTTTCCTTGGTAGGTCCAGACTTCAGACAGATAAAGGAATTTCAGAAAACAATTTCATCCTGTGCTGTGGGAGAGACCAGTGGGTATGTCAGGGTCAGCAAGACTTTCAGGCTTCATCATCAGTTTAGCATGTTATAGTGCCATATTTTGGGGTATCAGTTTCTGGGTCCTGACACTCCAACTTTCCAGTGGGGTTCAGCAGCTTATGTACAATCTTGAAGTTACAGAAAGAATGGGGTCTGAGAGTATGACCAAATACTGGTTAAGACAGTAAATCCAGTTATAGTGGTAAGACACATTATGAGATGAAAAGAAGAGGAGGTTTGCCTAGCAAAATGATTCTTATGTAGATGAAAGCACAGAGGTAGCAGCCCTCAGAATAGATGGCAAATGCTTCTTCAGACATTTAAATGTTTCAAACTCAGTTGATCTTTCCTAGATAAAGGGAAACCTCAGAAAAAAATGTGGCTGCATTAGTACAGATTCTCTACAGATGCAAATCCCCCTCTAAAATCAAGGAAGATTACTTCTATTTGCTGGCTCTCCTAACCACCATCTCAAAATATGTCAAAGTAGTGTATTTTGGGGTAAAATACATAATTTCCTTCAATAATAACATATGAAAGAGAAAATATGAATGTCTTATAAGCTAACTTGAAAATAATTTTTTTTAAATGCGTACCAAAGATTGTACACCATGGGAGACCATTAGTTACAAGGAAGTGCCCAAGAGTATGTCAGCAGAAGCCTTCACAAGTTTATTGGTGGCTGCTATAGTCTTAAGTTAAGCAGGGTATCAAAAAGACACTGTAATAAGCTATGAGTCATTGGCGGTTTCTATGTAGCTGAGTTGAAACAGCAAAGGCCTGACCTGATCACTCTGAATAATCAGAGTATTTCTTCACAGCAGTATGAAAATGGACTAATACACATGCAATATGAGAAATCTCGTTGAAGCAATCTTGAAAAAGGCAGTTTGGCTCACTATGCCATCTGATGGTAAATAATATTATGGCATTTGTTACATGTGTTAAATATAAAAATCTCAGAACATATGTACTATCAAAGTATAAATTAACTTATATTTAATACAAAAGAAAGAAACCCACCTTTGACTCACAGCACGAATAAAAATGTTGATATAGTAAATGTATATATTTGATATATTAAAATGTATAGTATTTCATCACCAAGTTACCTTCAAACTCTTTTTCTCGTCTCTCCAAGAGTCGTATTTAACCCAATACTACAGAAATTTAGATGTAAAAACTTTTTTCAACTTGATAATTGTTTGATCTGACAATGAAAAATTACATATATCTCTGTTTCTCCGCTGAAATAGAAAGAATGTACTTGCTGCTAACTGAATATTTTTCACAACTAGTAATATAAAATAGAGAAGAACTAATTTATACCTAATACTAATGCAATATTCAGTGAATGAATGGTCTGTTTGAGAATACATTTTCTTACACTTCTCTGAATCAAAGTAAGACTAGAGGTTTTATATTGATAACACAAATTACCAGCAACGAAAGAAATACATTAACTGCAAACTAACTGTTATTTATTCTACAAATACTTATTAAGTATCTATTATGTGTCAGACACTGCTCCAGGTATGTAGGATGTAGTATTGAACAAATCAGAAGGCTTTTCATTATGGAGTTTAAATTCTAATGAAGAGGACAGGGATGACAGAGAATGAACAATAAAGAGATTAATGCCTAACCAAATGTTATATAGTAATGAGTACTATGAATAAAAATAAAATAAGGCAAGATGATAGAGGATAATGTATGTTGGTGACTATTTTAGGATGGTCAGAGATGGCCTTTCTGAAAAGATGACATTTGAGCAATGTATAACATTGGAAACAATTTCAATTAAAATTATCAAACTAGAAACAGTCATAAACGTATAAGTTAGAAATCATGTAAAAATGCAATAAAAAAGAACTTGCCATTAGAAATGCAACTGACCTAAGCTTTTCTTAAATCTTCAAAAGACTTAGAGCAGGGTTTCTTAATTCGCTGCACAGTTGATTCCCTGGAAGACTTTAAAATTTACTGATGTCTGGGTCCCACAAATAGAAATCTGATTTTATTGGACTGGGGAGCAGTCTGAGAATTAGAGCTTTTTTAAGCTCCCCAGTTGATTATAATCTGCAGCCAAGGTTGGAAGGCATTGATTTCTAAAGTATTCAAGAAACTACACATGGAATTTATACATTTAAATTTAATCATGTTTCTCCATTCTTATCTTCTTTCTGGTGAAGATACTAATCATCAGTAAAGTGGACAATAGGTATGCAAAGGCTGAGAAGAATGTGAAGGTGCTTAGATTATTCTTGAAAAATCAAAAGTAGCTACAGTGCAAACTTTCTCTGTCAAACACATATGCAACAACATTGAAGTAAAACCTAACACTGAAGATTATTTCCACATGTCTAGACAATCCTAAGCGATGCCTCAATTATGCAGGTGAAAAAGTTCAAGACAGTTACCTCTTTATTCATCCCATTATTATCACTGTTCTTCATCATACGTTTATCCCAGGGGCTACAGCGAAGATTTTATCCCAGGGGCTAGCTTAGTGTTTATTTAGATCTCTGAAAAAGTTTTCCACCAGTCTAAAAGTCAAAATAGTCTCTATTCTTAAAAAAAGTCTTATTTTTTCAAGTGAAATTATGAATCTGTTCTTCACCCAAGATTAAAACTCCAGAGTTTAAGTGGGTAAAGTGTTATTTCAGACAAATCATCTGTGACACTTAGAGCATGTGCAGCTTTCAAAATCTAAAATCATACACTTGGAGAAAAGTTACTTGGAGAGAAGCAGTACCTGGTTTAAACTTGCATCATTAGCACCTACTTTTTGAGTAATCATCTCAATCAGGCATAGAAAGAAAACAAAATTGACTGTAATACTCCTGTGAGTGGGAGAAAAAGATAGGTAACAGCTGTTTTCTTCTATAATCATCTTACACCTACAGATTAACTGAAAGCTTTTTGATATTTCAGAAACATATCCAGGGTGTACTACAAACTAAATAAACGACCCATTCTGTTATTACCATCTCTATTCAGCTAAACACTTTCCGCCAAGAAAGTAACATAAAACTATATTTAAGGTACACCATAAAAATATCCTCTTTTTTTTTTGAGACGGAGTTTCACTCTTGTTGTTCAGGCTGGAGTGCAGTGGTGCGATCTTGGCTTACTGCAACCTCTGCCTCCCAGGTTCAAGTGATTCTCCTGCCTCATCTTCCTGAGTAGCTGGGATTACAGGTGCCTACCACCATGCCCAGCTCATTTTTAGTAGAGACAGGGTTTCACCATGTTGGCCAGGCTGGTCTCAAATTCCTGACCTCAGGTGATTCACCTGCCTTGGCCTCCCAAAGTGCTGAGATTACAGGTGTGAGCCACGGAGCCCGGCCCATAAATACATCTTAAGCAAAGTTTTCAAGATTGATCTTATGATTATTTTGAATAAAAGAAAAACTCATTTCTACCAATGGGCTTTCATATCAAAAGAAGTAAGTTTTAAAAATGTAAACATATAATCATTCCCAGTAATATCCATCATGGTATTTTTTTTTTTTTTTTTGAGACAGAGTTTCACTCTTATTGCCCAGGCTGGAGTGCAATTGCGCAATCTCGCCTTATTGCAACCTCCGACTCCCTGGTTCAAGTGATTCTCCTGCCTCAACCTCCCAAGTATCTGAGATTACAGGCATGCGCCCCCATGCTGGCTAATTTTTTATATAGTAGAGACGGGGTTTCACCATGTTTGTCAGGCTGGTCTTGAGCTCCTGACCTCAGGTGATCCACCCTCCTCAGCCAACCAAAGTGCTGGGATTACAGGCACGCACCACCACACCTGGCCCATCATGGTCTTTAAAATGTCAGATGTAGACTATATTTATTTTTAAGCCAATTAATAACTTTTCTTTTTCAAACTAGTTTATTAAAGTCTGGTGTTTTTTTTTCCTTTTAAATAATATTTTGAACTTAGTTAATAATGTGCTAGGAAATTCCTTTGTTTTTCTGACCAAATTGATCTTTCTGTGTACAGATAAGACATCTTTAGCTAAGCAATTTGATTCTCTAATCTCTATCCTCCCATATTTTCACGTGGTATCTAAGGGTTTCCCTGTTTACTTTTTATAAAACATGTCCAGAAAATAAATGAAAAACTAAAACTATGTCCAAAGCAAAATATAATACCTTAGAAATTATTTCTTTTCTACAACTACCTCACAATAATAGGTACATCTGGAATAGAAATTTATAATTACTGAGCACCTATTCAATTCATCATTTTTCCTTATAGGTGAGAAACCTAAGATTGAAAATATTTATCTTGTCCAAGATACAGCCAGTTGGTGGGAGGACTAATATTCAAATCTAGATCAGATCCAGATATATTCCGTTGTATATATGTACCACATTTTCTTTATTACATATTTAAATCAAGATCATTCAGACTCCAAATTCATATTCTGTCCACTGAACCACATTAACATTACCATCTATTTTTAACCTCACTGGCAGAAGTCGGGGTGGAATGGGAGAGGAGGATTGGGGACATAAATACACACCACTCCTGGAATTCTAAAATTGATTCTGATTTTATTCTCTACCATTATAAGAATATGTATGTAAAACTTAAAGTGTGTGATATGGGAACTATTTCCTTTTTTACTTTCAATAACTGTTTCATTTTATTTAAAAATATTTTCAATTTTTGTGTGTATATTGTAGAGATACATATTTGTGGGGTACATGTCATGTTCTGATACAGGTATGCAATGCATAATAATCACATCATAGAAAATTGGCTATCCATCTCCTCAAGCATTTATCTTTTGTGTTACAAACAATCCAATTATATACTTCCACTTATTTTAAAATGTAAAATTAAATTATTATTGACTATAGTCAACCTGGTGTGCTATCAAATAGTATGTCTTATTCATTCTTTCTATTTTTTGTACCCATTAACCACCCCACCTCCCCACAAGCCCCCAACTACCTTTCCTAGACTCTGGTAACCAACCTTCTACTGTCTATGTTCATGAGTTTAATTGTTTTGATTTTAGGATCCCACAAATAAGTGAGAATATGTGATGTTTTTCTTTCTGCGCCTGGCTTATTTCACTTAACATAATGATCTCCAGTTCCATCCATGTTGTTCCAAATGAGTGGATCTCATTCTTTTTTGGGCTAAATAGTTCTCTATTGTGTATATGTACCACTTTTTTTATACATTCATCTGTTAATGGACACTTAGGTTGCTTTCAAAACTTGGCTATTGTGAACAGTGATGCAACAAACAGGAGTACAGATATCACTTCGAGATACTGGTTTTCTTTCTTCTGGGTATATACACAGCAGTGTGATTGCTGAATCATATGGTAGCTCTATTTTTAGTTTTTTGAGGAACTTCCAAACTATTCTCCATAGTGCTCATATTAATTTACATTCCACCCAATGGTGTATGAGGATTCTCTTTTATGCACATCCTCTCCAGCATTTGTTATTACCTGTCTTTTGGATATAAGCCATTTTAACTGGGGAAAGATAATATCTCATTGTCGTTTTGATTTGCATTTCGCTGATGATCAATTATGTTGACCAACTTTTAATATGCTTATTTGCCATTTCTATGTCTTCTTTGAGAAATGTGTATTCAAATATTTTGCTCATTTTAAAAATCATATTATTAGATTTATTTCTATAGGGTTGTTTGAGCTTTTCATATATTACATTTATTAATCCTTTGTCAGATTGGTAGGTTTCAAATATTTTCTCCCATTCTGTTGGTTGTCTCTTTAACATGTTGATTGTTTACTTTGTTGTACATAAAGTTTTAACCTTAATGTGATCCCATTTTTTCATTTTTGGTTGGTTGCCTGTGCTTGTGGGGTATTGCTCAAGAAACCTTGCCGAGACCAATGTCTTGGAGATTTTTCCCCAATGTTTTCTTGTAGTAGTTTTATAGTTTGCAGTCTCAGATTTTAGTTTTTAATCCATTTTGATTTGATTTCTATATATGAAGAGAGACAGGGGTGTAGTTTCATTCTTCTCTATATGGAGATCCAGTTTTCCCAGAACCATTAATTGAAAAGACTGTCTATTCCCCAGTGTATGTTCTTGGCAAATTTCTTGAAAGTGGGTTTACTGTAAGTGTGTGAATTTCCTTCTGGGTTCTCCATTCTGTACCACTAGTCTATGTATCTGTTTTTATGCCACTACCATGCTGTTTTGGTTATATAGATCTGAAGTATAATATGAAGTTAGGTAATGTGATTTTTTTCAGTTTTTTTCCTTTTGCTCAGGAGAGCTTGGCTATTCTGGGTTTTTGTGGTTTCATATAAATTTTAGGATTTTTTTTTTTCTGTTTCTGTGAAAAATACCATTGGTACTTTGTTAGGGATTGCATTGAATCTTTAGGATCGCTTTGAGTAGTATGGACATGTTAACAATATTGATTCTTCCAATCTATCAACATAAAATATTTTTCCATTTTTGGTGTCCTCTTCAATTTATTTCATCAGTGTTTTATAGTTTTTATTACAGAGACCTTTCACTTTGGTAAATTCTAGATATGTAATTTTAGTTGTGGCTATTGTAAATTGAATTTCTTTTTTATTTCTTTTTCAGGTTTTTCACTATTGGCCTATACAAATGCTACTGATTTTTATACATTGATTTCATATCCTGCATCTTTGCTGAAATTGTTTTATCACTTCTAATAGTTTTCTTATGAAGTCTTTAAGATTTTTCAAACATAAGATCATGTTATTTGCAAACAAGTATAATTTGACTTATTTATTTCTGATTTGGATGCTCTTTAGATCTTTCTCTTGTCTGACTGCTCTAGCTAGGACTCCTAGTACTATGTTGAATAACAGTGGTGAAAGTGGACATTCTTATTATGTTCCAGATCTTAGAGGAAAGTTTTTTGGTTTTATTCCCCATTCAGTATGATACTAGCTATGTGTCTGTCATATATGGCTTTAATTATGTTGAGGTATGTTTATTATCTACTCAGTTTTTTGACAGTTTTTATTATAAAGAGATGATGAATTTTATCAAATGCTTTTTCATCATAAATTAAGATGTTCATATGGTTTTTATCTTTCATTCTGTTGATATGATGTATCACATTGATTGAAGAGTGTATTTTGAACCATCCTTGCATCCCAGAGATAAACGTTGCTTGGTCATGATGAATTATCTTTGTAATGTATTGTTGAATTTGGTTCGTTAGTATTTTGTTGCGCATTTTTGCATCAAAATTTATCAGAGATATTGGCTTGTAGTATTGTTTTTTGATGTGTCTTTGTCTGTTTTTTGTATAAAGGTAATACTGGCATTGTAGAATGAGTTAGGAAGGATTTCCTCCTCTTCTATTTTTCAGAAAATATTGAGTCAGATTGGTTTTAGTTCTTCTTTAAGTGTTTGGTAGAATTCACCAGGGAAGCCATCAGGTCCCTGGATTTTCTTTAGTGGGAGACATGTTATTATGGCTTTGATTTTTTACTTTATACTGGTCTGTTCAGGTTTTGGATTTCTTTCTGGTTCAATCTTGGTAGGCTGTATGTGTCTAGGTATTTTCCAATTTATTGCCATATAGATTCTCGTAGTAGCCACTGATGATAAATAAATATGATAAATAAAATTTGCATTTGAATTTATGCAGTGCCAGTTGTAATGTCTCTTTTTATTCATTTTTGGTTTTATTTATTTGGATTGTCTCTTTTCTTAGTCTGACTAAATTTTTGTCAATCTTGTTTAACTTTTCAAAAAGGCAACTTTTTGTTTCATTGATCTTTTGTATTTTTTTTTATTTCAATTTCATTTATTTATTCTCTGATCTTATTATTTCTTATCTTCTAGTAATTTTGGGTTTTGTTTGCTGTTGCCTTTCTAGTTCTTTAAGATGCATTGTTAGATTGTTTATTTGAAGTTTTTCCCCATTTTTAGGTACTTATAAATATAAACTTCCCTCTGAGTACCGCTTTTGCTCTACCTAGTAGGTTTTGATATGTTGTGTTTCCATTATTATTTGTCACAAAATATTTTTCAATTTTCTACTTAATATCTTCATTGACCCACTGGCCATCCAGGAGCATACTATTTAATTTCCATGTATTTTTATAGTTTCCAAAATTGCTCCTGTTATTGATTTGTAGTTTCATTCCATTGGGGTCAGAGATGATGCTTGATACTATCTAATTTTTTTGAATTTTTAAAGATGTTTTGTGACCTTATATGTGGTTTATTCTTGGGAATAATCCATATGATGAGGAAAAGAATGTGTATTCTGCAGCTGTTGGATGAAATGTTCTGTACATATCTATTAGATTCATTTGGTCCATAGTGCAGATTAAGTCCCATGTTTCTTATTTTTTTTTCTTCTTTCTCTCTGGAAAATTGTTTCATTGCTGAAAGTGGGGGGTTTATGTCTCCAACTATTATTGTATTGGGGCCTATCTCTCTCTTTAGCTCTAACAATATTTGCTTCATATATCTGAGTGTTCCAAGGTTGGATGCATATATATATTTCATTTATCTTCTTGCTCAATTAACCCCTTTCTCTTGTAAACGTCTTTGTCTTGTCTCACAGTTTATATCTTCAAATCTATTTTTTACTGATATAAGTATAGTGACTCCTGCTCTATTTTTATTTCCATTGGCATAGAATAGCTTTTTCCATCTCTTTCTTTCAAAATATATATGTGTATTTATAGATGAAGTGTATCTCTTGCAGATGATAAATCAGTAGGTCTTGTTTTTTCATACATTAAGCCACTCTATGTCTTTTGATTGGAAAGTTTAGTACATTTACATTAAAAGTTATTACTGAGAAGTAAGGACTTACTCCTGCTATTTTGTTACTTGTTTTCTTGTTGGTTTGTCCTTTTTTCATTTCTTTCTGAATTTCTTTAGTGAAGTTCATTTTCTATGACTATATGATTCAGTTTCTTGATTTTTATTTTATGTGTATTTGTTGTATTGTTTTTTTTTATATTACCATGAGGTTTGAAAATATTATCTTAGAATGCATTATTTTAACCTGATAACAACTTAACTATTTGCATAAAACACAAACGTGCAAAAAAATTAAGAAATCTCTGCACCTTAACTTTGTCCCCCTATTTTTTAAACTTTTTGTTATTTTAATTTATATCTTATTCTACCGTGTATGTCTTAAAATGTTGTTTTAGGTGGGACTGTAAACTAGTTCAACCATTGTGGAAGTCAGTGTGGCAATTCCTCAGGGATCTAGAGCTAGAAATACCATTTGACCCAGCCATCCCATTACTGGGTATATACCCAAAGGATTATAAATCATGCTGCTATAAAGACACACACACACGTATGTTTATTGTGGCACTATTCACAATAGCAAAGACTTGGAACCAACCCAAATGTCCAACAATGATAGACTGGATTAAGAAAATGTGACACATATACACCATGGAATACTATGCAGCCATAAAAAAGGATGAGTTCATGTCCTTTGTAGGGACATGGATGAAGCTGGAAACCATCATTCTCAGCAAACTATCACAAGGACAAAAAACCAAACACCGCATGTTCTCACTCATAGGTGGGAACTGAACAATGAGAACACATGGACACAGGAAGGGGAACATCACACACCAGGGTCTGTTTTGGGGTGGGGGGAGTGGGGAGGGATAGCATTAGGAAATATACCTAATGTTAAATGAGGAGTTAATGGGTGCAGCACACCAACATGGCACATGTATACATATGTAACAAACCTGCACGTTGTGCATATGTACCCTAAAACTTAAAGTATAATAAAAAAAAAGAATGCATTTTAGAACAGTATGTGGAATGGAAGATACAACTGCAACCATCTTTGGAAAAATAAAATCTATGTGGCACAAGGGCACTCCCAACTAATGTTTTTAGAATTAAAAAAATGAGAACAATGTAAGTGCTATATAAATAATTGCTATACTGTACTGTTTTAAAATTTGCATTATTTTTGTTATTGTATTCTTATTTTTAAAATATTTTCCATTTGTGGTTGGTTGAATCAGTGGATGTGGAACCCATGGAAATGGATAGCCAATTGTATATTATGACTTATGTAATCAGTATCCTTTTGAAAGACTTAAATGATGGTCCAATACTATACCACTTTTTGAAAAAAAAATGTTGTTTTAGTTATTATTTTTTGTTGGCTTATCATTTACTCTTTCCATTTAGGATAAGAGTAGTTTGCACACCACAGTTACAGTGTTATAATATTCTGTGTTTTTTTGTGTACTTTCTAATACCAGTGAGTTTTCTACCTTCAGGTGATTACTTACTGCTCATTAACATCCATTTCTTTCTGATGGAAGTATTCCATTTAGCACTTCTTTTAGGTCAGGTCTGGTGTTGATAAAATTTTTCAGTTGACATTTGTCTTGGAAAGTCTTTATTTCTTCTTCATTTTTAAATAATATTTTCACTGGATATACTATGCTAAAGTAAAAGCTTTTTTTGTTTTCCTTCAGCATTTTAAATACGTGACAACGTTCTAACATTTCTAATAAAAATTCTCCTGCCAGGCGTATTGGAGCTCCATTTTATTTCAGTTTTTTTTTGTTCTATTGCCTTTTTTTTTGAATTATTTCTTTATCTTTGATCTCTAGAAGTTTAATTACTAAAGACCTTGAGGTAGTCTTCTTTGGGTTAAATCTGCTTGCTGTTCTATAATCTTCTTGTACTTGGATATAAGTATCTTTCTGTTGATTGGGGAAGTTTTTGTTATTATGCCTTTGAATACACTTTCCACTCCTATCTCTCTACCTACTCTTTAAGGACAACAACTCTGAGATTTGTCATTTTGAGGCTATTTTCTGAATCCTGTAGATGTGCTTCATTGCTTCTTACTTTTCTTGTCTCCCCTGTGTATTTGCAAATATCCTATCTTCACGCTCACTATTTTTTT
Organism: Homo sapiens; assembly: GCF_000001405.40. NCBI lineage: Eukaryota > Metazoa > Chordata > Mammalia > Primates > Hominidae > Homo > Homo sapiens. The sequence continues at coordinate 93,071,793 of NC_000023.11, read as the reverse complement.
CTTCTGCTTGATCAATTGTGCCATTAAAAGGCTCTGATGAATTCTTCAGTATGTCTACTTTATTTTCCAGCTTCAGGATTTCTGCTTGATTTTTAAAAATTATTTCCATCTCTTTCAAATTTATCTGATAGATTTCTGATTTCTTTTTCTGTGGTACCTTGAATTTTTTTTAGTTTCTTCAACACAGCTATTTTGAATTCTCTGTCAGAAAGGTCACATAACTCTGTTTCTGCAGGATTATTCCCTGGTGGCTTATTTAGTTCATTTGGTGAGGTTATGTTTTGCTGAAACATCCTTATGTTTGTGGATGTTCATCTGTGTCTGGGCATTGATGTGTTATGTATCTACTGAAGTCTTCATGGTCTGCGTTTGTGTCTACCCATTCTTCTTAGAGAGTATTTCTTAATATTCAAAAGAAACTGGGTATTGTGATTTATACTATATCTGTTTTAATGGCAACCCTAGTAAAGTAACACTGTGGTTCTCGCACACTCATAGAGGTATCACCTTGATCATTTTGGACATGATTTGGGAGAATTCTCTAGATTACCAAGTAGAATTCTCTAGATTACCAAGTGTTCTCTTCCCTTTCTTTCACCCAAACAAATGGAGTCTCTCTCTCAGTTCGGAGCCACTTAAAGCTGGGGGTGGATTCATGCAAATTTCTCCTTATTTTGGATTTTTGTTTGTTTGTTTCTTCTTTTTTTAACTTTTATTTTAAGTTCAGTAGCACACGTGCAGGTTTGTTAAGTAGGTAAACTTTTGGCATGGTGTTTTGTTTTACTGATTATTTTATCACCCAGATATTAATCCTAGTAACCATTAGTTATTTTTTCTGATTCTCTTCCTCCTCCCACCCTCCACCCTCTCATAGGCCCCAGTGTGTATTGTTCCCATCCATGCGTCCGTGTGTTTTCATCATTTAGCTCCACTTATAAGAGAGATCATGCAGTATTTTGTTTTCTTTTCCTGTGTTTGTTAAGAATAATGGCCACCAGATCCATCTATGTCCCTGGAAAGAACATAATCTTATTATTTTTTATTGCTGCATAGACTTCCATGGTGTATATGTATCACATTTCCTTTATCCAGTCTATTATTGATGAACATTTTGGTTGATTTCCTATCTTTGTGATTGTGAATAGTGCTGCAATGAACATACACATGCATGTGTCTTTATAATAGAATAATTTATATTCCTTTGTGTATATACCCAGTAATGGGATTTCTGGGTCCAATGGCATTTCTAGTTATAGGTCTTTGAGGAATCACCACACTTTCTTCTGCAGTGGTTGAACTAATTTATACTCCCACTAACAGTATAAAAGTGCTTCTTTTTCTCCACAACTTCACTAGCATCTCTTATGTTTTGACTTTTTTAAAAATAGCAATTCTGACTGGTTTGAAATGGTATCTCATTATGGTTTGGATTTGCATTTCTCCAATGATCAGTATTGTTGAGCTTTTTTCCATATGCTTGTTGGCTGCATGTATGTCTTGTTTTGCAAAGTGTCTGTTCCTGTCCTTTGCCCACTTTTTAGTAGGGTTGACAAACACCTCCTTAGTCACTACTACTATTATTGTGCTGGGTCAGACTTGAACCCAGCACTACATTGGGCACAGACCAAGGCCTGTTGTAACCCCTCCCTGGCCACTGCCTATGTTCACTCAAGAGCCTGAGGCTATACAATCAGCAGGTGGCAAAGCCAGCCAGGTATGTTTTTTTTTTTCTTCAAAACAGCAGGTTTTCCCAGTCCCCAGGTGGGTCCAGACATGCTGCCTGGGAGTCAGAGAATAAACTTAAAAGCCTTAGAAGTCTATCTGGTATTCTATTCTGCTGTGTCTGAGCTTGCTTTCAAACTACAAGATGCTGTTCTTCTCACTCTTCCCTCCATTTTCCAAAGGCAAAAGAGCTTCACCCATCACTACTGCCACCAAAATTCCATGAGAGATACTGTCAGAGTACTTCCAATGTTTCCTTAAGGCCCAAGGGATTTAAGTCACACTACAGTAACTGCTGCCTAGTCTAGGAGTTACCCTTCAGGACAGTAGGCTCTCCTCTGGCCTAGGGCAGGTCCAGAAATGCCAGTCAAGGTTCAAGTCTTGCAAATTGGAACCCAAAGATTCTGCTTGGTGTTCTACGTTCCTGTAGTTTAGCTGATACCTAAAGCTAGCAAGTCTTAAATGCTCATACAAGCCCCTCATAGTACTACATTTGATATTACTACTGGTTTCTCAGGGTCCAAAGGCTCTTCATTTAGCAGGTGATGATTGCTGCCAAGACTAGGTACTCCCCTTCAAGACAGCAGGTTCCCCTCTAGCACAGGGTGTGTCTAGAAATGTCAGCTAGGAGCTAGGGCCTGGAACAGGGGCTCATTACTCTGACCAGTGCCTTATCCTGTTGTGGATGAGCTGGTATCTGATATGCAAGATAAAGTCTTGCCCAGTCTTCCCTCTCCTTTACTCAAGCAGAAGGAATGCCTCTCTTGGAGCTGTGAGTTGTTCAGCCTTGGGTTAGGGAAAGGGTTATGCCAGCACTTTCTCAGCTGCCCAGTTGCTGACTCAATAGATTTTGTGCTCCCCCAGTCCTCTGTCTCTTGGCTCAGTTCAGCACTAGGATGCACCTAAGAGTTGCAGTCTTGTGGCCTAGACAGCTCTTAAAGTTTGCTTAGAGACTCAGAGCACTTGAACTCACAGTGGCAAGGTTTGTGGGAACTTAAGTTCAGGCTGCTGGAATTGGCAATTTCCCTTTGTCTAAGGCTGGCTTAAATGCTTTCTGTGTGTGTGGGCTTCAGCTGAATGTGGTCCAGTTTTCCTTTCTGCTGTAACAGGATGACACTGAGTTTAGTGCCTCACAATTGCTGGCTCTTCCTCCTCCAGCACACAGAAATGCTCTCTGCACCACACTGCTGCTACTGGAGAATGAGGGAAGTGTGGCATTGGTGATTCAAGATTTTTTTTCTACCTCTTCAGTGCCTCTTTTAGTGATACAAAGTTAAAAGCAGGTACTGTGAGTGCTCACCTAATTTTTAGTTCTTATGAAGCTGCTTTGCTTGTGTAGATTTTTGTAAAATTTGTGTACTTTTGGGGGGATGATCAGCGGAGCCTTCTACACTGCCATCGTGCTCCACCTCCTATCTTAATACCAGTTTTATTTGTCTACTGCATCTTTTCCAATGAAAATTATACATCTTTTACTTATTTTCTTAGCACTGCATTCAACAAAATTTATATCTAAGTTAATTCAGATGGCATTAATGATATTTCTGTTGTATGTGCATGTATTCTTCTTAGAACAAGAGTTGCAGTATTTGAAACACACATAAAGTTTACACACACACACACACATACACACACAACTTCCTTAACATTTGATACAAACTCATAAAATTAAATTAGGAGAAGTAATCATTAATAGATCAAACTACACCTAGATATTTTTTCTGTGCTTTGACTGAAAATTTCCTGAAGAAAACAAAATTGTTCAATTTAATACTTCCATGAATTCCAGCAACATGACTAGACATATTATATGAGTTACTAAAAAATTATTATGCTTCTTTATATAACTATGTGAAAAATATTAAATTTATATTAACCACTAAAATTTTCTAATGATACAAATGGCCAAAAATTATTGTTCTTCTGTCAAATTGGTCATTTTCAAGCACAATGATTTTGTATGAATAACCTAGAGTGAATGATTATTAAATACTTGCCTAGATTATTAAAAATCATTAGCTACAAAATAGGTAACTGTTTTATAAAGAAACATCAAAACATTTCACTATAAAATATTAAAAATATACACAAGGTAAAGTTCTAAAGTGTTGCACATGTTAACCTTTCCAACTAAAATTTTATTATAACCAAAGCTGCAACCATATCATGTTGCTGCAGTAATGAAACAGATACATTCTCATTTCACTCTTTTCTTTTAGTATTATATATCTTTAATGATTACTTCTCTTAATTTATGAGTAAAAATTTAATTTTTAGTGTAAAATAGTGTAAAAATTAAATTTTTACACTATTATTGTATGTCTGTCTATCTCTTTTCTTAGGTCTAACAGTAATTCTTTTATAAATGTGAATTCTCAAATATTGAGTCCATATATATTTAGAATAATTAAATTTTCTGGTTGTATTGAATCTTTTATCATTATGTAATGACATTCTTTGCCTTTTTTTACTTTTTTTGGTTTAAAGTCTGTTTTATCTGATATCAGATAGAAAACCTTGCTCTTTTTGGTTTTCCAATTATTTGTCTTAGGGGTCTTTATCCATCCCTCTACTTTGGGCCTGTGGTTGTCATTACACATGAGATGGATCACTTGAAGACAGAAGAAAGTTAAGCCTTATTTTTTAAATTGTATTTCATGTTGTCTTTTGAGTGGAGCATTTAGGCCATTCATGTCCAAGGTTAACACCGATATGTGAGGTGTTTTTTTTCCTGTCATAGTGTTTTTAGCTAGACACTTTGTAGTCTCAATTGTGTAATTGATTTATATTATCTGTGAATGTTGTACTAATGTGTGTATTTATGCTGGCAAGTACCATCCTTTTATTTCATTGTTTATAACTCAATGGAGCCTGGTCTGATCATGACAAATTCTCTTTTTGTTTGTTTATCCAGGAAGAACTTTATTTCTCCTTCGTTTATAAAGATCAGTTTCACAGGATATGTAATTCCTGGCTGGCATTTTTCTTTTCATAAGAAGGCTAAAAATAGGCCCACAATCTTTTCTGGGTGGTAAGGTTTCTGCTGAGAACTCTTGTTAGTCTGATAAAATTTCCTTTATTGGTGATTTATCCATTTTCTCTTGTTGCCTTTAAGATTTATTCTTTCATACTGATCTTGGATAGTTTGATGACTATATGCCTTGGTGATGGTCATCTTGTGTAGAATCTCATAGGTGTTTTCCACAGGTGCTCACCACTGAAAGCATTTCTCAGCATTGAAAGGGCATAGGGGTTTTCCAACAGTTGGACAGCAGATTGCTGCCAGAGTGATGGGAGCAAACCACAGTTACCTTCACTTTCCACAGAGTTCTAAGTTCCTCAGTGGTTTATCTCTGCCAGACTCTTGCTTCTTTTCTCTTCTACACCTTGTATCCGGATGTTGACTTCTGTAGCAAAGTTAGACATTTTTCCTGGATTATTTTCTCAAATATGTTGTTCAAGTTGCTTTATTTTTCTTTTTTTCTCTCAGAAATATCAAGAAGTCATAGGTATGAATGTTTTGCATAATCCCATATTCCTGAAAACTTTGTTTATTGAAATTATTATTTTTTTAATTTTTGTCTATGTTAATTTGAAAGTTCAGTCTTTAAGCTCTGAAATCCTCTGTTCTACTTGGTCTAGTCTGTTGTAAAAGCTTCCAACTGTATTTTGAAGTTTCTTCAGTAATTTTTTCTTAATTCTAGAAGTTCTTTATTTTTTGGTATAAGTTTCTTTTTTTATTTTATTATTATTATACTTTAAGTTTTAGGGTACATGTGCACAACGTACAGGTTTGTTACATATGTATACATATGCCATGTTGGTGTGCTGCACCCATTATCTCATCATTTAACATTAGGTATATCTCCTAATGCTATCCCTTCCCCCTCCCCCCACCCCACAACAGTCCCGGTGTGTCATGTTCCCTTTCCTGTGTCCATGTGTTCTCATTGTTCAATTCCCACCTATGAGTGAGAACATGCGGTGTTTGTTTTTTTGTCCTTGTGATAGTTTGCTGAGAATGATGGTTTCCAGCTTCATCCATGTCCCTACAAAGGACATGAACTCATCCTTTTTTATGGCTGCATAGTATTCCATGGTGTATATGTGCCACATTTTCTTAATCCAGTCTATCATTGTTGGACATTTGTGTTGGTTCCAAGTCTTTGCTATTGTGAATAGTGCCGCAGTAAACATACGTGTGCATGTGTCTTTGTAGCATCACGATTTATAATTCTTTGGGTATATACCCAGTAATGGGATGGCTGGGTCAAATGGTATTTTCAGTTCTAGATCCCTGAGGAATCGCCACACTGACTTCCACAATGGTTGAACTAGTTTACAGTCCCAACAACAGTGTAAAAGTGTTCCTGTTTCTCCACATCCTCTCCAGCACCTGTTGTTTCCTGACTTTTTAATGATCGCCACTCTAACTGGTGTGAGATGGTATCTCATTGTGGTTTTGATTTGCATTTCTCTGATGGCCAATGATGATGAGCATTTTTTCATGTGTTTTTTGTCTGCATAAATGTCTTCTTTTGAGAAGTGTCTGTTCATCTCCTTTGCCCACTTTTTGATGGGGTTGGTTGTTTTTTTCTTGTAAATTTGTTTGAGTTCATTGTAGATTCTGGATATTAGCCCTTTGTCAGATGAGTAGGTTGCAAAAATTTTCTCCCATTCTGTAGGTTGCCTGTTCACTCTGATGGTAGTTTCTTTTGCTGTGCAGAAGCTCTTTAGTTTAATGAGATGCCATATGTCAATTTTGGCTTTAGTTGCCATTGCTTTTGGTGTTTTAGACATGAAGTTCTTGCCCATGTCTATGTCCTGAATGGTATTGCCTAGGATTTCTTCTAGGGTTTTATATGGTTTTAGGTCTAATATTTAAGTCTTTAATCCATCTTGAGTTAATTTTTGTATAAGGTTTAAGGAAGGGATCCAGTTTCAGCTTTCCACATATGGCTAGCCAGTTTTCCCAGCACCATTTATTAAATAGGGAATCCTTTCCCCATTGCTTGTTTTTGTCAGGTTTGTCAAAGATCAGATAGTTGTAGATATGTGGCATTATTTCTGAGGGCTCTGTTCTGTTTCATTGGTCTATATCTCTGTTTTGGTACCAGTACCATGCTGTTTTGGTTACTGTAGCCTTGTAGTATAGTTTGAAGTCAGGTAGCATGATGCCTCCAGCTTTGTTCTTTTGGCTTAGGATTGACTTGGTGATGTGGGCTCTTTTTTGGTTCCATATGAACTTTAAAGTAGTTTTTTCCAATTCTGTGAAGAAAGGCATTGGTAGCTTGATGGGGATGGCATTGAATCTATAAATTACCTTGGGCAGTATGGCCATTTTCACGATATTGATTCTTCCTACCCATGAGCATGGAATGTTCTTCCATTTGTTTGTATCCTCTTTTATTTCATTGAGCAGTAGTTTGTAGTTCTCCTTGAAGAGGTCCTTCACGTCCCTTGTAAGTTGGATTCCTAAGTATTTTATTCTCTTTGAAGCAATTGTGAATGGGAGTTCACTCATGATTTGGCTCTCTGTTTGTCTGTTATTGGTGTATAAGAATGCTTGTGATTTTTGCACATTGATTTTGTATCCTGAGACTTAGCTGAAGTTGCTTATCAGTTTAAGGAGATTTTGGGCTGAGACAATGGGGTTTTCTAGATATACAATCATGTCATCTGCAAACAGGGACAGTTTGACTTCCTCTTTTCCTAATTGAATGCCCTTTATTTCCTTCTCCTGCCTAATTGCCCTGGCCAGAACTTCCAACAGTATGTTGAATAGGAGTGGTGAGAGAGGGCATCCCTGTCTTGTGCCAGTTTTCAAAGGGAATGCTTCCAGTTTTTGTCCATTCAGTACGATATTGTCTGTGGGTTTGTCATAGATAGCTCTTATTATTTTGAGATACATCCCATCAATACCTAATTTATTGAGGGTTTTTAGCATGAAGGGTTGTTGAATTTTGTCAAAGGCCTTTTCTGCATCTATTGAGACAATAATGTAGTTTTTGTCTTTGGTTCTGTTTATATGCTGGATTACGTTTATTGATTTTCATATGTTGAACCAGCCTTGCATCCCAGGGATGAAGCCCACTTGTTCATGATGGATGAGCTTTTTGATGTGCTGCTGGATTCGGTTTGCCAGTATTTTATTGAAGATTTTTGCATTAATGTTCATCAAGGATATTGGTCTAAAATTCTCTTTTTTGGTTGTGTCTCTGCCAGGCTTTGGTATCAGAATGATGCTGGCCTCATAAAATGAGCTAGGGAGGATTCCCTCTTTTTCTATGGATTGGAATAGTTTCAGAAGGAATGGTACCAGCTCCTCCTTGTACCTCTGGTAGAATTCGGCTGCGAATCCATCTGGTCCTGGACTTTTTTTGGTTGGTAAGCTATTAATTTTCTCCTCAATTTCAGAGCCTGTTATTGGTCTATTCAGAGATTCAACTTCTTCCTGGTTTAGTCTTGGGAGGGTGCATGTGTAGAGGAATTTATCCATTTCTTCTAGATTTTCTAGTTTATTTGCGTAGAGGTGTTTGTAGTATTCTCTGATGGTAGTTTGTATTTCTGTGGGATCAGTGGTGATATCCCCTTTGTCATTTTTTATTGCATCTATTTGATTCTTCTCTCTTTTCTTCTTTATTAGTCTTGCTAGCGGTCTATCAATTTTGTTGATCTTTTCAAAAAACAAGCTCCTGGATTCATTGAGTTTTTGAAGGGTTTTTTGTGTCTCTATTTCCTTCAGTTCTGCTCTGATCTTAGTTATTTCTTGCCTTCTGCTAGCTTTTGAATGTGTTTGCTCTTGCTTCTCTAGTTCTTTTAATTGTGATGTTAGGGTGTCAATTTTAGATCTTTCCTGCTTTCTCTTGTGGGCATTTAGTGCTATAAATTTCCCTCTACACACTGCTTTGAATGTGTCCCAGAGATTCTGGTATGGTGTGTCTTTGTTCTCGTTGGTTTCAAAGAACATCTTTATTTCTTCCTTCATTTTGTTATGTACCCAGTAGTCATTCAGGAGCAGGTTGTTCAGGTTCCATGTAGTTGAGGGGTTTTGAGTGAGTTTCTTAATCCTGAGTTCTAGTTTGATTGCACTGTGGTCTGAGAGACAGTTTGTTATAATTTCTGTTCTTTTACATTTGCTAAGGAATGCTTTACTTCAAACTATGTGGTCAATTTTGGAATAGGTGTGGTGTGGTGCTGAAAAGAATGTATATTCTGTTGATTTGGAGTCGAGAGTTCTGTAGATGTCTATTAGGTCCACTTGGTACAGAGCTGAGTTCAATTCCTGGATATCCTTGTTAACTTTCTGTCTCGTTGATCTGTCTAATGTTGACAGTGGGGTGTTAAAGTCTCCCATTATTATTCTGTGGGAGTCTAAGTCTCTTTGTAGGTCACTAAGGACTTGCTTTATGAATCTGGGTGCTCCTGTATTGGGTGCATATATATTTAGGATAGTTAATTCTTCTTGTTGAATTGATCCCTTTACCATTATGTAATGGCCTTCTTTGTCTCTTTGATCTTTGTTGGTTTAAAGTCTGTTTTATCAGAGACTAGGATTGCAACCCCTGCCTTTTTTTGTTTTCCATTTGCTTGGTAGATCTTCCTCCATCCCTTTATTTTGAGCCTATGTGTGTCTCTGCACATGAGATGGGTTTCCTGAATACAGCACACTGATTGGTCTTGACTCTTTATCCAATTTGCCAGTCTGTGCCTTTTACTTGGAGCATTTAGCGCATTTACATTTAAGGTTAGTATTGTTGCATGTGAATTTGATCCTGCCATTATGATATTAGCTGGTTATTTTGCTCGTTAGTTGATGCAGTTTCTTGCTAGCCTTGACGGTCTTCACAATTTGGCATGTTTTTGCAGTGGCTGGTAGCAGTTGTTCCTTTCCATGTTTAGTGCTTCCTTCAGGAGCTCTTGTAGGGCAGGCCTGGTGGTGACAAAATCTCTCAGCATTTGCTTGTCTGTCAAGGATTTTATTTCTCCTTCACTTATGAAGCTTAGTTTGGCTGGATATGAAATTCTGGGTTGAAAATTCTTTTCTTTAAAAATGTTGAATATTGGCCCCCACTCTCTTCTGGCTTGTAGAGTTTCTGCCGAGATATCAGCTGTTAGTCCGATGGGCTTCCCTTTGTGGGTAACCCGACCTTTCTCTCTGGCTGCCCTTAACATTTTTTCCTTCATTTCAACTTTGGTGAATCTGACAATTATGTGACTTGGAGTTGCTCTTCTCGAGGAGTATCTTTGTGGTGTTCTCTGTATTTCCTGAATGTGAATGTTGGCCTGCCTTGCTAGATTGGGGAAGTTCTCCTGGATAATATCCTGCAGAGTGTTTTCCAACTTGGTTCCATTCTGCCCATCACTTTCAGGTACACCAATCAGACAAATCTATGTCTTTTCACATAGTCCCATATTTCTTGGAGGCTTTGATCGTTTCTTTTTATTCTTTTTTCTCTGAACTTCTCTTCACGCTTCATTTCATTCATTTCATCTTCCATCACTGATACCCTTTCTTCCAGTTGATCACATCGGTTACTGAGGCTTGTGCATTTGTCACGTAGTTCTCGTGCCATGGTTTTCAGCTCCATCAGGTCCTTTAAGGACTTCTCTGCATTGGTTATTCTAGTTATCCATTCGTCTAATTCTTTTTCAAAGTTTTTAACTTCTTTGCCATTGGTTCGAACTTCCTCCTTTAGCTCAGAGTAGTTTGATCTTCTGAAGCCTTCTTCTCTCAACTCGTCAAAGTCATTCTCCGTCCAGCTTTATTCCATTGCTGGTGAGGAGCTGCATTCCTTTGGAGGAGGAGAGGCGCTCTGATTTTTAGAGTTTCCAGTTTTTCTGCTCTGTTTTTTCCCCATCTTTGTGGTTTTATCTACCTTTGGTCTTTGATGATGGTGACGTACAGATGGGTTTTTGGTGTGGATGTCCTTTCTGTTTGTTAGTTTTCCTTCTAACAGTCAGGACCCTCAGCTGCAGGTCTGTTGGAGTTTGCTGGAGGTCCACTCCAGACCCTGTTTTCCTGGGTATCAGCAGCAGTAGCTGCAGAACAGCGGATATTGGTGAACCGCAAATGCTGCCACCTGATCATTCCTCTGGAAGTTTTGTCTCAGAGGAGTACCTGGCCGTGTGAGGTGTCAGTACGCCCCTACTGGGGGGTGCCTCCCAGTTAGGCTACTCGGGGGTCAGGGACCCACCTGAGGAGGCAGTCTGCCTGTTCTCAGATCTCAAGCTGCCTGCTGGGAGAACCACTACTCTCTTCAAAGTTGTCAGACAGGGACATTTAAGTCTGCAGAGGTTATTGCTGTCTTTTGTTTGTCTGTGCCCTGCCCCAGAGGTGGAGCCTACAGAGGCAGGCAGGCCTCCTTGAGCTGTGTTGGGCTCCACCCAGTTCAAGCTTCCTGGCCACTTTGTTTACCTACTCATGCCTGGGCAATGGCGGGTGCCCTTCCCCCAGCCTCGCTGCCACCTTGCAGTTTGATCTCAGACTGCTGTGCTAGCAATGAGCAAGGCTCCGTGGGCATAGGACCCTCCAAGCCATGTGCAGGATATAATCTCCTGGTGTGCCATTTGTTAAGCCATTGGAAAAGTGCAGTATTAGGGTGGGAGTGAGCCGATTTTCCAGGTGCCATCTGTCAACCCTTTCTTTGACTAGGAAAGTGAATTCCCTGACCCCTTGCACTTCCCGGGTGAGGCGATGCCTTGCCCTGCTTTGGTTAACACACAGTGCACTGCACCCACTGTCCTGCACCCACTGTCCAGCACTCCCCAGTGAGATGAACCCGGTACCTCAGTGGGAAATGCAGAAATCACCCATCTTCTGTGTCACTCACCCAATTCTGGAAGTTCTAACCATTTTTTAAAAATATATAGCTACCTCTCTTTTTTTTATATTCTAAATAGTTTTTTCTGGTTTATTTGTGTTGGATTTGAAGTTTTTTTTTTTGGCTCTCATTGAGTTTCATTGCAATCCATATATACAATCCTTTGTCACTTCTGACTTTTCATTTCTGTTAGCATTCATTGCTAAAAAACTAGTGCAAGCTGGGCGTGGTGGCTTACGCCTATAATCCCAACACTTTGGGAGGCTGAGGTGGGCAGGTCACCTGAGGTCAGCAGTTCAAGACCTGGCTGACCAACATGTAGAAACCCTGTCTCTACTACAAATACGAAGCTGGGCATGGTGGCTCATGCCTGTAATCCCAGCTACTTGGGAGGCTGAGGCAGGAGAATCACTTGAACCTGGGAGGCAGAGATTGTTGTGAGCCAAGATCACACCATTGCACCATTCCACTCCAGCCTGGGCAACAAGAGTGAAACTCTGTCTCAAAAAAAAAAAAAAAAAAAAAAAGATAGCACAACCCTCTGGAGTTGTTAAGACACTCTGGATTTTTTTACTGCCAGAGTTCTTGCCTGAATGTCATCTAAAGGTGTCAACTTTTATTTTTGAATTTGATATTGCTTGAATAGGACATTTTATTTTTTCCCTTGAGATTATGACTGTGATGTACATTGTTTATTACCATTTGGCTTCATTTATGGGCCCTTTCAGGGAGCCAAAACTTTGTATGTGTTCCTGGGTTGTGGATAGATTATTTATAGCTATAATCAAAATGTGCTCAAGGCAGAACCTCTTTCCCATTCCAGAGAAGATAACTGGGTGGTTTGTCAGTCATCTATTACTGGTACACTGGCACTCTGTGCAGGGATGGGGAGTTTGGCCCCACACTCTATGCAAGCCCAAGCAGCATGGGCTCACTTTTAAATGCAAGGAACTGTGAAAAGCACAACAAGCACTTTCTCCAGGTGCTCAACCTCTGGCCCCACTGGGGAGAAACACTGCTGCATCCACAACAGTTGATTGGTGGGGGGTGGGAGATAACCCCTTCTCCACAACAATCCTCAGCTGTCAGTGCTGCAGGCTTCAATGATTGGCACCATACCTACATTTCTTTTGTCTCATGGGGGCTTTGGCAGGCTGTGCTCCTCACTTCTTTATGAGTATCTCATGCCAAAGGTTAGATCACCAGGGGTTCCACAGCTCCCTGGGCATCCACTGGTTCCCTGTGCTTGCCAAAGTCAGAGCAGGTTTGGGAGTATGTTTTCAGGGGATCTAGTAGTTTTATGACTTAAAGGAAGAAATTCTCTGGACTGGGCAGTGTCTCACAACAGATGCATAACCAGTATGGCACCTGACATCTCAGTTCAGATCTGCAGGAAGTGCAGGCTTATGTACACTAGCTGTTTAACCAATTCTTTGTCCCCTGGCAGTTTCTAAGTCACCACTGAAAGCATTTCCCGGGGTTGGAAGGGCATAGGGGCTTTCCAACAGTTGGATAGCAGATTGTTGCCAGAGTGATGGGAGCAGAGCACTCTTACCTACACTTTCCACAGAGTTCCAAGTTCCTCAGTGGTTTATCTCTACCAGACTCTTGCTGCTTTTCTTTTCTGCACCTTAACTTCTTTGCATGGGCACTGTAACAGGTCCTGGCTGTCTTCCTTTAGTTTTCCATTAGAAAAATGTTCATTTACCAATAACTTTGACCTTCTTTCTGGGGAGGTCTGTCATCCAATATGTCTAGTCAGCCATCTTGCATTATAAGCTGAAGTGATTTTTTTAAATCTAAGTCTACATATATAAATCCTTGCTAAAACTCATTCATTTGCTTCCAATATCACTTAAAACATTAGCCAATGTCTTTAAAATAGGCCTTTGTATTATCTGAATATTTATACGTAAGGAACCTAGCTATTGTCCCTTTTTTGGACCACTTGATCTTTTATCTCAGTTTATTATTGACATCTGCTCATTTCTCCTGTTTCCCTATGTAAATCTCCCTTCTGCCTATCAATGGATATGGTTTAAGTATTTGCATTTTTGTTGTTTTAAAGATTTTCTGATTGTCAATCTCTAAATTGATTAGTTTAAATTGTAGAAAAAGAATCCTGATGGCCTGACTATATTATGGGGCATAAGGGCAGGATGGGCATAAGCTAGTAAGAACAATTTATTCAGCTGGAGGTATAGAAACTACTTCTAAAAGAATGAGATATGGGTTAGGCAGGCATTCCTCACATGTTCACAAGAGCCTGAAACATACTAGCAGATGGCAATTCCTTCCATAATTTTAACATCTGTTCAATTAAAACTTTCTTATATTTTAATACAGTTCTCTCAGAAAATCTTTGTATTTTAAAATTTTCTCATCTCAAAAGAGGAAATGTCATAGAAATATAAGGCTCTGAAACCATTAGTAAAAAGAGCAATAACTTTCAGGCTAAAGAGGATTGATTTAATTATTATTTTTTTTTTTTATTGAGATGAAGTCTCACTCTTGTCACCTAGGCTGGAGTGCAGTGGTGCAATCTTGGCTCACTACAACCTCCACCCCCCAAGTTCAAGTGATTCTCCTGCCTCAGCCTCCTGAGTAGCTGGGATTACAGGCGCCTGCCACCATGCCCGGCTAAGTTTTGTACTTTTAGTAGAGACGGGGTTTAGCCATGTTGACCAGGCTGATCTTGAACTCCTGATCTCAGGTGATCCACCTGCCTCAGCCTCCCAAAGTGCTGGGATTACAGGCCTGAGCCACTGCGCCTAGCCTGATTTAATTTTTTATAACCTACACTGAGCATATAAATTGATAGCCACTGAAATGACAAAGTATATTCTGTGTGTGATTTTTACAAACAATACGTATAAGAAATGCATTGGCTTTTGCATTGTGGTTTTGACATAACCTTCCTTAGAGGTAGAAAGAGAAAAGGGAAACAATCTTTTTAAGTTATTTGTGGCCCTACTGCTTTAGATGTAATGTAAAAGATGTGTTCTAAAATATTTAATACATTAAAAATTATAAAGACTGATTAAATGACACCTCAGTAACTAGCTTAGAAAATAAAATTCCATAATAACAGTTGAAAGCTGCTATTCTCCTACATAATTTCAATCACTTTCTTCTCCTATTCCTCATACTTACCCTCCATCTAACACCAGGGGTAATCAAGATTCTGAACTGGTGTTTATTATACATTTTTGGGGGGAAAGAAAAGTTGCTTATTCATTAATATAAATGTATTTTTTCTTGCCTTAGTGTATTTTTTCAGAATATATTTACCTTCCTTGCTTTTCAGTTAAAAATATCTTTTCAAATTAGATTTTACCAGTAAAAAGTTAAATTGTTACCATTAAAAAATTAAAACAAGAATAGAGCAATACATCAACTTTAAAAAAAAAAAAATTATCTGCTGGTTATTTTTTTTTGTCCCAATTTCAATGAAAGTAGGAGAGACTCTAGTAGTTTATTATGCTGACTAAGGTTTATCTTTTTTACTTATTGGATGAGGTATGATAACTCAGGGAGGGAATGCTAAGGGTTGGTAATTGATTTTTTTTTTTTTTGTCCTGGGGAATAAATGCAATTTCTTATTCAAGCCAACCACACAAAATATTATAGTTTTTTTCAGGCTTGTTGCCTGTTTTTCTTTACTTTTTGGAAAAAGCTCTAATTTTGCCCTGTTTTTTTTTTTTTTTTTTTTTTTGGCATAGAATAATTGCTGAAGGTTATATTCCATTGCATAAATATTTATTTTAAACCTTTTATTACTGGTATTCTAAATGGTTTAGTGTAGAGAACTTTATTCATGTTTCTTTTATTATTTTTAAATCCCCAAATGGTCAATATACTAAGTTGTTTAATTCACATTATAATTATTTTTTTTGCTTGAGCAAAAAAAAATCTGATTTCTGTATTTATATGGTAACTGATAGATATAACAAGAAGAGTAAACATGTGCTTTACAGATATAAAGAGGGTTTTTAACAATTATAATGTCCTGTAAATGTCTTTAGCATAAATATATTCTAAACACCTTAAATTGCAATTTCTACATAAATAAGATCTCATTTACTTTCGTCAGTTTGTTTCAGGTTCCAAAAAAATAATGTCCTGGTCTGTTGCTTTCTGAAATGTTTTTATTCAACAGACTATTTCTGATTCATTTTTGGTCATTTGGATAAACTTCCCATTCTTTAAAGTTTTCAAAGACAGGTCTCTGATTTGGTATGTAAGAAATTTAGAAATTACCACTCTGCCCTAAAATCAAAGTAAAATGCTAAACAAACTTACATGTCAACAGTTCTTCTTAGATCTATCAAATAAGTAAGGTCACAGGAAAAGCTAATACCTTCAAAACTGGAGAGACATTCACGAAAATACAGAGACTACAATGTAACCACAGGGTTGGGGGGCGCAGGGGTGGATCACTAGCAGAAACCTCTATCAGAACCAATGCTTGGAGAGGAAAACATAAATTGTAATTGATGACTCGGTGGAGTCTCAATATGGACAAATCTAAAAAGTTAAAAACTCCATGGTGGTCAGGGATGTGGGGATCCCCTATACTTTTGTAAATTTTACCTCCAGAAGCTACACCAGGTCCTCACAGTAAATATCAGGAAAAAATAATCTCCTTGTGCTTCCAGCAGGGAGGATGGGAAAATGAATCATTTTGTAATACACTAGAGCATGCTGTACTTCTAAATAATGTCTGCCTTCAAGGAAACTATGTTATCAGAATCTAACCTGCTGGCATTTTACCAGAGCCTAATCTAACTGGGGAAAGGTAAATATCTGACTCTAGCCAACTCTAGCTTTGCACATAAGAGAAGGGAAATATACAACTCCAGCCCCCCTAGCCATTCTATTCCACCTAAAAAGGGAGAAAAAACACAAGAAGCACTAGTGGAGGTTACAATCCAGGACCACAACTCATCAAAAGACTGAGATCTAATTATGTTACTGTACAATGCTATCTTCACTTTCCATAATTTATCACTACATTATTAAAGGCCTATTTACCTCAGTTACTTTATCAAGTGCATCATGCCCATATTTTAATTTAAAAAATACAAGGCATATTTGAAGACAAAAAGTACAGTTTGAAGAAAATAAGCAAGCACAAGAACCAGAGTTACATATGGCAATGATGTTGGAATTGTCAGACTAGGGATTTTTAAAAATCACTATGATTAATATGTTATGGGCATTAATGGAAAAGTAGATAACACAAAAATATAGCTAATATACAAGAGATGGAAATTATAAGAAATAATCAAAGAGAAATGCTAGAGATAAAAAACACTGTAACAGAAATGAAGCATGCCTTTGAAAGGCTCAATAGCAGACCAGAAATAATTGAGGAAACAATCTCTGTGCTTGAGAATATGACAATAGGCACTTCCAAAACTAAAATTCAAAGAAAAAAGATGGAAAAAATTCAATATATTCAAGAACTGTTGTTCAATGACAAAACGTGTAACATATGCCTAATTGGAATGCCAGAAGGAGAAGAAAGGAGAGAACATAAAAAAAGACATATTTCAGGCAGTATCGACTGAGAATTTCTGCACGTTAATGTCATACACAAAAGCACAAATCCAGGAAGCAGAGAATACCATGTGGGATAAATACAAAAAAGAAACATACCTAGGCATATAATGTTCAAACTGCAGAAAACTTAAGAAATCTTGAAAGAAGCTGGGGACGGGGGTAGGAAACCTCTTGCCTACGGAAAAACAAATAACAATTAAAACCAACAGCCCCTCAGAAATCACACAAGCATTAAGAGAGTGGAGTGAAATATTTACAGTTAAGAGGAAAGTATCAACAACCTAGAATTCTAAATTCTATAAAATTACCCTTCAAAAGTGAAAGATAAATGAAGACTCTATCTAACAAAAATTGAGAATTTTTGCTGCCACTAGCCATGCCTTGCAAGGAAGATTAAAAGAAGTTATTCAGAGAGAAGAAGAATAGTATTTTATATCATTGGGATGAGAGTCCCCTCCAAATCTCATGTTAAAATGTGATCCCCAATGTTGTAGATATGGCCTGTTGGCAGGTATTGAATCACAGTTGTGGTTCTTTCATAAATTGCTTAGTGCTATCTGCTTGGTGATAGAGTTCTCGCTCAGTTAATTTAAATTCAATCTGGTCATTTGGAGAGGTCTTAGACCTCCTTCTTCTCTCTCTTGCTCTCTCTTTCACCATGTGACTTGCTTACTCCCCTTTCACATTTTGCCATGATTGAAATCTTCCTGAGGCCCTCGCTAGGGGCAGATGCTGGTGCCGTGATTTCAGTACAGCCTGCAAAATTATCAGTCAATGTAAACTATTTTTTTAAACAAATTATTCAGCCTCAGTTAATTCTATATAGCAACACAAAAAATGAACTAACACAATATGAGTGAGAAATGCATATCTACATAAAGAAAGAAAGAACCTTAGAGAATGACTAAGTGAAGGTAGTATAAAAACTTTTATTTTCTTATTTTTAATTGACCTAAAAATAATAATTTGTTCAAAATAATAACACCAACAACTCATGTGAAATGCTTACATGTAAATAAAATGGATAACATAAATTATACAAGAAATAAGAGGGAGAAATTAGAAATATATTGTTATTATAAGGTACTCACACTACCTATGAAATAGTATAGTGTTATTTGAAAGTAATCTTGGATTAGTTGTACATGTGTATTGCAAACTCTAGAACAACCACTAGAAAAAATTTTTTAAATAAATATAATCGATATGCTAAAAAAAAGAGAGAAAAAGAAAGCACATAAAATTCTCAATTAAAATTACAAAAGATAGAAAAAGTATGAAAAACAAAAATAGAAACAAAGAACAAGGGCAACAACTAGACAAAATAGTAATAATTGTAGTAGATATTAATCCAACTGTATCAATAATTACCTTGAATGTCAATGGTTTAGATACACTGATTTAAAGGCAGAAACAGTCAGAGTGGATATTAAAAACAAAACTCAACTATAATTTGACCAGAAAAAAGAACCCACTGTAAATATAAAAACACATATAGATTAAAAGTAAAAGGATGGATAAAGATATACCATAATAACACTAATGAAAAGATAGCAGAAGCAACTGTATTAATCTCAGAGAAGACTTTAGAATCAAGAAAGTTATTAAAGGGGGGTGTTAAATAAGGATAAAGTAGTCAATATTTCAAGAATACTTAAAACTCCCTAATGTCAGCAGACTAAAGATGAAAAACCACTTGATCATATAAAGTGATGCAGAAAAAGCATCTGACAAAACTTAATATCATTTTATAATTAAAACTCTAAAACAACTAGTAACAGTGGGGGACTTTTTCAACTTGATTAGTAACATTTACAAAAAATAGTATAGGTAACACCACCTTAATAGTGAAAAACCTGACGCTTATCTACTAAGATCAGGAACAAGGCAAGGACATACCATCTTACCACTGCTTTTAAACATCATCCTGGAATTTCTTTGTAACACAATAAGACAATAAAAGGAAATAAAAGTTATGCAGACTGAAAAGGAAGTAACGAAACTGTCTTTGTTGACAGAAGACATTAATATCTATGTAGAAAATCCAAAAGAATCAACAAAAACCTCCTAGAACTAATAAGCAATTATAGCCAGGTTGCAGAATATAAGTTTAATTTACTGAAGTCAGTTGACATTTATATATTAGCAAAAAAAGACACAGTAGAATTTTAAATTAAAAACACATTACCACTTACATTAGCACCCACAGAAATAAAATACATAGGTATAAATTTAACAACACATGTGCAAGAGCTATATTTTTTAAAACTACAAAACTAATAAAGAAATCAATAATTAAATAAATGGAGATATATTCCATGTTTATAGATAGAAAGCCTCAATGTTTTTAATATGCTAGAGCTTTTTAACTTGATCTATCTATATATACAACCAATCCCAATCAAAATCCCAGCAAGTAGTGTGAATAGTGAAAAATTGATTCTAATGCTTATATGAAGAGGTAAAGAACTCATGATTGCCGATTCAATATTAAAGAAGAACAAATATGGAGTACTGATAGTACCTGACTTCAAGACTTACTGTAAAGCTAAAGTAATAATGACAGTTTTCTATTTGTGAAAGAACAAATGGATCAGTGTAACTATATACAGAGACCAGAAATAAACCCACATAATGTAGTTCATTAATCTTTGACCAAAGGAGCAAAGGCAATAAAATTGAGCAAACATAGTATTTTCAACAAATGTGTTGGAATATATGGACATATCTATTAAAATAAAAGAATGTTGACACAGAACTTAATATCTTTCAAGAAAATTAACTGAAAACAAATCATGGACATCAAAATAAAACACAAAACTATAAAACTTCTAGAAGATAACAGAAAAGAGAAACCAGATTATTTTGAGTATGGTGATAATTTTTACAAGACTAAAGGCATGATTTATGAAATAAATAATCGATAAGCTGGACTTCATTGAAATTACAAACTTCTGCTCTTAAAAAAGTCACTTTTGAGAAAATGAGAAGGCAAGCCAAAACTGGAAAAAAGTATTTGCAAAAGACACATTTTATAAATGACTATTATCTAAATATATATTTAAAAACTTATGTAAAAAGTAAAGTAGAGGTTCCTCTTCAAAGACTTTCCTCCCCATCTAATTAGGAATAAATAGCAACTTCTCTTAGAAGCAAAATTTATTCAAAGAGCTGTTCTAACATTCTTAAATATCTGCTAGCCGTAATAAAGAAATCAATGTACTTTATATTCTTAGCTCCCACAATTTAGCCTAAATATTTGCCCTGGCATGCTTATACTGGTCCAAGCAAGCATTAAGTCATAGCCTTTTCATCTTCCTTATTTGAAGGTGTTTTTACCTTTCTCAACATTCCACAAGTTTACTTCCTCCTTCTTTTTTCTCCTCTGCCTTTGCTTCTTTTAAAAAGTTCTAAGTTGCTTGCCAGTCGGGAAAAATGCAGAATGTGAGGTTCCATTCCAGCCAACGGAAACCAGACACAGCAGTAGGGTGGATGTGTCAGGTTATAAATGACCCTGTCTCCTTTGTTCGGTGTACTCTCATGGCAAAACCGCTGGCAAGTGTACGCTTTCTGCAGAAAGTTAAAATGGCCTTGCTGAGGAAATTAAATTTACCTTCAAGTGCTATTTCTTTATGGCACCGAGGAAAAAGCATTTCAAACACTTATAAAACTCAATAGTAATATATGGAGCAACTCAATTTTTAAAAATGAGCAAAAGACTTGAACAGATACTTTATCAAAGTATATATGCAGATGGCAAGTAAGCACATGAAAATATTATATGCTCAGCATCATATTTTTGTAGGGAACTGCAAATTAAAACAACAATGAGCTACTACTACACACCTATTAAAATGGATGACATCTAAACACTAACAACATCAAATGCTGGAGAGGATGTAGAAAAGCAGGATCTTTCATTCATTACTGCTGGGATTGCAAAATGGTACAACCACTTTGGTGGGTAGTTAGGTAGTTTCTTAGAAAATTTAACATACTTTTACCATAAGTTCTTATAATCACACTCCTTAATATTTACCCAAAAGTATTAAAGACTTATTTCCACATAAAACCTGAATAAAATTGTTTAGACCACCTTTATTTATAATTGCCAGCACTTGGAAGCAACCAAGATGTCCTTAAGTAGGTATTGAATACATAAACTGTGATGCAGCCAGACAATGGCGTATTACTGAGCACTAAAAATAAATTAGCTATTTATTTATGAAAAGGCATGAAGGTACTCTAAATGCATGTTACCAAGTGAAAGAACCCAATCTAAAGAGGCTACATACTGTATGATTCCAATTATATGACATTCTGGAAAAGGAAAAACTATAGAGATAGTAAAAAGATTAGTGGTTGTCAAGGGTTGAGAGGGGAGGGAAATATGAATAGAAAGAGCACAAAAAAATTTTAGGACAGGAAAACCATTCTGTAAAACACCATAATTGTAAATACATGTTATTATACCTTTGTCAAAATCCATAGAACGTACAACACCCAGAGTGAGCCTCAAGGTAAACTGTGGACTTTGTTTGATAATAAATTGCTAATGTAGGTTCATTGATTGTAACAATTGTAACACTCTGAGTCAGGATGTTGATAGTGAGGGAGGTTGTCCTCGTGTGAGACCAGAGGCAGATGGAAACTCTTTTAACTTTTTACTCAATTTTGCTAAGAACCTATAACTTCTCTACTAAGTAATGTTTATTAATTAACAAGAGATTGTAAAAGGCAAATGTGACTTTTTCTTCTAAAAAAAGGATTTAGAATCATTATATTTATCAGAAGATGTTTGCAACAATAATGCTGTTGTGTGTACTGTAATAAAGACCTTGCTTGTCAGCTAGCCTGGACATTATATATCCACCAACTTGCAGAATTATGAACTATTCTCTAAGACTTGGCCCATGAAAGGATCAGAGATTGAAGCCCAGCTAATGAGGGGTACTTGAATGCTAAGTACTTCTATGATATGACTCTAAGATAATTATATTTCCCTGATTACAGTTCAGACAACAGTAAAATCTCCTATTCAAAATGGTCATTGAAGTTAACTGGCTGGTGAAGAATCTGCTTCTAATTGTTAGCAAGGTATAAGGTGTAGCATAATCAGCCATTGGTTGGAAATAAAGTGAAATCAGAAGTCAAAACCAAGCACAATTCAGAAACAGCTTAAACTCACCTTATCCAGAATAATTATGAGAGATATATTATAGACATTAAAGAGATATGCATAGAAAAATTAGCTAGCAAGAGAGTAAATTTCGGACAAAAAACTTACCTGTATCTATGATTCTGGAAACAAGAATAATTTCTCTAGGGTCACCTGGCTTGAAAAGAGACAATATATAAATGCAAAATCACATAGGTGCGAAAGGCCAAGATTTATGTTTGTAAATGTGAAATTAAGACCTGAAACAAGATGTTTAGATCACTGTATAATCAGCATGCTCTGAGTACCTTGAAGTCTATTGGTAAGTGTTCAGTTGCTGAAAATGAAATGAATTTTACCTAATTTAAGCAGAAATGAATTTATTAAAGGGAATAGCTTACCAACTAATTCAAACTACTGAAGAAATAAACTCTAGGTTATACTTTCAGGAACAATTTGCAGTCATATTGCAGAACTAAACCACCAAGGGAGCTACTGCCTCTTCTATGATTAAGAAGCAACCTGGTAAGATTTCCCTCCTAGTAGTATAGGCCGACTCCGCAGTTAAACTGGGATAAATTATATTTAAAAAAACATTTAAAGTCTTGGAAAGTGTTCCTAGATACAGACAGCAAATGAAAAACCATTACTATATAAAACCTAATTAAAGAACATAAAAATCTATTTTATTTGAACCATACTACATTTTCCGCCACTCCCCTCCTAACTCAGCATGAGAAAAACTCTACAGAAATACAGCCATACCAAAACTTGTCTTCCCCTTAGCTCCCAGTTGGAGAGCTATGGTATCTTCCAGGAGGGGCACAACATCACCTTTTATCATTTTTCTCCCCAGTTACCTGTTACTGAAGCTGTGTTTTCGGTTATTGCGACTAAAAAGAGAGGCTTTTTTCTTTCACCCAGTCCCACTCATATAGGAAAGAAGCTCTAAATTGGCCACAGTGCACTGATAATACTGGCACATTTTTAATTATAATTTCCCAGCTTATTTATAAAGCAAAGATTCTAAAACTGGAAAGACAAGCCACACAGAACAGAATGTACGACTATCTCTCTCTGCTGTGTGCTGATTTCCAATAACAGAGGTGTCACTCAGAGTGAAGGACATAACTGTCCCTGCCCCTAGTCATTGTTAATAGAATTTGCCCAAGGAAAAGGACCATAAAACAGAGAGCTCTGAAGCTCTTCTCAAAGGAACTGACATTTATTTTCAACAGAGTTTGAAGAAGTTCAAGCCTAAGGGTATGCTCAAAAACAGTGGAAGTGAATTCATCAGAGATAAAGGCTAAATTTTAGCCCAGCTAATTTACCAAAGAGAACCAAGGAAAGACACCACTAAGTGACATTACAGGGTCAGAACTAATCTCAAACACTGACCTCAAACAGTATTCTATGTTCATTTCTTATTTTAAGTTTAGGGGTACATGTGTAGCTTTGTTACATAAGTAAACTTGTTTCATGGGGGTTTCTTGTACTGATTATTTCATCACCCAGGAATTAAGCAAAATATTTGTTAGTTATTTTTCCTGATCCTCTCCCTCTTCCCACCCTTTACTCTCCAATAGGCCCCAGTGTGTGTTGTTTTCCTCTTTGTGTTCATGTGTTCTCATAATTTAGCTCCAACTTATAAATGAGATGTGACTTTGGACCTTGGAATTTCAGTTAATGCTGGAATGTGTTAAGACTTCAGGAGACTGTTGGGAAAGCATGATTGTATTTTGCAATGTGAGGACATAAGATTTGCAGATGCCAGGAGTGGAATTATATGGTTTGGATCTGTGTCCTCACCAAATCTCATGTGGAATTGTAATCCTCAGTGTTGAAGATGGGGCCTGGTGGTGGGTGATTGGATCATTGAGGCAGATTTCTCATGAATGGTTTAGCATGATCCACGGTGGTGCTGTCGTCATGATAGTGAGTTCTCATGAGATTTGATTGTTTAAAAGTATGTATGACCTCCTCCCTCTCTCTCTTGCTCCTTCTCTGGTCATGGAATATGTCTGTTCTTCCTTTACATTCCATCATGATTGTCAGTTTTATGAGGCCTCTCCAGAAGCCAAGCAGGGTACAAGTTGTCAGTGGATCTAATTTTTCTGGGTCTGGAGGATAATAGACCTATTCTCACACCTCCACTAGGCAATGTCCCAGTGGGGACTTTGTGTGGTGGCTCCATACCCACATTTTTTTCTTCACACTGTCCTAGTAGAGGTTCTCGTGAAGGTTCCACCCTTGCAGCAGGCTTCTTTCTGGACATGCAGGGTTTTCAATACATCCCCTAAAATCTAGGTCAAGGTTCCCATGCCTTTTACTCTTACATTCTGTGCACCCACAGACTTAACACCATGTGAAAACCACAAAGACTTTCCACTTTCACCCTCTGAAGCAGCAGCTCAAGCTGTACTTAGGCACCTTTGAGGTATGGCTGGAGCTGGAATGGCTGGAATGCAGGTTGCATTGTAACCATGTTATGCAGGGCATTGGGGTCCTTACGCTGGCCCACAAACTATTTGGTCCCCTTATGCCTCAGGGTCCATGATAGGAGTGGCTGCCACGGTGATTTCTGAAATGCCTTTGAGGCTTTTTCCCCATTTTCTTGGCTGTTAAAACTTGGCTCCTTTTTAGTTATGAAAATTTCTGCTGCTTGCCTGATTTCTTCCCCTGCAAATAAGCTTTTCATTTTTACCACAAGGCCAAGCTGTAAATTTTCAAAACTTCTATACTCTACTTACCCTTTAAATACAAGTTCCAGCCTTAAGTCATTTATTTGCTCATGCATATCATATAAGCATAGGCTGTTAGAAGCAGCCAGGACACTTCTTGAATGCTTTGCTGCTTAGAAATGTCTTTCACCAGCCACCAGATACCCTAAATTATCATTCTGAACATTAAAGTTTCACAGATCTTTAGGGCAGACGTACAATGCAGCCAAATTCTTTGTTCAAGCATAACAAAAATGACCTTTTTTCCAGTTCCCAATAAGTTTCTCTTATCTGTCTGAGACCTCTATAGCCTGGCCTTCATTGTTCATATCACTATTGGTGTTTTAGTCACAACAATTTAACCAATCTCTAGGAATTTCCAAACATTCCCTCATCTTTCTGTCTTCCTCTGAGCCCTCAACACACTTCCAACATCTGCCTCTTACCCAATTCCAAAACTGCTTTCACATTTTTTGGTATCTTGATAACAATGCTTTAAGCCTTGGTACCAATTTTCTGTATTAGTCTTTTCTCATATTGCTATAAAGAAATACCTGGGATTGGGTACTTTATAAAGAAAAGAGGTTTACTTGTCTCATGGTTCAGCAGGCTGTGCAGGAAATATAGCGGCATATGATTGGGCTCTGGAGAGGCCTCATAAAACTTGTAATTATGGCAGAAAGTAAAAGGGGAGCAGATATGTCACATGGCCAGAGCAGGAGCAAAAGTGAGAGGGGAGAGCTGCGAAACACTTTTAAGCAACCAGATCTCATGAGAACTTGCTATCATGAGGACATCACCAAGAGAGATGGTGCTATACCATTTATGAAATATTTGCCCCCATAATCCAATCACCTTCCACCAGGTCCCACCTTCAACATTGAGGATTACAATTCGACATGAGATTTAGTGGGCACACAAATCCAAACTGTATCAAACAGGTAATTGACAATGTTTCATCAGAGAATATTAATAAAGAGATAAGTTATTAAAATGAAAACTATGGAATTGATAGATACAATAATGAAAAATGAACAATTTACTAAAGATACTTCATGGTATAAGAATTAGCAGACTTGAAGATAAATTGATAGAAATTATATAAATCAAAAATTAAAAGAAAATTAGAATAATCCAGTCTATCATTGTTGGACATTTCAGTTGGTTCCAAGTCTTTGCTATTGTGAATAGTGCCGCAATGGAGGGATAGCATTAGGAGATACACCTAATGCTAAATGACGAGTTAATGGGTGCAGCACACCAGCATGGCACATGTATACATATGTAACTAACCTGCACATTGTGCACATGTACCCTAAAACTTAAAGTATAATAATAATAAAATAAAATAGATAAAGAAAATTAGAATAAATAAAAATGAACATATTCTCACAGAAATGTGGAACATTAAGCACACAAACTTACCAGTAAAGAAAGTAACAGAGAGGAGTAAAAAAAGCAGAAATAATACTTCAAAAAATAATGCTCAAAATTTGCTAGATTTGATGAAAAACTTTAATCAACACATTCTAGAAACTCAACAAATGCTATGTAAGCAAAGCAGAAAAATAGGCAAAGAAACTTCATAATGTAAATGCTGAAAATCAAAGACAAGAGGAAAATTTTGCAATCAGCAAGAGCAAACTTATTTATAACTTACAATGAAACTCCAATAAGATTAAAAAGTGCCTTTTTATCAGAAACAAAGGAGACCATAAAGCAGTGAGATACATATTTGAAGTGCTTTGAGAAAAAAAAAGGCAATCAAAAATCTTATATTTAGAAAAAATATCTTTCAACAATGAAGACAAAGACATTTCAAAACTATTTAAAAATTAAGAGAATGTGTTGTTAGCAAACCTGCTTTATAATAAATAGCAAAGGAAGTTCTTTAGGATAAAAGTAAGTGACTGCAGAAAATAATTTACGTACACATACAAAAACAAAGAGCAACAGCAAAGGTAATTATGCAATTGAAAAATTAACACAGAAGCAGATATTTCTTATTTCTTCTCTTAACAAATTTAAAAACAATTGTATAAGACAACATGTATATAATTGTATCTGGATTATATAGCAAACAAATATGTGATATTAGTGTGAATAATATCATGAAGGATGTAGGTGAGACCAAGGCTGTATAAGTCCGTAGTAATGACAGCAAATGGTAACAGAAATTAAGGAACAAATAAAGAGAACAAAAAATGACAAATAAGGTTATAAGGATTGAAATAGTACAAATTATTTTGGTTCAGTTATAATGGAATGGAACTAGGAACCAATAATAAAGAAAATTTGGAAACTCACAAATATGTGAAAATTAAACAATACACTTCTATACAACAAATGGGTCAAATAAATAATCACAAGGAAAATTAGAAAATAATTTGAAATAAATAAAAATATAAAACACATGCAAAAACTTATGAGATGTAGCTAAATAGTGCATAGAGAGAAATATATAGTTAAAAATGTCTATATTCAGATAGAAGAAAGTTCTCAAATCAATAATCTAACTGACTGCCTTAGGAAAATGGAAAAAAGAGAAAACTAAAAGTAAGTATATTGAAAAAAGAATAAAGTTTATACTGGAAATTAGTAAAATCTAAAATAGAAAAAAATACAGAAGTGCAACAAAACCAAAAACTGGTGCTTCAAGAATTCAACAAAATTGAAAAACTTTTAGTTCAATTAACCAAGAATGAAGGAAGGGAGACCTGATTCCACAGCTAAAGTATTAGGTGACATTACTACCAACTATTCAGAAATTTCTCAAATATTATAAAGGAATACTATAACCAATTGTATGCCAACAAATTGAATAGCTTACATAAAATAGAAAAGTTCCTAGAGAAACACAAAATGCTGAAAGTGACTAAAAAAAAAAGGAAAACCCTGAAAAGAAGTACATGCACAGAGATTAAATTACTAACCAAAAATATATTCACAAAGACCCAGAAAAAAAGACTTTGCTACTGTATTCTAACAAGCACTTAAATAACTGATACCAATTACTCATAAATGCTTCTAAAAACAGAACAGAAAGAAATACTTCCCAACTCTTTATTTTAGTCCAATAATATCTGGATATGAAAACCAAAGAAAACAAAATAAAAAAACACACAGTCTGATATCTCTTATAACAGATGTAAAAATGCTCAACAAAATGCTAGCCAACTGAATACAGCAGCATGTTAAATGGATCATAAACAATTATCTCAGATTTGTCCCAAGAATGCAAAGTTGTTTTAACATCTAAAAATCAATGTATTTCAAAGTACAATTTTATTTTGCATGGTTAATGTACAAAATATTTCCACCTCCCTTGAAAAACAGTATTGTATCTAAATTGGAATATATTGCTGAGATATATAGCTGAAAACATACAGTTCACTTAACAATTAACATTTAAACAGATAATATTACACAAGTAGATTCAATAGATGTGAATATACATACATATTACCCAAATTTTTAATAGTCTAAAGAATATATTACAGACTAGGCATAGAGGCTCATGCCTGTAATTTCAGCACTTTGGGAGGCAAAGGCAGGAGGATTGCTTGAGGTCGGGAGATTGAGACCAGGCTGGGCAACTTAGTGAGACCCTGTATCTACAAAATTAAAAAAAAAAATAGCCACCCATAGCTGTGTGTGCCTGTAGTCCCAGCTCCTTTGGATAGCTTGAGCCCAGGAGGTTGAGGCTACAGCACACTGTGGTCATGTCACCGTACTCCAGTCTACACACAGAGTGAGATCCTGTCCAAAAAAAAGAATATATTACAGCATTAAAAATACAGAAGGAAGTATTTTGTTTTACTTTTAAATTTAAAATTCTTCTGATTGTTCTACACAGAGAGGCTTAAATGTGAAAAAGCAATCAGCTTACCACCAAATAAAATGTGTCTGGCATGTTCTTGATGTCTCTCCAGCTAAACGAATGGACTATGACAGTTTAGGTTGAATTAACAAGGTGGCATTCAGTAATGAGATTTTTATTATCAAATAGAACTGACTGAGAAATGTTAGTTTGTGAGATGTCATTTTGTGATGGCATAATTTTTTCAGAGCTACTCATTAA
This sequence comes from Homo sapiens, assembly GCF_000001405.40. Taxonomy (NCBI): domain Eukaryota; kingdom Metazoa; phylum Chordata; class Mammalia; order Primates; family Hominidae; genus Homo; species Homo sapiens. The sequence goes on along the minus strand of NC_000023.11, from coordinate 93,042,723 downwards.
AACATTCTGAGGTATAATTGAAAAATTTAGTTTCCTTCTTACCACAACATCTGAAATTTCTTCTTTTTTGTTAGTATTAACTGCTACTCCATCAGCAAGAAGAAGTAAACTCATTATTTCACTGGATAAACAATCCATCTCAACATTTATTTTATTTACATCATGGTTTATTTCAATTAAGTGTGGTAATCCAGGGCACTGAGTATCTCCTATTATGCTGTTCCTGCATTCAGGAGTATTTGATGACAAAATCTAAAAGTTGATTTTAAAAAGTCTTTGAGACATCTGGGACTAAATAAATTGATTAATTTACAAATTATTGGTATTACTGTGGGGGAATAGAGATAAAAGTTATAGAAAACATATTTAAGGAAGTAATCGATGTAAACTTTTCAAGTTTAGCAAGAGAGTTAGGCATTGAGGTACAGAAACCCAGTGCTACACAAACAAACACAATGCAAAAATTACTTTAACATGAAACACTGTATTCAGAATGTCTAAAGTTCAAGTAAAAGAAAGAATTTTAAAATTAACAAGAAAAATGTATCTAGTAAGCTATGAAGGAAACTCTGTTAGATTAACATTGAACTTTCCAGCAGAAACCTTACAGGCCATAAGAGAATGAAACTGCATTTTTAAGGTGCTAAAAGAAAAACACTGTCCACCAAGAATTTTATTTGGAATAAGCTTCACAAATGAAGGAGAAATAAAATTTTATTCATATAAGCAAATGCTAAGTGAATTTGCCACTAGACTAGCCATACAGGAAATGCTCAAAGAAGCCTTAAATATGGAAAGTATAAAACACACAGTTCTCAGAAAACAAGCACATAAAGGGGGAAGAGAAAGAATGAAATGGCAACATGACAGAATTTTCTGAAACCACAAAGACAAAAAGAGAATAAAAGGGAAACAAAAATTCGTAAAAACAATTTGAAAACAATTAACAATATTACCAGGACAATGAATCACATATTAATATTAATCCTGAATACAAATGGACTAAATGCTGCACTTAAAAAATAGATCGATAGAATGGACTTAAAAAATGATCCAACTATATCCTGCTTAAAAGAAACTTATCTAACCAATAAAAGTACATACAGATTGAAAGTAAAGGGGTAGAAAAAGATATTTCACACAAATGGAAACAAAAAGTGAGCAGGAGTAGCTATACTTATATCAGCTAAAGTAGACTTTAAATCAGAAACAATTTTAAAAAGACAACGAATGTCATTATATAATAAAGGGATCAATTCAGCAAGAGGCTATAACAGGTCTAAATATATATGTGCCTAACATTGAAGTATCTAAATTTACAAAACAGATATTACTGGACCTAAAAAAATACATAGAAAGCAATACAATAATAGTCGGAGACTTCAACACCCCACTAACAGCTCAAAATAGATCATTAAGACAGAGACTAACAAAGAAACATTGGACTTAAATTAGATCTTAGATCAAATGGACTAAACAGATATTTACATAACATTCTACACAAGAATTACAGACTACAAAGTATTTTTATCAGTACATGTAACATTTTCTAAGATAGATCTCATATTAGGCTACAAAACAAGTCAATATATTTTAAAAATTAAAACCTCATCAAGTATCTTCTCACACCAGAGTGGAATAAAGCTAGAAATGAATACCAAGAGAAACTTTGTGAATTAAACAAATACATAGAAATTAAATAGCATGCTCCTGCACAATCATTATGTTAGAGGCGTTCAAACCAGAGTGACTCCGTTTTGAGTGAGGACCAGGAAAATGACGCCGAGACTTGCTTGGCTGCATTCCCAGAAAATTAGAAATTCCTAGACTCTAGATGCTTACCATTAAGGGAACAAATTAATGAAGTTTACTGAAACAGACCCAGACTTGGGCATGTCCAGATATCCCCATATCTGGAGAACAAGGGCATTCCTAATTTTGCTTTAAAGATAATAATATTGATTCTTGCAAAATGTAGTAATTAATTAATCCTTTATCACAAACCCTTGCATCAGAACACATCTCCCCAAGATCTATTTGTATCATATATATATGTAAGTGTATATATATGTATGTGTATATATATGTATATACATATATATGTGTGTGTATATATACGTATATATGTATATATATATGTATATACACATATATACGTATATACATATATACATATACACACATATATACTTATATACATATATATACGTATACACATATATACATATATACATATACACATATATACATATACACATATATACACATATATACAATACATATATACATATATACATATGCATATGCATATACGTATATGCGTATATGCATGTGCATATACATATATGTATATACGTATATACATGTGCATATACATATATGTATATACGTATATACATGTGCATATGTATATATGTATATATATGTATGTGTATATATATATACACACACACACATGCATACACACACACACACACACACAAGCATTGTAACTAGGGTGGATGTGTTCCTCCTCTTACTTTCAGGAATGTCCTACTCTATGGAGTAGCTGTTCTTTCACCACTTTACTCTCTTAATAAAGTTGTATTTACTTTGCACTGCAGACTCACCCTGAATTTTTTCCTGTGTGAGATCCAAGAACCATCTCGGGATCTGGATCGGGACCTCTTTCCAATAACAACTGGGTTAATGAAGAAATGAAAAAAATTGTAAAAACATTTGAAATAAATAAAAATAAAAACATGACATCAAAACTTTTGGGATACAGCAAAAGCAGTATTATAAGGGAGGTTTATAGCATTAAATATCTACATCATAAAGGTAAAAAGATTACAAATTTACCTAACATCACACCTCAAGGAACTAGAAAAACAAGAAAAAGAAATCATCACAAGAGTTAGCAGAAGAAAAGAAATACCAAAGGTCAGAGAAGAACTAAATCAAATTGAGACCAAAAAAAAAAAAAAAATACAAAAGATGATTGAAATGAAAAATTGGTTCTTCGATAACATAAACAAAATTAGTAAACCCATTACCAGATTAACCAAGAAAATAGAGTAGATCCAAATAAACACAATCAGAAACGTAAAAGAAGACATTACAACTGATACCACAGAAATACAAAAGTTCTTCAAAGACTATTATGAACAACTATAGGCTCACAAACTAGAAAACCTAGAGGAAATGGATACATTCCTGGAAACATAGAACCTTTCCAGATGATTGTACCACAAATAAATAGACCTCTTGAATAGACCAATAATGAGTAGTGAGATTTAATCTGTAATAAAAAACCTCTTCCACAAAAAAAGCCCACAACCAAATGGATTCAGAGCTGAATTCTACCAAACATACAAAGAAAAACTAAAACCAAAACTCTTGAAACTATTCCAAAAAATTGACAAGGAGGGAATTCACCCTAACTCATTCCATGAGGCCAGTATCACCTTGATACCAAAACCAAAGACACATTAAAAAAAATACAGACAGGCAGGGTGTGGTGGCTGACGCCTGTAATCCTAGCACTTGGGGAAGCTGAGGTGGGAGGATCACAAAGTCAGGAGTTCGAGACCAGCCTGGCCAGTATGGTGAAACCACGTCTCTACTAACAATACAGAAATTGCGTGGTGGCAGGTGCCTGTAGTCCCAGCTACTCAGGAGGCTGAGGCAGGAGAATCGCTTGAACCTCGGAGGCAGAGGTTGCAGTGAGCCAAGATCCCGCCACTGCACTCCAGTCTGGGCGACAGAGCGAGACTCCATCTCAACAAAAAATAAAAATAAAAATACGGACCAATCATATAGATGCAAAAATCCACAACTAGCAATTCAATTCTATTATCGAATGAATAAGACCTACTATTTGATATCACAACAAGGTGACTAAAATCAACAATAACTTAATTGTACATTTTAAAATAACTTAAAGGGTGTAATTGGATTGTTTGTAACTCAAAGGATAAATGCCTGAGGAAATGGATACCCCATTTTCTGTGAAGTGATTAATTATTTCATATTGCATGCCTCTATCAAAACATTTTATATACCCCATAAATATACACACCCACTATGTGCTCATGAAAATTAAAAATTAAAAATCTATAAAAATAAAATAATAAAAATCTTCCACTTAAAAAATAAAATGTAAAAAAGGCTGAAATAATTCTCTTTTAAATTACTGATGCTTTTTTGTACATAATTATTTGACAAATTTGCCATTCTTTAAAAAACTGTGTTTTTTTGTCAGTGTAGGCAGACAGGGAAATGTGTCACTCAGATCTTTTGCTCTGGGAAGTGTAGTTGGCTGAAAATCCTAGCCACTGTTCCTCTAGATATATCTCTGCTTTGTGCTGAGTCCACATTTCTTCTGGAATACCTCAGTCAATAACAGAGTATGAGTATTCTCTGTGGGACATAGCACTATTTTATGGCCTGACCAAATCTTTTTCAAAGCTGTGCTACAGTCTGGAACTTTTCATATTCAATCCACCTCCCTATGGTTTGTTCTTTCACAGGTTTCAGTATTACTGTATGAAGATTATCTCTGCTTTTTCTGTTTATCTTCCATAAACATTACTTTAAACATATGTCTTGAATATCTAATCTCATATTGGCATCTGCTCTCAAGAAAACCAAAATAACAGTCAGGTTTCTAAACTTTTTCAAGACAATAGCAATTATATCCCTAACTTGACTTGCTGGGAAATAATATAGCTTTCATAATTAACTGGTAAATAAGAAGGGTTATAAATCAGGTACTTATTAGTAAGCACGACTTGAAATTTAGCATTGCTGTCTTAGCAAATTTCAGTAGAAAGAGGCAATATCTATGCAAAATTGTTTAAAGAATCCTTAGTCAATCAAATTTCCATATCAGAGGTTGGCAAACTTATGGATCTGTTTTTGTATGGCCTGGGAGCTAAGAAAGTATTTTACAGTTTTTAAGGGCTGTAAAACAAACTAATATAAAACAAACAGAAAACAAAAAAAGCAAAGAATATGAGTTTGAGACCATATGGCTCACAATATTTAAACTATTCACTATTTAAAGAAAGTGTTTTCTGATCCCAGATTTATATGCTTTTAAATATATTCTTGGATTAAGCAATATCAGAAAATAATGCTTTACATTTTTGTGAAAGGGGAAAAGTCAAGCTAGAAACTGCTTAGGGCCAACCTGCCCCCCATGCTTTTCAAAGTCACCCCTCTGCTCACTGAGATAAATGCATATCTGATTCCCTCCTTGGGAGAGGCTAATCAGAAATTCAAAAGAATGCAGCTATTTTTCTCTTACCTACCTATGACCTGGAAGTCCTCTCCCTGCTTTCAGTCTTCCCACCTTTGCTTTGAGTTGTCCCTTTCCAGACCAAACCAATGCTCATCTTGGAAATGTTGATTGATGTCTCATGTCTCCCTGGAATCCGTAAAATCAAACAGTGCTCTGACCACTTTGGGAACATATTGTCAGGACCTCATGAGGCTGTGTCACAGGCCTGCATCCTCAACCTTGGCAAAATAAACTTTTTAAATTAACTGAGACCTGTCTCAGATTTTTGGGGTTCACATTTTCTACTTGAAAGCTTAAGTCACATTTGCATCCTGGTATGGAAAATATACTATGTAATTTTAACATGCATCTTTAAGCCATCATCACTTCTGACCTTATCTTATTTATCTTCTATCACTATTTCAATTATATACTAATTTCAACTTTTATTTTATCTTAACATATTTATTTGTTATATACTTTTAACATTTTAGCTTGGATCTCCTACTCTCCACCTCTGAAAGGGTATAGATTAAGAGCATTGTGAAATTTAATGATCTATGAAAAAGTATGAATTTGCTCAAATTACTTGATGCTTTCTGTAGCTAAATAATATATACAGGATATATTATATCTGTACCAAATGGAAGTACAACATAGAGGAAATAAACAAGGGCTGAGATATAAGCCTCTTCGTAGAACCCCAATTTTTTGCGATACATAAAATCCAAAGGATTTCAACAGTTGCTTCTATACATAGATATTATTATCTATAATAGGTGTTGTTAACCAGGGTTTATGACTGCTTTGGGGTACAGTAATAAATGTTGGGTAATTTGTGATGATCTTGATGTTGTATACAAAATTTGTTATATACATATGTGACTATGTTTATAAGAAAATGAACAATAGCTTATATCACATTTCTAAAAGTTCTGAAACTCCTAGAAGTTGATTTTGTTGTCCGAATAGGATAGAGTCAACAGTCAAACCCAAAGATCATCTCAAGCTGGAATCCAGAGCATTCCTGAGGTTCTTAGTCTGAACTGGTTTCATAGGCCTGATTTAAAAAAAAAAAAAACAAAAAAAACTTTAATTTTATGCCTAAAGACAGATTATAAAGATCTTCAAGTTGTAGGACTTTTTTTTGGCTTTTCCAGATTGTCACAGGAATGTGACACCTTAAATTCCTGTGACATAACATATGCTCGTGTTATTATTTTTATTTTCTCCAGTGTGAATTCTTCTATTTGTTACATATGCTAACTTTGCCTTGTAGTGGTGAGATTTGGGAGGTATTTTGTAATTTTTATTAATAAGATCATCCTCATAGGATTTATTGTCTTAATTTTTTGGCTGAAAATTTTTACATAAGTTGGTAATTTCAGCCCTCAAACACACATGGTTGAAACACATAGTGATATTGGTTTATTGCAGATGAATTCCTTAGACTCATATTTCAGGACAAAAAATTCACTAGTAATCCATTTTTTGAGGCCGGGAAAAAGAGTCTTCCTTATCCACATTTAGGGTCACACATGTCACAATCATTTTCACACTTCCAGATATATAGAAGGGAGGACTTTCAGGAATCCAACACACAAATAGACTATAGGCTCAGTTCCAATCCTCACTTGTGTGTAAATATCCCTTTTCCTGAAAACACGGTTTCTCAATTGAGAATGTATCTGTCCCTCCTTCCCTAGCCTGACGGAGTTTGAAAATGTTTGAGTCAGGGTAAAATCTAGAATTGCGGGGTCTGAAGTTTTATACAACTCTTAATGTCTTTTAAAGAATAATACAAATTTACAAATACAAAATTAGGTACAGGGCTCTGGGAGGAGTTTATGTAATGGCAGACCCTTAAATTTGAGCTTCATTAACCTCATAATAAATTTTCTTCTAGTTGATGCATTATTACTTGTTGCAATGACTATTGGATCTTATTGGCATTTAGTGTGAATGGGTCCAGAAAAGCCAAATATCCTGAAATGTATGAGATATTTTGACAAAAAAAAATAACTATCCTGGGGAATATGTCAATTATCTCAGAGTTTCATAAAGGATTACATCCCTCTAATTAATGGCTATAAGTTTCTTATTAGATTATGTATGTTACCTGAAGACTGTGTCTTCTTGCTTTCAAGCTTACTTATTAATTTTTTAAAAACATAAAGGATTTTTTATCCTGAGATTTTTTTATTTCAACTTTTACTTTAGGTATAGGGGGTACTTGTGCAGGTTTGTTACAGGGTTGTATTGCATGCAGGATATTGGGCCTAGTACCTGATGAGTAGTTTTTCAACCCAAGCCCCACACTCTCTCCTGACTAGTAGTCTCTAGTATCTATTATTCCCATGTTTACATCCATGTGTACACAATTTTGAGCTCCCACTTACAAGTGAGAACATGCAGTATTTGATTTTTGGATCTTGTGTTAGTACACTTAGAATTATGGCCTCCAGCTTTATCCATGTTGCTGCAAAAGACATAATTTAATTTTTTTATGGCTGCATAATATTCTATGGTGTATATGTATGACATTTTTTTCATTTAACCTACCACTGATGGGCACTAGGTTAATTGCATGTCTTTGCTATTGTGAAGAGCCTAGCAATGAACATATGAGTGCATGTGTCTTTTGATTTAATGATCTATTTTCCTTTGTGTATATATTCAGTAACAGTATTAATGGGTCAAATGGTAGCTCTGTGTTATTTAAGAAATAACTAAGTTATTTAAGAAAGCTCTCAACTACTTTCCATAGTGTCTGAACTAATTTACATTCTCATCAACAGTGTATAAGCATTTCTTTTCTTCCACAACCTCACCAATATCTGCTGTTTTTTATTTTTTAAGAACAAGCATGATTTTGCAGTGGCTGGTACCGGTTGTGCCTTTCCATGTTTAGTGCTTCCTTCAGGAACTCTTTTAGGGCAGGCCTGGTGGTGACAAAATCTCTCAGGATTTGCTTGTCTGTCAAGGATTTTATTTCTCCTTCACTTATGAAGCTTAGTTTGTCTGGATATGAAATTCTGGGTTGAAAATTCTTTTCTTTAAGAATGTTGAATATTGGCCCCCACTCTCTTCTGGCTTCTAGAGTTTCTGCTGAGAGATCCGCTGTTAGTCTGATGGGCTTCCCTTTGTGGGTAACCCGACCTTTCTCTCTGGCTGCCCTTAACATTTTTTCCTTCATTTCAACTTTGGTGAATCTGACAATTATGTGTCTTGGAGTTGCTCTTCTCAAGGAGTATCTTTGTGGTGTTCTCTGTATTTCCTGAATCTCAATGTTGGCCTGCCTTGCTAGATTGGGGAAGTTTTCCTGGATAATATCCTGCAGAGTGTTTTCCAACTTGGTTCCATTCTCCCCATCACTTTGAGGTAAACCAATCAGATGCAGATTTGGTCTTTTCACATAGTCCCATATTTCTTGGAGGCTTTGATCGTTTCTTTTTATTCTTTTTTCTCTAAACTTCCCTTCTCACTTCATTTCATTCATTTCATCTTCCATCACTGATACCCTTTCTTCCAGTTGATTGCATCAGTTCCTGAGGCTTCTGCATTCTTCACTTAGTTCTCGAGCCTTGGCTTTCAGCTCCATCAGCTCCTTTAAGCACTTCTCTGTATTGGTTATTCTAGTTATACATTCATGTAAATTTTTTTCAAAGTTTTCAACTTCTTTGCCTTTAGTTTGAATTTCCTCCTGTAGCTCGGAGTAGTTTGATCGTCTGAAACCTTCTTCTCTCAACTCGTCAAAGTCATTCTCCATCCAGCTTTGTTCCATTGCTGGTGAGGAACTGCGTTTCTTTGGAGGAGGAGAGGTGCTCTGCTTTTTAGAGTTTCCAGTTTTTTCCCCATCTTTGTGGTTTTATCTACTTTTGGTCTTTGATGATGATGATGTACAGATGGGTTTTTGGTGTGGATGTCCTTTCTGTTTGTTAGTTTTCCTTCTAACAGACAGGACCCTCAGCTGCAGGTCTGTTGGAGTTTGCTAGAGGTCCACTCCAGACCCTGTTTGCCTGGGTATCAGCAGCAATGTCTGCAGAACCACGGATTTTCGTGATCCGCGAATGCTGCTATCTGATCTTTCCTCTGGAAGTTTTGTCTCAGAGGAGTACCTGGCCGTGTGAGGTGACAGTCTGCCCCTACTGGGGGGTGCCTCCCAGTTAGGCTGCTCCGGGGTCAGGGGTCAGGGACCCACTTGAGGAGGCAGTCTGCCCGTTCAAAATAAAAGGATGGAGGAAGATCTACCAAGCAAATGGAAAACAAAAAAAAGCAGGGATTGCAATCCTAGTCTCTGATAAAACAGACTTTAAACCAACAAAGATCAAAAGAGACAAAGAAGGCCATTACATAATGGTAAAGGGATCAATTCAACAAGAAGAGCTAACTATCCTAAATATATATGCACCCAATACAGGAGCACCCAGATTCATAAAGCAAGTCCTGAGTGACCTACAAAGAGACTTAGACTGCCAAACAATAATAATGGGAGACTTTAACACCCCACTGTCAACATTGGACAGATCAACGAGACAGAAAGTTAACAAGGATACCCAGGAATTAAACTCAACGCTGCACCAAGTGGACCTAATAGACATCTACAGAACTCTCCACCCCAGATGAACAGAATATACATTTTTTTCAGCACCGTACCACACCTATTCCAAAATTGACCACATAGTTGGAAGTAAAGCTCTCCTCAGCAAATGTAAAAGAACAGAAATTATAACAAACTGTCTCTCAGACCACAGTGCAATCAAACTAGAACTCAGGATTAAGAAACTCACTCAAAACCGCTCAACTACATGGAAACTGAACAACCTGATCCTGAATGACTACTGGGTACATAACGAAATGAAGGCAGAAATAAAGATGTTCTTTGAAACCAACGAGAACAAAGAACCAACATACCAGAATCCCTGGGACACATTCAAAGCAGTGTGTAGAGGGAAATTTATAGCACTAAATGCCCACAAGAGAAAGCAGGAAAGATCCATAATTGACACCCTAACATCACAATTAAAAGAACTAGAGAAGCAAGAGCAAACACATTCAAAAGCTAGCAGAAGGCAAGAAATAACTAATATCAGAGCAGAACTGAAGGAAATAGAGACACAAAAAACCCTTCAAAAAATTAATGAATCCAGGAGCTGGTTTTTTGAAAGGATCAACAAAATTGATAGACAGCTAGCAAGACTAATAAAGAAAAAAAGAGAGAAGAATCAAATAGACGCAATAAAAAATGATCAAGGGGATATCACCACTGATCCCAGAGAAATACAAACTACCATCAGAGAATACTACAAACACCTCTACGCAAATAAACTAGAAAATCTAGAAGAAATGGATAAATTCCTCGACACATAGACTCTCCCAAGACTAATCCAGGAAGAAGTTGAATCTCTGAATAGACCAATAACAGGATCTGAAATTGTGGCAAGAATCAATAGCTTACCAACCAAAAAGAGTCCAGGACCAGATGGATTCACAGCTGAATTCTACCAGAGGTACAAGGAGGAACTGGTACCATTCCTTCTGAAACTATTCCAATCAATAGAAAAAGAGGGAATCCTCCCTAACTCATTTTATGAGGCCAGCATCATCCTGATACCAAAGCCAGGCAGAGACACAACCAAAAACAGAATTTTAGACCAATATCCTTGATGAATATTGATGCAAAAATCCTCAATAAAATACTGGCAAACTGAATCCAGCAGCACATCAAAAAGCTTATCCACCATGATCAAGTGGGCTTCATCCCTGAGATGCAACCCTGGTTCAATATACACAAATCAATAAATGTAATCCAGCATATAAACAGAACCAAAGACAGCAACCACATGATCATCTCAATAGATGCAGAAAAGGCCTTTGACAAAGTTCAACAACACTTCATGCTAAAAACTCTCAATAAATTAGGTATTGATGGGATGTATTTCAAAATAATAAGAGCTATCTATGACAAACCCACAGCCAATATCATACTGAATGGGCAAAAACTGGAAGCATTCCCTTTGAAAACTGGCACAAGACAGGGATGCCCTCTCTCACCACTCCTATTCAACATAGTGTTGGAAGTTCTGGCCAGGGCAATCAGGCAGGAGAAGGAAATAAAGGGCATTCAATTAGGAAAAGAGGAAGTCAAATTGTCCCTGTTTGCAGATGACATGATTGTATATCTAGAAAAGCCCATTGTCTCAGCCCAAAATCTCCTTAAGCTGATAAGCAACTTCAGCAAAGTCTCAGGATACAAAATCAATGTACAAAAATCACAAGCATTCTTATAAACCAATAACAGACAAACAGAGAGCCAAATTATGAGTGAACTCCCATTCACAATTGCTTCAAAGAGAAAAAAATACTTAGGAATCCAACTTACAAGGGACGTGAAGGACCTCTTCAAGGAGAACTACAAACCACTGCTCAATGAAATAAAAGAGGATACAAACAAATGGAAGAACATTCCATGCTCATGGGTAGGAAGAATCAATATCGTGAAAATGGCCATACTGCCCAAGGTAATTTATAGATTCAATGCCATCCCCATCAAGCTACCAATGACTTTCTTTACAGAATTGGAAAAAACTACTTTAAAGTTCATATGGAACCAAAAAAGAGCCTGCATCACCAAGTCAATCCTAAGCCAAAAGAACAAATCCGGAGGCATCACGCTACCTGACTTCAAACTATACTACAAGGCTACAGTAACCAAAACAGCATGGTACTGGTACCAAAACAGAGATATAGATCAATGGAACAGAACAGAGCCCTCAGAAATAACGCCTCATATCTACAACTATCTGATCTTTGACAAACCTGAGAAAAACAAGCAATGGGGAAAGGATACCCTATTTAATAAATGGTGCTGGGAAAACTGGCTAGCCATATGTAGAAAGCTGAAACTGGATCCCTTCCTTACACCTTATACAAAAATTAATTCAAGATGGATCAAAGACTTAAATGTTAGACCTAAAACCATAAAAACCCTAGAAGAAAACCTAGGCATTACCATTCAGGACATAGACATGGGCAAGAACTTCATGTCTAAAACACCAAAAGCAATGGCAACAAAAGCCAAAATTGACAAATGGGATCTGATTAAACTAAAGAGCTTCTGCACAGCAAAAGGAACTACCATCAGAGTGAACAGGCAACCTACAAAATGGGAGAAAATTTTCACAACCTACTCATCTGACAAAGGGCTAATATCCAGAATCTACAATGAACTCAAACAAATTTACAAGAAAAAAACAACCAACCCCATCAAAAAGTGGGCAAAGGATATGAACAGACATTTCTCAAAAGAAGACATTTGTGCAGCCAAAAGACACATGAAAAAAATGCTCATCATCACTGGCCATCAGAGAATTGCAAATCAAAACCACAATGAGACACCATCTCACACCAGTTAGAATGGCAATCATTAAAAAGTCAGGAAACAACAGGTGCTGGAGAGGATGTGGAGAAATAGGAACACTTTTACACTGTTGGTGGGACTGTAAACTAGTTCAACCATTGTGGAAGTCAGTGTGTTATGTTAGAAATCCCTAGATTCCTCAGGGATCTAGAACTAGAAATACCATTTGACCCAGCCATCCCATTACTGGGTATATACCCAAAGGATTATAAATCATGCTGCTATAAAGACACATGCACAGGTATGTTTATTGCAGCACTATTCACAATAGCAAAGACTTGGAACCAACCCATATGTCCAGCAATGATAGACTGGATTAAGAAAATGTGGCACATATACACCATGGAATACTATGCAGCCATAAAAAATGATGAGTTCATGTCCTTTGTAGGGACATGGATGAAATTGGAAATCATCATTCTCAGTAAACTATCGCAAGGACAAAAAACCAAACACCACATGTTCTCACTCATAGATGGGAATTGAACAATGAGAACACATGGACACAGGAAGGGGAACATCACTCTGGGGACTGTTGTGGGTTGGGGGAGGGGCAAGGGATAGCATTAGGAGATATACCTAATGCTAAATGACGAGTTAATGGGTGCAGCACACCAGCATGGCACATGTATACATATGTTACTAACCTGCACATTGTGCACATGTACCCTAAAACTTAAAGTATAATAATAAAAAAAAAAAATGAAAGAAACATGGAAAAAAAAAAAAGAACAGGCATTCTGACCAGTGTAAGATGGTATCTCATTGTGGTTTTGATTTACATTTCTCTAATGATTAGTATTTTTATATGTAATTTTTGACTGCATGTATGTCTTTTGTCTATGATTATATTTTGCCCATTTCTTAATGTTTTTATTTGTTTTTTAAACTATTGAATTGCTTAATTTCCTTGTAGTTTCTGGATATTAAACCTTTTCAGATGTGTAGTTTGCAAATATTTTCTCCCATTGTGTAGGTAGTCTGTTTACTCTATTAATAGTTTCTTTTGCTGTGCGGAAGATTTTAATTATGTACCAGTTGCCAACTTTTGGCATATATTTGCAATTGCTTTTGAGAACTCAGCCAAAAATTATTTGCCAAGGCCCGTGTTGAGAAGGATATTTCCTAGGTTTTCTTCTAAGTTTTTTATAGACTGATATCTTAAATTTAATTAATTCATCTTGGAGTAATTTTTGTATATGATGAAAGGCAAGAGTACAGTTTCATTCTTCTGCATTTATAACTAGCCAGTTATCCCAGCACTATATATTGAATAGGTAGTGCTTTTCCCATTGCTTGGTTTTGTCAGCCTTGTTGATGATCAGATAATTGTAAGTGTGTGGTTTTACTTCTGAGTTTACTACTCTTTTCCATTAATCTATGTGTCTGTTTTTATATTAATATTTTCATGTGAGTCCGTGTGAAGAGACCACCAAATAGGCTTTGTGTGAGCAATAAAGCTGTTTATTTCACCTGGATGCAGGTGGGCTGAGTCCGAAAAGAGTCAGTGAAGGGAGATGGGAGTGGGGCGGTTTTATAGGATTTGGGTAGGTAAAGGAAAATTACAGTCAAAGGGGGGTTGTTCTCTGGCAGGCAGAGTGGGGGTCACAAGGTGCTCAGTAGGGGAGCTTTTGAGCCAGGATGAGCCAGGAGAAGGAATTTCACAAGACAGTGTCATCAGTTAAGGCAGGGACACGCCATTTTCACTTCTTTTGTGGTGGAATGTCGTCAGTTAAGGCAGGAACCGGCCATCTGGATGTGTACGTGTAGGTCACAAGGGATATAATGGCTTAGCTTGGGCTCAGAGGCCTGACATTCCTGTCTTCTTATATTAATAAGAAAAATAAAATGAAATAGTGGTAAAGTGTTGGGACGGTGAAAATTTTTGGGGGTGGTATGGAGAGATAATGGGCAATGTTTCTCAGGGCTGCTTCGAGCAGGATTAGGGGTGGCGTGGGAACCTAGAGTGGGAGAGATTAAGCTGAAGGAAGATTTTGTGGTAAGGGGTGATATTGTGGGACTGTTAGAAGAAACATTTGTCATTTAGAATTATTGGTGATGGCCTGGATATGGTTTTGTATGAATTGAAAAACTAAACGGAATAAGAGAAGGAGAAAAACAGGTATTAAAGGTCTAAGAATTGGGAGGACCTAGGACATCTAATTAGAGTGCCTGAGGAAATTCACCATAGTCCTGTCAGCAAAGATTATTTATTTACTTCAAGAGTTAAGAGTGGCAGTTTGGGGGATAGCACCAGGAGATATCAGCTGTGATGGCTTGGAGAAACAGTGTAAACCCGCAGTGTAAACAAGAGTAGGGCATGTATGAGTAGCTGAGAATGGTGAATAGGAGTATGACTAGACAGAAGATAGTAGGGATGACAAGTTTTTTGGGGGCACGGTCCAGGTTGGTCTGGTGTCTGGAATGAGACTGGGGCCTAATAAAAAGGAGTGTCCATACAGGAGCTTAAATGGGCTATACCCTGTAGCATTCCGAGGACAGGCCTGAATTCTGAGAAGGGAAAGTGGTAAAAGTATTGTCCAGTCCTTTTTAAGTTGGTGGCTGAGCTTGGTGAGGTGTGTTTTTAAAAGACCATTAGTCTGTTCTACTTTTCCTGAAGACTGAGGACTGTAAGGGATATAAAGGTTTCACTGAATACTAAGAGCCTGAAAAAATGCTTGGCTGATTTGACTAATAAAGGCTGGTCTGTTATCAGACTATATAGATGTGGGAAGGCTAAACTGAGGAATTATGTCTGACAGGAGGGAAGATATGACTGCGGTGGCCTTCTGAGGCCCTGTAGGAAAGGCCTCTACCTATCTAGTGAAAGTGTCTACTTAGACTAAGAGGTATTTTAGTTTTTGTGACTCGGGGCATGTTGAGTAAAGCTAATTTGCCAGTCCTGGGTGGGGGCAAATCCTTGAGCTTGATGTGTAGGGAAGGGAGGGGGCCTGAATAATCCCTGAGGAGTAGTAGAGTAACAGATGGAACACTGAGAAGTTATTTCCATGAGGATAGATTTCCACGATGGAAAGAAAATGAGAGGTTCTAAGAGGCGGGCTAGTTGCTTGTACTATAGCATAGCCTGCCTTTGCTGGTGTGTGGTGATTAGGCCTGGTGGAACTGCCATCAATAAATCAAGCGTGATCAGGGTGAGGAACAGGAAAGAAGGAAATATGGGGAAATGGGGTGAATGTCAGGTGGATCAGAGAGATACAGTCATGTGGGTCAGGTGTGGTATCAGGAATAATGTGGGAAGCCAGATTGAAGTCTGGGCCAGGAACAATGGTAATTGTGGGACTTAACAAAGAGTGAGTACAGCTGAAGGAGCCAGGGAGCAGAAAGTATATGCATCAGGTATGAGGAAGAAAATCGATTTTGGAAGTTATGAGAAATGTAGAGAGTAATTTGAGCATAGTTTGTGATTTTGAGGGCCTCTAAAAGTATTAGGGTGGCAGCAGCCACTGCATGGAGACATGATGGCTAGGCTAAAACAGTAAGGTCAAATTGTTTGGACAGAAAGGCTACAGGGTGCAGTCCTGGCTCTTGTGTAAGAATTCTGACCACACTAACCATGGCTAGGAAGGAAAGGAATGTTGTTTTGTAAGGGATTGAGGTTTGGGAGATTAATCGGACATGATCAGCAGGGAAAGCACGTGTGTTTTTATGAGAATTATTCCAAGATAGGTAACAGATGAGGATGAAATTTGGGCTTGACTGAAGTAATGGGGGCTGTCTGTGAAGCCTTGCGGCAGTACAGCCCAGGTAATTTGCTGAGCCTAATGGGTGTCAGGGTTAGTCTAAGTGAAAGCAAAGAGAGGCTGGGACAAGGGGTGCAGGGGAATAGTGAAAAAACCATCTTTAAGATCAAGAACAGAATAGTGAGTTGTGGAGGAAGGTAATGAGGACAAGAGTGTATGGGTTGGGCACCACAGGGTGGATAGGCAAAACAATTTGGTTGATAAGGCGCAGATCCTGAACTAATCTGTAAGACTTGTCCAGTTTTTGGACAGGTAAAATGGGGGAATTGTAAGGAGAGCTTATAGGTTTTAGAAGCCCATGCTGTAGCAGGCGAGTGATAACAGGTTTTAATCCTTTTAAAGCGTGCTGTGGGATGGGATATTGGTGTGCAGTGGGGTAAGGGTGATTAGATTTTAATGAGATGGTAAGGGGTGCATGATCAGTCACCAAGGAGGGAGTAGAGGTATCTTATACTTGTGGGTTAAGGTGGGGGAATACAAGAGGAGGACGCAAAGGAGGCTTTGGATTGGGAAGAAGGGCAGCAATGAGATGTAGCTGTAATCCAGGAATAGTCAAGGAAGCAGATAATTTAGTTAAAGTGTCTCAGCCTAATAAGGGAACTGGGCAGGTGGGGATAACTAAAAGGAGTGCTTAAATGAGTGTTGTCTAAGTTGGCACCAGAATTGGGGAGTTTTAAGAGGTTTAGAAGCCTGGCTGTCAATACCCACAACAGTTATGGAGGCAAGGGAAACAGGCCCTTGAAAAGAAGGTAATGTGGAGTGGGTAGCCTCCGTATTGATTAAGAAGGGGACAGACTTACCTTCCACTGTGAGAGTTATCCGAAGCTCGGCGTCTGTGACGGTCTAGGGGGCTTCCGAGGTGATCGGGAAGTGTCAGTCTTCAGCCGCTAAGCCAAGAAGATCTGGGAAGGAGTCAGAGAGCCTTGGGCCAGAGTTCCAGGGGCTCTGGGAGTGGCTGCCAGGTGAGTTGGACAGTCTGATTTCCAGTGGGGTCCTGCACAGATGGGACGTGGCTTAGGAGGAATCCTGGGCTGCAGGCATTCCTTGGCCTGGTGGCCAGATTTCTGGCACTTGTAGCAAGCTCCTCGGGGAGGAGGTTCTGGAGGAATGCCTGGCTGCTGCGGTTCAGGCGTTTGGAAGTTCTTGTGTGCTGGAGATGTGGCTGGGGTTTGTCTCACAGTGGAGGCAAGGAATTGCAACTTTTTTCTATTATTGTACACCTTGAAGGCGAGGTTAATTAAATCCTGTTGTGGGGTTTGAGGGCCAGAATTTAATTTTTGGAGTTTTATTTAATGTCGGGAGCAGATTGGGTAATAAAATGTATTTTGAGAATAAGATGGCCTTTTGACCTTTTAGGGTCTAGGGCTATAAAGTGTCTCAGGGTTGCTGCCAAATGAGTCATGAACTGGGCAGGATTTTTATATTTGATGAAAAAGAGCCTAAACGCTATCTGATTTGGAATAAAGAAAAGGGAGCATTAACCTTGACTATGGCTTTAGCTCCAGCCACCTTTTTAAGAGTAAATTGCTGGGCAGGTGGGGGAGGGCTAGTCACGGAATGAAACTGTAAGCTGGACCAGGTGTGAGGAGGGGAGGTGATAAAAGGATTATTGGGTGGAGGAGCGGAGGCTGAGGAAGAATTGGGACCTAGCTCGGCCTGGTGAGGAGCAGTCTGGGGAGGAGGGGAGAGGTCAGATGGGTCTGTAGAAAAGGAAGATTAGAAAGACTCAGCGATGCTGGGGGTTGGGATGGAGGGGACAGGTGGGAGGGAAAGAAGGAAGATTTGGGATGAGTTGCACTGGGCACAGAGACTAGGAAGGGACCAATGTGTAAAATAATTCCTGGACATCAGGCACCTCAGACCGTTTGCCTATTTTATGACAATAATTATTTAGAACTTGCAGGATGGAAAAATTGAAAGTGCTGTTTTCTGGCTATTTGGAACTACTGTCAAGTTTGTATTGGGGTCAGGTGGCATTGCAGAAGAAAATAACATGCTTAGATTTTAGATCAGGTGAGAGTTGAAGAGGTTTTAAGTTCTTAAGAACACAGGCTAAGGGAGAAGAAGGAGGAATGGAGGGTGGAAGGTTGCCCATAGTGAAGGAGGCAAGCCCAGAGAAAAGAGAGAGTAGAGACACAGAGGGAAGGGGTTTGGGAGTTCTTACCCTCCAGAAAAGTGGGAAAGGGGTTGGGACACAGAGATATGATGTCAGGGCATGGAAATAAGGGATTGGGGCACAGAGATATAAGAGGTTGGGGTGTGGAAATAAGGGATCGGGGTGCAGAGATATAAGGGGTTGGGGTACTTGCCCCTCCCCTAGAAAAGTGGGACTTGCCACTAAGGGTGAAGGAGAAGGGGTTGGGGGTCTCTTGCCCCCCAGAAAGGTGGAGAAGGGGTAGAGACACAGAGAGAAGGGGTTGGGGTACTTGCCCCTTCCCCAGAAAAGTGGGACTTGTCGCTAAGGGTGAAGGATCAAGGCAGGCGTCCCTGCATGGTCTGACACCTCTGAAACCTGGGTGAATAATCAGAGAGGCATCCCTGCAATAAGTAAACACCAAGGGAAGGCTGCCTTCCCTAGTCTGTGACCGGCACTGGAGTTTTGGGTCCACGGATAAAACATGTCTCCTTTGTCTCTACCAGAAAATGAAAGGAATTGAAATTAAGAGAACGTAGAGATTGAAGTGTGGCACCAAGATTGAAAGGAGAAAGAGGTTGAGGGATAGTGAAGGAGGCTGGAGAAGAGAGTAAAAAGAGGCCGCTTACCCGATTTAAAATTGGTGAGATGTTCCTTGGGCTGGTGGGTCTGAGGACCTGAGGTCGTAGGTGGATCTTTTTCATGGAGCAAAGAACAGGAGGACAGGGGATTGATCTCCCAAGGGAGGTCCTCTGATCTGAGTCATAGCACCAAATTTCATGCACGTCCATATGAAGAGACCACCAAACAGGCTTTGTGTGACCAATAAAGCTGTCTATTTCACCTGGGTGCAGGTGGGCTGAGTCTGAAAAGAGAGTCAGCGAAGGGAGATAGGGGTGGGGTCGTTTTATAGGATTTGGGTAGGTAAAGGAAAATTACAGTCAAAGGGGGTTGTTCTCTGGCAGGCAGAGTGGGGGTCACAAGGTGCTCAGTAGTGGAGCTTTTGAGCCAGGATGAGCCAGGAGAAGGAATTTCACAAGACAATGTCATCAGTTAAGGCAGGAACAGGACATTTTCACTTCTTTTGTGGTGGAATGTCATCAGTTAAGGCAGGAACCGGCCATCTGGATGTGTAAGCGCAGGTCACAGGAAATATGATGGCTTAGCTTAGGCTCAGAGGCCTGACAAATATCATGGTGTTTTGTTTTACTGTAGCCTTATAATATAGTTTGAACTCAGTTTGTATGATGTGTCTGGCTGTGTTCTTTTTGCTTAGGCTACTTGGGTTCTTTTTTAAGTTCCATATAATGTTTAGAATAGTTTTTTTCTAATTCTGTGAAGAATGACATTGGTAGTTTGATAGGACTAGCAGTGAATTTGTAAATTGCTTTGGGCAGTATGGCCATTTTTATTATATTGATTCTTCCAATCCATGAGCACAAAATTTTTTTTTAATTTATTTGTGATGTCTCTGATTTCTTTCAGCAATGTTTTGTAGTTCTCCTGGGAGAGATCTTTCACTTCCTTGGTTAGTTGTATACCTAGATATTTCATTTTCTTTGTAGCTATTGTAAGTGGGATTGTGTTCTTGATTTGAGTCACAACCTAGACATTTTGGTCTATAAAAATGCCACTGATTTTTGTACAGTGACTTTTTTTTTACTCTGAAACATTGTCAAAATTATTTTCCAGATTTGGTTGCCTTTCTGTGGAGTCTTTAGTATTTTCTAGGTATAGAATCATAATGTCAGGAAAAATAGCTTGACTTATTCTTTTCCTATTTAGATGTTTTTTTTATTTCTTTCTCTTGCCTAATTGTTCTGGCTGGGGCTTTCAGTACTATGTTAAATAGGAGGAGTGAGAGTGGACATCCTTGCCTTGTTCAACTTTTCAAGAAAAATGTTTCCATTTTTGGTAAGTTGTGTCCCTATTTTCATTAATTTCAATTATTTTTATTTCTGACGAAAATTTGATGTCCACCCAGGAGTAATTTAGGAGCAAGTTGTTCAATTTCCAAATTATTTGTGTGGTTTTGAGAGATTTTCTTGATATTCATTTGTATTTTTATTGCACTGTTGCCTGAGGTTGTTAACTGGTATGATTTCAACTGTTTCGAATTTGTTGAGACATGCTTTATGATCAAGCATGTGGTTGTCTTAGAATTTGTTCCGTGTGCAGGTGAAAATAATATATACTCTGTGGTTGTTTGATGGAGTGTTCTGTAGACGTGTATCATGTCCATTTGGTCAAGTGTACTGTTTAACTCTAATGTTTCTTTGACAGTTTTCTCCCTCAATGCTCTTTGGGGTGTTGAAATCTCCCACTATTATTGTGTGGTTTTCTAAGTCTTCTCATAGGCCAAGAAGAACTTGTTTTATAAATGTGAGTGCATATTTATTTAGGTGCCTACATATTTAGAATAGTTAAGTTTTCTTGTTGGTACTCTGTATTATTATGTATGCCCTTCTTCAAGAATATCAACTCCTACTTTTTGTTGTTGTTTTCCACTTGCATGACAGATCTTTCTTCATCTCTTTACTTTGAGCTTGTGTGTTTCACTGCATGTGAGCTGGGTCTCTTGTAGACTGTAGATAGTTAGGTCTTATCTTTTTTTCCAGTTTGCTACTCCATGTCTTTTATGTGGGGGCATTTAGCCCATTTACATTCAGGGTTAGTATTGATATGTAAGATTTTGATTCTGTCATCATGTTGTAAGCTGGTTATTCTGTAGACTTGTTTGTGTGATTGTTTTATAGTGTCTGTGATCTTTGTACTTAGGTATGTTTTTGTGCTAGCCTTTTTTTCCCCCTTTGGTTCCATGTGTAGCACTCTCTCAAGAACCTCTTTTAAGGCTGGTCTGGTTGGAATAAATTCCCTTAGTATTTGCCTGTCTGAGAAGAATTTATTCCTCCTTTACTTATGAATCTTAGTTTTGAAGAATATGAATTCTTGCTTGGAATTTCTTTTCTTTAAGGATCCTGAAAATAGGTCTGCAATCACTTATGTTTATAATGTTTCTGCTGAGATGTCTGCTGCTAGCTGATGGAGTTTGCTTTGTATATGACTTTATCCTTCTCTCTAGCTTCCTTTAAGGCTTTTTTATTTTGCATTGAGCTTGCTGAATCTGATGACTATGTGCCTTAGTGGTTGGTCATCTTGTAAAATATCTAGCTGAAATTCTTTCTATTTCTTGGATTTGAATGTCCATCTCTCTAGTGAGAGTAGAGAAATGTTCATGGACTATATCCTCAAATATATTTTCCAAGTTATTTTTCCCCCTTCTTCTCTCTCCTAGGAATGCCAATAAGTCAAACACTTGGTCTCTTTACATAACCCCATTATTTATTGGACGTTTTGTTCATTTTTTAACAATTTTTTTTCTTCATTTTTGTCTAACTGAGTTGATTTACAGAACCATTTTTCATGCTCTGAAATTCTATGCTCAGCATGGTCTATTCTGCTGTTAATACTTTACATCGAAGTATGAAATTCTTGTAGGGAGTTTTTCAGCTCTAAAAGTTTAGTTTGGTTATTTCTTAAAATAGCTATATTGTATTTCAGCTCTTGGATCATCTTACTGGATTCCTTGGATTGAGTTTCAACTTTCTCTTGCAACTCAATGCACTTCCTTGCCATAAAGATTCTGAATTCTATATCTATTATTTTCAACTTAAGATTCATTGTTGGAGACTAGTGGACTCCCTTGGAGGTACATAGACACTTTGGTTTTTGAATTGCCAGGGTTCTTGTGCTAATTATTTCTCATCTGGAAGGGTTGATGTTCTTTTAATTGTGGTTATAAGTTGAATATAGTCAGTTAGCTTTGTTTGTAGATGGTTCCAGAAAGCCAATGCTCTGTGTAGAGTCTTTCTTTTTTTGCGACTGAATTACTGCCCTTGGTTCCATAGGGGGGTATATTAGCTAAGTAGTTTTGGTGTTTTACATTGGGCCGAGATGCAGTAGATAGTTCTTAAGAGTACTGGCAGTAGGTAGGCTCTTACTAAGCCACTGGCTTCTTTTTATTTCCTGGCGTTTGTAGCTGTGCTCTGTGTTGCAACAGAGAGAGAGATGACCTCATTAGCTATACATCTGGACCTTAGGGGAGCTTCCTCACATCACTGGCACTGTGTCAGTTTCTCTTTTCTTAGCTCTTTTGGTTCATGGGGCTTCCTCAGGCAGAGACAGCAGGCAGGAGGGAAATAGGCCTCACATTTTCTGGGCTGGCTTTGTGGAGGCAGGCATGCTCCCCTCCTGTGACAGCCCATGAGCCCATGCAACTTACCCCTCTCAGTGCTCTGGGAGTGTAAACTCCTCTCCTTTCAGAGTGCTGGTCACAGATCTCCGTTCACCACTCCCAAGCTGTGCACTGCCACCCTGGAGTGTGGTGAAGTTTTTTCTTCCCTCCTCAGCTTGGAGGCAGCAGGGGTGGGGACCATGGCAGCAGCAATGGCAGAGGGCCTGTCAGATGACTCTGGGCGTTCCACCTCAGCTAAATGAAAAACCATAGCTGATTAGTAAACAGCTGGGGATGTGGCAGGTGTGCTATGACCCATGCTAGGGAGCCCTGCCTTGTAAAGAGTAGTGGGGGCAGGGACTAACAGGGAAGACAGTCTGGCCTTCCCTCTGTAGGGCGGCTATGGCATGCTGGAGATATAAACACAGCAATCAGGTGAATTGTTCCCTTTCCATCACTAGGGCAGCAAGGCAGGGTACTACAGTGGCAGCAGTGGAAGAGGGGCTGTTAGTTGCCTCTGGGAACTCCACCCCAGAGAAATGCAGAGCCATTGCTGATTGTGATGATCAGCCAGGAGTGGGGCTGCTGTACTGCAGACCCAAGCTGAGGGTGGGGAGTGGAGGACTGCCTGACAAAGAACAGGGTGCTCAGTTCACATTAAAGGCAGTCTAAACTCTTCTACATAAAATGGCTGTGGCATACTGTAGGCATGTGAAAACAATCAGGCTCTTTGTTTCCTCCTAACCTGGGGGGAGCAATGGTGGCAGCAATGGCAGAGGGTCTGTCAGTTGTCTCTGGGAGCTCCATCCTGGAGAAATACAGAGCTGCCATGGACCGATGTGATTAAGCAGGTGTGAGGTGGCTGCACTGTGGGCCAAAGCCAGGAGGCTCTGCCCAGTGAGGAGCAGCAGAAGCAGGGTCAGATGTGGAAAACAATCTGGATACCTTTTCATAGGGCAGCTGTGGCTTGCTGGAGGCCCACTATATTTCTTGGATTCTTTGCTGCCTCCCCAGCCTGAGAGCAGCAGGTGTGGGGTCCACAACCATAGCAATTGCAGCAGACCTGTAAGTTACTTCCGGTAGCTGTATTTCAGAGAAATGCAGGGCCACAACCAGCTGGAGTGCTCAGACAGGGGTCGGGTGGTTGTTCTGGGGACCCCAGCCAATGGACCTTGCCTGATGAGATACAGCAGAGGTGGGACTTGTGGTCTCTCTGCTCCTCACTATCATGAATATGGCCCCTATCTTAGGGATGTGTGAGAGAGCCTGGCCTCCCTTGTTGGCAGGGCTATGAAAGCTGGCACAAGGAAACAAGACCAATGGGGCCGAACATGAGCTTGAGCTGTGGCTCTGCTGAGACACCAGGAAGCTCTCTGTGTTGGACTATAAGCCTGGGGGTGCCAATGGGGATCTTTAGTGCCCATAACCTCAAAGGTTTGTGGCATAAATTTGAGTCCCCAAGGGTTCTCCCTCACTCACCCTTTTCTCATGGTAGGGAGCCTCCCCTGGCTCTGCACCAATCCCAGGTAGGCAGCTGTCCTGCCTCAGTTTTTACTGGTGTTCATGTGGCACCATTGCTTTTTTTATGAATCCCAATGAGGCTTCCTGGATTATCACTTGAAGAGGTAGTGTTTCCTCACCACTCTTTCTTTTCCCCATGAGAACAGCACACACCAGCTGCTTCTACTCAGCCATATTGGTGCTTCTTACAGAGTAATGTCTTAAAAACAGGATTTTCTATTTAAGCTACATCATTAATGTTATTTAACATCCTAATTCCTGATGTGCTCCTTTTTTAATCCTTCATAGTGACAGTTGTCATAACTATATCTAACAATTATTTATTCTGCATTTTTATTGATTTGACATATTCTTCATAATTCATCATCTTGAGTAGAAGTCTATTTTATCTCCATGTCAAATAATAATGACACATATCTTTAAAACAAAAATGGATGTTGGAATTCGGAATTCTATACAACAGATTGGATAGTCCTTGTTGCTGAGACTTTCTGCCTAATAGTTTTTGCTTAATTGTATCAACCAAACTCTTAAGTTTTAGGTGTCACATAGGGCTTAGTCACCCTGTACTCATAATGGTACCTTGAAGAGAGGAATCAGCAGTAATAATAATAATAATAATACATTGATATAATGCTTATTATGTGTCATGAATTAAGTAGTTTATGCACATTAAATCTTTTAATTTTCATAAACCATCCTATGAGGCAGATCTGATTGTCATTACCCACATTTAGTAAATGGGCTATGGTGGCAAAGGGGAATCAAGTAGTTTTTTGAATGCTACATAGCTAGTAGTAGTAGAGTTGACAATCAAACCCAAGTACTGAAGTATCAGAGTCCATTTTGTTAACCACTGTGTTGTACTCCCTTTTATTTTTACTCATTTAGAAGTGAGTAACTAACATAGATCATCATCATGGAAATATGCATAAGAAACAAAAAACAGAAGACAGCTCTGTTTCACAAGCTTATCATAAAGTGTGCAGGACAACTGAGCCGATGCAATATAATTATCATTGGATCATAGCACATCATTTCTCAGGCACAGTGAAGTAGCAGAACATGTCACTACAGAAACCCAGATTTAAGGAGCATGTGACATACTGATGCTGACACTGAGAGAAGATAACATAAGAATCTCCCACGCATAAGCCCACAAGAGAAAGGGTCTGGAAACTCCCTGAATTCTTGTAGAAGGATAGGGGGAAATTATTATAAGAAGTCAGAGAAATATTGCATTTTACTGTTATTGTGATTATGAAATAAAAATAGATATACATTTAAAAGTTAGATAGTATGTGGGTTTGATATATCAGTTCAAGTTTTTTATATGATTATGAAGTTAAAATTTGCGTTTGGGACCAAATGCTGGACATCATTTATAAACAAGTACAATCCTATTTGGAAAAGGTTAATAGAATATATCTCACTTTAGTCACAATATCAGAAGCCCTAGAATGTACAGGCTCATTTTTGGAATACATTTTTTTTATCTTTGCTCCTAAAATATCTTTATAATAAACACACTCTTTAAAAAAATTTTAAAAATGGAAAATATAAAAAGGCAAAATGTGTCCCTTTTTGTAAGTTACAAGATCTAGTCATGTTTTTGACACAGTTCTCTAAATGCTTTGTTGTGAGATGTTTTAAAGTATGTATGAGATAAATGCATTTTATGGTGTCATTGATCTTTAACTACTCAGAGGTACTGAATATAAATATCAAAACTGATGAACTGCAGAACCATTCCATCCAAGACAACTCTCAGTATAACACTGTGAAAAATGACCTTATTAGATCTTTCTCCCATCTCCTGAAAAATCTTTACAATGACTAGAACTGCACCACACTTCAGGGATTTGAATGAAAGAAGTCTTTAACAACTTTGAGTGCAAAATTCCACTGGTAGTTGAAGAAATTATTGCCTAAGATTAACTCTGCGGTCAAATTCTACTAGTTAGTTATAAACAATTAACACAACATTTTATACCAGGTGATTTTTTTTTTACTATAAAATAGCCTAAAAGAAAATAAATTGTCAATGCAGCATACACTTATAGCTCCTTGCCAGCCCAAGTTGTTTGTTGACAGTGAT
The DNA here is from genome assembly GCF_000001405.40 of Homo sapiens. NCBI lineage: Eukaryota > Metazoa > Chordata > Mammalia > Primates > Hominidae > Homo > Homo sapiens. The sequence continues at coordinate 93,016,292 of NC_000023.11, read as the reverse complement.
CAAAGACTGAATTACAGTTTTACTACTCATTAAATATGATGCATTGTCAGATGAAAGCTATCATTCAGAAAAGTATTGTAGAATCACCTCTTAATAACCACAAAGCATAGCTTTTAAAAATATGGTAAGAAATGATAGCCTATTGTAAAATAATCAATATGGCCACAGGTGAAATATTTTAGCTGGAACTTTCTCCTGGCTGTTAAAAAAAATCAAACAGTATAATAAAGATTGCCTATTAAAAAGTCGATTTATCCTGTTTTCTCTAAAAATTGGCCTCTATTAATGTTTTTACTTCTTTACCCCCATGCCTTCCAATACTTCTCACTATAACCCCCATTGCCCCCATTATGATCCTACCCTTTGCTCTGATTCCCTGGAGTCTTGGCCTCCCATGACTTATCTGATTAAAAAAAATTGTATTGCAGTGTGTTGTACGGTTTAATTAATATCCTCCCAGGAATCATACATTCTAAAAGAGATCCTCTGAAAATAATAACTTAGTTCTAGAGTACTGGCAATATTTTTGTCAAAATCTGGACTAATCAGAGATTAGTTTTCAGCCTCACATACTAAGAGGAGTCTTAGTAGTCCATAAAATACATAAAAGAGGGCATAGGGGATAATAAAAGTCTTGAGTTGATACATTTCACCACTTAAAACTAGCTATGTAAACTTGGATTCTTTACCTCACTTTTTTGAGCTTCCTACTTGTAAAATCTTATTAGTAATGGTACTTATTTATGTATCAAATTGTTGATTAATATTCCATGAGAGTGTTTATTTAGCTATCTGGTTAGCTCTCTTCTGCTACACTTTCAGGCAAGTAACAGGTGCTCAATCTTCTTCATTTCCTTTTCCATTTACTGTAAATGCTCAGGAAAAAGTTGAATGACTGTTAAGACAGCAAGCATATTCAAGACCATAGGGAAAACACAGACTTCTTAAAAAATGAGAACCACCACTAAGAAGGTTATAAAAGGAGGTCAGTTACATTAGTTACATTCTTTAACAGTAGGGTAATAGCCAGCATGATTTTCAGAAGCACTCACCTCTCTAGTAAAACTGTTATCTGATCTTTTAGTCTTTATTGTAATGAATCTCAGCTTCCTGACTACCTGCTAACCACTAATTTGTTTGCCTGGTTGTCAGCTGTGGCCTTTCTAATTGCTCCTCTGTGTTTCAGCATGAGTTACTGCAGTTACTGCTTTAGTTGTTTTTTTTTTTTTTTTTTTTTTCTTTGAATGTTTGGCCTCTATCTGCCACAACCAACTTATTCTGCCTTAGCTCCAATTGTCTCTGGCAACTTGGTCCACTATTGGTATGTATTTATAAAACATTACAGTCATTACTGCTGTAACTGAAATGCAAGTTCAGTCACTCACCACTTGCAGAGTTCAATTAACAAGAGCAAGGTCTGGTATAAAGGAAGTGACTGTTTCAAAGCTTAGCAAAGGGGAAGAGGTACAGGCTCCTGCCTTTAAGGGAATTGCTTTACTTTAGGGGCAGAAAGCAGGAGTTTTAAAGGGCAGCTTTCACTAAAAGGCATGCAGAGAAGAGAGTGAGCAGGTGTGGGAGTTACATGACTTTGAGTTATCTACCAGGTGGTTGAGCTGGTGCTATTATGGGCAGAGTGAGGTTGTAAAGTGGCTGATGTCGCAAGATGCTTTCCAGGTGAGAGAGAGTTCCATTGTGAGCATAATTTAGGTGGTAAATTGACTGTTGTCTCAAGGAAATCTGCTGGGAGAGAGTTCTGGCTCTGGAGCTTCTAAATAAGCATGTAGATAAGCTTGCTGTATAGGGAGTGTCTGGTAAAGGGAAGGTAAAGATTATAATTGTGTTTCTAAAGAGCTAAGTGGAAAGTCGAGAACAAGAGGAATGAAGGAAAGAGAAACGAAATAATAATAATAATTTTAAAATAACTTATTATCTTTCTCTTAGGAAAATTGGTTTACTCAACTACACTGACTTCTCTATTCCAGTCTCTGCTCTAAAACAGTTAATTTGCTTTGTCAGGTATTCTGTTAGGAATTCATTGTTATGGGACAAGTTTTGACAAGATAATTTCTAGACCTATTTTGTACATCTTTCATATTCTATGTACATATATTCATTTGTACTATGGTAGGTGGGTGAGAGAGAAAAAACAGAGGTAGAGAGACCATCTTGTGCCTCTCCTATCATTCCGCATGAATAGCAACTTTCCCTTCCTATAAATATGTACAGCCACATAATGGAAACATATCGTGTACTGCTTTCTGAATATGGGTACAATCTGTTGTACAAGGTAGTGGTTTTCAAAATTTTCAAGTGGTACAGATCTTTATGCAAATAAGTTAAGTGAAAAATTAATTTACCAAATACACAAAATTCTGCTCTTTTTTGAAAGTATAGGAGTAGAAAGCAGTGGAAAGTACCTATCCTCAATCACTTGGCTTTCACCTTACCCTTCCTCTGAAATCCAATGGCCAACTCTGGGAAACTTTAGGATTTCATAATATTTTGTTTAATTAGTGGAAGGTGAAAAATCTGAGGGCTTGGAAGATAATTCAACTTCTACCAGGGACATACTAGGCTTCTTTATGAATTTTTCCTGCTTAAAATTGATCTCTATATCCACTCCATGCAACACAGACACATGTATTTACTTAAATAGAAAGTAGTCAAAATAAAATAAGATTAAAAATTTACTTTCTCAGTCACACTGGCTGCATTTCAGTTGCTTAACAACCACATGTAAGTAGTAGCTACTCTATTGTCAGTACCAATAAAGAACAGTACCATCATTGCAGGATGTTCCACTGGACAGCATTGCTCTCAGCATTGTGTCTCTGGAAAAACTCTAAAATCTCCTTGTCTTTTTCAAATAAGTTATCACATAAATCCTAGGACAGGGACAATCAATATTAAATATGTTACACAAATACAAGAACACTTACAGAATTCTCTTTCTCTTTTTATGTGTGTGTGTGTGTGTGTGTGTATTACTTCTTTCACTCTCTTTGTTTCTTTTATTAATTTATTTAGATTTACTGAAGATGTACTACATGTCAGTCACTGAAGTAGGTAATTGGGTAGAAATAGTGGGAAAAATAGTCGCTGCCTCTGGTTTCATGACCCATAGCAGATAGTTGGGGAGATAAATATTAACCAAATAATTACACAAAGAAAAGTAACATAATCTGTGTTATGTGCCATGAAGGAGAAGTACATATTAATATGAAATTGTACAATAAAGGGATCTAATCTAGTCAGAAAAGTTAAGAAAGATTTCAATGAGGAATTAATGATTAGGTAGGGTAGGGTTTTATGGTAGTGAGAGAGGGACTGCTTAGGAGATTTATAGGTAGGGAAAAAAGCAAATGTGAAGGCCCTGGGGCATATATTTAAAAAAAAAAAAACTGAAAGAAACCCAGCATGACAGGAGCACAGAGAACAAAAGAGAGAGTCGTACAAGGAGATGTAAGGGCTAAAACTTATAGTATCTACAGACTAATGTCAAGCTCTTTTGTTTTCCTAAGAGAATTGGGAAGTCATTCCAAGTTTTCAAACAACTGAGTGACTTGATAACATTTGTATTTGTAACACTCTTTCTGGATGCAGAGGAGAGCATAGATTGATAAGGGAAAAGGGTAGATGCTTAGATGCATTACATCACTCATAAGAATAATGTAGTAAGGCCGGGCGTGATGGCTCACGCCTGTAATCCCAGCACTTTGGGAGGCCGAGGCAGGCGGATCACAAGGTCAGGAGATCAAGACCATCCTGGCTAACACGGTGAAACCCGGTCTCTACTAAAAATACAAAAAATTAGCCGGGCGTGGTGGTGGGCGCCTGTTGTCCCAGCCACTCAGGAGGCTGAGGCAGGAGAATGGCGTGAACCCGGGAGGTGGAGGTTGCAGTGAGCCGAGATCGCACCACTGAGCTCCAGCCTAGGTGAAAGAGCAAGACTCCATCTCAAAAAAAAAAAAAAAAAAAAAAGAATATTGTAGTACTAGTCCAGATGAAAAAGGATGATAGCTTATAAATCTTTTATTATTGAAAATGGGTAAAAGCTGACTATGTAAAATCTACAGAATTAGTGGTATATTGGAGAGGAAGAAAGAGGAAGTGGGAGGTGGTCAAGGATGATCTCATAGTTTATAATTTTTCCCATGGAAGGTGCAGTACATTGAGATAAGAAAAACAGGTATACCTCAGAAATAGTTTGGGTCCAGAGCACCTCCATAAAACAAGTCATTCAAATTTTGGTAGTAAATATAAAAGTTCTGTTCGCACTATACTATATTAAGTGTGAAATAGCATTATGTCCAAAAAACAATGTATATAACTTTATTAAAAATATTTTATTGCTGAAAAATGCTAACAATCATTGGAGCCATCAGTGAGTCAGAATCTTTTTGCCGATTGAGGGTCTTGCCTTGATATTGTTGGCTGCTGACTGATCTGGGTTGTGATTACTGAAAGTTGGGGTTAGCCATGGCAATTTCTTAAAACAACACTAAAATTTGCTGCATCAATTGACTCTTCCTTTCATAAAAGTTTTCTCCATAACAAGTGATGCTTTTTCATTGAATTTTACCCGTAGTAGAATTTCATTTAAAACTGGAATCAGAGAAGGAGGTAAGATGGCTGATTAGATGCAGCCAGGATAAACATCTCCCACCAAAAAAATGGGACTTCAGGAAGACTGGCACACTCTCAGTAGATCTTCACAGAGAAGGCATTGACAGTGGATGGAGAAAAAACACAGATGCTGGGCTGAAAGGGGAGGAAGCTAGGAACCTTGCACGGGTCTACTGTGCATCAGGACTTGTTCCTAGCCCCTAAGAACCCTGAGGAAAAGGGTGAGTTGAACAAGCAATCAACAACCTGTTCTCACCACGGGTCTCTGGAATACTGGCAGAAGGAGACTCCTCGACCACCATGGACACTTGAGTTGACAGAGAGAGCTGCTAAGAGTTATGGTAGGGGCAGAATTCCAGCCAGTGTAGAGTCCAGAGGGTTTGGTGTGAGTGTCTGTAGAGAAGCATGGTCAGGGATGGCCATCTCCCTAGGCTCAACTTGACTCCATAGGAGATGTTAGTCCTAGGGGAACTGTGGAACCTAAACTCTGCATGCCAGTCTTGCCCATGAGAAGAAGCCCATCCAACCTGAGCTCCCCTAAGTCTGCTGGCCTTGCCCATGACACTAGCCTGGCATTCACTCTAGCTGTGCTGCCACCACTGCTGCTGTGAACATCTGCTTGGAGGTTGGCACCTAAACACCTGCTAACACCCTGCCACAGCCAACGAATATGCACCCCACCATTTTCCCACTGCTGCTACTGCTGGCATGTGTGACAAGGATGGATCCCACTACCACTGCCATATAAAGTACTTTGGCTGGCACCACATATTGGACTGTCATGACCAGCAGTCTGAAAGCACATTGGCCTCTCTAGCACTCAGGTTCCTAACCTAGAGAAGACAGAGAACAAAGCCAGGGCCTGATGCCATTCTCCCAGAGTTAGAGGATGCAGTCAAGGAGTCCTGAGCTGAGCCTTGCCCCCCTAAAACCTTCAAGAAATGAAGCCAGGAGACTAAACCTACGTTATATCATAATCAAACCCTAAAGGATATCAAATAGGATAAAAGGAAAAAATTCCCAAAGACAATAACTTCAAAGATTGAAGGAATATCAGCCCACACAGATGAGAAAGAACAAGCACAAGAACTCTGACAACTCAAAAAGCCAGAATGCATTCTTTCCTTTAAATGTCCATACTATTTCTCCAGCAAGAATTCTTAACCAGGCTGAATTGGCTGATATGACAGAAATAGCATTCAGAATGTGCATAGGAATGAAGATCAAGATCTAGGAATATGTTGAAACCCAACCTAAGGAAGCTAAGAATCACAGTAAAATGATACAGCAGCTGACAAACAAAGTAGCCGGTATAGAAAAGTAACTGAACTGATCAAGCTGAAAAATACACTACAAGAATTTCATAATGCAATCACACATATTAATAGAAAAATAGACCAAGCTTTGAAAAGAATCTCCAAACCTGAAGATTGGCTTTCTGAAATAAGACAGTCAGACAAGAATTTAAAAAATGACAAGAAACAAACAAAATCTCCAAGAAACATGGAATTAAGAGATTGAATTTATGACCCATTGGCATCCCTGAAAGAGAAGGGGAGAATGAAAGTAACTAGTAAAACATATTTCAGAATATCATCCATGAGTACTTCCCCAGATTAGCTAGTAAGGTAAATAGTTAAATTCAAGAAATGCAGAGAACCCCTGTAAGATACTTCACACAAAGATTGTCCCTAAGATACATAACCATCATATTCTTCAGGGTCAAAAATAAAAAATAATGTTACAGGCAGCTAGAGAAAAGGGCAAGTCACCTACAAAGGGAAGCCCATTAGACTAACAGCAGACCTCAAAGCAGAAAACCTACAAGCCAGAAGAGCTTAGGGTCCTATATTCAACATTCTTATAGAAAAGAAATTCCTACCAAGAATTTTATATCCGGCCAAACTAAGATTCATAAGTGAAGGAGTAATTAGATTATTTTCAGACAAACAAATGCTGAGGATATTAGTTGCCACTAGAACTTACAAGTGTTCCTGAAAGAAACACTAAATATGAGAAAGAAAGATTGTTACCAGTCACTGAAATACACACTTAAGTACACAAACCAGTGACACTTTAAAGCAACCACATAAACAAGTCTGCATAACAATCACCTAATAACATTGTAACATGATCAAATACACATATATCAATAATAATCTTGAATGTAAATGGGCTAAATGCCCCAAATGAAAGGTACAGAGTGTCAAGCTGGATAAAGAAAGAGAACCCAATACTATGCTATCTTCACAAGACCCATTTCACATGCAGTGACAAACATAAGCTCAAAATAAAGGGATGAAGAAAAATCTACCAAGCAAATGGAAAAAAACCCAGGAGTTGCAATCCTAATTTCAGACAAAACAGACTTGAAACCAACAAAAATCAAAAAGGACAAAGAAAGGAATTACATAATGGTAAAGAGTTCAATTCAACAAGAAGACCTAACTGTCCCTAATATATATGCACCTAACCCAGGAACACACAGATTCATAAAGGAAGTTCTTAGAGACCTTTAAAGAGACTTAGTCTCCCACACAAGAATAGTGAGAGACTTCAATACCCCACTGACAGTATTAGACAGATCATCATGACAGAAAATTAACGAACATATACAGGACCTGACCTCAATACTGGACCAAATAAACCTGATAGACATCTACAAAACTGTCCACTGAACAACAGTAGAATATACATTCTTCTCATCATCACAATGTACCTACACTAAAATTGACCACACAATCCAAAATAAAATAATTCTCAGCAAATTCAAAAGAATCGAAATCATAAAAATAGAATCCAAGACTACAAAAATAACTGAAAATCATGCAATTGAGTAGAAACTAAACAACCCGCTCCTGAATGACTTTTTGGTAAATAATGAAATTAAGGCAGAAATCAAGAAGTTCTTTGGAACTAATGAGAGCTAATATACAACAAAGCAGAATCTCTAAGATGCAGCTAAGGTAGTGTTCAGAGAGAAATTCATAGCACTAAATGCTCACATCAAAAGTTAGAAAGATCTTGATTTAGCAACCTAGCATCACAACAAAAAGTAAGGGAGGAGACCACCCTTCATATGGTCTTATGCCCAATTTCTGCCTCTAAAGGAAGAAGAAGTAAAAACTAAAATGCAGAAATGGAATCCACAAGCAGATAGCCCAGCACCACACCCTGGGCCTGATAGTTAAAAATCAACCCCTGACCTAACTGCTTGTGTTATCTATAGATTTCAGACATTGGATGGAAAAGCATTGTGAAAATCCCTGTCCTGTTCTGTTCTGTTTCATTCTAATTACCAGTGCATGCAGCCCCCAGTCACGTACCCACTGCTTGCTCAATTGATCACGACCCTCTCATGCGGACCCCCTTAGAGTTGTAAGCCCTTAAAAGGGACAGGAATTGTTCACTCGGGGAGCTCGGTTTTTGAGATGTGAGTCTTGCCAACGCTCCTGGCCGAATAAAGCCCTTCCTTCTTTAACTCGGTGTCTGAGGGATTTTGTCTGCGTCTCGTCCTGCTACAAAAGAACTAGATAAGCAAGAGCAAACCAATCCCAAAGTTTGCAGAAGACAAGAAATAAGCAAAAGCAGAGCTGAACTTAACAAGATTAAGACATGAAAAAGATAACCAAATGCAGGAGTTGCTTTTTTGAAGAAAATTAATAAGATGGATAGGTCACTAGTTAAACTAATAAAAAAGAAAAGAAAGAAGATCCAGATAAAAACAATTAGAAACAACAAAGGGGATGCCACTAGTAACATGACAGAAATACAAATAACTATCAGAGACTAGTATGAACACCTCTATGCACAGAAACTAAAATATCTAGAAGAAGTGAATACATTCCTGGACACATACACCCTCCGAAGACTGAACCAGGAAGAAATTGAATCCCTGAACATACTAATTGATATGGTTAGGCTATGTCCTCACCCAAATCTCATGTCAAATTGTAGTTCCCATAATCCCCATGTGTCATGGGAGGGACCTGGTAGGAGGTAATTTAATCATGTAGGTGATTTCCCCCATGCTATTTTCATGATAGTAAGTTCTCATGAAATCTGAGGGGTCTTCCTCCTTCACTCAGCTCTCACTCATTCTCTTTCCTGCCACCCTGTGAAGAGGTGCCTTCCACCATGATTGTAAATTTCCTGAGGCCTCCCCAGCCACGCAGAGCTGTGAGTCAATTAAACCTCTTTTCTTTATAAATCACCTAGTCTCTGTATTTCTTCACAGCAACATGAGAATGAAATAATACAGTAAATTGGTACTGCAGACAGTGGGGTGCTGCTATAAAGATACCCCAAAATGTGGAAGCAACATTAGAACTGGGTAACAGGCAGAGGTTGGAATAGTTTGGAGGTCTCAGAAGAAGACAGGAAAATGTGGTAAAGTTTGGAACTTCCTAAAGACTTGGAGAACTCAGAAGACAGGAAGATGTGAATGTTTGGAACTTCATAGACACCTGTTGAATGGCTTTGTCCAAAATGCTGACAGTGATATGAACAATGATGTTCAGGCTGAGGTGGTCTCAGATGGAGATGAGGAACTTCTTAGGAACTGGAGTAAAAGTCACTCTTGCTGTGCAAAGAGACTGATGGCATTTTGCCTCTGCCCTAGTGATATGTGGAACTTTGAACTTGAGAGAGATGAGTTAGGGTATCTGGTGGAAGAAATTTCTAAGCAGCAAAGCATTCCAGAGGAAACAGAGCATAAAAGTTTGGGAAAATTTGCAGGCTGATAGTGTGATAGAAAAGAAAAACCTATTTTCTCAGGAGAAATTTAAGCTCACTGCAGAAATTTGCATAAGTAACAAGGAGCCAAATGTTAATCCCCAAACAATGGGGAAAATGTCTCCAGTGCATGTCAGAGACCTTCGCAGCAGGCTCTCCCATCACAGGCCCAGAGTCCTAGGAGGAAAAAATGGTTTCCTGGGCTGGGCCCAGGGCCCACCTGCTCCATACTGCCTTGATACATGGTGCCTTGTGTCCCAGTTGCTTCAGCTCCAGCCATGGCTAAAAGGGGCCAAGGTTCAGCTCAGGCCATTGCTTTACAGGGTGTAAGCCATAAGCCTTGTCAACTTCCACGTGGTATTTATCCTGCAAGTGCACAGAAGACAAGGATTGAGCTTTGGGAACCTCCACCTAGATTTCAGAGGATGTATGGAAATGCTTGGATGTCCAGGAAGAAATCCACTGCAGGGGCACAGCCCTCATGGAGAACCTCTGCTAGGGTGATGCAGAAGGCAAATGTTGGGTCAGAGCCCCTACACACAGTCCCCACTGGGGCACTGCTTAGAAGAGCTGTGAGAAGAAGGCCAGCATCCTATACACCCTAGAATGGTAGATCCACTGACAGCTTCTGCCATACACCTGGAAAAGCCACAGACTCTCAATGCCGGCCTGTGAAAGCAGTCAGTACAGGGGGCTATAACCTGCAAAGCCACAAGGGCAAAGCTGCCCAAGGTTGTGGGAGCCCACCTCTTGCATCACCATGCCCTGGATGTGAGACATGGGGTCAAACAAACTTTAAGGTTTAATGACTGCCGTATTGGATTTCTGACTTGAGTGTGGACTGTAGCTCCTTTGTTTTGGCCAATTTCTCTCATTTGAAGCATGTGTAGTTACCCAATGCCTGAACTTCCATTGTATCTAGGAAGTAAGTAACTTGCTTTTGATTTTACAGGCTCATAGGCAGAATCGACTTGCCTTGCCTCAGATGAGGCTATGGACTTGGAATTTTGAGTTAATGCTGGAATAAATTAAGACTTTGGGAGACTGTTGGAAGAGCAAGATTGTGTTTTGAAATGTGAGGACATGAGATTTGGGATAGGTCGGGGTAGAATGATATGGTTTAGCTGTGTCCCCACCCAAATCTCATGTTGAATTATAATTCCCATAATCTCCACGTGTTGTGGGAGGGACCTGGTGAGAGGTAATTGATTCACATGGTTGGTTTCCCCAATGCTATTCTCATGATAGTAAGTTCTCATGAGATCTGATGGTTTTATAAGGTGCTTTCCCCTTCTTTCAGCCCTCATTCATTATCTCCCCTGCCACCCTGTGAAGAGGTGCCTTTTGCCATGACTTTAAGTTTCCTGTGGCCTCCCCAGCCATGCAGAACTGTGAGTCAATTAAACCACTTTTCTTTATAAAGTACACATCTCAGGTATTTCTTCATAGCAGCAAGAGAATGAACTAGTACACCAATAAAGAGCTCTGAAATTGAATCAGTAATAAATAACCAACCAAAAATAAAAAGCCCAGGACCAGATGCAGTCACAGTCAAATTCTATCAGATGTATATAGAAGAGCTGATACTATTTCTACTGAAACTATTCCCAAAAATTGAGGAAAAAGGATTCCTCCCTAACTCATTCTATGAGGCCAGAATCAACCTGATACCAAAACCTGGCAGAATCACAACAACAAAAAAGAAAACTTTAGCCAATATTCTTGGTGAACATTGATGCTAAAATCCTCAAAAAATACTAGCAAATCAAATCAAGCAGCACATCAAAAAGCTAAGCCACCATCATCAAGTAGGCTATCACAGTGATGCAAGATTGGTTCAACATATGCAAATAAATAAACATAATTCAACACATAAACAGAACTAAAGACAAAAAACACATGGTTAACTCAACAGATACAGAAAAAGCTTTTGACAAAATTTAACATCTCTTTATGTTAAAAGTTCCCAATAAATTGGTATTGAAGGGACACATCTTAAAATAATAAGAGTCATCTATTTCAAACCCACAGCCAACATTATACTGAATGGACAAATGCTGGAAGAATTCCCCTTGAAAACTGGCAAAAGACAATGATGTCCTCTCTCATCATTACTATTCAACATTGTATTAGTTCATTCTTACATTCCTATAAAGAAATACCTGAGATTGGTTAATTTACAAAAAAAAAAAATGTTTAATTAGCTCACAGTCCTGCAGTTTGCAAAGGAATCATGATAGCATCTGCTTCTGGGGTGACCTCAGAGAGCTTTTACTCAAGGCAGAAGGCAAAGCAGGCATAGGATCTTGCATGGAAGGAGCAAGGCCAAGAGAGAGAGGAGGGAGGTGCCACACACTTTCAAACAACTAGATGTCATGAGAACTCACTGTTGCAATGACAGCACCAAGGGGGGATGGAGTTAAATCATGAGAAACCACCATCATGAACTAATAGCCCCCATGAGGCTCCATCTCCAGAATTGGGGATTACATTTGAACATGAGATTTGGTCAAGGACACAGATCCAAACCATATCAAACATAATATTGGAAGTCCTGGCCAGACCAAGCAGGCAAAGTAAATAAAGCATGTCCAAATAGGAAGAGAGGAAGTTGACTATCCATAATTGTCAATGACATGATTGTATATCTATAAAAAAAACTGTTGTCTTGGTCCCAAAACTCTTTACACTAATAAGCAACTTCAGCAAAGATTCAGGACACAAAATCAACATACAAAAACACTAGCATTCCTGTACACCAACAACAGCCAAGCCACAAACAAAATCAGGAACACAATTCCATTTCCAGTACCACAAAAATAATAAAATACCTATGAATATAGCTAACCAGGAAAGTGAAATACCTGTACAATGAGAATTACAAAACACTGCTGGAAGAGATCAGAGATGACACAAACAAATAGAAAACCCTTTTATGTTTGTGAATGAAGAATTCGTGTCATTAATATGGCCACACGGTCAAAAACAATTTACAGGTTCAATGCTACAGCTGTCAAACTACCAGTGACATTCTTCAAAGAACTAGAAAAAGCTATTTTAAAATTTTTATGAAACTAAAACTAGCCCAAATAGACAAGGCAATCCAAAGGAAAGAGAACAAAGCAAGAAGTGTCATGCTACCTGACTTCAAACTGAGAAAGGACATTTCCTTGACCCCCTCAAGGGACTTGCAACAGGATGTGGCTGGGCTCAAAACCCTTGTGGAAGGGGGAGCACATAGATGAGCTGATGCAGGAGCTGGGGCAAGTGCCTTTAGGAGCTGGCAGGAACAAACCCTGTACCAGCCCATGGCCGTCTAGTGGTTGCCCATGACTTCTGGAGCCCCAGAGGGTGTGTGTTACAAACAAAGCTCTTTTAGTATTAGTCATCTGCAGATGGCTGTTAACCAGCTCAGTGAAGAGTCAGGGTGAAAGCCTCTTACACCCTGCCATCTTGGTACCGGGTTTCTTGTCCAGCATCCAGGAAGAATCAGGTCACATGGACTTGAAGGATGGTGAATGTGGAGATTTTATTAAGTAGTGAAAGTGGCTGTCAGTGGAAGGGGAGCTGGAAGTGGAAAGATGCGGAAGAAGGTGATTATTTCCTGAAGCCCGGCTGGCTCTGGCTGAGCTCCTCTCCGAAGACATGCTGTCTGAAGTTAAGCCACGTCCGTCTGTAGTCTCTGACTCTCAGTTGCTTCTTCTCTTCTCTACTCCTCTGCCACATTGCTCCACTCTTCTACCAGTGGAATTCGGGTTTTTTATGGGTACACGATGGGGGGCATGATGTGCCAGGGTGGTTTTGGAAAAAGCAACATTCACGTGGGAAAACAGGTATAACTGTTCTCATTTAGGAATGCAGTTTCTGTGCTTGAGGGTGGGGCCTTTGTCAGGGAACTGCCCTCTTCTCAGCATTTCCCTCCCTCCTGTCCATATCAAAACTATACTACAGGGTTACAGTAATCAAAATCAACACGGTACTGGTGCAAAAAAAAAAAAGGACACATGGACCAATAGAACAGAATAGATAGCCCAGAAATAAGGCCACATACTTACAACCGTATAATTTTTGACAAAACCGACAAAAAACAAGCAGTAGGGAAAGGACTCTTCATTCAGTAAATGGTGCTGGGATAACTGGCTAACCATATGCAGAGAATTGAAACTGGACCCTTTCTTTACACCATATACAAAATCAATTTGAGATGGATTAAACACTTAAATGTAAAACCCATAACTATAAAAACTCTGGACAACAACCTAGGTGGTAACATACTGAACATAAGAACTGGAAAAGATTTTATGACAAAGTAGCCAAAAGTAATTGCAACAAAAATAAAATTGACAACTGGGATCTAATTAATCTGCAGAGCTTCTGCACAACAAAAGAAACTATCAACAGGGTAAACAGACAATATATAGAATGGGAAAACATTTGCAAGCTAAAAATTTGTTGGATATCTGACAAAGGTCTGATATCCAACATCTATAAGGAAATTACACAAATTTACAAGTGAAAACAAATCCCATTAAAAAGTGGGCAAAGAACATAGATAGACACTTTTCCAAAGAAGACATACATGTGGCCAACAAGCATATACCTCTTAACCTTAAAAGAAAACAAAACAAAAACAAAACTGGAGTCAATTCTCTCAAACCTTGTCTCTGGTTTATCAACTTCATTTATGAAATAATCTGAATCCGTTCTTGTCATTTCAGCAAAGTCCTCGACATCTTCGCCAGGAATAGATTTCATCTTATAAAACTATGTTCTTTGCTCATTCATGAGAAATGACTTCTCATCTTTTCAATTTTCATTATGAGATTGCAATAATTCAGTCACATCTTCAGGCTCCACTTCCAATTATAGTATTTTTGCTATTTCTACAATATCTGCAGTTACTTCCCCCACTGAAGTCTTGAACCACTAAAAGTTATCCATGAAAATTGGAACCAATGTCTCTCAAACTCCTGTAAATATTAATAATTTAAGCTCCTTTCATGAATTACAAATATTTTTAAGGGCATCTTTAATGGCAAGTTTTTTCCTGAAGGTTCTCAATTTACTTTTCCCAGATGCATCAGAGAAATCACTATCTATGGTAGCTATAGCATTAGAAAATATATTTATCAAATAATAAGACTTGAAAGTCCCAATGACTCTTTTAGCCATGTGCTATAGAATGGATGTTGTGTTAGCAAGTATCAAAAGGACATTAATGATCATGTACATCTCCATCAGAGCTCTGAAATGACTAGCTGCATTTTCAATGAGCAGTAACATTTTGGATCTTTTTTTTTTTTTTCCGAGCAGTAGGTCTCAACAGTGAGCTTAAAATATTTAGTAAACCATGCTGAAAACAGATGTGCTCTCATCAAGGCTGTGTTGTTCCATTTATAGAGCAGAGGCAGAGTGCATTTTGCATAATTTGTAAGGGCCTTTGGATTTTCAGAATAGTTAATGAACACTGGCTTCAAGTTAGCCACCAAATGCATTAGCCCCTAACAGAAAGTCAGCTTGTCCTTTGAAGCTTTGAAGACAACCATTGACTTCTCTCTAACTATGAAAGCCCTTGATGACATTTTCTTCCAATATATGGTTTTTTTATCTACACTAAAAATCTGTTATTTAGTGTAGACACCTTCATCAATTATCTTAGCTAGATCTTCTGGATAAATTGCTGCAGCTTCTTCATTAGCATTTACTTCACCTTGCACTTCTATATTATGCAGATGGCTTATTTCCTTAAACCTCATGAACCAACCCCAGCTAGATTCAAATTTTCTGTCTGCAGCTCCCTCACTTCTGTCAGCCTTCAGAGAGTTGAAGAGAGTTTGGGCCTTGCTCTGAATTAGGCTTTAGCTTAAGAAAATACTATGTGATTTGATCTCATATCCAGACCACTAAAATTTTCTCTATATCAGCAAAAGGGTGTCTTGCTTGTTTATCATTTGTGTGTTCACTGGAACAGCATTTTTAATTTTTTTCAAAGAATTTTTCTTTGCCTCCACAACTTGACTAACTGGCACAGAGGGCTAGCTTTTAACCTATTTTTGCTTTTGACATGCCTTCCTCACTAAGCTTCATCATTTCTAGCTTTTGAGTTAAAGTGAGAGATTTGTTTCTCTTCATTTCACTTGAACACTTAGAGGCCATTATAGGGTTATTAGCTGGCCCAATTTTAATAGCACTATGTCTCAGGAAAGGGGGAGACCCAAGGAGAAGCAGAGAGATGTGGAATGGCTGGTAGTTGGAGCAGTCAAAACATCTACAAAATTGATCAATTACATTTTCTTTCTTATATGGGAGTGATTCATCATCCCATACACTTACAATGGTAACATCAAAGACTGCTGATTAAAAATCACCATAACAGGTATAATAATAATAATAATGAACTTTGAGATATTGTTAGAATAACAAAAATATGATACATAGATGCTATGTGAACACTTGCTATTGAACAAATAGTACTAATAGACTTGCTCAACACAGCATTGTTACAAACCTCCCATTTGTAAAAAAGAAAAAACACAATATCTGCAAGGCACAATAAAGTGAAGTGCAATAAAATAAGATATTCCTGTACTATATATGCATTGCAAAGAAATTGATATAAGTTCAGTTTTGGACATTATGAATTCAGTTGATTTTGAGACACCTAACAAGTGTCTAATAGTCAATTGACACCTAATATTTATTTTTCATCCTGCACCAACATGAATGTAAGGCTACTTACAAGAAAATTTAAAAGGAGAGAAATATTATAAATTCTATGACAAAGAAAAAAATGACAATAGTAGAATATAAAACATATCTGAGAATGAAGCTTGTATGAAAAATACATATCATTAAATCCATACACATACTAGAGAAACCAAAACATAGTTAATAGGGCCTATCAGATGAAAACAGGAGACTGGCTCAGAAAAATGCACAAATATTTTTGATGTTAAGACTAGGAAGAAATTTATATGGAAAATCCTCATGAATCAGACTGCAAGTAATATAATGACTAATTTCCTTAAGGACATCATTAGACTAAATACAAGTTTTATAGAATAGCATCTTATAGAATTATTTAATGTAGAACAATTTAGCTTTCATAATTTATACAAAAATTTGTTTTTTGTTTTTAAATCACTCACATTGATACGGTTACTTTTTCATTTTGCTGTGAACTCTTTATGGAAGCTTTTAGCTATATGATATTGTCTCATTCCATTTGGGCAACTATTACAAAATATTATAGACTTGGTGGCTTAGAAACAACAGAAATTTATTGCTCACAGTTTTGGAGACTGAGAGGTCCAAGATCAAGGCACTATCAAATTTAATGTCTGGTTAGGGCCTGCTTCCTGATTCAGAGACAGCTGTCTTCTCAGTGTGACTTCACTTAATTGGGGAGGCAAGGGAGAAGGAAGCTCTCTAAGCTCTCTTTTATAAGGACACTAATGCAATTCATGAGAGATCTGATGTCATAAGCTAATCACCTACAGAAGGCCATAACTCCTAATACTATCACATTGTGGGTTAGGATTTCAACATAAATTTCGGAGCAGAGACACAGACATTCAGCCTATAGATGTATTTACTTCAAGCATTTGAAAAATGCAGAAACTCACTAGTTACTCTTGTCAGCTTACTACCACAAATCTGTTTGTCTGGTATTTTATACAGTTTATTTTCAAATTCAAGCACATAAAATTACATAGCATTTGCTTTCTTTATTATTTTTTCAAAGTAATTGTAGAATTTGTTTTAGAAATGTTTTTGTTTGATAACTATAACAATTCTAACATTCCTAGCCATAAAGAAAGAAAGTAGGCAAAAAGTTGATAGCTTCTGAGTGTGCATTTTAAATTGAATCATCACGTGATACATATTTTAATATTTTTGATTAGATTAAAAAGATTGACTAATTTTGAAAAACTCAGCTCCGTTTACTTACCATGTTTATATTTCTTATGTTTTCTTCTTTATCTCTACACAGTTTTCTCAACTGGAGATATTGTCGCTTCATAATTCTATAACACATACAGATTTTACTTCTAAATGATGCATTATTTATTTCCAAAAAGGGTCTTATTAACACAATAATATCAGAATAAAAATAAATTTAATACTGTACTTATTAAAGAGTCACATAGATATTCAAATTAATATAGAAAGTAAATTTAAACTGGAAGTTTTCTAAAATAAAAATAATTATGCTCTGTGCATTTGCATTGTATGCCCTGAGCTTAGTGTAACATCCGTCTTCATCTAGTATTATTCTTTGTTAGAAATGGCTGCAATCTTACTCTCCTGCACTCTGATATAAATAAATTTATATCTCCAAGAGCAAATACTCCAGTCAATAACAATGAAATGCTACTGCTATCACTACTATTACAACTACTAATGATGATGGCTATAAAAGTTGAAAGAGATCACACTATTTTTGACTGTCAATTATTGACTTATTTATTCATTTTTAGTATTAGCACTCCATTTCTTTTTTTATACTAGCTTTATTGAGATATAATTAACAAGACATAAAATTAACCCTAAAATGAACCCTTTTATATTGTACAATTCACTGGTGTTTAGTATTAGGTTAGGTTGATGCAAAAGCAATTGTGGTTTTTGCCATTACTTTTAATGGAAAAACCACAATTACTTTTGTACCATCCTAATATATATACAAATAAACTGTGATGGTTGTGAAACCAACACTACAATAAATTTTTAGAATATTTTAGTCATTCTGTATCTATTAGCAATCACTCCTTGTTCTTCCCTCCTGCAAGGCCCTGGCAACAATTAATTCCCTTTCTGTCTCTATGGATTGACTTATTCTGGATAACTTATATAAATAGATTCATGCGATTCATGCCCTATTGTGTCTAACTGCTTTCACTTAGCATGTTTCTAAGATTCACCAATGTTGCAGCATATAACAGTAATTCATAGATTTTACTGCCAAACAATATTCAATTTTATGAATATACCACATTTTGGTTAACCTTTTAGCATCTGATGGACTTTTGGGTCATTCCCCATATCGTAGCTATTATGAATAATGATGTTGTGAATGTTTGTGTACAAGTTAATATGTAAATATATGTTTGAAATTCTCTTGAGTATATAGAAAAGTGTGAAATTGTTGGGTCATATAGTAACCTATGTTTAACATTTTGAGGAATTGTCAGAATGTCTCCCAAGAGATACACACCTAGACACATAATTATAATCAAGCTGTTGAAGGACAAGCAGAAAATTTTGAAAGGAGCAAAAGATAGGCAACATATTATCTAAAAGTAATCCTAAATGATATTAACAACTGACTTATCAGAAATCATAAAGTCAGAAGTTAGTGGGATGAAATATTCAAAGTACAAAGAGAAAGGCCTGTCAAACAAAAGTTTTGATTTGAAAAAAATAAAGGAGAAATTGAAATATTCTTAGATAAAAGTGAACAACATCCACAACTAGCCAGTCTAGACTACAAGAAATACTAATGGTAGTTCTTCAGGCTTATATCAGTCCATTTTCATGCTGCTGATAAAGACATACTTGAGACTGGGCAATTTACAAAAGAAAGAAGTTTAATGAACTTACAGTATCATGTAGCTGGGGAGCCCTCACAATCATGGCAGAAGGAAAGGAGTAAGTTATGTTTTACATGGATGGCAGCAGGCAAAGAGAGAGCTTGGCAGGGAAACTCTTATTTTTAAAACCTTCAGATCTCAGGAGACTCACTCACTATCATGAGAACAGTGCAGGAAAGACCTGCTCCCATAATTCAATCACCTCCCACTGGGTTTCTCCAACAACAGGTGGAATTGTGGAAGTTACAATTCAAAATGAGATTTGGGTGGAGACACAGCCAAACCATATCATTCAGCCCCTGGCCTCCCAAATCTCATGTCTCAAATTTCAAAACCAGTCATGCCTTCCCAACAGTCTCCCAAAATCTTAAAACATTTCAGCTTTAACTCAAAAGTCCACAGTCCAGGTTAGTTACTTCCTATCTACAATGGGGGTACAGGCATTGGGTAAATGCAGCCATTCCAAATGGGAGAAATTGGCCAAAACAAAGGGGCTACAGGCCCCATAAAAGTCCGAAATCCACCAGGGCAGTCAAATCTTAAAGCTCCAAAATTATCTCTTTTGATTCCATGTCTTGCATGCAAGAGGTGGGTTCCCATGGTCTTGGGCAGCTCCACCCCTGTGGCTTTACAGGGTACAGCCTCCCTCCTGGCTATTTTCATGGGCTGGTGTTGAGTGTATGCAGCTTTTCCAGCCACACTGTGCAAGCTGTCGGTGGATCTACAATTCTGGGTTCTGGAGGACTGTGGCCCTTTGCTCACAGCTCCACTAGGTGGAGCCACAGTAGGGACCCTGTGTGGGGAATCTGACCCCACATTTCCCTTCTGCGCTGCCCTAGCAGAGGTTCTCCATGAGAGCCCCAACCCTAGAGGAAACTTCAGCCTGTTCATCCAGGCATTTTCTCACATCTTCTGAAATCTAGAAGGAGGTTCCTAAACCTCAGCTCTTGACTTCTGTGCACTCACAGGCTCAACACCAGGTGGAAGCTGCCAAGGCTTGGGGTTTGCACCCTCTGAAGCCACAGTCCAAGCTCTATGTTGGCCCCTTTCAGCCATGGCTGGAGTGGCTGGGATGCAGGGAACCAAGTCCGTAGGCTGCACACAGCATGGGGACCCTGGGCCCAACCAATGAAACCACTTTTTCCTCCTAGGCCTACAGGCCTGTAATGGGACAGGCTGTCACGAAGAACTCTGACATGCCCTGGAGACATTTTCCCTGTTGTCTTGGGGATTAACATTTGGCTCCTCATTACTTTCGCAAATTTCTGCAGCCCGCTTGAATTTCTCCTCAGAAAATGGGTTTTTCTTTTCTATCGCATTGTCAGGCTCCAAATTTTCTGAACTTTTATCCTCTGCTTCCCTTATAAAATTGAATGCCTTTAACAGCACCTGAGTCACCTCTTGAATGCTTTGCTGCTTAGAAATTTCTTCCACCCGATACCCTAAATCATGTCTCTGAAGTTTAGAGTCCCACACATCTCTAGGGCAGGGGCAAATGTTGCCAATCTCTTTGCTAAAACATAACAAGAGTCACCTTTGTTCCAATTCCCAATAAGTTTCTCATTTCTATCTGAGACCACCTCAGCCTGAACCTTATTGTTCATATCACTATTAGCATTTTGGTCAAAGCTATTCAACAAGTCTCTAGGGAGTTCCAAGCTTTCCCACATTTTCCTGTCTTCTTCTGAGCCCTCCAAACCGTCCCGATCTGTGCCCATTACCCAGTTCCAAAGTCACTTCCACATTTTTGGGTATATTTTCAGCAATGCCCCACTCTACTGGTATCAATTTACTGTATTAGTCCATTTTTGTGCTGCTGATAAAGACATACCCAATACCAGGCAATTTACAAAAGAAAGAGGTTTAATGGACTTGCAGTTCCATGTGGCTCAGGAGGCCTCACAAATGGTGGAAAGCAAGGAGAAGTAAATCATGTCTCACATGGATGGCAGCAGGCAAAGAGAGAGCTTGTGTGGGGAAACTCCCATTTTTAAAACCATCAATTCTTGTGAGACCATTCACCATCATGACAACAGTGCAGAAAAGATCTGCCCCCATAATTCAATCACCTCTGACCGGGTTCCTCCCACAACATGTGGGAATTATGGGAGTTACAATTCAATATGAGATTTGGGTGGGGACACAACCAAACCATATCAAGGCAGAAATGAAAAGATACTAGACAGTAACTCAAATTCACTTGAAGATATGAGTATCAGTAATGATAACTACATAAATAAATAAAAAAGATAGTATACATTTGTTTTTTACTTATAACTTGTATTTTTACCCCATGTTTTAAAAAAACAATTGCACAAAACAATAATTATAAATCAATACTTAATATTAAACAATATATTACGATGTAATTTGTGACAATAACGACAGAAAGAAGGAAGAAAAAAGTAATGTATGATCACATATTTTATATACAGGGGTACTCTGCCTCGCATGGCTAATTTTTGTGTTATTTAGTAAAGATGGGATTTTCCCATCTTGCCCAGGCTGGTCTCGAACTCCAGAGCTCAAGTGATCCACCTTCCTCAGCCTCCCAAAGTTCTGGGGTTGCAGACCTGAGCCATGCACCTGGCTAAAATTTGAGTTCCTGAGTTGAGAACTTTATTTATTTATTTTACTCAACTTTTATTATATGTTCAGGGGGTTCATGTACAGGTTTGTTACATGAGTAAATTGCATGTTGCTGAGGTTTGGTATACAAATGGCCCTGTTACCCAGGTAGTGAGCTTGCACCCTATAGTTAATTTTACAGCCCTCTCCTCCCTAAAACTCTCCCTTCTCTGGTAGTCCCCAGTGCCCACTGTCTATTGTACCCATCTTTATGTCCATGTGTATGCAAAGTTTAGCTCCAACTTGTAAGTGAGAATGTACGGTATTTGGTTTTTTTCCTGTGTTAATTTGCTTAGAATAATGACTTCCAACCATATCCACGTTGCTGACAAGGATATAATTTTCTTCTTTTATATAGCTGTGTGGCATCTCATGATGTATAGGTACCACATTTTCTTTATCTAGTCCAGTATTGATGGGCCTGTAGGGTAATTCCACGTCTTTGCTATTGTGAATAATGCTGCAATTGACACACAAGTGCGTGTGTATTTTTGTTAGAATGATTTACTTTCTTTTGTGTATATACCCAGTAATGGGAATGCTGGGTTGAATGGCAATGTTGGAAGTTCTTTGAGAAATCTTCAAACTGCTTTCCTCAGCAGCTGATCTAATTTACATTCCCACCAAAGCAGTGTGGAAGTGCTCTTTTTTTTCCACAACCTCACCATCATCTGGTATATTTTGTTAATTTAATAATGGCTGTTCTGAATGGTGTGAGATGCTATCTCCGTGTGCTTTTGATTTGCATTTCTGCAATTATTAGTGATCCTGAGCATTTTTAATAGGCTTGTTGGTCACATGTATATCTTATTTTGAAAAATATCTGTTCATGCCATTTTCCGACTTTTTAAAGGGGTTGTTTTTTCTTGAAAATTTGTATAATTTCCATATAAATGCTGAATATTAGACCTTTGTCAGATGCATAGTTTGCAATTTTTTTTTCTCCCATTCTGTAGGTAGTCTGTTTACTCTATTGGCAGTTTCTTTTGCTATTCAGAAGCTATTTAGTTTACTTAGGTCCCACTTGTCAATTTTGTTTTTGTTGTGATTGTTTTTTGGGAACTTAGCCAAAAATTATTTGCCAAGGCTGATGCCTGGAATGGAATTTCATAAGTTTTCTTTTAAGATTTTTATATTTTCAGCTCTCAAGTTTAAATTTTTAATCCACCTTGAGTTATTGTTTGAAATGTTGAAAGGTAGGGGTCCTATTTTATTCTTCAGCATTTGGCTAGCCAGTTATTCCAGCACCATTTATTGAACAGGGAGTTTTTTCCCTATTGCTTGTTATTGTCTCTATACTGAGGATGCAGTTTTTAAATCTATTTTCCCCTTTACTAAATTATGGCAGGAGTGTTTAGTCCACTTACATTTAACATAATTACTGAAAATACAACATCAAAATATGTGAATAGTGCTAAAGCAGTGTAGAGATAAAAAATTATAGCATTGAATTCTTTCATCAACAACAAGAAAATGTCTTAAATTAATAACTTAAGTTCTTATTAAGGAGCAAAATCAAATTAAATCAAGCAAGGGGATGGCTATATTAAAGATAAACACAGTTATCAGTAAATCTGAAAGAAGGAAAACAATAGAGAAAATCAATAAAATAAAATGTGTGTCTTTGACAAAATAAATAAAAATTAATGTCTCACAAGCCTGATAAAATATAAATGAGATACAAATCACCAATATCATGAATTTAGTAGGAGCTTTTACTAGAGATTATATAATCATTAAAAGAATAATAGATGGAGCACTATGAAAACTCCATGGTTGTAAATTAACATCTTAGAAGAAATAGATCCTCTTCCTTAAAAATCACAAACTACTAGAACTTAACCGAGATTAGGTAGAAAATATGAATAGTTCAGGAACATTTAAAAGATGGAATTAGTTAAAATTCAGGTTGAAAATTTCTAAAAAAAAATATATATATACATATAAAAATAAACCCAGCAATGTATACAAAGATGAATATGCCATGACAACATGAGCTTTATTCCAGATACGCAAAGCTGTCACTGTGAATGATATCAATTGTGTTTCAATCAAAATAGTTCAACCTATCAAAAGGCTAGCAAGGACAAATTATATGATCATATTAATTGATGAAGAAAAAAGGATTTGACAAAATCCAACACCCAAACTCAGCAAATCAGGAGAGGAGAAAAATTTATACTTGATATAAGTATACAATTTTACACACACACACAGATATATATATCTGTGTGTATATATATATATAGAGAGAGAGAGAGTGAGAGAAAAGAGAACAACTGTGTATATATATATATATAGAGAGAGAGAGAGAGAGAGAGAGAGTGTGTGTGTGTGACTAAAGCTAACATTATTCTTAATGCTGACATTCTGAATGCTTTTGCCTTAAGTTCATCAGAAACAAAGGTAAAATTGCTTATTCTCATCACTCTTATTCAACATAGTCCTGGGAGTTCTAGCTACTTCAATGAGTCAAGAAAAGAAAATTAAAATCATGTAGATTACAAAGAGAGATAAAACTGTTCCTGTCTGCATGTGATATTATTATTTACATAGAAAATCAGAAGAAATAAGCAATAAAAACAAACAAGTCTCCTGGAACTAATAAGTGAGTTCCTCAAGGTTGCAGGATACATGATCAATACACAAAAATCAATCCCATACTTGTATACTAACAATGAACTTGTGGAAACAAAAATTTAAGACATAATACCATTTGCAATCTCTCCAAAATATAACATATTTAGATACAAAACTTAACATGTTAAAAACCATATGCTAAAAATTATTAAAGGCCAATTAATAAAATAAGATCTAAATAAATGAAGCAACATATCTGATTAATGAATTGGCAGTCTCAACATAGTAAAGATGTTATTTCTTACCAAATTGACTTCAAATTATGCTTATGTCAGTACATACAATACATTTTCTTTATTTTAAGCATTACAGATTATAAAATAATCTTTTTTCTTTTTTCTTTTTTTAATTAACTAATAAATAATATTATCATTTTTCTTTTTTCTTGTCGATAAACATGTAAGGAGTTTTCATATTTCTGCTGAATTAAGCAATGCTGTTTTGACCTCTCCTTATACAGATATATTTTCATATATGCACAAGTATGCATTTACAAGTGCTATCTATAATTGAAATTGCTTGCCCAGTGAGTGTGTGCATTTAGAATTCTGATAGATACTGAATTATGTTCCAGAAAGGTAGCATGTGTAAGAGTGCATGTTAGTTCATGCCATACTGGACTTTGATATTAACTTTCAAATTGTTGTTGTATTATTTTAATTATTTCTAAATGATAGACTTGAAATTGTATCTCATTACTTTGATTGGCACTCCCCTAATTACTGCATGGTTGAGTATCTTTCATGTTTACCGGCCATTTGTGTTTTCTCTTACCTGAAATGCTTGTTGATTTTTAGACCATTATCTAAATTTTAGATGTTATCTAAAAATTCTTTAAGTATTTGTGTATAGTATCTTTTGACATACAGACTATTTTGTGTTGTTCATTTAAATTTTATGCAATTAACCTTGCCCATCATCCTTTTTATATCTCACAAAGTTGTAAAGATTTATCCTAAATATTGTCCTAATAATTGTATAGACTTTTAAATAAAGTTCAGATCTTTATCTCCAATTAACTTTTTTGAATTCTGGAATGTAGGCTCTGTTGTAAAGCCTGCGAAATTGGGACTGTATTGGTCCATTCTCACATTGCTATAAAGAACTACCTGAGACTAAGTAATTTATAAGGGAAAAAAAGTTTAATTGGCTCACAGTTCCACAGGCTGTACAGGAAGCATGGCTGGGGAGGCCTCAGTAAACTTACAGTCATGACAGAAGGCATAGGGGAAGCAGATACATCCTACGTGGCTGGGCCAGGAGAAAGAGAGAGCAAAGGGGGAGGAGCTACACACTTTTAAACAACCAGATCTCATGAGAACTTACTATCACAACAATAGCAAGAGGGAAATATGCCCCCACGATCCAGTCACCTCCCAGCAGGCCCCTCCTCTAACACTGGAGATTACAATTTGACATGAGATATGGACGGGGACACAAATCCAAGCCATATCAGGGACTATTTAATATTCATTTTTTATATGTAAATACACAGAATCTTGATTATATTCCAGAAGAATATAAGGAAGAGCAAAGGATTATTTTATCCAATCCCTCTTGCATCTAGGGATGGCCAATGATAAATAAGTGGAAGTCATTGGTTGGGGTTTCTTTAAAATCTCCTCAAAAAGCACTGACTTTGCTCATACATATATATATATTTTTCCCCCTTTCTTTTCCTACTTCCTTTTATCTGTCTTGAAAGTCCATGTGATAACTGCATCTCCTGCAGTCACTTGAGAATATGAAACATTCTGGAGGATCAGTGCTAGATTTAAAGCTAGTAGAGTAGAATGGTAGCAGGAGTGAAGCCACCATATTGAGAGGTGAGGCCAACTGGACTTCCTGGGTCAAGTGTAGACTTGGAGAACTTTTCTGTCGAGCTAGAGGTTTGTAAATGCACCAATCAGCACTCGGTATACACGCACCAATCAGCACTCTGTGTCTAGCTAAAGGTTTGTAAATGCACCAATCAGCACTCTGTAAAAATGCACTAAAGAGCGCTCTGTGTCTAGCTAAAGGTTTGTAAATGCACCAATCAGCACTCTGTAAAAATGGACCAATCAGCACTCTGTAAAATGGACCAATTAGTGCTCTGTAAAATGGACCAATCAGCAGGTCTTGGGCGGGGCCAAATAAGGGAATAAAAGCTGGTCACTGGAGCCAGCAGCTGCAATCCACTCTGGTCCCCTTAAATGAAGTGGATTGTTTGTTCTTTCGCTCTTCACCATAAATCTTGCTGCTGCTCGCTCTTTGGGTCCGCTCTACCTTTATGAGCTGTAACACTCACAGCAAGGGTCTGCAAGAGTCTGGGGCTTCATTCCTGAAGTCAGTGAGACCAGGAACGTACCGGGAAGAACAAACAACTCCAGAGGCACCACCTTTAAGAGCTGTAACACTAACTGGGAAGGTCTGCCACTTCACTCCTGAAGTCAGCTAGACCAGGAACCCACTGGAAGGAAGAAACTCTGGACGCATCTGAACATCCGAAAGAACAAACTCCAGACACACCATCTTTAAGAACTGTAACATTCACAGTGGGCTTCATTCTTGAAGTCAGTGAGACCAAGAACCCACCGGAAGGAACCAATTCCGGATACAATATCAGCCAAGGGCAGCTTGAGTTCTTAATTGAGAAAGAAAAAAAAAATTATTTAAGCCACTGTTATTTTATATATATGCAAATCAAAGTAATGAGATGCAATTTCAATTTATAGATACACATACATATTTTATATATATATACCTTTATATGCATGAGTCAATTCTGTCTGATACAGATTTTATACTTGTAAGTGTGATGCTGAAATTAATAGAACCTAATTATAGAATTTGCTAAATGGAAGAAATCTGGAGCTGCATATTAATATTTCAGATACAGATAGCAGGCTGGAAAGCCTTGTTAGACAGTGACAAAGCATTTAGTTAAATAATTGCCTGCTTTACGTTAGAAAATAGACCTATGTGTCAACTGACATTGTAGTATTAAAGGAGATGGTAAGAAAAATTCATGATGTTTACGTATGCTAGCCTCTTTCTTGCTATTTTTAGCAAAGTTCTTGCCTGACATAGTTGAACTCGCACTAGAACTAGGCACTCAAGTAGCTCTGTTAAGAAAGAAGCTGGATGGCAGTGGCTCATGCCTGTAATCCCAGCACTTTGGGAGGCCAAGGCAAGTGGATCATGAGGTCAGGAGTTTGAGACCAGCCTGGCTAATATGGTGAAAGCCCGTCTCTACTAAAAATACAAAAATTAGCTGGGTATGGTGGCGTGGGCCCGTAGTCCCAGCTACTTGGGAGGCTGAGGCAGGATAATCGCTTGAACCTGGGAGGTGGACGTTGCAGTGAGCCGAGATGGCACCACCACACTCCAGCCTGGGGTGACAGAGAGAGACTCTGAAGAAAAAAAAGAAGGAAGGAAGGAAAGATAGATCTGTTAAAGGAAAATCTCTTGCTGATGCTTATGTGTAATTTAACAAAAAGTCTTGAGATTTGAAACTCTGCAGGTTGAAATGCCAATTGTGTCTGAAAATTTCTAAATGGTGGTTGCAACACAGTTGCTTTAGCAGGAGATAATACTAAGGCACCAAATTTTTTAGAGCACCTTGCGTCAAGTGCTCTCTAGCAGAAGAAAGTGGGAACTAGCTGAGCAGCGAATATCAGAATATGGATTTCTTTCTAATGTAAACGGGATTTTGTATTGCA
Source organism: Homo sapiens (assembly GCF_000001405.40). NCBI lineage: Eukaryota > Metazoa > Chordata > Mammalia > Primates > Hominidae > Homo > Homo sapiens. The sequence goes on along the minus strand of NC_000023.11, from coordinate 92,988,367 downwards.
GTGAATTTTCTGGTTGGTAACTATAGGTAAATTGAAAGCTATTTCCTGTATGCTAACTTTATATTTGGCTAGCTTATATCTTTCTCTTTTTCTTTCCTTACTATCTTCATAGTCACTTTGGTTACTACTTTAACCAAGAGTAGCTTAAAATAATTATTGTTAATTTCTAAGTGTGTATGTGTGTGTGCGTTAAATATATCTTGTTGGTCATTCAAATGCTATAATTTTGTGTAACTTCTCGATTTACTGGATATTGGTTAGAGAATGTGATCTGTAAAATATTTTACCTTTGGGAATTTGCTGAGATTTTCTTTGTTGCTTTATATACTCATTAAAAAAATCTGTTGAGATATTAACTTGTGCCAGGTATTGTGTGAGATGCTACAGAAAGGAGGATGAAAATTATATGGTTGCCAAAGCTGTTTTCTTTGCCTCGTCATGTGGCCTAAATTTTCACCTTTCCCATGTGTCTATGAGGGGCACTCCTCTTCGTTCTTCAAAATCCATGTAATATCTAGAGTGCTCTCATTCTTCCAGGTGAAAACCAATAATAATGTTTCAACCTTTGAGGTCTCCATCACACCTTATCCATAGATTTGTTACAATGTCATATTCATTTTCAAATCTTGAGAGTTTAGTAAATACTTCTGAAAAGATGACTATGATTTCAAATGGTTCAGATTGCAGTTTAGCAAGAGAAGAAATACATAAACAATCAATGAAAATGTGAGTCTGTTACATGCCAAAACCAAGGTAGATACAAAGTGCTACGTAAATATAGATAAAAGAGAAAACAGAATTGATTCTGCTTGGGTAATGGATGCAGAACCTCTCTTCCCAGAGGAAGCAGTATCTAAGCTGGCATTTCCTAGGTGGAGGAGAGGTATATCCTCTGCCAAAAGAATGAAATGAGAAAGATAAGCGTCATGCTCGTGTTCAAAGGAGATAGGGTAGTTGGGAAAAACTGTGTTTTAGGGATGTTTGAAAGGGGTACTAAGCCATGTCTCAAAAGGTATCTCTAAGGAATTTGGAGTTTATCCTATAAACAAAATAGTTCCATAAAAATTGTTTAAGATTGGTTGTTAAACTACATAGGCAAATGAATACTCAAGATTTAGTGTACCTGATTTAGTGTACCTGATTTTACATTGATGATTTTACAGAGTGTAACACTGTTGTGTTTTTCCTTCAGTGTGTAGCAGGATTCTGGTTTTTTTGTGTGTTTAAAAAGTATTAATTTATTGTTAGGCATAGGAATCTGAGTTTCAAACCAGAGCTTAGCTTTAGTGATGATAGAAAATAAGAAGACACATATTGAAAAATGACAAGTTTATGTAGTAAAGAATATTGTCATGCACTCTAGTATATTTAGTGAAGAGGAAAGCCCCTTGTTTTTATTTTAATTTAGTAAAACACTTCAGCTTGTGTCATGTAATGTCACTAAAGTGGATTTGAGTGTGGTGTGTACTTCCCCCCGGGAATCCATCCATAAAATGCATGTTTAATGCTTCTTTCCTAGTTTTACAATATGAACTAGAGAAGTGCATTTTAAAAATCAAAAACATAATATTGCAAAGGATATTTGTTCTGAAACAAATGTACATGAGGGAGACAATTAAAAACATTCCTTCTCTGCCAACTGGGCTGACTTCCTGCCAAAACATAAAATATATGACTTCTCCTTAATGGTTCCCTATCTCAACTACTGATATTTCAGAGCTTTCAAAAAAGCCTCCATATTGTCGATTTTTGCTAATTTATCTTCCATCTTCCATCATTCCTCATAAACAAAAATCTCCTTTCCCTGTGTTTCATTCTCTTACATTCTACTTTGTGAGGGTGGATGTTCCTAATAATGTGCTGATTATTATATCAGGATGCATTCAATTGCAAGAACAGACAATTTGACTTCAATAATAAGGTAACTTGCAATCTCTCATAACCAGAATTTCAGAGTTTCAGAGTGTGCTCAGTGTCAACAGAGACCTAGGTTCTAATTCTCAGTGGGCTTTGCTATACTATGGATAGCATATGTAGTGGAGCTGTATTGTCAACTTAGCTGCTAAGTTGGAATTATGTTTCTCAGAATTTCATTCCCTGTATAGCTCTGAGTTATCAAGGGTCACAAGAGTCATTTTGTGTGAGATTTGGAAGGCAGAAATGAAATAGCAGCCAAATTACTTTTATACTTGGAAGGTTGGTGCAGGGGCACCACGTTCACACATGTCGTCACTTATGACTGATCATTTTGGCATGGAGGCAGGAACAGGCCTTCAGGTGTTTCTCCTCCCCATGGATCCTCAAGGTTCTCTGGCTCCTGGGTCAGATGTTTTTAACTCCTTGATGAAAAATACCATCTTCCGCATGGCACCAACATCATTGAATTTAGAAGCAGTGAGAGACCAACAGGAAATCCAGTCCATCTTCATATCATCTGGCTTATTCTTTTTATTTCCCACTTCACATTTATCCCCTTCCCAACTGCCTATTCTGCAGACTTCAAGCTCCAGCACCAGATACAAAATCAATATACTTAAAAGAAACTGTTCAACAAGGTCCCACAATTGCGTATAGTGTCAAATATCTATTTAAATTATATGCATATATATAGATATGTTTATCTTATCAAACCCAAATACAGCTTTTCTTTCAACTTAAAATCATTGTAATTGTAATTACAAGTGAAACAAGAGTGGAGGTTACACAAGATTTCTCAAACTGTGTTATGCAACTCTAAGGGAGTAATACATGTAAGACTAAGAATATACAATTTTTTTTTATTGGTATTGCAAAAGCCTAAATGATGCTGGCAAAAACCAAAGAGGTTTGAAGTTAAAAAAGTAGAAGTACTCTGAGGTAAAAGATCAGGTATCATAGAAAAGAAGCAGTGTAGTATGGGGGCAAACTCACATGCTTTCGCGAAAAATTGCTTGGGCCCTAACTCTGCCTCCAACCCTAGGGGCTATGTTACCTGGGACACATTATTTAAACTCTCTGAGCCTTAGTTTTCTCATTTTACATATGGAAATAATGAGAATAACTTCTCATTAAACTGTTGTGAAGATCATATGAGATAATACGCATGAGAAGGAGAAAGTGTTCAATAAATGCTTAGCTATCGTAATTATAATGATGATGGTGATGTTATTAATAACCATAATAACATGTATCCATGATTATGTTGGCTTGAGCAACCCTGAATGTAAGATTATTGGGAGAACTTCCCAGTATTATTTCAAAAATTAAATTTGAGAAAATTTAAAACCAGAATTCAAATAAGTAAAACTTAGAATATAAATTTACTATTTTTAAAAAAAATTATTACTTTAGGCTGAATTCATGCTCATGAAGAAGGTAGAGTCTTAATCCTATAAAAAATAATAATGTTTCTTTAATAAAAAGCACAACAGTCCAAGTTGGATGTGGATAGTTTGAGAGTTTAGATAAAAGAAAGTTCTAAAACTTGAAGGTAAGCTTCATATAGTTACAAAATACATTGTTTAATGTTGAACTTAAGCCAGATAAAGTTACATTTTTATCACCCACATTTTCATGAGTATAAAGTATTTCAAAATAGATGCTAGCTTCTTGCACTTTAGAGAGATCAGAACCTATGTGAACTGTAGAAGAAAAGAGCAAGAAACTTCATGCCAGCTGTTTTTTGACTCAAGATCAGGCTCTGGCACTTGCTACCAATAACATTGAAGGGAATCATTTAGTATTTCCAGGCCACTTTTTGCTTCACTGTGAAATAAAAAGATAATAGATTCTTCACAAGGTTGATCAGAGGACCATATGAACAAATGTATGTGAACTGCAAACACTACAGTTATGTAAACTGCAAAGTTGAATTAATATTGTCTACCTGTATCTCTCCCACAAGCTGTTGCTACTGAGACAACCTTCTGCACATGGACTTGTCTGTGGAAGTGGCACAAATAGACGAATCCAAGATGTAATTGTAAAACAGTGGAGGCACAAACAAAAGGTGCTTTATCCAAATACAAAACAAACAAAATGACCTTGAATGTTTATTTATTTATTTTTTATTTTTTTGAAATGGAGTCTGGCTCTGTTACCCAGGCTGGAGTGCAATGGTGCAATCTCGGCTCACTGCAACCTCCGCCTCCCAGGTTCAAGTGATTCTCCTGCCTCAGCCTCCCGAGTAGCTGGGACTACAGGCATGCACCACCATGCCCAGCTAATTTTTGTATTTTTAGTAGAGACGGGGTTTCACCATTTTGGCCAGGATGGTTTCCATCTCTTGACCTCAAGATCCACCCACCTCAGCCTCCCAAAGTGAATGTTTATTTTTAAAGAGACGATGGGTTTATGTAAAGTTTTTATCATGTGCTTTCCCATCTTGCCTTTGGGATCAGTTCATGAGACTTCGTTTGAGTAAACAATATAGAATATTTTCACAAAGAGATGTTTCTCTGTGGAAACCCACTGGACTTAAGGGGTTCAGAATTGCAAGCTTCGTCTTATTAGTTTTATGCTGGAACCAGTAGAGGAAAAATACGGGTTGCAGAAAGAATATAAGACAAGTGTGCTTAGATTTCTGTGGAATAAAAAAAAAAAAAACTCCTTATTGATTAAATTTCACTCTAGGAACTTTGAAGCTTACATCTTTTGTCCAAATTGTAACCGTAGGAAATAAATAGCTGATGCTTTCTTCTATACTAATAAAGATAATGATCTGTCTCTAAAGTACACCTAAATTTCAGTTTTAAAAAAAAACAAACTTTTCTACCACTATCGTAAGGAAGAAGGCACCTGGTATATAGAATAAGCTCCTGTTGAGGCTTTTTTTGCTGATTGAATGTGCAAATTAATAAATGTAATTGGGGAGATAATGGATGTACAAAAAGTTTGGCTAGAGAGACGAAGAAGAAATTTTGGGGTTTTAGGAAGAATGTACTGGTGGGTTGTTTCTTTCCTTTCCTAAACTTGGCCTCAATTTCTCTTTTAATTTCTTCATTGAACCATGTGCTATTTAGTAGTCTGTGGCTTAATATACAAACATTTGGGAATTTTCTAGGTAAATGTTTGTTAGACATTAGTTTGGATGATTTCTGTTGATGTGCGTTTATCTTTTATTCTGTTACATTTAATCTGTTATTAAATCCAGCCACTTTTGTTTTGTTTTGTTTTTTACAGTCAGATATTGAATACTTTGTCCCTGGAAGTTTCAACCAGTACTTTTTATAGTTTTATGTGAAATCCCCTATTTGCATCCTCATTATACTTACATTTTCCTTTAAAAAGTCAACAAATTCATAATAGCTATTTTAAAGTCCACATCTGCTAATTGCATTATCTCTTTCATTTCTGGATCAGTTTCTTTTGATTAATTATTTTCTTCTTCAGATCACATTTTTTCTGCCTCTTTGTTATTTTTTTATTGTAAATGAAAAACATTATGGTTGTTATATTGTTGAGTGTCTGGGTTTTAGTCATTAATCGAGTATTAAGTTTGTTTTGGCAGAAAGTTAAATTACTTGCATATCCCCTGTACCCTTTTGAGGCTCTATTTGTTTGTTTGCTTTGTTTGTTTGTTTTTTGAGACAGAGTCTTGCTCTGTCACCCAGACTGGAGTGCAGTGGCACCATCTAGGCTCACGGCAACCTCCATTGAGGCTTATTTTTAGGATACATTATGGTGAGGCTAGGGTGGCCTTTACTCTAGGACTAAATTAACTCATAAATTGTGGCCTTTTGAGGTATCTACTGAATTCTCAAAGTGTTAAAAAAAAAAAAAAAACTCCATTCTTACTGGTCAAAAATCAACCACTTCCCAACCCTTTGGGAGCTCTAGTGATTGCTTACTTTATGGCTCCCTGGTAATTATTCTCAAATATCTCTTCTTTCCTCAGTTGAAGTTCTTACTCACCTTGAGGACTCTGGGCACATGCACTGCACAACTATGTATTTGTACATAGTAAAAAGTGAAAAAAAGGTCAAAGACTCAAAAGGTCTTCTGTACAGGTTTCTAGAGCTCCTTATGTGCACAGCTCTCCTCTCTGACAAACTGCCCCGAGGTTTCTAGACAATTTTAGTAGACTAGAGCTCCAATCTCTGTCTCTTGGGTGACAACTGGATTGCCATCTTAAAAAAAGTTGAACTGTATCTCTACCTCAATTCTTTTAAATTTATTTTTATTCTGGGGGGTACCCAGTAGGGGTATATATTTATGGGGCACATGAGATGTTTTGATAAAGGCACACAATGTGTAATAAACACATTATGAAGAATGGGGTATCCAACTTCTCAAGCATTTATCTTTTCTGCTACAAACAATCTATTTATACTGTTTTAGTTATTTTAAAATATACATTTAAATTATTATTGACTATAGTCACCTTGTGGTGCTATCAAATAATGTCTTATTCATTCTTTCTAACTATTTTTTGTACCCATTAACCATGCCCATATTATCCTGACCCCTGCTCCTCTATCTTTCTCAGCCTCTGGTAACCATCTTTCTACTCTCTATGTCCATAAGTTCAGTTGTTTTGATTTTAAATCCTACAAATAATTGAAAACATGTGATGTTTGTCTTTCTGCACCTGGCTTATTTTACTTAACATAATGATCTCCAGTTCCATCCATGTTGTTGCAAATGACAAGATTTCTTCTTTTTTCCAATGGCTAAATTGTACCTCAATTCCAACACTAAATAAATTTCAAATGAATAAAAATTTAAATGTAAATATATATAAATGTAAATATATACAATTTTAAAAGTAGCAAAAATGAAAGAAAAATACTTGATACTGTGAAATGTTATTTTGAAATATGTTTTAATATGAAAAATTTTAATATACACAAAAGTAGAGAGAATAGAATAATAAACCACTGTGCATCTACATCTCAGCTTCAGCACTTTGCAACCTATAGCCAATCTTGTTTCAGGTTTATTATCCATCAACTTCCAACCCCCATCATATCTCCCACCACACAGAGAACAGATTATTTTGAAGCAAAATCAGAAACCATGTAATTTCACCCACAAAATAGTTCAGTTTGTATGTGTAAAATATGCGTATTTATTAAAAAATCAACCCTGAAACTTTAATGTACCTAAAAAATAAATGTATCTATTTTACAATTTATTTGCTCAAATCAGATTCCAGACAATGTCATTTGGTTCACATGTCTCTAGTTTCCCCCTCCCTATTTTTTCTCTTGGAATTTACTTATTGAAACAGCTAGGTAATTCACCCTAAAGTGTTTCTTTTTATTTTACAATTTATTGATTACATTCCTGTGATGTTGTTCAACTGGATCTTCAGTGCTTTGTATCTTCTGTAAACAGGTAACTACTTCTAGAGTCTTGATCAGTTTCAGGTTGGAATTTTTGGCAAGAAGAAGATATAGTTGGTGTACTTCACCAGAATGCAAAGAATTCCTGATGTTAAGATTGATACATAGGTTGAACTGTTATTGGTCTAATCCATCCAATATTAAGTCCCTCATCAGCTTTTTACTCAATAGTTTTAATAGCCATAAATCATAATCATCTAGATTTATTATTTTATTAAATATTGAAGAATGGTGGTATTCTATCATTCCTCCACTTATTATCTGTAAAACTTCTATGAAAAAAAGTTTCCATCCTCAGCTATTTGTTAAGGCTGAGGGACTCTTTGTATCACAGATATGGGATAAAGGCTTGATTTCTCCACCCTTGTCACATCTCAGAATAAGAGGTTGGTTCCCTGAAATCCTCCAAAACTGATCAATAAGATTGTAACACTATAATTATAAAATCATACATGTTAACATATTGGATGTGCTGTAATCATTGCAGTCATTTTTTCTTTGATGCTCAAATTTTACATTATTTATTGTTACAGCCCTTTCAAATTGGCTCAAGTCATTTTGACATGACCAAATAGTAATTACTAGTTTCCCTGCTTTTCCATTATGAAAACATGTTTTAAACTCATTTTATACATTTCTTAAAGCAGACTTGGAATTAACTATTTTTCCAAAGATGGTGCTTTCTTTAAATGAAAATGGTATTTAGAGACCAGAATCTATGAGATGATAATGCTGAATTGGTTAATGTTTCTCGAATTTTTAATGGAAGAAATTTAAGAATCATTTCTTGAGTAATATGTATCATTGAAGAAAAAATACATCATGACATACATATAGACATACTGTAACTCAAACTCAAATTTAGAATTACAACAATTTTCAGTTTGTTTTACTTAACTTCTTCAATTCTATTTTTATGTCTTAAGCCAAAAACTCTAACAACATCAAATAATTATTGTTTGCACTTGCAATAGCTAACATTTCAGAATAACAGTATCAACACTATTACTAGCAGTCTGGTTGCTAAAAAATTAAGATTTACTTTTGGTTATTTTTGTCATTAAGATATACTCTCACAGTTATACAGTCAAAATATTCCCTAAATATTCCTACAATCTGCAATTCCTAGGAATATCTGTGTGTGTATATATGTATGTATGTTTAGCCTTACATTTTTAAACTTTCCATTTATTTATTTATTATAATTATTTCTTAATTATACTTTAAGTTCCAGGATACATGTGCAGAATGTGCAGATTTATTACACAGTTATACACATGCCATGGTGGTCTGCTGCACCTATCAACCCATCATCTACATTAGGTTTTTCTCCTAATGCTATCCCTCCCCCAGCCCCCCATGCTCTGACAGGCCCCAGGGTGTGATGTTCCCCTCCCTGTGTCCATGTGTTCTCATTGTTCAACTCCCACTTATGAGTGAGAACATGTGGTGTTTGCTTTTCTGTTCTTGTGTTAGTTTGCTGAGAATGATGGTTTCCAGTTTCATCCATGTCCCTGCAAAGAACATGAACTTATCCTTTTGTATGGCTGCATAGTATTCCATGGAGTATATGTGCCACATTTTGTTTATCCAGTCTATCATTGATGGACATTTGGGTTGGTTCCAAGTCTTTGCTATTGTGAACAGTGCCACAGTAAACATACATGTGCTTGTGTCTTTATAGTAGAATGATTTATAATCCTTTGGGTGTGTACCCAGTAATGGGATCACTGGATCAAATGGTATTTCTGGTTCTAGATTCTTGAGAAATCGCCACACTGTCTTCCACAATGGTTGAACTAATTCACACTCCCACCAACAGTGTAAAAGTGTTCCTATTTCTCCACATCCTCTCCAGCATCTGTTGTTTTCTGACTTTTTAATGATTGTCATTCTAACTGGTGTGAGATGGTATCTCATTGTGGTTTTGATTTGCATTTCTCTAATGACCAGTGATGATGAGCTGTTTTTCATACATTTGTTGGCTGCATAAATGTCTTCTTTTGAGAAGTGCCTGTTCGTATTTGTTGCTCACTTTTTGATGGGGTTGTTTGTTTTTTTTCTTGTAAATTTAAGTTCTTTGTAGATTCTGGATATTAGCCCTTTTTTAGATGGATAGATTGCTAAGATTTTCTCCCATTCTGTAGGTTGCCTGTTCACTCTGATGATACTTTCTTTTGCTGTGCAGAAGCTCTTTAGTTTAATTAGATCCCATTTGTCAATTTTGACTTTTGTTGCCATTGCTTTTGGTGTTTTGGTCATGAAGTCTTTGCCCATGCCTATGTCCTGAATGGTATTGCCTTGGTTTTCTTCTAGAGTTTTTATGGTTTTAGGTCTTATGTTTAAGGCTTTAATCCATCTTGATTTAATTTTTGTATAAGGTGTAATTAAGGGGTCCTTTTTCTGTTTTCTGCATATGGCTAGCCAGTTTTCCCAACACCATTTATTAAATAGGGAATCCTTTTCCCATTGTTTGTTTGTGTCAGGTTTGTCAAAGATCAGATTGTTTTAGATGTGTGATGTTACCTCTGAGGTCTCTGTTCTGTTCCATTGGTCTATATATCTGTTTTGGTACCAGTACCATGCTGTTTTGGTTACTGTAGCCTTGTAGTATAGTTTGAAGCCAGGTAGTGTGATGCTTCCAGCTTTGTTCTTTTTGCTTGGGATTGTCTTGGCTTTGTGGGCTCTTTTTTGGTTTCATATGAAATTTAAAGTAGTTTCTTCCAGTACTGTGAAGAAAGTCAATGGTAGCTTGATGGGGATAGCATTGAATCTATAAATTACTGTGAGCAGTATGGTCATTTTCATGATATTGGTTCTTCCTATCCATGAGCATAGAATGTTTTTTCCATTTGTTTGTGTCTTCTCTTATTTCCTTGAGCAGTGATTTGTAGTTCTCCTTGAAGAGATCCTTCACATCCCTTTTAAGTTGCATTTCTAGGTATTTTATTCTCTTTGTAGCAATAGTGAATGGGAGTTCACTCATGATTTGGTTCTCTGTTTGTCTACTATTGGTGCATAGGAATCCTTATGATTTTTGCACATTGATTACGTATCCTGAGACTGCTGAAGTGGCTTATCAGCTTAAGGAGAATTTGGGCTGAGACAATGGTACAATTGTGTCATCTGCAAACAGATTGGTGTACCATTTGTTTTTAATATAAGGTAGTTTGTGTGCATATATATATATATATATATATATATATATGACTCCATATCCCCTTTTATTTAATATATAGTAGCATACCATGTACAATCTTCTCTGTCTTTTTTTCTCTCCTAATAGTATTTCCTAAAGATCACTGCATAGCAGTATATAAAGATAATTCTTATTCATTTTTTTGCAGTGCCATAATAATTTATTGTGTAGATGAATAGTTTACTCAACTAAGTTACTCTAGATGAATATTTGAGTTCTTTACAGTCTACATAAAATAGGGCTATGATAAAAAGTCTTTGAATACATTTTTTTTTGCCACAACACTTTTGGGATGCTAGAATTGAGATTGTTATATCTAAGGGTAAATGCATAGATGACTGTTCCATGTAAGAATGCTTTTCTATTCATGATAAATAAAACCTAAAAGTAATGAAAAGAAATGTTTATTATGGTTATTATTCAGGGTTCTTCAGAGAAACAGAACCAATAGGAGATACACACACAAAGATTTATTATAGAAATTGGCCCACACATTTATGTAGACCAAAAAGTTCCAGAATCTGCTGTCTCTAAGCTAGAGAACCAGGAAAGCCTGTGTTGTAATTCAGTCTGAGTCCAAAGACCTTAGAACCAGAGGGACTGATGCTGTAACTCCCAGTCCAAGTCTAAAGACGTATAAACTGTTTGTGGGGAGATGGGGGGAACAGTGGTATAAGTTAGGCAGTTTTGTATACAGTCCAAAATCCAAAGGCCAAAGAACCAGGAGCTCTGAGATCTATGGGCAGGAGAAGATGGATATCTCAGCTCAAAAAGAGAGAGAGAGAGAATGAATTCATCTTCCTCAACCTTTTTGTTCCATCCAATCCCTCAGTGGATTGGATGATGCCCAAAACATTGGTGAGGGTAGATCTTGTTTACTCAGTCTACTGATTCAAATGCTAATTTATTCTGGAAACACCTACACTGTCACACCCAGAAATAATGTTTTACTATCTGAATGTCCTTTACCGGAGTCAAGTTGACAAATAAAGGTAACTATTACAAATACTATGAATAAATAAAATTAAAACCAAAGTTTGGTATGGCAAAACCACCGGATACAAAACCAAAGAGCAAACTATAAACTCATAAAAATATGGGTAGCTGGCCGGGCGCGGTGGCTTATGCCTGCAATCCCAGCACTTTGTGAAGCCTAGGCGGGCGGATCACAAGGTCAGGAGATCCAGAGACCATCCTGGCCAGCATGGTGAAACCCCATCTCTACTAAAAATACAAAAATTAGCTGGGTGTGGTGGCATGCACCTCTAACCCCAGCTACTTGGGAGGCTGAGGCGTGAGAATCGCTTGAACCCAGGAGGCAGAGGTTGCAGTGAGCCGAGATCGCGCCACTGCACTCCAGCAGGGAGACAGAGCGAGACTCGGTCTCAAAAAAAAAAAAAAAAAAAAAAAAAAAAAATTAGCTAAAAATAACAGTCAAAGGACAAATATCTGTTCTATTTTAAAAAGTATATATATATAAATGAAAATTCTAGTAGAAAAATGAGCCAAGAGAGTGAGCACTTTACAGAAAAGTAAATACAAATGGCATATAAACTCTGGATGGATTTATGGATCTGAAATATGACAGATTAGGTAAATGCATATTAAAACCGCAATAGCATACCACTTTTTTTCTGATCAGAGGGGAAAATATAATTTAAAGATGTGATCATATACTCCGTTAGAATCTTGCAAAGTAAGCACTCTCATGTGTTGTCAGAGGGAATCAAAATGGTCATAACCTCTGTGGACAGCACATTTGTTTCATTTGTAAATGTTAAAACTATATATATTCATTGGCATATACACTTTATTTTAGCCTATGTTTCCTAGAAAACAGAGCCTGAGGGAAGGATAAATTGCTAATGCTTATGTGGGAAGTATTATACGGAGACACTGAGTGAGGGGAAATGAAAACGAGGAAAGGTAAAACGTAATGCAAGGTGATTAATTTCTATTCTGGCTTCTGCTCCACAACAGACTGTGAAGCAGGTTTCCTATCAATTACAACTGATTAGCCACAGAGGCTCTTTTCAGACAGTTTTCAGGGAGAAATCATACCTCTGTAAGTTCATCGAAATGAAAAAGGGAGATGGAATTTTTCTGCCGGGTTTTTCCTCATTTTATATCTTCCACTGGTAAAATGTCACCCCTATTTTCTAACCTCCCAGGTTACATTATTCAGCTCCTCAGAAGCCATTCAGGAAAACATACCCCAAACCCTAAGGCGTTGCATTTAATCTGAATTCACAAAAGGTAAGTGGAACCAGAAACCGCAGGCTAATGGCTAATTATCCTCAAGCCAAGTAACTGAAAGGAACTGGTTTTATCTGGTGCTAGTCGAGACAGATCAAGAAGTTGGGAATCCAAGAGACGCAAGAGGCCAAGAGAATCTGAGGATGTGAATAAGGTATGTTTAATAGAGCCCATTCTTGTGCCACTCAACTCTATTTGTAATCTGCCATTGTGTCTGGCTCCTACACTTCATTTCTCAAACCCTCATTGTATGTGTGTGTCGAAGGGTGGGAAGTAACAAGCTGCCTTCACTTGTTTTCTGAGAAAGAAAGTATAAGTCTAGTGAGTCACAGAGTCTACTTCACGTAGGTAAATAGACATGATCTGTTAAAAACAAAACAAAACAAAAAACAAAGCTTCAGACAAAAATAAGATTAGTGAAAGAAGCTGCAGTCCCCACTGCTAATAACAGGTAAATGTATGCTATAACATGTAAGAATCTTCCTAATATAATACAGAGACAAAAAAGCCACATGTGTGACCACATGCTGCATAATTTGTTTTATACAAAGTTTAAACGTAGGGAAATCCAACATATGGTTTCAGAAGCACAAATAATGATTATATTTGGTAAGCAAAGGGTTTGGGGCCTTTTAATTTCCTTATGAACTTTAGAATTTCCGTGTTAATTTTCACCAAAATAATTCACTGAATTTTTACTGTGATTTCATTACATCTTGTCAGTGGCCTGTTTGAATTGCTGGAAGGTGATAAATATTTTCAGAGGTATGTTTATTTATAAATACTAGCTTTGTTATACAAACATACTTAAGTAGTTGCATTTTTGTCATCAATTACAAATCTTTTGGGGCAGTGTGTTTGTTTTAATCTGAGGCAGGCACAGAAATTATGGCTGTAGAGATTTCTCAAAGCTCACTTGACATTCTGTTGTAAACATGTGTTTAGGCAAGAAAAAGAGATTATTTTTTTCATTCAACACATGACCCAGTTGGTGGGTAGATTCCCACCAACCATAGGGTCAATTGTAAAACTCATTTCTGTCACCCACTCTGTGTCAAATATATGTGGAATATGTGTGGAAGTATATACAGATACTATGTTAATATGGACAATACATATGTATATCTATATACTTATATGGATTCCATATACATACATGTAGATTTATTACTGGATTATATTTGAGTAGATCAATTTGACTAGATTAAATGGATTTGATATACCCACTATATATGGAAATATATATTTTTGTTATTAATTCATATATTTTTGATAGGCAAATCATAATTGTATATATATACAGGGTACAATGTGATGCTTTGATCTACTTATAGAATGAAGAATGATGAAATCAAGCAAATTAACATATCTATCTTCTCACTTATCATTATTTGTGATGAGACATTTACTCTTATTTACTTTGAAATATACATTATTATTGCAATAAAAATAAAAACTTATGCCTCCTGTCTAACTGAAACCTTGTGTCCCCTGACCATCAACTCCCAACTCCCTCCCACCATTCCCCAGCCTCTGGTAACCATCATTCTACCCCCTACTTCTATGAGTTCAAGTTTTACAGATTCTATATATAAGTGAGATAATTCAGTATTTGTCTTTCTGTGACTGGCTTATTTCACTTAGCATAATGTCCTCCAGGTTCAAGCATAATGTCTTAAATTACAAGACTGCTTTCTTTTTTTAAGGCTGAATAGCATTCTTTTGTTTGCTTATACCACATTTTCTTTATCCATTCTTCCACTGATGGACACTTAGGTGGATCCCATATCTTGTCTGCTGTGAATAATACTGCAGTGAATATGGGAATCCAGATAACCCTTCAAAATATTGATTTCAATTCATTTGCATAAATACTCAGCAGTGGGATTGCTGGATCATATGGTAGTTCTATTTTTAGTTTATTAAGGAATCTTCATACCTTTCATAGTAGCTGGACCAGTACCAGTACATTGCCGATTTTGGTCACTATAAACATGCAGTATAATGAAGCCAGATAATGTGATGATTCCAGGTTGTTCTTTTTGTCTAGGATTGCTCTGGCTATTTGCAATCTTTTTTGTTCTATATAAATTTTGGAATTTTTTTTCCTAATTCTGTGAAAAAGTGAAATTGGTAATTCCATAAGTGTTGCTTTGAATCTGTAAATTACATTAGACAGTATGGTCATTTTAATAACATTGATTTATCCAATCCATGAACAAGTGATTTTTTTTCATTTGTTTGTTTCAGCTCTGATTTCTTTTATTAGTGTTTTGTATTTTTCCTTGTAAATACCTTTCATTTCCTTGGTTACATTTCTTGAGGTATTTAATTTTTGTCATGTGACTATTGTAATTGAAATTGACTTATTGATTTAGTTCTCAGCATAAATATTATTGGTTTATAGAAATGTTACTAGAGTTTGTAAAGTCAAAATATAGCAGATGTTGGTGAGAATGTGGGGAAAAAGAAACACGTATACACTGTTGGTGGGAATGTAAAGTAATATGTCTATGGAAGACAAATTTCTCAAAGAACTAAAAATAGAACTACCTACCATTAATTCCAATCATCCCACTACTGAGTACGCAAAGGAAAATAAAATCATATCCAAGACACCTGTACTCATGTGTTTATCACAGCATTAGTCACAGTAGCAAAGTAATGAAATTGACCTAAGTATCCATCAGTGATTGATTTATGTAATAAACGTGCACATGTACTCCTTGAATCTATAAAAATAAATGTCATATATGTGTGTATGTGTATATATGCATCAAACAATAGGGCTCCAAAATATGTGAAGCAAATATTGACAGAATGAAAAGGGGAGACAGAAAGCTCTGCAATAATAGTAGGAAAGTTCAATAACCCACTTTCAATAATTGATAGAAAATAAGACAGATGATCAGGAAGGAAGACAAGAACTTGATCAACACTATAATACATGTAGGTATAACAAGCATTTACCAAACACTCCAGCAAACAACAGTAGAATATGCATTTTTCTTAATTACTCATGAAACACTCTTCAGGATATACCATATGTTAAGCCACCAAACAAGTCTTGATAAATTCTGAAAGACTGAAATTATACAAATTATCTTTTCAAATCACAATGGAGTGAATATAGAAATCAATAACAGAAGAAAAACTGTAAAACTGGCAAGTAGATAAAAATTAAGCAACATATCCTTAAACAACCAATAGATCAAGGAATAAATCAGAGGAGAAATTAGACAATATTTTAAAACAAATTAAATCCAAAACACAGCATACCAAAATATATGAATGCAGCAAAAGTAGTGCTCAGAAGGAAAATTAATAGCTGGAAACACATCAAAAAAAGAAAAAGGTTAACTAAAATAATTAATTACACCACTTAAAATGTTTTAAAAAGAAAAAATTAAACCTACTGCTAGCAAAAGGAAGCAAATAATAAAGATTATAGCAGAGCTAACTAAAACAGAGAATACAAAAAAAAGAAAAATCAATAAAATCAAAAGTTGGTTCTTCAAAATGAACTACAAAATTTTAAAATTATAGCCAAAGACTACATTGACTAAAACAAAAAAAAAAATGACTTAATTTACTAAAATCAGAAAAAAAAACGGAATAATTCTAACAATCTTACAGAACTAATAGGATCATAAGAGAGTACTATGAGCAAGTGTGCACCAAAAACTGGATTACCTAGATGAAATAAACAAATTCCTTGAAACACACAACTTGCCAAGACTGAATCATGAAGAAACAGAAAATCTGAACAGATTCATAAACAATGAGGAGAAGAATCAGTAATCAAAAATCTCACAACAAAAAAAGCCCTGGAGCAGATGGCTTCATTAATGAATTCTTTTAAAAATATTGGTAAATGAATAAACAGCAATTCTTTTAAAACCTTTCCAAAATAATAAAGAGAATGAACACTTCTTAACTCATTCTATGAGGCCAACATTTTCCTAATGCCAAATCCAAAGACACTACATAAAAGAAAACTACAGGCTACTATACCTAATGAATGTTGATGCAAAAAATTTCAACAACATACTAGTAAATGAAATTATGAAGTATAATAAAAGGATTATACACTATGACAAAGTGCAATTTTTCTTAAATGTGATGTATTATGATAGTGTTCCAAGAAAATGAAGGAGAAGAAACGGTTGTCTTGATGCAGAAAAACATTTCACAAAATTAAACATTCCTTATAATAAAAACACAGCAAATTAGGAATAGAAGGAAACAACCTCAATAAATAATGGCCATATATGAAATATCTTGAAATATCCATATTTAGCATCATAGTCAATAATGAAAGACTAAAAGCTTTTCATCTAAGTTCTGAAAGATTATCCTTAGCAAACTAACATAGGAACAGAAAACCAAACACCTCATGTTCTAACTTGTAAGTGGGAGCTAAATGACGAGAACACATGGACACAAAGACTAGAACAGCAGACACTGGCGCCTACTTAAGGGTGGAGAGGTAGGAGAGAGAGAGGATTAGAAAAAATAACTATTGGGTGCTAGGCTTAGTGCCTAGGTAACGAAATAAACTGTACAACAAACCCCAATGACATGAGTTTACCTATATGACAAACCTGCACACGAACCTCGAACTTAAAATTTTAAAAAAAGAATGCTTGATTTCACTGGGTGTATTCAACATAGAACTGGAAGTTCTAGCCAGGGCAGTTAGGTAAGAAAAAGAATTAAACGTAATTGAAATTGAAGAAGTAAAATTATTTCTGTTTGTATAAGACAGGATCTTTTTAATAGAAAATATTGAGGATGCTATAAAATACTATTGGATCAAATAAGAGAATTAAACGAAGTTGCAGAATACAAAATTAACACAAAAATATGTTTTGTTTCTACACATTCACAATAAATATTATGAAAACAAAATTAGAAAAACAATTCAGTTTATAATAGCACCAAAAAGAGTAAAGTATTTAGGATTAACCATATAAAGAAGACAAAAACATATACACTGAAAACTACAAAAATCACTGGAAGAAATTAAAGAATTTATAAGTATATGAAGAGACCTTTTGTGTTCATGGGTTGTCAGATTTAATATTGTGAAGATGTCAATACCACCAAAGAGATGTACAGATTCAATGCAAACCCAATCAAAAATCCAAATGACATTCTACGGCAAAATTAGAAAAATCTACCCCAAAATTCATGTGGAATTTCAAAGGACTCTGAATAGCCAAGAAATCATTTTAAAGAGAGAGAGATTTGGAGGTGCCACACTTCCTGATTTCAAAACTTATTACAAAGCTATGGTAATGAAAATAGTGTCATACTATCCTAAAGACAGACACATAAATGCATAGAATAGAGAGCCCAGAAATAAATCTTCACATTCATAGTCAAATGATTTTTGGCAAGATTCCAAGACAATTTAGTAAGAAATGAATAGTCTTTTCAATAAGTGGCCCTGGGGAAATTGGATATAAATATGCAAAAAAAATGAAGTCGGATTAATTAATTACTATGTAAAGAATTAATTCAAAGTGGATCAAAGTCCTAAAAATAAGAGCTAGAAGTAGTAAACTCTTAGATAGAAATATATGAGAATATTTTCATTACATTGGATTAGGCAAGATTTCTTGAATATGACACCAAATAGAGACAATAAAAGAAAAAAATAGATGAAATGGACTTCACCAAAATTTAAAAACTGTTATACACCCAAGGACACTGACATAAGTGTGAAAAGGGAGAATATATTTGCAAATCATATATCTGATAAGGGATATGAGTATATAAAAACCTCACCTCTACAACTGAACTACGACAAAAACAATTGAAAAAATGGGCAAAGCATTCGAATAGACATTTCTCCAAAGTAGATATACAAATGGCCAATGAGCACATGAAAAGATACCCGACATCACTAATCATCAGGGAAATTCAAATCCAAAACTACTATCAGGGCTGGCGCGGTGGCTCACGCCTGTAATCCCAGCACTTTGGGAGGCCGAGGTGGGCGGATCACAAGGTCTGCAGATCGAGACCATCCTGGCTAACACGGTGAAACCCCATCTCTACTAAAAATACAAAAATTTCGCCGGGCGTGGTGCGAGGTGCCTGTAATCCCAGCTACTCGGGAGGCTGAGGCAGGAGAATGGCGTGAACCCGGGAGGCGGAGCTTACAGTGAGCCAAGATCGCACCACTGCACTCCAGCCTGGGCAACAGAGCAGGACTCGGTCTCAAAAACAAACAAACAACAACAACAAAAGACTATCAGATACTCTTCACACACAGTAGGATGGTTCTTAAAACAAAACAAAACAAACAAAAACAACCAAACAGACAAACAAGAATACTACGTAAGTAACAACTGTTGATAAGTATGCACAGAAATTGAAAGCCTGTGCACCGTTGGTGGAAATGTAAAATGGTGCAGCAGCTTTGGAAAACAGTGTGGCAGCTCCTTAAAAACTTAATGTACCATTGCTATATGATGATTTAGAAATTCCAATTCTTGGCATATACCCAAAATAATTGAAAGCAGATACTTGAAGAGATATTTGTATATCAATGTTCATAGCGACATTATTTATAATAGCCAAATGTGGTTACAACCCAGATGTCCATTACCAATGAATGGATAATCAAAATTAGTATACACCTGCAGTGGAATATCATTCAGCCTTGAAAAATTGAAATTTTGAAACATGCTACAACATAAATGAACCTTGAAAACATTATGCTAAGTGAAATAAATTATACAGAAAAGGACAATTATTGTACAATTTCACTTATATTAAGCACCTGGAATAATCAAATTCATAAAGACAGAAAGTACACAATAGTGGTTACCAGGGGTTGAGGGAAGGGGAGAATGAGGAGTTATTTATTAATAGGTATGTTGCTTCGGTTTGGGATGATGAGAAAATCTCGAGACGGATATTTACAATGTTTTCACAGCAATGTGAATACAATTCATGCTGCTGCTAGCTACACTTCAAATGGTTAAAAGGTGAATTTGTATATTATGTGTATTTTACCACAAGTAAAAACATATTAAGCACTTTCTATACCTGCTACCATATATTGTATTGGACCATAGGGCCAAAGAGATTACAGTCTTTGCAATAAAGTAGAAGTGTATGCCTCTAATATACTTTCATGTATTATTTTTATGGTATCATCTTAAGAAATTGATGTTTAGAAAAGGATAAAAATGGTATGAAATAGTATGTATCAATTTGATTATTTCCTATTTTTTTCTGTTACTTATATTTTCTGACTGAAGGAGTTTTAAGATAGAGCTACCTTTTGTTTACCATCAGGTTTATAGTTATTAGGTGCCCAGTCAGCTTTTTGTTTTCATTGGAAATATTCTTACTCTGAATTTTGTGTAGATGTTTCTTTGGGGAACTGGTGCTGAAGGAAAAACATAATAAACTTATTGTCAAGCAATTAAAATATAGACGTTTTTACTGCACACAGACCCAGCGTATTTATACAGGTATATGAGACTATATTAAAGCAATACTTTCTCCATAGTATTTGGCACTAATCAAACTAATGTAAACATATTGTGAAACTGTAACATTTACTATTCAAGATAGAACATTTATAAGCTGACATAGTCACACTGCCTCAATAATTAAATATTTTAGGAGATAATTGCATCTTAACAACTTAAATAGTACATTAATTAGAGCTAAAAATGTTGTCAGATACAGAAAGGGCAGGTCTTAGGAAAAGCAATTATTTGAATAATACCTGACTAATTTGATAAATTCAGGCAGTCTTCCCAAATCTGAACAAATCAACACCTTTGAAGTATGAATTAGCTGGTCTGGCTATCTACATTGATCAAACTAATCACTGTAGTCAGTGTAGACAAAGTCAATCACTCCTGCTCCAAGAGGAAATAATGTAATTTTTAAATGACACTGAAAGTTAAATTCAACCGAATCCAGCAGATAAGGAGCAGAACAACTAAACAGATATATTACCAACCCGTTATACCATGAAAGAAGTCATAGAAGGATTTCAAAACTTGCCTTAGAGGATTTTTGAAATATAAGTTTCTGCTTTCTGCTTAATAACTACAAGTAGGCTCACAATACTGTAGTAATCAAGTTTTCCCCATAGTTTTATATTTTATAAATTAAATGATGTACTCTTTTATTTAGCAATTATAAATATTGTAAATAAATAATGAATTTGATGAGTGAGAATAAGCAGCAGCACATTTTACTTTGCAAATCTTAGTGCTGCACATTTATAACTTCTACTTGTGATTTCATAAATATGTATAGCTCCACAGGAATTGAGCTAACAGATGACACTGGGTCCTGGCATATTCATAAACATATGACATAATCTCTCTGTTGAACAATCAACTTGATTTTTTTATGAGTCGCAGGTGGGAAGTACTTTGTAACTTATACTCTACGATTTAAATTATCCTTCAAGTAATAGTATACACATATTATTATACATAAAAATGTTACAAAAAGTTTTTATTTGATGAAGTATATTCCTCAACCCAGTAGTTTTTACATTTTTAAAAACCTCTCTTGCCGCAAATGTGATTCCTAGCCTAAGAAATTCTTACCATTAGGAGAAAATAACATTGTCATCATGCCATAGGACTTTTTCTTCTAATACATGTGGTAAAAAAAATAATGCAAGCTTTATAGAAGTTATTCAACAAAAATAAAATCAGTTCCTTGGTTGGTTTCTTATATATTTATCTGGAGGTAGCCTATGCGTATACAAACATATTAGAACATAGATTTTTCATTTATTTTACACAAATTGCAGCATATTACATATATTAGACTCATTGCCCTATGCTTGGCTTTTAAATTGATCCCAAATGTCTTGAAAGTCTTTCTATGTCAGTAAATATAGGTCTCCCTCATTCCTTTCAAAAATAAGTTAGAACCCTATTGTATTTACTACAATTTATTTAATGAGTCCTATAACCCTATTTGTCAATGTTTAGATGAGTTTGTTCAGTCATATCAGCAGAGGAGAACATAAAACAATGTCAAGAGTACAGAACTTAGTATTAAAATAGTTGTGTTCAAATCTTTGCTAGATTACTTAATAACCATGTCACTTTGAAAAGTTCACGTACTATATAGTTACAGAGATGAGGACTTGTTTGACGTAATCCCTGTCCTAAATGACCTCTTCCAAACTACTTAGAAGAAAAAATAGTAGATAAATATAATGGCTAATAATACCATATTGTACTGCTAAGTAATAAATATATAAAAGCATATTTATTATGTAGATAAAACAATAAGGGTACTATATGTGGTTAACAATGATTATCACTGTTGGTTGAATTTATTTTTCCTGACGGAGATTAAATTTGAAATGGTACTTAAAATGAACCTGAAGAAAGAGGGGCTTTAAATAGATACGGAAGAGGAGAAAGACACTCACTCTGGGAAAGATAATCAATCATTTACCATATTACATATTATGATATTTAAATAATTTACATTGTGAAATGTAGTTTCTTCCCCCTCTTTTTGAAGACTTTCACTTTAACATTTTTATTTGCAAGTAAGATATATTTCCAGTGTTTGACTCAGAAACTGATAGGCTGTTACCAAAATCCTCTCCCTCTCTCTTTATTAACCATTGCAAATGTCCTTACTTGGGACAGGAATCAAGTAACAATTCTAAAGTACAATTGGAAATGTTTACAAACTTTCTTTATTATTATACAAATCACACTGTTCTATGCATAATGTCATTATAAATAAAACCCCCTGAATAACAAAAATATTCAAACAGTCTAAGTAACATGATACATGCATATAAGGATAAATAAAACATTTATGATAGATTAACTGTAATGCAGCTATCTATTTATACTCAATTGTTGGTGATATTAGATACAGCACTTTCAGTATTACATACTATTTCTAAAAATCACAGCCTTTCTCTAAGTCCTACAAAATCTCAGTTGTCTATATAGTGACTCAAAAATTAACCTAGGCATTAGCAGGTCTGCATATTATGTATGGTTATTTTGGCAATGGTCTTTGTTTTCTAGACTTTATTCCATTTTTATTATCTAAAATATAATATAAAGTGTAGCTTTTTAAAAGATAATATGAACTACAGGAAATTAGTTATATGGAATATTTATATGACCATATCAGAAAAACAGTTTTTTTTTTTTAGCTAAGGAAATTTTGGAAATTATGGGTTAGAAAATTATGGGTTAGAAAGTTAGAGTATTTATTACTTTTAATCCAACTTTTCACTATGAGATACTTATAAATTGCATGCAGTCTTAAAATATAACACAGAGATCCCATGTACTCTTTATCCTACCCTGGTGGTAATATTTACAAAACTACAGTACAATATCAACCAGAGTATTAACTTTGACACAGTCAAGATACATAACAGTTCACTCACTACAAGGCTTCCTCTTGGGTTTTTTTTTTTTTGTCTGTTTGTTTTTGTTTTTGTTTTTGTTTTTTTTGAGACGGAGTCTCGCTCTGTCGCCCAGGCTGGGGTGCAGGGGCGCGATCTCGGCTCACTGCAAGCTCCGCCTCCCGGGTTCACACCATTCTCCTGCCTCAGCCTCCCAAGTAGCTGGGACTACAGGCGCCTGCCACCACACCCAGCTAATTTTTTGTATTTTTTAGTAGAGAAGGGGTTTCACTGTGTTAGCCAGGATGGTGTCGATCTCCTGACCTCGTGATCCACCTGCCTCGGCCTCCCAAAGTGCTGAGATTACAGGCGTGAGCCACCCCGCCTGGCCTTTTTTTTTTTTTTTTGAGACAGAGTCTCACTCTGTCGCCCAGGCTGGAATGCAGTGGCGCAATCTCGGCTCACTGCAAGCTCCACCTCCTGGGTTCACACCATTCTCCCACCTCAGCCTCCCGAGTAGCTGGGACTACAGGCGCCCGCCACCACACCTGGCTAATTTTTTGTATTTTTAGTAGAGACAGGGTTTCACCATTCACAGGATGGTCTCGATCTCCTGACCTTGTGATCCGCCTGCCTCGGCCTCCCAAAGTGCTGGGAATACAGGCGTGAGCCACCGTGCCCAGACAAGACTTCCTCTTGTTGATCCTGGATAGCCAAACCCTCCTCCCTTTTGTCTGCCTCATCCCTTATCATCCCTGACTTTTGACAACCACTAATCTGTTCTTCATTTCTATAATCATATTTCAAGAAAGTTGTATAAATGGAACCATAGAGCATGTGACCTTTTAAGATTGCCTTTTTTTTCCCCACTCAGTGTAATTCCCCAGAGATTCATCGAAGTTATTGTGTGCATAAATAATTTGTTCATTTTCATTGCTAAAGAGCATTCCACAGTATGCATGTACTACAATTTGTTTAAGCATTCACCCATTGAAAGAAATATATTTTATTGCTTCAAAGCTGGCAAGGATGGAATCGCATTACTGGGTACATACCCAAAGGAATATAAATCATTCTATTATAAAGATACATGCACATGTATGTTCATTGCAGCACTATTCACAATAGCAAAGACATGGAACCAACCTAAATGCCCATCAATGATAGACTGGATAAGGAAAATATGGTACAAATACACCATGGAATACTATGCAGCCATAAAATGGAATGAAATCATCTCCTTTGCAGGGACATGGATGGAGCTAGAGGCCATTATCCCCAGCAAACTAACACAAGAACAGAAAACCAAATACCCTATGTTCTCACTTATAAGTGGGAGCAGAATGATGAGAACACGTGAACACAAGGTGGGGAATAACACATACTGGGGCCTGTCAGAGGGTTGACATGGGTGAGGGAGGGCATCAGGAAGAATAGCTAATGGATGCTGGGCTTAATACCTAGGTGATGGGATGATCTGTGCAGCAAATCACCATGGCACACATGTTTACTGTGTAACAAACCCTGGGAGTATAAATTAGTTCAACCATTATGGAAGACAATGTGGCGATTCCTCAAAGACCTAAAGACAGAAATTCCATTTGACCCAGCAATACCGTTACTGGGTATATACCCAAATGAATATAAATCATTCTATTATAAAAACAGATGCACACATATGTCTATTACAGCACTTTTACAATAGCAAAGACATGGAATCAACCTAAATGCCCATCAATGATAGAGTGGGTAAAGAAAATGTTGTACATATACACCATGGAATATTATGCAGCCATATAAAAAAAACAAGATCATGTCATTTGCAGGGATATGGATGGAGCTAAAGGCCATTAACTTTAGCAAACCAACACAGAAACAGAAACCCAAATACATGTTTTTGGTTATAAATTGGAGCTAAATTATGAGAACACATGGAAACATAGAGGAGAACAACACACACTGGAGTCTATTAGATGGTGGAGGGTGGGAGGAGAGGAGGTTCAGAAAAAATAACTAACGGGTACTAGGCTTAATACCTGGGTGATGAAATAATCTGTACAACAAACCCCCATGACACATGTTTACCTATGTAACAAACCTGCACCTGTAACCAGAACTTAAAATAAAAGTTAAACAAAAAAAGAAGAGAAAGAAAAGAAGAAAGACATCTAGATTGATTTTAGTGTTGGGTTATAATGAATAAAGCAGAAATAAACATTAATGTACAGGTATTTGTGTGAACATAAGTCTTCATTTCTTTGGGGTAAATGCTCTGGAGTGCAATTACTGAGTAACATAGTACTTGCAAAATTAGTTTGAAAGAAACTGCCATATTCCTTACCAGTGACTGTACCATACTACATTTATGCCAGCCATATATGAATGGTCCAGTTTCTCTGCATCTTTGCTAGCACTTGGTGGTGTCATTATTTTCTATTTTAACCTTTATGATAGGTCTGTAGAGATATCTCGTTGTGGTTCTAATTTACATTTTCCTAATGGGAAATTATGCTGAATATATTTTCATGTACTTATCTGCCATCTGATTATTCTCTTTAGTAAAATGTCTGTATGTATTTTGTCAATTTTCTATTTGATTGTTTTTTCACTGTTGGCTTATGAAGGTTTTGATAAGGGGCTTTTTTCTTACAAATTCCAGATACAAATCTTTGATAGATACATGGATTGCAAATATTGTGTCTCAATTTGTAGTTTGTATTGTCATCCCTTCAAGAGTCTTTTTTTGTAAAGCAATAATGTAGGAAAGTTCCTTGCTAGCCTGTAAGAATGCCATTCATTTTGTGTTTTGATCTTGTGTCCTGCAACCTGATGAAAACTGGAAAGAGTTTTTTAAAAAAAAATTATTAACACTTTCTATGTAGATGATCATACCATCTTCAAATAGGGATGGTATATTAGCTCTAATAGATTTTGCTGAATTTCTTAGGATTTTCTATATACAAGATCATGTCATCGCCATGAAGAGTTTTTTCTTCCTTTCCAATATGGATGTCTTTTACTTCTTACTTCTTGTTTTATTGCAGTGGTTAAAAATTCCAGTAGTATGTTGAACAAGAGTGGCAAAAGTGGACATCATGTTCTTCCTGATCTTAGAGGGAAAAAGCACTAGATTTTTCACCATTAAATATCATGTAACCTGTAGATGTTTTTTAGATACTCTTTATCAAGTTGAAGAAGTTCCCTTGGTATTCCTAGTTTTCTGAGAATTCTTATCATAAATGGGTATTAGGTGTTGTCAAATGCTTTTTGTGCGTCAATTGATATAATAATATAATATTCTTTCATAACCTATTCATTACGTGGACAGCTTTTCATATTTTGAAACAGTCTTGACACCTAGAATAAATTCCTTTTGGTTACAGTGTATAAATATTTTGTAAATTACTGTGTTCAATTTGGTAAATTTTTATTGAAGATTTTGCATTTATATTTATAACAGATATTGGTCTGTAGTTTTCTTCTTCTTTATACTTTCTTTGTTTGATTTTGGTAGCGGGGTAATAACGGCCTCATAAAGTCAGCGAGAAAATGTTCCCTCCTCTTCTATTTTCTAGAAGATATTCTATACAATTACCAATTAATGTCATGCCTGGTGATGTTTGATTCATAGCTGTGGAAGTTGTAGCAACTACACCTGGCTTCACGACCTTAGAAACAGCAAGAGCCGGCCGGGCGCAGTGGCTCACGCCTGTAATCCCAGCACTTTGGGAGGCTGAGGCAGGCGGATCACGAGGTCAGGAGATCGAGACCATCCTGGCTAACACAGTGAAACCCCGCCTCTACTAAAAATACAAAAAATTAGCTGGGCGTGGTGGTGGGCACCTGAAGTCCCAGCTACTCGGGAGGCTGAGGCAGGAGAATGGCGTGAACCCAGGAGGCGGAGCTTGCAATGAGCCGAGATGGTGCCATTGCACTCCGGCCTGGGCGACAGAGGGAGACTCTGTCTCAAAAAAAAAAAAAAAAGAAAAAAAAAAAAAAAAAGAAAAAGAAAGAAACAGCAAGAGCCATTGCTAAGGCTATGCCAGACAAATTCATGGCTTTGGGATAATGCTTGAACTGAGTGTGTAACACGTGGTTTGTAAGGTTTTAACTGATTTGATCTCTGCCTTTTTCTTGACCCTCATTACAACTATTCACCTCACACAGTATACTTTGGCTACATGGTTCCTCAAAGTAGTAAAGTTTTTAACTTCTTTAGAATATTTGCATTTCTTTTTTTCTCTGCATAAAATATTTGCCAAATATGTGCAAGTCTAGCTCCTTTTGGTCTCTAACAACTCAGCTCACCTATCACCTCCTTAGAGATCATCTTTGATTCTATTAATAAAAAGAGATTACAGGTAACTCTCCAGAACGTTGCCTTGGTTTGTTTTATCTGAAGCACTTATCACAATCTTGTTTACTTACTTGTTTACTTATTTATGTTTTTTCTTTCCAACTCTAGAACATAACTGCATGTAAGTAGGGATATGATTTTTCTTGTTTACTGCTGCATTTATACTACCTATAATGGATCTGGCACATTGTAATAGACGTCTTTATTTTAAAATATTAGTAACGTATTTCCTAATGGACATGTGATGAGCAACTTAGATTTCCCTTCAAGACCATGACACTCAGGCTTTCAGCTGCTGGGCTTTCTCTGTGTCCCTCTCTGGGAATTGCCCTCTGCTAAAAGAAGATACCTCACCAAAGTCATGTCCCTTCCTTAGAGGTAGCTTGCATCTTCTCACAGGTCAATGCAGGAATGAAAAGGCCTCGCTCTATTGCCTCAGTGCCACACATTTCTGAGGGGCCACACCAAGCTCAGAGCTGCTTTTAAGATGCGCTGAGGTCTCTGTTATAAAAGCATTGCAGTTTTATTTCGCCTTCTACCCAGTCCTGCTTCCTTCAGGGCCTTACAGGGTTGGTTCCAAGAGCTCTCCTCAACAATCTTTTGAATGCAAATTTCTATCTCAGAGACTGTTTCCTAGGGTACTTGACATAAAGCAGCTACTTCAGAAATATTTCTCAAATCTAACCTTTTCATCCAACTACCACTGACGTATTATCAGCCTTATTACTTACTATTTGGATTATTTCAACAGTCTTCTTTCGCATCTCTTGTCTACCAGTTTTAAAATTCTTAGTCCTCAATCCCTTAAACTTTATTGAGTCATAGCTCCCTCTGGAAATCTGATAAAGTTTTGTCTTCTTCCTCTATCCCCATCAAATACATGTAATTTTGCACCTATATACAAATTGTTGCATATAATTTTCATGGGCTAGGACTTCTTGAAACTCATCTATAGAACCTAGTTGAAGAAGTTCTGTTTGAAAGGCTTAATTGGAACAACTGAGTAGGCAAAATATATAATTATTTACACACTTATTTTTTTTAAGAAAAAATAGAATATAATTTTTCTATATCTTTATTTGCTCTTACAAACTCTTAGAGGCTCTTTCTCTTTGAAGGGGTTTGGTTGTACAGTAGTAGTTCTAATATGAAGTAGTAAGTAGTTCTTACTTCACATGAGTAAGTAATTTGTCCCCATTAATTTTGTATAATATAAAATGAAGAGAATTTTTTGAATGCAAATGGACTACTAATATGCATCATTTTAAATTGCTGATTAAATTAGCTAAAATCAAGAGAGTCACGATAAACGGCAAGCCACATGTGCTTTCCAGAAATGTGAATGCAGAATAATTTATCTACTAAAGTTAAAATAATGATATTTAAAACACTGAAATATATGTCTGATTGACTCATGGTCATTAACTCGATACAAATGAAAATCTTCTAATTATTTTATGATATTGAGGCTCAATTTGTTATTTTTCTATGCAGAGGAATTTTTTAGATGACGAATTTCATTACAAAATCATTCATTTCATTACACACAGTCATTACAAAAAACTTTTTTTAACATTCTGTGAAATTTTATAGGTAATGCAGATGTTTATAACTTCATGTTTATTCAGCATTTTTTAGGTATCAGGCAGTTTGTTACATACTTTAAATCAATTAGTCCATTTAATCTTCAAAACTACCTTAAAAATGATTTTGAACCCCATATTTCAAATGAAGAAAGACAGAGCAAGCTTGTCTCACCCAGGGCCTGCTGGCTGCATGCAGCTCAGGGCAGCTTTGAATGTGGCCCAACACAAATTCGTAAACTTTCTTAAAATACTTTTTTTAGCTCATAAGCTATCATTAATGTTAGTGTATTTTATGTGTGGCCCAAGACAATTCTTCTTTCAGTTTGGCCCAGGGAAGCCAAAAAATTGGACACCCCTGACTTAGAGGTTCTGTCATTAGCCCAAGGTCACACAGGTAGTGAGTGAAGAACCAAGACTCAAACTCATGACTAGTGTATCTGTATAATGTAAAAATTCCTTTAAAAGGATCTATATTTAAATTCATCCCCAGTAGTGTAATATATATTTCTATTATCCCTATATTAGATGACTATTGCTGTATAGAAAACCACCTCAAAAATTAATGGCTTAAAACAATAATCATTCATTTGCTTGCAACTCTGTAGGCCAGCAATTTGAGCTAGTCTCAGCCAGGATGGTTCATCTCTACTCTGTGAGGTGTTGGCTGGGGTCAGTGTTCAGTCTAAGGCCACAGTTTGCATAGATGGAAAGGCTGGGATTACCAGTCCGCTCTCACTACATGATCTCTCATCTCCCAACAGACTAACATGGTCTTAGTCAAATGGTGACAGCATTTCTAGGAGAGAATGGAGCTATTAGGCCTCCTGAGGCCTAAGTTTAGAAAATGCACCACATCAATTCTGTTTCATTCGGTTGGTCAAAGCAAGTCAAAAAGCCAGTCCAGGTACACAGACTTTAAAACTAGATTCCATCTTTTGATAAAGGGAGATGAAACTAATTTTTGATAATTTGAGATTTTTTCTATTCCCATTAATAGTAATAATAAAGGCCTATTGTTTAATAATTACTTAATTGTTATTATTTACTAACTACTATATCATATTTAATGTAGTAATCAAAATGAAGATTCTTGAAATTATCAAGATAAAAGTGAAAATACTGAAAAAATGGTATTATTATTGGTAAATTAATACGGTAGATTCAAATGTAGTTAGTTTGTTTGATAGAAGCAATAGAGGTTCTTTAGAATATACTGTAAAGTAAAATTCTTTTTTAAGTTTAGTGTCTTATTTTTGAAGCAACTCAAGAACCTACATCTTTTGACATTTTTTATTAATATATAAGTAGTTTCTAATAGTTTAAAAGAGCCATGGAATTTAAATTTATCACTGTTTCTGATAAAATCAAAGTTATTTAAAAATATTTTATCTTTGGAATACCTAAATGAATACATTGAAACATTCAGAAAACAGAAGCAGAAAGATTCAACAACTGATGCAATTATCTTGTCAACAAGTTACAGAAAATTATGCCTCTAGCTAAACACATTAATGCTTGGAAATTCATTTTTCTTTTAAAACTTTCTAGTAGGTTAAAAATAGTGGTTGATGAAAATGTATTAAAAGAAATATAATTCATAATTATTTGCAGAATTATAAAATGGTTAAAATGTTAGTGCAAAAATATTATCAGCCTTTATTTTTGTTTTAGAATAATTTTCTCCTAAAATAAATGAAAACATTAGGTACTAAGTACTTTAGCAGTTGGCAAGGCAATATTGCTTTGTGTGTTTTCCAATGATTAAGACTAATCATTCAGATGATTTCTATTAGAATTTCTCTTTCTGTGTTAAAAAAGAACTTTGTTTATAAAGTCAAATACTGAGCTTTCTTTTCAACCTGAGTATTGACTTATTCCTTTGTCTAATGGAGAGCAGTAACTTCTACATTCCAGGAAGAATACCAAGCATAGGATACCCAAACTGATAAACTGCTGTACTCTTCTTTATTTATTGACTGCCAAAGTCCAGTTAAGATCCAATTAAAGCCCAAGATAAAAGAAGAGGAAAAATTAACAATAGATCAGCAAACACACAAAACTTCTTGTGGAATAAAAGTAGAAATATTTGGTTCTAGAATCATGAGCTTAACTCTTCCTGAAAAATATACAAGGTACCTTCCCACCTCACCTAATGAATAGGTTTTACTCTATAGAATGATTATTTCCTAAGCTCGATTAACATTGGTGATTTCTGACTAAAATCATCCATGCCCACAATACACATCCTCTCAGGTGGCAGACACCCTGATAATTTACCTTGTTTTTTGCTATCTTGTATAGTTGGCACGAAGGACATGAGAGGGCTAAATAAAGACTTGATGTAAACATTTTTTTCAGGGAACATAGCTTACCAAAAACCGTCAGACATTTTCCAAACTTGGTCGTGATAACAATCATAGTAAATGCAATGCAATTAACACTCATAGAATACCAGGCCTATAAAATTACATTTGATTTAATGTTTACAACTCTCTCTCTTATACATTACTATTTCTATTCCCCAGGCAAGTAAATTGAGGTTCCAAGAATTTAGTGGGGGATAGAGATAAGATTTAATTAATTCTTTTTCAAAACTTAGGAGTTCTGTGAACAGTAAATGAGATCAGAGTCTAGGAGATCTGAATTCACAAGGGGGCTTTATCCATAGAAAACATCATAAAGCAGGCTATGCCTATTCATACTGACCTAAGTCTCAAAAGGGAATTGAGTTAAATGTAAGCTCCATACCTCACTGAGTTCTCAAAACTGACCAGCACACCGTCTAATTTTGAATGCACATTTCTATATATGTCTTTGTGTACATATGTTGATTTCTTCTGATGGAGCAAAGTATTTCATTATCTAGGTCTGAAGCATGCACAAAGAAAATGAAATGACTGGGATAAGAATCAGATCATATTTTTTAATTTGAATTCATTTAAGTTAATTAAAGATGTCATATCTTCGTATGAATTGGATTTAATTCATGTATTGAGTTCAAACAGTTTCTTAAGGGAAAAAATTATTTCCTGAAGTATTCAGATAATAGTAGCAAAGGTCTTTTAAAAGTTATAGTGATCTAATTTTTTGTGTTCACTGTTGTTTACATACATTAGTATATATTAAACTTAGGCACACAAATCCGCCTATAAAGTATTATTTTATAACTTTTCTCAACACATATAATTCTTAATGCTGACTTTGCATGTAGAACTTGCTTCGATATTAGTTATACTTTGATATTTTAAATGTCAGCAGTTCATCTTTGATGAGCAGCTTAACAATTCTAAAATAGCATGTATATTCTTTTAATAAAGGAGAACCAGTTTTCAAACTCGTGTCAACATTTTATTCTACTGCATACCAAGTGTCTATTGTTAAAAATGGTGAGTTGAAAATCAGCTAGCTGGTGCCTTTTCAAACCCATAATGTCCCAGTAAATTTGACTGTAATATATTTAAGCTACTAAAGACTCACTTATACCCAAACATGAAAAGAATATTAATGTAGCACTGGAAGTCTGAATATGAGCATCAGAATGATGTTCTTTTCCTGTAGACATTATATCATATTAACAGATGGCTTGCTTTTTTGCAAAGGAGATTTTTTTTTACTGCTACAAAAAACACTCATGGTATAACTGAAAAGACAGTTGGGCAGGGAGTGAGAAGATTGGGTTTTAGTCTAAGCTTTTTTATAATTCCACTTACATGACCTGAGATAAGTCAGTTTTAGAAACTGAAAAAATTTTTTAGAAGTTTATGTTAACACTGTGGATATTAAAGAGGAAATTTGAAATAGGCATTTAGTATCAACCTTAAAGAAGAGGAAGAGAGGACCACAAAATACCACTTTCTTTAAAGTACCATTAGAGGATCACAACCCATTAGAGAATTTTTAAATAAATTAAGTGGACCAAAGCATTTTTAAAGAAATAATTAAGAATACAGTAGAGTAGAAAATATTTGTGTCTCACAGATAGCAAGTGTACATACTCTGTGAGAGTTCTCTTTCCGTTATATAAATGTCTTGTGGTTTGCCATTAAATATTAGATCAACTTTTCCCCAAATAAACTTAGTTTAAGTATTGAGACACCAAGAGGATATAGGAAAAGGCATATCGTTAACATAAAGAGGCTTCCTATGAAGAGTAAGGAAGACACAAAAGTTGGTTCAAATGATTTCAGTGAAGGGATGGGGCCAGTGGCTTTATTTTTTATTATGATTTGGAAGTGGGGCTGGCTGGAGTGAGGGTTTTTAGAGTTTGAGTGGTTCGCACTTCTCTCTGGCACCAAAAAAGTGAACTAGAGAATGTACATGTTGTTTCATTAATTTTCTCAGCTTTGAGAAAAAGAGGACAATGGAGTGGTTGAGCTTTGAAGCTTTCATGGTCAAACATCAAAAACGAATTCAGAATCTTTGTTATGAGAGATATGCATGTGTATAACTGGTCACTTCTTGAGAAGGGCTATCAAAAAAATTAAAGTTTCTATCCTCATGCAGTTTTACCACTTAAAATTGAGGAAAATTAGGCTAAACACATTTCAAAATATTAGAAATCTGGAAGTTATCTTGTGAGGGAAGAGTTCCAGTTTATGTGGTTTCTATCTACTTATTTATCCCCAGTGCAAGGGGACTTCTGCAAGTGGAAAGAGACCTTCTTTGCTAATAGATATATAGGTTGTACTTATACAAGAGTCATGGTGTGTTAGCCATCACTCGAATTACAATCGATAATCTGAAACTATGTCCATTGGTAGGCCTGTAGGAGTATTCTATCCACTAGTATCACAGGACAGTCGACCTATCAGAGAATATGTCAATATCTCTCAACGAGGCATTAGAGTCTCCTTAGAAATTTATACTCCTAGCCCTGGTGGATATCATTTTCCAGAAATATATTCCTGACTTGGAGCAACCCCAGCTGTTTTTGCACCTCACTCGTGCCCGTGGATGACTGCTTTGAAGTAAGTGGTATTTTGTGGCCCTTTCTTTCTTCGTTTTTCTTAAAGTTAATACTAAATACATATTTCAAATTTCCCCTTTAATATTCACAGAATTAATATAAACAACCCATATCTCAGACTTTTAACATTATTGTGTAATACGCCTTACCATGTAAGTTATAATTTTACTGATAAAATCATAATGTTTTATTTCTAATTTCTCTGTTCTATGAATGATTTAAAAGATTCTCCTTCCTAAAATATTTCTGTACCCTAACTTATTGTATCCCAAATATTAACTAAGGATTCATTGACCAGTAAAATCTAGTTAGAATGAACTTGAATCCCTTTTCAGGTCTTATGAAAGTGTCAAACTATTTCCAGGAGTTCCATGAATTCCTAGAAAACCTAGGTTCTCATAGTCATCAAAGCTCTAGGTTTCTACTTCTGCTGAATTACTTCCATTTATAGATAATTTCTCAAAGCTATATTTTTCCCATTCCTGTTTTGCCTTGCATTATATGAAGAAAGAAACAATTTGTGTGTGTGTGTGTGTGTGTGTGTGTGTGGAGTCGGAGTCCCACTCTGTCATTCAGGATGGAGTGCCGTGCCATGATTATAGCTCACTGCAGCCTCAAACACCAGGACTCAAGTGATTCTCCTACCTCAGCCTCCTAATTAGCTGGCAGTACAGGTGCATGTCACCATGCCTGGCTAATTGTTTTTGTAGAAATGGGGTCTTAGTATGTTGTCCAGACTGGTCTTGCATTCATGGCCTCAAGCCCTCCTCCTGCCTTAGCCTCCCAAAGTGCTGCAGTTACAGGTATGAGCCACCTTGCCTGGTGTGATTAGCATGATTTACTTAAATTTTTTAATTTTAATTTTAGTGGGTACACAGTAGGTATGTATATGTATGGGGTAAATATATATATATATATATATATATATATATATATATATATATATATAAAATGAGATGTTTTGATACAGGAATGCAATGCATAATAATCATGTCATGTGAAATGGGGTGTCTATACCTCAAGCATTTATCCTTCGTATTGCAAATAATCCAATTATACTATGTAAGTTATTTTTAAATGTAAAATTAAATTATTATATGGTTTGTGGAAAAGTGTTTTTTTCAAATGTATTAAAACATTGCAAATATATATTAGTATTATCATTAACTAAACTCCATGATTTATTCAGGTTTCTTTGGTTTATTTTCCAGAGTTCCATCCTGGATACATCCTAAATTTAGTCATCATGTCTCCTTAGGATCTTCTGGAATATAACAGTTTCTCAGATTTACTTTGGTTTTTTACAACCTTAACAGCTTTAAGGCATACTGGCCAGGTGTTTTGTAGAATTTCCCTTGATTTTGGGGTGTCTTCTGTTTATCTCATAGTTAGATTGTGGTTATGAGTTTTGGGAGGTAAAGTGCTATTTTAATCATATGATATCAAGGGTAAATCCTACCAACATGACTTAATACTGATGATGCTAACCTTGATCAACAGTTGAGGTAGTTTTTGAAAATTTCTCCACTATAAAGTTACTTTTCCCTCCTTTCTTTTCCAGTCAGAAAGCCAGTTCCACACTTTAAGGGAAGGGGAGTTATGCTCCACTTTCTTGAAGTGTATTTTATTGCTTAAATTACCCCAACTTTGGCCATTAGGAGCTCTTTCGGTTGGTTCTGGTGTCTCCTTGACAAATCTTCATCATTGTGGGCTTGATTTTTTTTAATCTCTCTCATTTTCCTGCCCTATAAACTTCTCCAGGCCAATCCTATATATTTTCTGCCTCAGGCCTAGCTCCATCCTCTTCTCCAAGGATCCTCAGTTCTTTTTGTTGAAGAATGGAATTAGACAACAACTCCTGGGCACTAGATGTGTTTGTTGTTACTGGCATCTCATTGTTTCTAAGGCCTTTCAACAGATAGTGCTAATATATACTAACCCCAGTATATACACAGGTTTATAATTCCATATATATATATATATATATATACATACACACACACACACACAAATGTATTTATATTGAAATAAAAATGAATTGATACTTATATCTCCAACTCTAATCAGTACTAAAAGGTTCATTCTGGCCTCTCTCCTTGCTTATCTGTAATCTCTAACTCCCACAGTGAAAAAACCTAGTCTCCACCATCCATGAATCATTTTTCTTATTTGTTCAATTTTATTATACCCACATAGGTATAATAAGAGTACAGTGCTCATGTATCACTTCTTTGTCTTTAGTCTTATAGATTCTATTCATTTCCAAAACTATTCAGGTCAGCATCTCTATCCCCTTCCTTGTTTCAGTGAGGTTATATTATACATTTATAATACAGTTAGGTTCTGTTGTCATAATCTACATTTTATTCTTGGATACCCTTCCCTTCTAGTTGATGTTTTAAAATTTCCATACTTAAAGGTTTATTCTTCTGTTGTAAAGTTCTGTGGATTTGACAAAGGTGTAGTGTAATATATTCACCACTGGAGTACCATATGAAACTGTTTCACCATCCTGAAAAAAAAAAAAAATTTCCTGTGTGTCATCTAGACCCCTGTTCCCTTTCTCAAACCCTTGACAATTCTTGATCTGTTTACCATCTTTACTGTTTATTATTTTCCAGATTGTTATATAAATGGAATCATGCAGTATGTAGCCTCCTCATACTGGCTTCTTTCAATTAGCAAGAGACATTTAAAATTTATCCATATTGGCAAGTGAATTAATAGCTTTTTCCTTTTAATCAATGAAAATAGTATTATATACTATGGATGTACAAGTTTATTTATCTGCTCATCTATTGATGACATCTTTGTTGCTCCTAGTTTTTAGTGATCATGAATAAAAACTATAAGCATTCACATGCAGGGTTTTCTATGGACATAAATTTTCAAATCACTTGTGTAAATACCTAAGAGTTTAATTGCTGAATGGTATAGTAAGGCTATGATTAATTTTGAAGAAACTGCCAAACTGTCTTACAAAGTAGCTGTACCATTTGCATTCCTACCAGGAATGAATGAGAGTTCTTGTTGTTCCACATCCTTGATAAAACTCGGTATAGTTAGACATTTTGTATTTTAGTCATTTTAACAGGTGTTTAGTAATATCTCATTCTTGTAATTTGCATTTTCCTAATAGAAAATAATGTTAAGCATCTTTCTATGTCTTTATTTACTATCTATAAATCTTCTTTTGTGAGGTTTAAAATTATTTTCTCAGGTCTTAGAGGAAAGACTTTAAGGTTCTCCTATTTTTAAATGGGTTGTTTTCCAATCATTGACTTTTACGAATTCATTGTATATTTTGGATACAATTTCTTTATCGGATATGTATCTTCCAAATATTTTCTCCCAGTCTGTGATTTTTCCTTCCACCTGAGGAGAGGAGAGGGAAGAGTGGTGAGGATGTTGTATCATGGATACCAACTCAGGCACAGCAGGATAGAAAACCAGTCAGAATCATAAGGCCCTCTTTCCAGGCTCCCAACTAACATTTCTAGACATACCCTGGGCCAGAAGGGAACTTGCTTCCTTGAAGAAAAAAAAAAAATACAGTCCTGGAAGGATTAATCATCTGCTTATTGAAGAGCTTTTGGCCTTGAATTACCAGCAGTGATACAAAGGTATGACATTGAGGGCCTTGGGTGGGACTCTGAGACTTGCTGACTTCAAGTATCAGCTCAGCCGTGGGGAGGGTAGAGTAACAAGTGAACCCTTGAGATTGGCAATTTCAGGACTTGGCTCTTGGATGGAATTTCTGGAGATTCCCTGGGCCAGAGGGGAGACCACTTCCCTGAAAGGTAAGTCCCAGGCCAGATACCATCCACCACAAGCTGACTGAAGAGCCCTTGGGCATTGAGGGAATATTCATGGTAGTCTGGCCGTACTCCCCATGGGCCTGTTGTAGCAGTGATCACAGAGTGAGGTGCCTCTGCCTTTGGAAAGGGTAGGGAAGAGTGGAAAGGACTGCATATTGTGATTTGAGTGCCACCTCAGCCACAGTACAATAGAATACCAGGTAGACTTCTAAGGTATTTTACTCTTGCTGTTAGGAGTTGCCTCCTAAACAGCAACTCTGGACCCAGCAAGAGCTTGGAGGAACTCACTGTCCCGAAAGAAAAGAGACAGACCTTACTGACTTTGTGTACTGCTGATTATAGAGTCCCAAGGCTTAGAACAAACATAGGCAGTAGAGTGGTTACAGGAGGCCTTTGATGAGACAGAGTGCTATGCTGGCTTCAGATCTGACCCAGTGCAGTCTTAGTGGTGGTGGCCATGGGGTGCTTGTGTCACTCTACCTCAAGCCTCAGGTAGCTCAGAAAAGAGAGAGACTCCATTTGCTTGAGAGACAGAGAAGAGAACAAGAGTCTCTGCCTGGTAATCCAGAGAATTGTCTCAGATCTTGCCCAAGACCATCAAGAGGATACCTCTGAAATTCTGGAAGAACTACAGTGTTAATAGGCTTGGGGCACACCTTAAAGCAGATACAGCTTAGATAAAAACACCCAAGTCCTTCCTAATATCTGAAAAGCCTTCCCAAGAAGGATGAGTACAAACAATCCCAGACGGGGAAGACTACAATTACCTAAGTCTTCAACGTCCAGATACAAATGAAGATCTATAAGTATCAAGATAACCCAGGAAAACATGACCTCATCATATGAAAGAAATAAGGCACTAAGGACTAATCCTGGAAAAACACTAATATGTGAACTTTGAGACAGAGAATTTAAAATAGCAGTTTTGAGGAAATGCAAAGATATTCAATATAATACAAAGAAAGAATTCAGAATTACATCAGAAAAATTTAACAAAGGGATTAAAATGATTACAAAGACTCAGGAAGAAACCCTGGAGCAAAAGAAATGCAACTGGAATACTGCAGAATGCATTAGATTTTTTTTTTTTTTTTTTTTTGAGACGGAGTTTTACTCTTGTTCCCCAGGCTGGAGAGCAATGGCATGATCTCGGCTCACCGCAACCTCTGCCTCCTGGGTTCCAGCGATTCTCCTGCCTCAACCTTCCCAGTAGCTGGGATTACAGGCATGTGCCACCACGCCTGGCTAATTTTGTATTTTTAGTAGAGATGGGCTTTCTCCATGTTGGTCAGGCTGGTCTTGAACTCCTGACCTCAGGTGATCAGCCCGCCTCAGCCTCTCAAAGTGCTGAGATTACAGGCATGAGCCACCATGCCCAGCAGCATCAGATACTTTTAATAGCAGAATTCATCAATCAGAAGAATTAGTGAGCTTGAAGACATGCTATTTGAAAATACACAGAGGAGAGAAAAGAAAAAATAATAAAAATCAATGAAGCATGCCTGTAGGACCTAAAAAATGACCTCAAAAGAGCAAATCTAAGAGTCCTTGTTCTTACAGAGGAGGTAGAGAGAGAAACAGGTAAGAGTACAAAGTTTACTCAAAGGAATACAGCAGAGAACTTCCCAAATCTAGAAAAAATTAATATCGAAGTGCAAGAAGGTTACAGAACATCAAGCATATTTAGCACAAAGACTATATCAAGACATTTAATAACCAAACCCCTGAAGTTCAAGAATAGAGAAAATATCTTAAACGCAGCAAGAGAAAAGAAATAACATACAATGGATGTTAAATAATCAAACTTCCAAAAGTTTGCTCTTGCTAAAAGCAACAAGAGAAAAAACAAACTACAAATAACAAGCAACGGAGCTTTAAAATGTCTAACAGCAGACTTTTTACTGGAAACTTTACAGGCTAGGAGAAAGTGCAATGACCTATGTAAAGTGCCGAAGGGAAAAAACAAACAAACAAACAAACTTCTACCCTAGAATCACATATCTGGTGAAAATATCCTTTGAACATGAAGGAGAAATAAAGACTTTGTCAGACAATCAAAAGCTGAGGGATTTCATCAACACTAGACTTGTCCTAAAAGAAATGGTAAAGGGAGGCTGGGTGCGGTGGCTCATGCCTGTAATCCCAGCACTTGGGAGGCCAAGGCAGGTGGATCATGAGGCCAGGAGATCGAGACTATCCTGGCTAACATGGTGAAACCCCGTCTTTACTAAAAATACAAAAAATTAGGGCGTGGTGGTGGGCGCCTGTAGTCCTAGCTACTGGGGAGGCTGAAGCAGGAGAATGGCGTGAACCCAGGAAGTGGAGCTTGCAGTGAGCTGAAATTGCACCACTGCACTCCAGCCTGGGCGACAGAGCAAGACTCTGTCTCAAAAAAAAAAAAAAAAAAAAAAAAAAGAAAAAGAAACAGTAAAGGGAGTACTTCAATAAAAAATAAAAGGATGTTAATGAGCAATAAGTAATCACATGCAAGTACAAAACTCTCTGATGATAGTAAGTACACAGAGAAACAGAATATTATAACACAGTAATTGTGGTGTTTTAATTACTCTTTTGCTAAGTAGAAAACTAAACAATGAACCAATGAAAAATAATAACTACAACTTTTCAATATACAAACATGAAGTTTGTATAATTTATAAATAGAAACAACAAAAAGTTAAAAAAATGGGTGGACAAAGTTAAGATGTAGTCATTTTGTTAGTTTTATTTTTGCTTTTTTGTTTTTATGAACTATTTATTAGGTTAAAATAATGGGTTATAAGATAGTATTTGCAAGTCTCCTGGTAACCTCAAACCAAAAACTATACAAGAGATACAAAAATAAAATAAAATTCAAGAAACAAAATCTTACCACCAGAGAAAATCATTTTACCAAAAGGAAGACAGAAATGAAAGAAGGAAGAGAAGACCAGGAAACAAACAGAAAACAAAAAGTGGCAGAAATTGGTCCTTACCAATAATAGCATTTAAGGTAAATAAAATAAACTCTCCAATCAAAAGACATAGACAGGCTGAATGAATTATGAAACAAGGCCAATTAATACTTTGCCTACAAGAAGGATGCTTCACCTATAAATACACACATAGATTGAAATTAAAGAGATGGAAAAAGATATCTCATGAAAATGTAAACGAAAAAGAGCAGGAGTCACTCTACTTATATAAGACAAAACAGATTTCAATGGCTGGATGTGGTGGCTCACACCTGTAATCCTAACACTTTGCGAGGCCAAGGCGGGCAGATTGTCTGAGCTCAGAAGTTTGAGACATGCCTGGGCAACAAGGTGAGAAACCCTGTCTCTACTAAAAATAAAAAAATAGTAAAAATTCAAAATAAATTTCAAGACAAAAACTATAAGCAGCGACAAAGAAGCTCACTATATAATGAAAAAGGGGTCAATTCTGCAAGAAGATGTAACAATTGTAAATATATATGCACCCAACAATGGAGCACCCAGATACATAATGCAAATATTATTAGAGCTAAAGTGAGAGATAGGCCTCATTACCATAATGCCCCACTTTCAGTATTGGACAGATCTTTCAAACAGAAAGTCAACCAAGAAACATTGGATTTAACGTGCACTGTAGACCAATTAATACTTACAAAATTGAATACATATTTACAAAACGTTTTATCTAACAGCTGCAAAATATACATTCTTTTCTCAGCACTTAGATAATTCTGAAGAATAGACCATATGTTAGGTCACAAAGCAAGTCTTAAAACTTTCAAAACAAATTAAAATAATATCAAGCATCTTCTCTGACCACATGAAATAAAACTAGCAATTAATACCAAGAAGAATTCAGAAACTGGGCAAATAAATGGACATTTAAAAAGATGTCCCTGAATGACCAGTGGGTCAATGAAGAAAATAAGCAAAAAATAGAAAAATTTCTAGAAACAAATGATAATGAAAACACAGCATACCAAACCTTATGGGATGCAGGAAAAGCAGTACTAGGAGGGCAGTTCATAGCTATCAGTGCAAACATCAAAAAAGAAGAAAAACTTTAAGTAAATAACCTAATGATGCA
The DNA here is from genome assembly GCF_000001405.40 of Homo sapiens. Classification (NCBI taxonomy): domain Eukaryota; kingdom Metazoa; phylum Chordata; class Mammalia; order Primates; family Hominidae; genus Homo; species Homo sapiens. Next base: position 92,946,414 of record NC_000023.11, on the reverse strand, counting down.
GCTTAAAAAACTAGAAAAGCAAGAGCAAACCAAACCAAACCCAAAATTAGTGGAAGAAAGGAAATAATAAAGATCAAAGCAGAAATAAATGAATTTAAAATGAAGGAAACAATACAAAGCATGAATGAAACAAGAAGCTGATTTTTGGAAAAGCTAAACAAAATTGACAAACCTTTAGCCAGACAAAGACAAAAAGGTAAGATTCAAATAAAATAAGAGATGAGAAAGAAGATATTACAACTGATACTGCAGAAATTCAAAGGATAATTTGTGGCTACTATGAGCAACTATATGCCAATGAATTGGGAAATCGAGAAGAAATGCACTAATTCCTAGACACATAAAACCTACCCAGATTGAACCATAAAGAAATAAAAAATCTAAGCAGCCCAATGACATGATACAAGATAGAAGCCATAATAAGAAGTCTCTTAGTAAAGAAAAGCTTGGAACGCAATGGCTTCACTACTGAATTCTACCAAACATTTAGAAAATAATACCAATTCTACTCAAATGATTCTGAAAAATAGAGGAAGAAATACTTCCAAACTCCTTATACGAGGTCAGTATTACTCTGATACAAAAACCAAAGATACATAAAAGAAGAAAACTGTAGGCCAATATCTCTGATGAATATTGATGCAAATATCTTCAACAAAATGCTAGCAAATCAAATTCAACAATACATTAAAAAGATAGTTCATCATGACCAAGTCCAGTTTATCCCTGGAATGCACGGATGGTTCAACACAAGCAAATCAATCAATGTGACACATCATATGAACAGAAAGATGGACAACAACTGTATTAGCATTAACATTGATACTGAAAAAGCATTTGATAAAATTTAGCATCTCTTCATGATAAAAACTCTCAAAAAACTGGGGATAGAAGGAACATACATCAACACAATAAAAGTCATATATTACAGAACCATAGTTATGCTTCTGTAACCATAACTAATGATATGGTTTGGGTCTGCGTAGGAGAAAATTGAAAGCCTTTCCTTCAAAATTGATATGGTTTAAGTCTGAATGGGGAAAAACTGAAAGCCTTTCCTCTTAGATTGGAAACACAATAAGGATGCCCACTTTCACCCTTGTTATTAAACATAGTACTGGAACCCCTAGCTAGAGCAATCAGACAACAGAAAGATATAAAGGACATCGAAATTGCAAAAGATGAAGTCAATTTTTTCTTGTTTGCAGATGTTATGATTTTATATTTGGAAAAACCCAAAGACTCCACAAAAACAATGATTAGAACTAATAAATTCAGTTAAGTTTCAGGATACAAAATCAATGTACAAAAATTAGTAGCATTTTTATATGCCAATGGTAAAAATTGTGAAAGAGAAAATAAAACGTAATCCCAATTACAATAGTCACAAATAAAATTAAATATCTAGGAATTAACAAAATATGTGAATGATCTCTATGATAATGAAAACTATAAAACACCGATGAAAGAAATTGAATAGGAAACCAAAGACATGAAAAAATATTCCATTTTCCTGGATTGGAAGCATCAATTTTATTAAAATGTCCATGCTATCCAAAAACATCTACAGATTTAAAGCAACCCCTATCAAAATACCAAATACATTCTTCAAGAAAAAGAAAACACCATCCTAAAATTTATATGCAGTCACAAAATATTCAGAATAGTCACAGCTAAGTAAGTAAAAAACAACATCAACAACAAACTAGAGGAATCAAATTGCCTGATTTCAAATTATACTACAGAGCTTATAGTAACCAAAACATAATGGTACTGGCATAAAAACAGACACATAGATCAATGGAACAGAATAGATAACCCAGAAACAAATCTACAAACCTGCAGTAAACTAATTTTTTACAAAGGTGCCAAGACCATGTGCTGGAGAAAAGATACTCTCTTCAATAAATGTGCTGGGAAAATTGGACATCCATATGGAGAAGAAGGAAACTTGAACCCCATCTCTCATGGTATACAAAAATAAAATTAAAATAGATTAAATACTTTAAGATCTCAAACTTTGAAACTACTACAAGAAAACTTTGGAAAAATTCTCCAACACATTAGTCTGTGCAAAGATTTACTGAGTAATACACCACAAACACCAGCAACCAAAGCAAGTGTAGACAAATTGGATGACATCAAGTTAAAAAGCTCCTGCATAGCAAAGGAAATAATCAACAAAGTGAAGAGACAACCCATAGAAAGGGAAAAAATATTTGCAAACTCCCCAACTGGCAATGGATTCATAACCAGTATATATATATACTGGTTTTATACTGTATATATACATACATATATATAAAAGGAACTCAAACAGCTTTATGGGAAAATATATAATAATTCAATCAAAAATGAGTAAAAGATTTAAATAGACATTTCTCAGAAGAAGACATACAAATGGCATGCAGGCATATGAAAACGTGCTCACCATCACTGATCATCAGAAAAATGCAAATGAAAACTACAATGAGGTATCATTTCACCCCAGGTAAAATGGCTTATATTCAAAAGACAGGCAGTAACAAATGCTGGCAAGGATGTGGAGAAAAGAGAATCCTCATACACTGTTGATTGGAATGTAAGTTACCACAGCCACTATAAAGAAACAGCATGGAGGTTCCACAAAAAACTAAAAATAGAGCTACCATATGATCCAGCAATCTTACTGCTGGGCATACATCCAAAAATAAGGAAAATCAATATGTAAAAGAGATATCTGCATTCACATGTTTGTTGCAGTACCGTTCACAATAGCCAAGATTTGGAAGCAACCTAAGTGCCATCAAAAGATTAATGGATAGTAAAATGGGGAACTTATAAAAAATGGTGCATAAAAAATGAGATTCAGGCATTTGTGAGAACATGGATGGATCTAGAGATAATTATGTTAAGTTGAGTAAGACAGGCATGGAAAGAAAATCATCTCATGTTCTCACTTATTTGTGGGATTTAAAAATAAAAATAATTGAACTCATGGGCCGAGAGGGTAGAAAGATGGTTAACAGATGCTAGAAATAGTGGCTGATGGATTTGATATTAGGTGTGTGATATGGTTTGGGTCTAGGTCTCCACCCAAATCTCATGTAGATTTGTAATCCTAAAGTTGGTAGAGGGGCCTAGTGGGAGATGATTGAATCATTGGAGTCTCTTTTCTCCTTGCTGTTCTCATGACAGTGAGTGAGTTCTCATGAGATCTGGTTGTTTAAAAGTTTGTAGCACTTCCTCCTGCTCCCTCTTTCTCCCGCTTTGGCCATGTAAGACATGTCTCCTTCATCTTCACCTTCTGCCATGATTTTAAGTTCCCTGAGGCATCCCGAGCCATGCTTCCTATACAGCCTAAAGAACCATGAGCCAATTAAATCTCTTTTCTTTATAAATTACCTGGTCTCAGTTTCTTATAGCAAAGCAAGAATGGACTCACATTGCTCAATACAGAAAATCAGAGGCAGAAAGTCAGGCATTCCTATAAAGATACCTGAAAATGCAGAGGCCACTTTGGAACCTAGTAATGGACAGAGGTTGAAACAGTTTGGAGGGCTCAGAAGAAGATAGAAAAATGAGGAAAATTTGGAACTTCCTTGAGACTTATTAAATTGTTGTGACCAAAATGCTGATAATGATATGGACAAACAAGTCCAGGCTTAAGTGGTCTCAGATTAAGACGAGGATTATATTGGGAACTGGACTAAAAGTCATCCTTTCTATGCTTTAGCAAAGAGCCTGGAAGCATCGTGCCCCTGCTCTAGGTATCCGTGGAACTTTGAAGTTGACAGAGATGATTTATAGTATCTGGCAAAAGAAATTTCCAAGCTGCAAAGTGTTCAAGAAGTGACTGGCAGCTTCTAACAACATGTGCTCATATGCCTTAGCAATGAAATGATCTGAAACTGGAACATATATTTAAAAGGGAAGTACAACATAAAAGTTTGGAAAATTTGCAGTTTGAACAAATTGTCAGAGAGGGAAATTCATTTTTTGGGGAATAATTTAAGCCTGCTAGGGAAATTTACATAAGTAAAGAGGAGCTGAATAATAATAGCAAAGACAATGGGGAAAATACCTTGAAGGAACTTCAGAAACCTTCCTGGCAGCCCCTGCCATCTTAGGCCCAAAGGCCTAAGAGGAAACATTGGTTTTGTGGGCCAGGCCCAATGCTCTTCTGCATTGCACAACCTTGGGGCACTGCTGCCTCTATCCCAGTTCCTTCAGCTCCAGCTGTGGCTCAAAGGGCTCCAGGTACATCCAAGCCACTGCTTTAGAGGGTGCAAGCCATAAGCCTTGATGGCTTTCACGTGACGTTAAACCTGTGGGTGCACAGAGGGCAAAAGTTAAGGCTTGGAAGCCACTGCCTAGATTTCAGAGGATGTATAGAAATGCCCGGATGTCCAGGCAGAAGTCTGCTGAAGGGGCAGAGCCCTCATGGAGAACCTCTACTAGAGCAGTGTGAAGAGGAAATGTGGGATTGGAGCCCACACATAGAGTCCCCACTGGAGCACTGCCTAGTGGAGCTATGAGAAGAGGGCAACCATCTTCCAGACCTCAGAATGGTAGAACTGCCAACAGCTTGCACTGTGCACCTGAAAAAGCCACAGACACTCAATGCCAGCCCAAGAAACCAACCAAAGTGGCTTTACCCTGAAGAGCCACAGAAGTGGAGATGTCCAAGGCTTTGAGAGCCCATGCCTTGAATTAGTGTGTCCTGGATGTGAGACATGGAGTTAAAGGAGATCATTTTGGAGTTTTAAGATTTGATGATTGCCCTGCTGGGTTTCAGACTTGCATGGAACCTGTAGCCCCTTTGTTTTGGCCAATTTGTCCCTTTTGGAATAGGTGTATTTACCCAATGCCTGTACCCCCATTGTATCTAGGAAGTAGCTAAGTTGCTTTTGATTTTAGAGGCTCATAGGCTGAAGGGACTTGCTTTGTCTCAGTTAAGACTTTAGACTTTGGACATTTGAGTTAATGCTGGAATAAGTTAAGACTTTGGGGGACTGTTGGGAAGGCATAATTGTGTTTTGAAATGTGAGAAGGACATGAGATTTGGGGAGAACCAGGGGTGGAATGATAGGGTTTGTGCCTGTGTTCCTGTCCAAATCTCATGTCAAATTTTAATCATAATGTTGAAGGAGGGGCTGAGTGAGAGGTGATTGGATCATGGGGGTGGATATGCCCCTTGCTGTTTATTTTTTTTGTAGTGAGTGAGTTTTCACAATATCTGTCTGTTTAAAGAAGTATATCCCTGTTCTACCCCCTCCTCCTGCTTTGACAATGTATGATGTACCTCTTTCATCTTCACCTTCCACCATGATGGTAAGTTTTTGGGGGCCTTCCAAGCCATGCTTCCTGCCTGCAGAACCGTGACCCAATTAAACCTCTTTTCTTCATAAATTACCCAGTTTCATTTTTTATAGCAATGAGAGAATGGACTAATACAATGTTACAGAAAGGCAGCAAGAATGACTTTGAAGATTTTGGCCTGAACAGATGAGTGACTAGATGTTATTTACTATGCTGTACAATGCTTCAGGGTAAGAAAGTTTTTATTGTTGTTTTTTTTTTTGTGTGTGTGTGTGTGTGTGGTGGTGGAATAACAAATTTACAATGAGACTCTCCAATCCTTCTAAAATCTTTGTATTTTCCCATATTAAATCTCATATTTTTAAACAAAAAAAAAAACAAAAAGAGTATTTATATTCCAAAAGTGTTAAGAGAATCATATAGATCTGCTTTCCTATTAAAATACTGTATGAAAACAAAACTCTATTTACCAAATTCTGGAATGGAGATTAAAAACAAATTAAGACCTAAAAAATATACACTAAACTCATACTACATAAATATGTAAAGTATATATATTTAGGTTGGGCTCCCTAAAAGCATATGCTGGAATGGGAGATTATTTTTAAGGACTGCTTTTAGGGGATACCTATAAGGAATTGAGGGAGGCAGTATAGGGAAATAAAAGAGGCTATGCAAAGATGTGTTTTCCAGATGAAGTCCAGCCTCAGTCTGATCCCACAGGGAAATCTGAAATGCAAATTTTACCTCACATTTGGCCCCATCATCTTTTGAGGCAAGGGAGTGAGTTTTGTTCTCCTGTTCCACTAATTAAGTGCTGATCTGGGTGGAAGACACAACTTAGTCACTTCTGCTGGAGTTGGCTTCAATCTTTCAAAGACAATCTTCTAGTTAGGGTTATAAATAAGAGTTGTTAGCAGCACAGGCAGTAGCTGTGAAAAGGTATTTCCAGGCTGTCAACAAAGGCTGCTACAAAAGCTAAAGATAATTCAGTAAAGAGAAAATATATGGAAAAAATAACTCTACTAGAAAAAAGTTAATTAAAATGATAATGTAGTGTCTTTACTTTTCACCAATTACATTAGCATATATTTGAAAATGTTTATTTGCTTTACTGAAATGTGGCAAAGCAGGTGCACTTATACATTGCTGACATCATTGTAAATTATTAGAAATATTTTGGAACTATGTATATTTGGAATCCTAGAATGCTTAATACTTTCAATCTGACAGTACAACCTATGGCATTATTTATCAAACTATCATATGGATGAGGTTGTTCATCACAGTATTATTTATAGTAAGACCAATTGGAAAGCATTTGAGTCTTTAACAACATAGAGTATCACTACATAAATTTTTTTTGTACATTCACTGGACATACTATTTTTAATTATTAAAAACACAGTTTTGTAGGCTATATTGCAAAACAGAATAGTGCTTATTATACAAAATAAAATTAGAAAAAAAAACAGCCTATAAAAGCACAAGTGCACTATGATTTCCATAATATCAGTGGCTATGTTTGGGTGATTTTATTATGAGTGACTTGTTTTTGTTTCTCAAATTGTCTGTTATGTATTTCTATTTCTATGATATAAATAAGTGTATTTTGAAAGGAAACAAGAATTATCTTTTAAAAATAATATATAGTTCTTAGATGTTTAACCCCTGGGCCTATTAGTGAGCAATTAAATATTTGTTTATAAAACTTTTCCAAAATAGGTTGCTCAAACTAGTTTTTTTATAAGCACTGTACTGAGTGATGATGAGAAATAGGATGCTTTCTAGGTTCAATCTAGTACTTGGGAGTTCTCACTTCTCTGAATGTTCACATTACTCTGTTAATGCACCTTCATTCATTTAACCATTCAAAAACACTTCCACGGGTCTACCATGTGCAATATATTGTGGTCACTGTTGAAAACATAAAGCAAAATATGACGGACTTTACCTTGAGGAGCTCATAGATAAGTGGAGGAAAAACAACTAAATGGGGTAAGTGCGAGAGAAGAAATAAGACCAGATATTACTGGAACAAAGGAAAAAGAGCAAGGATGCTCAGGTGTCATGTCTTTGAATCTCTGCAATTCTATTATCCAATGTCTCTATCATTGTATGTGTCTGATATAGCAGTTCTTTCAGGAATCTCACTTGGCAACTTTCTGGGTGCATGATTCCATAAGTAAGTTTTGTAATCAGATAATATTCTAATTATTTAACTTTATAATTTTCAGGTTAACAAGTAAATTTTTCTAATATTCTATAACTGCTACCAGGTGATTCTCTCTATTTGTGTTTCTTGAAAATACTGTTGTCTTTCTATTAATATTATCTAAAGATATGTGAAATGGCATTAAAATGCTGTTAGATTAATAGCAAATGAAAGACTGAGACGCAAAGAGAAGGGTAGTTTCTTTGGTTTACAAGTCATAAAAGTGCAATTCAAAATTATTTTAAAAGTAATTATTATATATGGGTTTAGAGTTAGGACGGGATGCAGGGTTGGTTGGATCCAGAGATGTGTGATACTACCAGGATTGTAGCTAGGTTTTTCTTAATTCTCTTGGCTCTTCCCTTCTCTCATGTGGGCTTTATTCTCAGGCTGACTACTCTCATTGCAGTGAGGTGTCAGACAGCAGCCCCCAGGTCTACATGCTTTCTTATGAAAGATGAGGGCACCTCTCCTCCAAATAATGAACAAAAAGTCTTATGATTAGATTTTCTCAGTCACGTTGTGATATGGTTAGGCTTTGTGCCTCACCTGAATCATATCTTGAATTATAATCTCCATAATCCCCACATGTCAAGGGTGAAACCAGGTGGAGGTAATTGAATCATAGGGGCAGTTTCCCCCATGCTGTTCTTGTGATAGTGAGTGAGTTCTTACGAGATCTGATGGTTTTATAAGGGGCTCTTCCCCCTTCGCTCAGCACTTCTCCTTCCTACTGCCTTGTGAAGAAGGTGCCTTGCTTCTCCTTCACCTCCTGCCATGATTGTAAGTTTCCTGAGGCTTCCCCAGCCATACTGAACTGTGAGTCAATTAAACCTCTTTGCTTCATAAATTACTTAGTCTCAGGCAGTTCTTTATAGCAGTATGAAAATGAACCAATACATACTGTAATCACCCAATGGGCTTACCTTCCCCACTGCTCAGATAAAGCTGATAACCAAGAAAGGGAAATTGCAATAGAGAAATAGTTGAGCTAGCTGAGAGACCAGAGTTTTATTATTACTCAAATAATCCTGCCCGAAAATTCAAAGTTTGGTGGGCAGGGGGCTAGAAAATGGGGAATCCTGATTGGTTGGGTTGGGGATGAAATCATAGGGTGTTGAAGCTGTCCTCTTGCACTGAGTTGGTTCCTGAGGGTGGGGAGCATAAAACAAAACAACAAATGAGCCAGTTTACCATTCTGAGTGACACCAACTTATCCAACAAAATGCAAGATCTGAAAACTACCTTAAACACAAATCTTAGATTTTATAATAGTAATGTTATCTATAGGATAAATCGTGAGGTTAGGAATCTTGTGGCCTCTGGCTGCATGACTCCTGAGCCATAATTTCTAGTCTTCTGGCTAATTTGTTGGTTTTATAAAGCCAGTTTTGTCCCCAAGTAAGGAGGGCATGTGTTTTGGGTAGGGACAGTTATATTTGTTTTAAAGTTAAACTATAAACTAAATTCCTCCCAAACTTAAGTCGGCCTACACCCAGGTATGAACAAGGGAAGTTTGGAGGTTGGAAGCCAGATGGAGTCGGATAGTCCAGACCTTCTTTCACTGCCATAATTTTTTCACTGTTAAAATCTTTGCAAAGACACTTTCTATGTACCCACACTGAACAAGTAATATTGGCAAAATAAATTACTTGAAAAAATAAGTTCCCACTGTTGTTACTGGGTATAGGGTTAATCCAATCTATATTAAATAGCTATGACAAAATGGAAAGGGACAAAACAAATGATAGAGTGGTGAGCAATCTGCCCAATAGAAGCTGACCTAGTATATGATACATATTATGTGCTCAATAAATATTTGTTTTACTTTATTTAGTTTTTCTTACATAGCTAATGCTTTCAATAGTAAGGGGGAAAAATCTATACAAAGGTTTTGATAGAAGGGAAAAAAAGATCTTCAAGGCAATGAAATTCTTTATACAATGATGCATAAATGCAAAATATTAGTTAAAACGCTATGACTTGATTTATAAATGTTATGTTCACCTTGTATTTTAAAGCCAATACATTTTAAGTATAGAAGAAAAAGATTCTGAAAGAAGTGTGGAAAAATGGTGGGTGGCATAGTGTTTCCTAAGTGGAACATATTTTTAACCTATTCTATCTACCATGTGTGGAAATTATATTTCTGACTAGAATTTCTCAATTTGCTTTTCAATGTATGCATTTAAGCAATATTCTTTCTACCTTTCTACATCAAATTGAGATTTGACATATTGAATTTTCTTTGTTAAGTTTTTTATATTATACAATGGTCAATAGAGTTGTGAACTCTAATGAACCATAGGAATGCCTGGCAACTCTCTGTATATGTGAGAATGCTTTTAATACCACATTATTACTCAACATTCATTTCCCTGGAGTTTCCTGCTAATTGACTCTCAAATCATTAAGAAAAGAATAGTCATTAGTTGATTGTACTTTTATTTTCTTGATATAATTGCTTAAATGTGTCACTTATTATTTGCTTAAGGGTAAGATCAAATAAAATATTTTTTTTCACTTTTCCTGATGACCCAGTTCTGAAAACTTCAAGTCTATGCAAATGTAGTATTTATAACAAATTCTTTTAGACAAGCACCTTCTGAAAAAGATGCAATCAATTTCAGCCTTTAGGAATTTTGAGCTATTAGGAAGTCTGGCATAGCACTAATAAAATAGAACTACTTATAGTCAAATCTTATTTCCGATGCTGCTGAATGACAACTTACAGCTTAACATAATAGACAATTTAGCATATAAATGTTTCCCATAAAAGCAAGATGTTGGCAGTTCAAAACAGTAAATGCTAACCTTCAGGCAAGCTGTTAGTGAGGTGTTAAAGGCCCCTGAAATTGTAATGAATTAGCTTATACTAAGAATTTCCTATACCGACTATCTTTTCTGATTTTATCCATTCCTGCTCTAATGCCCAACTACAGAAGGAGAAATTCAAAAAATTCATCCTGAATAATTGAACTTTTCATTGGATTATTTTCACAAGAGATTTAATGCATTCTTTTCCCCTTAACATTTATGTTTGCACCTGTCATCTATTCTGATAACTCTCTAAGTTCTAGTGGCAGTCTATTCCCTAGGACCAAGAGGAGGAATGAATTATCTTTCTGAACTTGGAGAGCCACTTTCAGTAAAACCATAACACAGCATTTTTATAATCCAAATAGTACAAGGATGGCTGTATTTCCTCCTCATTTTTGTAAGCAGATATAGATCATGGTCACATCTACCCAGGAGAACTTTGCTAGTTGCTGTAACCCTCAGGGGAGATAAAAACGTCTTGGTAGTGAACTTCATTGAAATGGAAATCCAGTTTAAAGTAGGCTTGATCAGGTCTCCAGAAGAGATTCTTGCATGTGGATAGAAGCTCTGAAAACTCAAGGGCTTCCAAAATATAAAAAAAAAAAAAAAAAAAGCCCATGCTCTCTGCAGCCATTCATACTGTTGTCTGACCTTTTCTTGTAAAATTTTTCTCTTGTTTGTCTGAGTCTTCATCATCCTATTAGTTTTCTTAACAATTTTACTGATCTTTGTCGGTGTCTTCTTCTCCATGGTCTTTGACTTCATAAATTTAAATACTCTCTCAACTTTACCCTTTTCTCACTTTGCCCCTCTTTACTTTTTCTTTCTTTTCCTGTGTTTATTCCATTCACTGCTAGAGTGCTTCAGTTATACCTATAAAATTGACCCCAAATTGTATATCAAGCCCTTCTTATAATTTGAGCTTTGGAAACCATTTTTAACTCCTCATAACTGAATAATTAATAAACTCAACATTTTAAAACTTAAAATGTCATCTTTGATTTTTGTCTTTTTTTTAAATACATTTTTTCAACTTTTATTTTCTATTCAGGGGGTACATGTGTAGGTTTGTTACTCCGGTATATTGCCTATATTGCATAATGCTGAGGTGTGGTTATGTATGATCCCACCACCCAGGTACTGAACATAGTACCCAATAGATAGTTTTTCAACCCTTGCCCCTGCCTTGTAATCCTCATTTCTATTGTTGCCATCTTTATATCCATGAGTACTCAATGTTTACCTCCCACTTATAAGTAAGAACATGTGGTATTTGGTTTTCTGTTCCTGTGCTTAATATAACAGCCCCCAACTGCATCCATGTTTCTGCAAAGGACATGATTTTATTATTTTTATGGCTGCATAGCATTCCATGGTGTATATGTACCACATTTTCTTTATCCAGTCCACCATCATGGACAGGTTGATTGTACGTGTTTGCTTTTGTGAAAAGTGTGACAATGAACATGCGAGTAAATGTGTGCTTTTTGTAGAACAATTTGTTTTCTTATGGATATATACCCAATAATGGGATTGCTGGGTTGAATGGTAGGTCTGTTTTAAGTTCTTTGAGAAATATCCAAATTGCTTTTCACAGTGACTGAAATAATTTATGTTTTCGCTAATAGCATAAAAGCATTCCCTTTTCTCTGCAGTCTCACCAACATCTGTTTTGTTGTTGTTGTTGAGATGGAGACTCACTCTTTTGCCCAGGCTGGAGTGCAGTGGCATGATCTCGGCTTGCTGTAACCTCCACCTCCCAGGTTCAAGCGATTCTCCTGCCTCAGCCTCCCGAGTATCTGGGATTACATACGTGTGCAGCCACACCTGGCAAATTTTTGCATTTTTAATAGAGACACGGTTTCACCATGTTGGCCAGGCTGGTCTCAAACTCCCGACCTCAAGTGATCTGCCCACCTTGGCATCCCAAAGTGCTGTGATTACAAGCGTGAGCCACCGTGACTGGTCCTGTTGTTTTCTGACTTTTAATAGTAGCCATTCTGACTGGTGTGAAGTAGTATCTTACTGCGGTTTTGATTTACATATCTCTAATAATTATTGATATTGAGCATTTTTTCATGTCTGTTGGCTGCTCGTATGTCTTATTTTGAGAAATGTCTGTTCGTGTCATTTCCCCAGTTATATTTTTTGTCTTTTGCTTGTTCAATTGTATAAGTTCCTTATAAATTCTAGACATTAGACCATTGTCAGATACATAGTTTTTAAATATTTTCTCCCATTCTGTAGGTTGTCTGTTTACTCTGTTGGTAGTTTCTTTTGCTGTGCAGAAGCTGTTTAGTTTAATTACGTTTCATTTGTCATTGTTTGTTTTGGTTGCAAATACTTTACAGAACTTAATAATAAATTATTTCCCCAGGCTGGTCCAGAATGGTGTTTCCTAAGCTTTCTTTGAGGATTCTTACAGTTTCAGTTCTTACATTTAAATATTTAATCCATCTTGAGTTATTTTTTGTATATGGTATAAGGAAGGGGTTGAGTCTCATTCTTCTGCATATGGCTAGCTAGTTATACCAGCACAATTTATTGAATAGGGAGTCCTTATTCATCATTTATTCTTGTGGACTTTGTCAAACATCAGATGGTTGTAGGTGTGCAGCTTTATTTCTAGGTTCTCTATTCTGTCATTGGTCTATGTATCTGTTTTTGTAGCAATAGCATGCTGTTTTATTTACTGTAACCTTATAGTATAGTTTGGTAATGTAAAGTCTGGTAATGTGATGTCTCTGGCTTTGTTTTTTTTGCTCAGGATTCCTTTGGCTATACAGGCTCTTTTTTGGTTTCATATAAATTTTAGAATAGTTTTTTTCCTAATTCTAGTTCTATGAAAAATGACATTGGTAGTTTGATAAAAATAGTGTTCAATCTGTACATTCCTTTGGCGATATGGCCATTGTAATGATATTGATTTTTCTTATCCATGAGCATAAAATATTTTTCCATTCATTTGCATCATCTATGTTTTGTAGTTCTCCTTGTAGAGATCTTTCACCTTAGATTGCTAGGGACTCAATAAGATCCAGGAGAAGTTTGAAAATCAACACAAAAAAGTTCTAAAGCAATCAGGGAAATGAAGGAAATGAAGGAAATGAAGGAAAAGATAGACACTTTAAAAAGGAATTCATCAGAGCTTCTGGAATTGAAAAAACTAATGAAGTAATTTCAAAATACAATTGAAAGCTTTACCAATAGACTATATTTTTTAGAGTTTTAGGTTCATGGCAAAATTAAGTGGAAGGTACAGAGAGTTCCCATATACTCTGTGTACCATATATGCACTCTCTCTACCATTATCAATATCCCCCATCACAGTGGTACATTTGTTACAATTGATGAACTTACATTAAAACAACATTATCACCAGAGTACATAGTTTAAATTAGGGTCAACTCTTGGTGATGGGAATTCTATGGGTTTGGGCAAATTTATTATGACATGGTTCCACCATCATAGTATTATATTGAGTAGTTTTACTGCCCTAAAAATTATCTGTGCTCTACCTATTGATCCCTCCCTGCCCTCTAACTCCTTGAAACCACTAATATTTTTACCATCTCAGTAGTATTGCCTTTTCCACATGTTAGAATCATAAAATATGTGGGAATCATAGAATATGTAGCATTTTCAGGTTGACCTCTTTCACTTAGTATTACACATTTAGGTTTCCTCCATGTCTTCTCATGGCTTGATAGCTCATTTATTTTTAGCCTTGGACAATATTCCAATGTATGCATGTGTGGCAGTTTATTTATTCATCCATCTACTGAAGAACATCTTGGTTGCATCTAAGTTCTGGTAATCATAGACAAATCTACTTATAAACATCCATGGGCAGGTTTTTGTGTGGATACACATTTCCAACTCTTTGGGTAAATATCAAGGAGTGTGATTGATAGATCATATCATAAGAGTATGTTTACTTTGGTAGGAAACTGCCAAACTGTCTTCCTAAGTGGTTGCACAATTTTGCATTCCCATCAGCAATGAATGAGAGTTCCTGTTGGTCTCCATCCTCACCAGCATTTGGTGCTGTCAGTGTTCTGAATTTTGGCCAATCTAATAGGTGTGTAGTGGTATCTCACTGTTGTTTTACTTTGCATTTCCCTGATGACATATGATGTGGAATATGTTTTCATGTGTTTATTTGTCATATGTATTTTTTATGGAGGTATCTGTTAAGATCTTCATCAGTTTTTAGTGAGGTCATCTTTCCTTAAAAACCAGTAAATAATAGTAAAGTGCCAAGCAGTGTTCTAGGTGCTTTACATAAATTAAGGTGTACATTCTTGCAACAACCTTCTGAAGATACTATTTCTTAAAATCATTCCTATTTTAGAGATGGAAAAACGGAGCCACAGAAAGTTTTAGTGGCTGTGATCACACAGCTGGCAAATAGTAGAGCCAGGATTTTAGATTGAGCAATCTAGTGCTACAGTTCTTGGCCTTAACTACTTTGCTTTGCTGTAGCTCACGATTTCCCTTACCATTTTTTTTAACTGATTTTATTGTCATCGTCCTCACACCAACCCTTATAATCATTTTTGATTTTTTTCACACCTCACCCCACTTCTCACATCAAATCAGTTGCAAGTAAACAAGTTTTTTACTTCTACCACTTCAGATTTGTTTTCGTTTTTTTTTATTAGTAGCAGGACTCCTTTCCTGACTCCAATTTAGGACTGAAGAGATTAATGTTTCTACAGCACAGTTCTAATGCACTTTCTGCTTTTTATTTACCATAGGGTGGAAAAAGACTTTCAATCTTGAATTTATGGCTCTCCACAATATGGTCCCTAACTACTTTTCTAAGATTATTTATTATATTTCTAATACACTAGATCCATATATCAGCCATACTGAACTGAACTATTCATTCCTGTGTGGAAACCTTCTCATTGAAGTCTATCCCTAATCTCAGAGCTCTTCATTTTCTGGTCCTCATGCACAGAAGTATAATCTCTTTGTTAATTCTTGACTTTCCTAATTACAACTCAGCCACTAGCACTATTGATCACCAATATGCAGGGTCAATCATGATCATTTTAGGTGTCAAAATTAACAAACTAACTGATATATAAAGAGTGTTATTTTGTGGTAAGAAATATAAATAATTAATAAAAAAGAAATATAAATGGTCATAAGCCAATGAAATATTCAACATTGTTTATAATAAAATAAATTTATGTTAAAACAATTGGCAAGGGTATATGAGATAGTCAGCCCCATAAACATATGATAGTACTTACCATCTAAATTGCTTCAGCCTTTTGGAAATCAGTTTATGAATCTGAAACAAAAGATTATAATAACAAACAAAGAGGAAATGTGTAAATATCCAACACTTTGACAGTCACCATATTGAACATGGTATATATATTTTATTCAGTGTTATACGATATTTAAAAATAACAAACTACATTTATACGTACTGAAATTGAAAGTTCTCTGAGATAGATTGTCAAGTGGAAAAGGAGAATGATACACATCATATTTGTATCAATATATACAGACAAAATACCTGGTACCCTGTTACTGTGATTACATAAATTGGTATATAAATACACCAAAAACTCTTGCATTGTTGAAATTATATTTTAAAATGCTTATGTACTTTTTTGTGGTTGATCCTCTTCTAGGATGACTTTTTGGGCAGATAATCAGGAAATACACAAAAGTGCATATATGTTTATGGTTAAATTATAATATACTGACTTTATGGCCCAATATTGGACCAATGTTGATATGGTTTGGCTGTGTCCCCACCCAAATCTCATCTTGAATTCCCACATGTTGTGAGAGGGACCCAGTGGGAGGTAATTGAATCATGGGGGGCAAGTCTTTCATGTACTGTTTTCTTGATAATGAATAAGTCTCACTAGATTTGATGGTTTTAAAAAGAGGAGCTCCCCTGCACAAGCTCTCTCTGTTTGCTTGCTGCCATCCATGTAAGATGTGACTTGCTCTTCCTTGCCTTGTGACATGATTGTGAGGCTTCCCCAGCTACACAGGACTGTAAGTCCAATTAAACCTCTCCCTTTTGTAAGTTGCCCAGTCTCAGGTATGTCTTTATCAGCAGTGTGAAAACGGACTAATACAAATGTTAAATGAATTTTAGTACATTCTTATTATGCTTTGAAAGTTATATTTTTAAATTATTTAATAACAGTGTAAGTGCTTATAATATAATGCTATAAAACTATGGTTGTAGTTTGTATATCCACTGTCAAACATATGGCCTGGCACTGTTGAATAAATATTGAGTGAATAAATTTGCATATATTATATTTTTAATTGGAAAAAGAAGAGAAAGTCTGCATGCTTAGAATTTAGAAGGAATTTAGCTAAAAATTAAACAGTAATCATTAATGGGTTTTGGGCATAAGAATATATTTTGAATATTGCCTCATTCACATACATGTTTCTTCCAGAAATGGCCATTTGTTGTGGTAGGCAAAATAATGGTTGTACAAATATGTCCACATCCTAATTCTTAGAACCTGTTAATATCTATCTACATGGTAAAAAGAAACTCTACAGATGTGATTACGGTTAAAAACATATTGGTGTGTAGATTATCCTATATTATCCAGGTTAGCTCCACCTAATCATATGCATCTTTAAAAGTGAAGAACTTTCTCCTGCTGTGCTGAAAGAGAAATTTGTGACAATGTAAAAAGGTTCAGAGAGACATTAGATTCCTGGCTGTAAAGAAGGTGGAAGGGATCCTCAACTCAAGGAATGTGGATGGACTTCAGAAGCTGGGAATAGCAAAGAAATGGATTCTCTTCCGGAACCTCCATAAAGGAATACAGCCATGCCAAGACCTTGATTTTAGCTCAGTCAGAACAGTATCAGATGTCTGACCTAAAGAACTAGAAGATAATAAACTTATATTGTTTTAAGATAGTAAGTTCATGGTAATTTGTATGACTGCAATAAAAGCCAATGCATTTCTGAATAAAAATAATGCCAAATATAGATACGCAAAAAGAAAAAAATCTCTAATTCCACACATAGATGTAACTACTGTAACTGTGTGATACATACGTATACTTCAAGTCATTTTCATACATACATATATATGATACACATCTCAGTAGTTAAAGGCAACTTCATTCTTCTTCATGTTGTGCAGGTCAAATTCCCTAAAGTGGTCATTGACTTTGTCTTCCCTTTTCAGATAACACATTCAATTAATCAGATATAACTTTGTAATAATCTGACCACTCTCATCATCTCCCTACACTACCTAGTCAAAACCACTATTATTCTCTCATTCAGATTATTTTTCAGTAGCCTCTTAATGCTTCTCCATGAATCCACACTTGCTTTTTTATAGTCTATTCATCATATTGTCCCAGATTGATCCTTTACAGATATAGGTTAGTAACCTACCAAAAATGAGCCCTCTCACTCAAAGTAAAAACTAAATTACTTACAGTGGCTTACAGGGCCCTGTAAAGATGACAGCCCTCAGCTGCTTCTCCTATCACATATTCTATTACTCTCACTGTTGGTCAGTCTCCTCCCACCATAATATGTTCCATGTTTTGTTATGCAAATATCGATCATGTTTGCAAAACAGGGAATTTTTACTTTTGATTCTTTTGCCTACAACATTTTCCTAAAGAATCTTTGTGAGTCACTCTCATGTCTCTCAGGTACATGCTCAAGTATTATCCTATCACAGTAGCCTCCTCTGACCTTCTTATATAAAATAACACCCCATTTCTTGTTGGTGAGCCGGTTCAGGTTCTTGTCTTCACCGCACAAAAGAATTTGAGAATTAAATCAAAGTTAAAGTAAGCAAAGAAGCTTTATTGCAAGGCAAAAATAAATTCTGAAAGCGAAGTTAGAGTGGGCTGCTTGAGAATGAGACAGCACCAACTGGCACTAGGGAAACTCCATTTATGGGGGTCTTACATGATTATTTATACAGAGGCGGGAAAGAAGTGCTGCTATAATATTAAGCATGTTGCGGGTGGTTTTCAGGCCTGCATGTGCAGTGGCGGTACATAATAGTACATTATATCTTGTGTCATTAGCATCTTAATTCTCCATCCAGGGGTGTGCTTCTTACTATTAGAATGAGCACAAGTTAGCCCAAAGACGCTAATCATAGGTTACGACGCTTGCACAAATTTGGGAATTTTCCCTTCTGCTCCTCATCTTTCTCCTTGCTGCAGGATGTTCTAACCCCAAGACATTGATGCAGTTTGTGCACTGTCAGGTGGTTTGTTTTCTCCATCAATTTGACATGTTTCTTGTTTTTGTCCAAGGGCAGCTAGGACCACCCTCTGTAATCTACCTCACCATCACCATAGTCTCCACTTGTTTACCCTGCTTTATTTTTCTTCACCACACTCACCATGCTGTGTAATATATTATGTATAATTTCAGGTATTTTATATGAAATTATGTTTTATATGTATTTTATAAGCATATGCATGACTTTTTCTTTCTAGGATGTGCAATGTTGTCAATAACATAGATATTTGTCTCATGGTTTTGGAAGAAATTGTGAACATGTATATGAAATGCTCTCTTTCTAATATTTTTGTTATGTGTACTTTTTTGAGTTTGGGACTATTATATCAAATGCCACCATGAACACTTTTGTTTATGTCTTCTGATACACATAGGTATGTGTTTCTACTGCACATATACCTAGACTCACTCATTTACTTTACATACTGTGGCCTCCTTCTACATAGACTTTTTATCTTTAATACTTTTCCTACACAAAGTCTATTTTAGTACATAATGGTATATTTATTGTTTCACTATATATATTTGATATTATATATGTCATTTAAATTTCCATCCTATTTTATTTTTCTTTGAATTTTTAATTTTCTGTGTGTTTTTTTTTCTTAGACTTGTACCTCTATTCAAAATTATAAAACTTGTTTTAAGTGTTGATAATCGTATCAGTTACCTTCGTTGGCTGTAAACAATAAAACTTGTGTCTCACTAGTTTGGACAGAATAAACAATTTTTGGGAAAGGTATCAGTGGGATCATAGGACTGATAGGAAGGCTACAGAACCAGAATCAGAAAAAAAATATGTAGCTTCCAGGGAAGAAATAGGGGTCCAGGTATCAGAGAATATTCATCATGATACCACCAATAGAATAAATTAACTTAAAATGATTTCTCCTTTTTTTGTGTTTCAGGTATGAATTCACTAGTCTGGGACATACAACTACTCCTTGGCTAAGGAGAACAGGATGTTTTATTTACAGTCCTACAATGAATATATATGACTAGAAAGACAGAATTATTGTATGTTCACCAATGTACGTGTAATAGATATTGTGTGTAAAGACAAAAGCAATATTGGCAAAGAAACGTATTTATTCATATAAGGTCCTAATTTTAATTTTTAAATAATTCCTAAATCTATATTTACTTGATGATCAGCATTAGAATGAGACAGTAGTTATGTAAAATGAGAACATTTTTACACATCCTCCTATCTGCTAATTTGAGCTGGTATGATCTAGTGTCTATTATTTTAAATATGCTCTCCAAAAATATAATATACTCATAAGAAGTGTAATATATTCTGAAGCCATGTTTACCATTGCTTTTAGATTTTCAAAACTCTCTTCAATCCTTTTATATTCCAACATCCTCATCTATGAGTACTTTTATTGCTTTTAAATAACATGAAATATGTCGATAATTGTTTTCCACATCTTAAGTCTATGTACATGCAAGAAATTATTTTAAATACCTTCACACATAAATGAAAACTCCGGAGTATAAAATTCATGGGTGATACCTTTCACTCATCAAAACCCTGTAAGCATACACTATGCATCAAATATCTTTATTATTTTAAATAACCTAATTTCATAATTTTATAGCAATACTATACTGTTTTAATTATAGTGGCTTTCTGATACATTCTATAGCTACTAAGGCAAGTTCTATTTGCCTTTTCTACTATTTTATTGGATATACTCAGACATTTATTATGTAATCTTTTAAATTATTTTTAACCAATTTTAAGAATTCTAGCTCTCAGTAGTTGTATTCTAACTGAAAGTTCATTAAATTTGTAAATTAATTTTGGCATCGTTAATATTTTTATAATATGTACTTCATTTTTAAAAACTTTTTTTCAAGTTGCTCAGGTATTGTTTTATGTCCTTCACTTTGATTCTTTTGTAGCAGTTTTATTGAGACATAATTCACATACCAAACAATTTACCCACTGAAATTATACAATTCAATGGTTTTTAGTGTATTCCCAAAGTTGTGAAATCATTATCACAATCAATTTTAGAACATTATTATCATCCTAAAAAGAACCATGATACACTTAAAGTATTTCTCCCCAATCCTCATTCACCCCAGTCCTAGGCAACCATTAATACTTTATGTCTCTACACACTTGCCTATTCTGGATACTTAATATAAATAGAATCATATTATATGTGGTCTTTTGTGACTGGCTTCTTTCACTTAGCATAATGTTTTCAAGGTCCATCTGAGTTTAAGCATCTGTTAACATTTCATTCTTTTTATTGCTGAATGATATTCCGTTAAATGGATTTACAACATACTGATAATTCATTCATTGATAAACATTTGAGTTGTTTCCACCTTTTGGCTACTGTGAATATTATAAACATTCATGTACAAATTTTTGTGTGAACATATCTTTTTATTTCTCTTGGGCCTATATCTTGGAATAGAATTGCTGGGTCATATTATAAACCTATGTTTAAGCATTTTAGAAGCTTTAGACTATTTTCAAAGTGGCTACACCATTTTACATTCCTACCAGCAGTGTATGATGATTTCAATTTTTCCACATGCTTGTCAACACTTATCTTTTGGATTATAGCCATTCTATTTGTAATGAAGTGGTACCTCATTGTGGTTTTGATTTGCATTTTTCTAATGGCCACTGATATTAAGCATCTTTTCACATGCTTATTGTCCTCTTGTATATATTCTTTTGAGAAACATCTATTCAAATATTTTGCCCATATTTTAATCTGATTATTTGTCTTTGTATTATTAAGTTCTAGGAGTTATGATTTGCAAATATCTTCTCCCATACTTTTTCCCATTCCGTGGTCTATATTTTTCCTTACTTGATGGTATCATTTGTAGCACAAAAGTTTAATTTTGATGAAGTCCGATTTATCTATGTTTTCTATGCTCTTTCACAATAGGTACAGAAGAGTTCCAATTAGCAAAAGAGGGCTTGGTCTAATGTGCAAATACTTTTAAAGTCTCTGCTTGTATTATATTTAATAATATTCAAATAGCCAAAACAATTCACATGACCAAGGTGAAATTCAAAGGGTACAAATATAGATTTAACTTCTTAATGGGAGGAGCTACATAATATTGTGGCTGATTGTGATAATCTATCACATCCTTTAAAAAGTGAAATTTCCACTCTGATTTTTCATTCCATAACTGACAACCAGGAAATTGATGTTTCTTTTAGTCCAGTTCACTATGCCTTTTTGGAAACTAGAAATCATACTTTTGGCTTTTCACTCTCAAGAGTCAAAAGAACAGTTATATTGCCTTTGGCTCATCTATAACTAGCTTGTCCTATTACCTACCGCTAAGAATTCAGCATACTTTTAGAATGAACCACTTCAGATATAACATTTTCCTGTGACTATACCTTTTTAAGGATACCTATTTAGCTTGTCTTATAGTTATATATAAATACTTTCCTCTGCTATTAGATTAAAATAACTTTGAGGGAGGAGGTCATATATTATTTCTCTTTCTATGACACTCTTTCACAAGATCCTTTCTCTTGTACTTTTCCTATATTTGTGGAAAACACTTGCCTTTTTATTCAGGTATAAGGTTTGGGTATGCAGGTGTTTAATAATTATTTGTTCACCACAATTAAGTTTAGATTAGGCTTGTGGGTGTTACTATAGATTTCTCATACCTGTGCAAACTCCATTAATTACCAACTTCTTTCAACAGACTGGTCTAGTAGGAAGATCCAACCACTGATCTTGAATTGTATATACAGCTCTTCTGTATGTTTACTTGAAGCTGTCAACACATTGTAGCTATATTCAGATGAAGGGCATATGAAAAACATTAATAGGTTTCTAGTTTCTCCATTATTTGTTACTGATGACTCTCTCTTTCGCTTTCTCTCCCTACACAGTCATCCTCTGATATCCATCAGAGATTGGTTCTATAACCCATCCCCACAGATATGCTCCACAGATACAAATATCCACAGGTGCTCAAATTCCATATAAAATGATGAAATACTTGCATATAATCTATGCACATACTTCCATATGTTTTGAATCATTTCTAGATTACTTATAATACCTAATACAATATAAATACTATGTAAATAGTTGTTTTAGTGTATTGTTTAAAGAATAATGACAGGAATTAGTACAGATGCAATCATCTATTTTTTTCCCAATGCTTTTTCAGCCACAGTTGGTTGTATCTATTAATTTGAAACCCACAGATAAGGAGGGTTGACCATGTGTGTGTGTGTGTGTGTGTGTGTGTGTGTGTGCACGCACATGTATTAGATCAAGCTTATTAATTTTGTTGCTCCAATATTCCATATCCTTACTAATTTTAAATGTTTGTTCTCTGAATTATCCAATTAGAAAGAAAAAACAGGTAGAAGTAATATTTGTATACCTAAGGAAAAATATGTAATGTGAATCTTATTTATCAAAATGATATGAAGAGTCCTTCGAAAATCAGTAAGTAGGTGATTGGTGAGTGTGATATGCTATGTTTTAATTAATATTAAAGTTTTATGCAGTATAAAATGATATACAGTATTTATCACAATTTATTGCCTAAAGCTTATGCTAAAAATAATTACAGTATCATTATCATTGTTACTGTTATCATCATCATTGACATGCTTATCATCATAATCATTGATACCATTTATTGAGTTTTATTCTATAGTAGACACTGTGCTGAATATTTTTTATATACTGTATCATTAATTTCTAGAAAAGTCCTCTGAAAAGGTACGAAGATAACAGCTATTTTTAGACGAGGAAACTAAAGCTAAGTGATTATGTGGCATGTTCTAACTCAAATAGCTTACTGTTCCAGAGCCAAGTCTGAAAATAAGTGTGTCTGATTTTAAAGCCTACACATACTTCTGTACCTAGCCAGGTTGGTTTTTTACACATTTTCCCACAAAGATCATCCTTCCATTTATAGCAGTAGTGTCGTGTGTGTGTGTGTGTGTGCGTGTGTGTGTGTGTGCTTGCATGTTTCTCCCTGTGACCATATTCTCAAGCCACAGACACCTTTCCTTTCTTTGATCCTCATACCTGAACCTGGTTCACACAGACCGGGCTGATCTATTCAATCTGTGCTTTTCTTTCATGGTTGCACACAGAGGTAAAACTGCAGAGAATGCAGTTTTTCTTGCTCCCTCTGTCTATCTACCTGGAAGATTTCCTTCAGGCTATAGCCATTTCACTGGGGTCCAAATCAAGCAAGGAATCATGACCTGAAGTTACCACCTGAGAAGAAAACAAAGAAGGTCCAAATAAGGAATTTGTTTCAAACTGTTCTTTCACACTTCTGCAAATAACCCCAAATAAGGAACTATTTTTTCCCTCTAGGGCAGAATATCATTAATTCACAATATAGGCGAAAAGCAAGATTCTAACTGTATCAGGGTAGATAACCCTAACCTCATATCGAGGTTCCAACAAAAGGGTAAAAAAAATCTAAACCTAGTATTTCTGGATCTCTCAGGCTTTGCGAGACATTTTTCTGCTGAATTTGACTTCTATGTGCTTTCTTAAGTTTAAGAACCTATTTTCCCCTAATATTGCATATGTTTTACTCAGTGTCATTATTACCCAGAATCTCTTTTGATCTATTTTTCTAACCCTAACAAATATATGCTCAATTCATTACGTCATACGAAGATAAATTTATTCATAACTACTTGATGTATTTCCAACCCAAGTGTATCTGCATGTTAATAAAAATCAACATTCATTGCTTACAGGCAAATTACAAAATTTCAAGTGTTAGCCTCCCTGTAAGCATTAGTCTTCTTCCTGACCCTCAAATTGCATCATTTAACTGCATCGCTTACAAAGTTTACTGACAAGACTATTCCATCATAACACACATAACATTTTTAGTTGCTCTTATATTTGTTCTTTTTTGCACCCTGCAAAGATTCTTACCATTTGATCACCAGAGATTAATTAATGTAGTTTTCTTTCATTATCTGTTTCATAGACATATCTATCTTTCTGGAATGAACAGCTTTGCTCCAGGGCTAGTGGAAAATAAGGTTTTGTATATGTTAATTTTGGTGAGTCTCTGTTATCACTATTTCTTCATGGAAAATGTAGGAAAGCCTCTTAGGAGACTGAGAATCAGATGCTGTCTAGTTTAGTAAACATATGCTTGGAGCTGGAAACCATCATTCTCAGCAAACTATCGCAAGGACAAAAAACCTTGCGATCTTTACCTGAGATCAGGTAAAGATTGAAACTATATCACTTGTTCTCATTAGAGGTATGGCATTAAATAAGTCAATTTAACTCTCCTATTCTCATATGATAGTTTAATAAAGTAATGTATGTACAGTGCTTGGCACACAATAAAAACTCAATAGTTGCTCACCAAAACAAAGCAAAAACAGCCACAGTGAAAAGTTAGAGGGCACATGGTTTTCATACCCTTATCAAAAACCAGATTGTGTCATCAACCAATTAAACTTCACTGTTCACAGCTAAAATTATATTTGTACATTAATTGTATTTTTAAAAAGTAAAAACTGAGATAATGACTAGAACAATTCAGATTCTAGATACAAGTTCTGTTGATTTTAAGTGTTTAAATTTTTCATATAAAATTTGTGCCAGAACTTTGCCAATGTTTGTGTAAATCACAAACTAGCCTTCATGGTTCAGTTTCCATTCTTGATCATTCATTCAATGAGTATTTATATATCATTTACTATGCACCATGACTGTATCAGTTACAAGTAGTATAAGGTTGCACAGTACATTGCTCCTTCCTTCAAGGAATGCAAGACTTAGTAGAGGAGACACATATGTAAACAACTAAAGGAAAAAGTTGCATGTCTTCAAATTACTTGTTACAGAAAGTGCAAATGACAAATATCATAAAACAGGTTGACCTGAGTCATGATAATGATTGTTGTGAAATAGAAAGATTCATAAAATTAGAGGCTGAGCAAGATGGTTGAAAGGAAAGCTTCACCGATTGTCCCCCTCTGCAAAGAAAACTATTTAACAAATATCTACACAGAAAAATCACCTTCACAAGAACCAAATGTCAGATGAGCACTTACAGTAACTGGTTTTAACTTCATATAGCAGAAAGAGGCACTGAAGACATAGAAAAAAACAGTCCTGAGTGGCCGGAACCACCCCCACCCCCTGCAGCTTCAGCATGGTATGGAGAGCATCTCTGGGCACTGGGGGAGGGAGAACACAATCGTGAGGCATGGAACTCAGTGCTGTCCTATTAGAACAGAAAGGAAAATCAGACCAAACTCAGATGATGCCTGGCTACCAAGGGAGAATTTCAACCAGCCTTAGCCACAGGGGAATTGCTGATTGCTGAGGTCTGAACTTGTGTGCCTTCAAACCTTGCCACCAAGGGCTACAACACTCCAAGTAAACTTGAAAGGTAAGGTAGTCTAGGCAATTCTTTTTTGGACTGCAAAAAAATAAGGACTGCAATTCTTTTTTTTTTTTTTTTTTTTTTTGATTCCTCAGGATTTTCTTTTCTTTCTTTTTTCTTTTTTTTAATTATACTTTAAGTTCTAGGGTACATGTGCACAATGTGCAGGTTTGTTACATATGTATACATGTGCCATGTTGGTGTGCTGCACCCATTAACTCATCATTTACATTAGGTATATCTCCTAATGCTATCCCTCTCCCCTCCCCCAACCCCACGACAGGCCCCAGTGTGTGATGTTCCCCTTCCTGGGTCCAAGTGTTCTCATTGTTCAATTCCCACCTATGAGTGAGAACATGCGGTGTTTGGTTTTTTGTCCTTGCGATAGTTTGCTGAGAATGATGGTTTCCAGCTTCATCCATGTCCCTACGAAGGACATGAACTCAACCTTTTTTATGACTGCATAGTATTCCATGGTGTATATGTGCCACATTTTCTTAATCCAGTCTATCATTGTTGGACATTTGGGTTGGTTCCAAGTCTTTGCTATTGTGAATAATGCCGCAATAAACATACGGGTGCATGTGTCTTTATAGCAGCATGTTTTATAGTCCTTTGGATATATACCCAGTAATGGGATGGCTGGGTCAAATGGTATTTCTAGTTCTAGATCCTTGAGGAATCGCCACACTATCTTCCACAATGGTTGAACTAGTTTACAGTCCCACCAACAGTGTAAAAGTGTTCCTATTTCTCCACATCCTCTCCAGCACCTGTTGTTTCCTGACTTTTTAATGATAGCCATTCTAACTGGTGTGAGATGGTATCTCATCGTGGTTTTTATTTGCATTTCTCTTGATGGCCAGTGATGATGAGCATTTTTTCATGTGTCTTTTGGCTGCATAAATGCCTTCTTTTGCGAAGTGTCTGTTCATATCCTTTGCCCACTTTTTGATGGGGTTGTTTGTTTTTCTCTTGTAAATTTGTTTGAGTTCTTTGTAGATTCTGGATATTAGCCCTTCGTCAGTGAGTAGATTGCAAAAATTTTCTCCCATTCTGTAGGTTGCCTGTTCACTGTGATGAGCATTTCTTTTGCTTTGCAGAAGCTCTTTAGTTTAATTAGATCCCATTTGCCTATTTTGGCTTTTGTTGGCATTGCTTTTGGTGTTTTAGACATGAAGTCCTTGCCCATGCCCAGAACAGAGCCCTCAGAAATAATACCACACATCTACAACCATCTGATCTTTGACAAACCTGACAAAAACAAGAAATGGGGAAAGGAGTCCCTATTTAATAAATGGTGCTGGGAAAACTGGCTAGCCATATGTAGAAAGCTCAAACTGGATCCCTTCCTTACACCTTATACAAAAATTAATTCAAGATAGATCAAAGGCTTAAATGTTAGACCTAAAACCATAAAAACCCTAGAAGAAAACCTAGGCAATACCATTCAGGACTGCAATTCTTAGGTGAGTCCTAGTGCTGAACTAGGCCCAGAGACAGTAAACTGGGGAGAAACATGACCTACTGAGACACAAGTTGGGGCAGCCCAAGGAGTGCTGACATCACCCCTCCCCTAACCCCAGGCTGCACATCTAACAGCTTCAAAAGATACTCATTCCTTATACTTGAGGAGAGAAGAGGGGAGAATGGGGAGAATTTTGTCTTGCATCTTGGATACCAACTCAGCCATTACAGGACAGGGCACTGGTCAGAGTCATGAGACCCCTGTTATAGGCCCTAGTTCCCAGATGCCATTTCTAGACACATCCTGGGCCAGAAGGAAACCCACTGCCTTGAAGGAAATGACTCATTCCTAGCAGCATTCATCTGTTAACTGAAGAGCCCTTGGACTCTGAATAACCACAAGTTTTACCTTGGTATTACACCAAGGTCCTTGGATGAGCCTCCAAGACTTGCTGGCTTCAGGTGAGACTCAGCACATTGCCAGTTTTGGTGGTTATGGGCCAAAACTCTTTCTATTTGAGAAAAGCAGAGGGAAAAGTAAAGGGGACTTTGTCTTGCACTTTAGGTACCATCACAACCACAGAGGGTAGAGGAATAAGCAGGCCCTTGGGATCTCTGATTCTAAGATGTGACACTTGGATGGCATTTCTGGACATGCCCTGGGTGAGAGGGGAGCCTACGACCATGCAGGGGAGTCTCAGGTCAGGCAAAATTCACCACAAGCTGACTTAAGAGACCTTGGACCTTAAGAGAATATCCAGGGTAGTCTGAGAGTACTCCACATGGCCTGAGGTGGAGATGGCTTCAGGGTGAGGCTCCTGTGCCTTTGGAAAGGGGAGAAAAGTGTGGAAGAACTACATCGTATGGTTTGAGTGCTAGCTCAGCTGAGATACAATAGAATACCAAGTAGACTCCTAATA
Source organism: Homo sapiens (assembly GCF_000001405.40). NCBI lineage: Eukaryota > Metazoa > Chordata > Mammalia > Primates > Hominidae > Homo > Homo sapiens. The sequence continues at coordinate 92,917,998 of NC_000023.11, read as the reverse complement.
TTTTTTACTCTAGCCCCTGATGCCAGGATGTTGCTTTTGGACTCACCTGGGGCCTGGGGGACCTCACTTCCCAGAAGGGAGAGACACAGGCCTGGCTGACTTTGTCACCTACTGATTATAGAGCCCCAGGGCCTTGAGGAAACATATGCAGTAGCTAGGGAGTGGTTACCACAGGCCTTGGGAGAGACTCCGTGCTGTGCTGGTTTCAGGTCTGACCCAGTACAGTCATAGTGTTGGTGGGCACAAGGGTACATGAGTAAGTTCACCCTCAGCTTTAGGAGGTTCTGAACAGAGAAAGACTATATTTTTGGGAGAAAGTAAGGGAAGAGAATAAAAGTTTTTTAGTGGTAATCCAGAGAATTCTCTTGGATATTGTCTAAGACCATCAAGAACCACAGCATTAGTGTGCTTGGTGCGCCCCCAAAAGCAGATAAAGCTTAGATCACAACATCCAAGTCCTTTTAAACATCTGAAAATGCCTTCCAAGAAGGAGGAGTACAAACATGTCTAGTAGTGAAGACTACAATAAATACATATCTCTTCAATGCCCAGATATTGAAGAACATCTATCAGCATTATCACCATCCAGGAAAACATGATCTCACCAAATGAACAAAGAAGGAATTCAGAATCCTATAAGACACATTTAACAAAAAGATAGAAGCAATCAAAAATAATCAAGCGGAAATTCTAGAGCTGAAAAATGAAATTGGCATACTGAAGAATTCTTCGGCATCCTTTAATAGCAGAATTAATCAAGCAGAAGAAAGAATTACTGGGCCTAAAGACAGGCTGTTTGAAAACACACAGTAAGCGGAGATAAAAGAAAAAAAAAACGAAGCATGGCTACAGGATCTGGAAAGCAGCCTTAAAACTGCAAACTTAAGAGCTATTGGCCTTACAGAGGAAGTAGAGAAAGTGTTGGGGGAAGAAAGTTTGTTCAAAAAGATGATAACAGAGAATTTCCCAAACCTGGAGAAAGATATCCATATCCAAGTAGAAAAACATTATAGAACACCTAGCAGTTTTAACACAAAAAGGACTGCATTAAGGCATTTGATAAACAAACTCAAATCTTGAGTTAATTTTTGTATAAGGTGTAAGGAAGGGGTCCAGTTTCTGTTTTCAAACAGGGAATCCTTTCCCCATTGCTTATTTTTGTCAAGTTTATCAAAGATCAGATGGTTGTAGATGTGTGGTGTTATTTCTGAGGCCTCTGTTCTATTCCATTGGTCCATATATCTGTTTTGGTACCAGTACCATGCTGTTTTGGTTACTGTAGCCTTGCTGTGTTGTTTGAAGTCATGTAGCTTGAGGCCTCCAGCTTTGTTCTTTTTGCTTAGGATTGTCTTGGCTATATGGGCTCTTTTTTGATTCCATATGAAATTTAAAGTAGTTATTTCTAGTTCTGCAAAGAAAGTCAACGGTAGCTTGATGGGAATTGCATTGAATCTATAAATTACTTTGGGCAGTATGGCCATTTTCATGATATTGATTCTCCCTATCCATGAGCATGGATGTTTTTCCATTTTTTTGTGTCTTCTCTTATTTCCTTGAAGAGTGGTTTTGTAGTTCTCCTTGAAGAGGTCCTTCACGTCCCTTGTAAGTTGTATTCATGGGTATTTTACTCCTTTGTAGCAATTGTGAATGGGAGTTCACTCATGATTTGGCTCTTTGCTTACGTATTATTAGTGTATAGGAATGCTTATGATCTTTGCACATTGATTTTGTATCCTGAGACTTTGCTGAAGTCGCTTATCAGCTTAAGGGATTTTTGGGCTGAGATGATGGGGTTTTCTAAATATACAATCATGTCATCTGCAAACAGAGACAATTTGACTTCCTTTCTTCCTATTTGAATACCCTTTATTTCTTTCTCTTGCCTGATTGCCCTAGCCAGAACTTTCAATATTATGTTGAATAGGAGTGGTGAGAGGGGGCATCCTTGTCTTGTGCCAGCTTTCAAAGGGAATGCTTCCAGCTTTTGCCCATTCAGTATGATATTGGCTATGGGTTTTTCATAAATAGCTCTTATTATTTTAAGATATGTTCCATCAATACCTAGTTTATTGAGAGTTTGTAACATGAAAGGATGTTGAATTTTATCGAAGGCCTTTTCTGCATCTATTGAGATAATCACGTGTTTTTTATCATTGGTTCTGTTCATGTGATGGATTATGTTTATTGATTTGCGTATGTTGAACCATGCTTGCACCCCAGGGATGAAGTCGACTTGATTATGGTGGATAAGCTTTTTGATTTGCTTCTGGATTTGGTTTTCCAGTATTTTATTGAGAATTTACACATTGATGTTCATTAGGGATATTGGCCTGAATTTTCTTTTTTTGTTGTGTCTCTGCCAGGTTTTGGTATCAGGATGATGTTTCCCAGAACTTAGAGTAAAATAAAAATAAATACATAAAATAAATAAACAAACTCCCAAACATCGAAGATAAAGAAAGTATCCTAAAAGCAGCAGGAGAAAAAAAGAAGTACCATATAATGGAGCTCCAATATGACTGTCAGCAGACATTTCAGTGGCAACCTTATAGGCCAGAAGACAGTAGCATGACATATTTAAAGTACTAAAGAAAAAAAACAAAAAGAAACTTTTACTCTAGAGTAGTATATCTGGTGTAATTATTCTTCAAATGTAAAGGAGAAATAAAGCATTTCCCAGACAAACAAAAGCTGAGGGATTTCATCAATACCAGACCTGTTCTACAAGAAATGCTAAAGGGAATAATTCAATCAGAAATACAAGGACATTAATGAGCAATAAATAATTACCTGATGGCACAAAAAATTACTGGTCATAGTAAGTACACAAAAAAACATAGAATGTTATAACACTGTAACTGTGGTATGTAAACTACTCTTATCCTAAGCAGGAAGAGTAAACAATGAAAAAAATAATAACTAAAAATATTTCAAGACATAGTACAATAGGATATAAATAGAAACAACAAAAAGTTAAAAAGCTGGGGGTGGGGGATGAAGTTAAGGCATAGAGTTATTATTAGTTTTTCTTTTGCTTGTTAATTTGTTTGCTTTTGCAAATAGTGCTAAGTTGTTATCAGTTTAAAATACCGGAGTTACAAAATAGCATTTGCAACCCTCGTGGTAATCTCAAAGCAAAAAACAAACAATGGATACAAAAAATACAAAGCAAGAAACTAAATAAAATTACCAGAGAAAATTACCTACACTAGAGGAAGACAGAAAGGAAAGAAAGAAGGAAGTGAAGACCATAAAAGAACCAGAAAACAAATAACAAAATCGCAGGAGTAAGTGTTCATTCGTCAATAATAACATTGAATGTAAATGGGTAAAACTCTCCAATCAAAAGCCATCAGCTGGCTGAATGGATGAAAAACAGGAAGTATTTATCTGTTGCCTACAATAAACACAGTTCACCTATAAAGACACATAGACTGAAAATAAAGGGATAGAAAAATTATTCTATACCATTGGAAACCAGAAATGAGCAGGACTCATGGCACTTATATCAGACAAAATAGATTTCAAAACAAAAACTATAAGAAGGGACAAAAATGGTCACCATATGATAATAAGGGAGTAAATTCAGCAAGAGAATATACAAATTTTAAATTTATATGCACCCAACCCTGGAACACCCAGATGTGTAAAGTAAATGTTATTGGAGCTAAGGGGAAAGACAGACCTCAATACAATAATAGATGGAGACTTCAACAATCAACTTTCAGCATTTGACAGATCTTCCAGAGAGAAAATCAACAAACATTAGACTTAATTCGTACTATAGACCAAGTGAATCTAATAGATATTTATAGAATATTTCATCCAAGAGCTGCAAAATATACATTCAACATCATTTGATTATAAGCTCTCATTATGTCTTCTGTAATTTTTGGGTAATAAAGTTTACACTTCAATGCTTGTTTTGATAACTTGTATAATCCAACAACTATTAAATTTTTAATCTGCCAGGCAATGTGGAAGGTACTGGATTAAATAAGACAATGTCAATAATGCATTTGATACATGGCAGGTCCTCAATATAAGCTATTTAAATGGGCCTCCTGTATTGATACTAAAGTAACAGCAATAGTTAAAATGTTTTAAGCATTTTCTATGTGAGACATGTTATATTACTTTGAATACTTACAATGGGCCAAAGGATATGGTTAACAGATATATTTGATGTGCTAATCAAGCATTTATCTTTATTATCTGGAAATGGTTTCCCACAATTTCCAATAAAGGGACAGATTTATGTAGGGTCCTTTGTATGAGGTGACCCTGGTCCCTAGTTACCACTGATTGAACAAGTAACGGATTCTTAACTCAAAATAAGCCAATCAGATTATCTCTGTCATTAACTGAAATAAAAGTCAAAATTTATAAAAATTTTGGTAAATACTGGAGGTGTAAGCTTATGAAGGCTGAACTGTCAGTTATTTTAGCTATATGCATCCACAGAAGTCAATTCAGTATAGAGTAGCAGGAAAAGCAATAGCTGCAGAGAGGGAATCAGTAAGAACACAATATGTGGCAGTTGGAAGACAGAATAGTGGTGAGGGGAGCTGGGAGAGGTATTCAAAGAAATTGGGTTGTGAAAATTCCTTATAGATTCCTATGATAATGTCTTTTCAATTTAAACTAGTTTGGTACCTGTAACCAAACATGCTCTATTATAGGTAGGTTTACCTTGTTTTTATAGATAAAGAAAGAGGATAACAAAATTTAAGTCAAATTTCTCTAAGTCACAAAGCTAGCATATGGCATAGATATGATTCAAAGTAAGATTTGCCTGGCACCAAGACTTTTTTCTTCTAACTCAATTTTACTGTTATCTGCCTTTTCTGTACTGTATTTTGCTATAAGCAAAATAAGAATACTTTCTATTTTGCATGTCTCTTTTGAAGATTAGATGACATAATGTTTATAAAATGCATAGAAAAATGCCTGGCATTTAGTAGCTGCTTAATAAATGTTATTTCTCTTCTCACCTTTGAGATGGGTAAAACAGGTATGGATATTCTCCTTATACAAGTAAACTAACTGAAAGATATGTCTCCCTAAAGTAACATAAGGCTCAAACACTTGTTTAAGTTGAACTGAATGTTTCTCCTAATGAAGCATGCTGCTTTTGATTAATAAAATGTTTAGCCTCTTAATTAAGAACAGAGACACTAGTATAAAGTTTAATTTCATGTTTAGAAGCATAAAACTTGGAATATTGTTTGTTGTAAATGCTTACTTATTTCTCCTTGAATCTATCATTTAAATGGATGATCTAGAGGAAAAGTAACTGAAAAATAATTTTACCCTATCAAATATTTCACTGTTTTTAGTGATTACTTTCTTGTTTAGTGGTTCCTTGCCTTTTTATTTTAAATATTTAATGGATGAATAAAGATTGTATTTGTTCAAGGTAAGCAACATGATAATTTGATACAAATGCTTTGTATGATTACCACACTCAAATTAATTAACACATCTATCATGCTGTACCTTAGACACTCAGAACTTGTTCATCTTATAACCGAAAGTCTGTACCCTTGGACCAACATCTCACCATTTCCCCTTAATCTCCAGGCCCTGGCAATCACCATTCTTTCTGCTTCTGTAAGTTATATTTTTTTAGATTCCACATTTAAATGAAATGATATAGTATTTGCCTTTCTGTGTCTGGTTAATTTCACTTAGAATAATGTCTTCAAGGTTCATCCACGTTTTTGCAAATGGCAGGATTTCCTTCGTTTCCATGGCTGAATAATATTCCATTATGTATATGTACCGTGATTTCTCCATTGATTCATTAGGCAGTGGATACTTAGGCTGTTTCCACATGTTGGCTGTTGCAAACAATTCTACAATGAACATGAGGGTGCAGAAATCTCTTTGAGATACTGACTGCTTTTCCTTTGGGTATATACCCAGAAGTGAAATTGCTATATTATATGGTAGTTCTATTTCTAATTTTTTGAGAAATATCCATACTGTTTTCCATGATTGTATCAATTTACATTCCCACCAACAGTATAGAAGGGTTCTCTTTCTCCACACCCTTACCAACATGTATCTCTTGTCTTTTTGATAATGGATAATGGATATAATAATACGTGTGAGGTGATACTGTGGTTTTGATTTGCATTTCCTTTTATAATTTTTTAAAATTTATTGTTTGTTGAGGTACATATATATACAGATAATTTGCAATGTTTACCAATTTTAAGTGTAAAGTTCAGTGGTGATAAATACATTTATGTTCTTCTGTTTCCCTTCATTCATCCCTCACCTTTTCCCTTCCAACCTCTAGTAACCACCAATCTACTTTATCTTCATGAGATACAGGTTTTTAGATCCCACATGAGTGATAACATGAAATATTTGTTTTCTGTGCTTGGCTTATTTCACTTCCACTTAATAGAATGACCCCTAGTTCTATCCATGTTGCTGCAAATGGCAGGATTTCCTTTATTTTATCACTGAATATTATTTTATTGTGTGTATATATACATGTAAATATGTGTGTATATATATATACACACATATATACATATATACGCATATGTAACATATAGACACATACACATATGTAATATATACACACATATACATATATGTATATATTACATGTATACACATATACATATGTGTATATATATTTTATATATATATACACACACACACATATATATACCCTGATTTATTTATTCATTTATTTGTTGATGGAAACAGGTTGTTTCTGTATCTTCGTTATTGCAAATAGTGCCGCAATGAATGCATTTCCTTTGGGTACATACCAATAAGTGGGATTGCTGTATAGAATGGTAGCTTTATTTCTCATTTTTGAGAAACTTCCACACTGTTTTCAATGACTGTACTAATTTACATTCCCACCTACAGTGTACAAGTGTTCCCTTTTTTCACACCCTCATCAACACATCATCTCTTGTCTTTTTGATAATAGCCATTCTAACAGGCATGTTGTGATATCTCTGTGGTTTTTATTTGAATTTCCCTGATAATTAGTGATAGTGGGCACATTTTCATTTACCTGTTGTCATTTGTATGTCTTCTCAATAAGGTTATTTGATTTTTTTGTTTTTTTTGCTATTGAGTTACTTGAGTTATTTATGTACTTTGGATATTAAATGCTTATCAGATATACGATTTGCAAAAGTTTTCTCTCATTCTGTAGGTTTCCTTTTCATTTTGCTGACTGTTTCCTTTGCTGTGTAGAAGCTTTTTAGTTTATTGTAGGACTACTTGCTTATTTTTGCTTTTGCTTCCTCTGCTTCTGGTGTTATTTTAAAGAAATCCATTGCCGAGAAAAATGTCAAGGAACTTTTTCTCTATGCTTTCTTCTAGGAGTTTTACAGTTACTGACATTACATTTAAGCCTTTAATCAATTTCTAGTTAAATTTTGTATATGGTGTAAAAAAATCACCCAATTGGGAAAATAAGTAATTAACTTCTGTTTGCAGATGAATGATGTTCTATATAAAAAACCCTACATACTCCACCACAGAACTGTCAGAATTAATAAGTGAATTCAGTAAAGTTGAAAAATACAAAACTAACACACAAATATTTGTTATGTGTCTATACACTAAAAAGAAACTGTCTGAAATTAAAAACCAAAAAAAATCCCATTTATAACAGCATCGCTAAAGAGGTGAAAGATCTGTACATTGAAAACTATAAAGCATTGATAAAAGAAATGGAAGAAGGCATGAATAAATGGAAAGATAGTCTGCATTCATGAATTAGAAGAATTAATATTGTTGAAAAGTCTATACTACTAAAAGTGAGCTACAGATTCAATACAATCCTTATCAAAAGTTCAATGTCTATTTTTTGCAGAAGTAGAAAAACAATTTTAAATCTTGTATGGAACCACAACAGATCCTGAATAGCCAAAGCAAATTCGAGAGGGAAAAACACAGATGGAGGCATCACACTTCATTTTTTCAAACTATATTACAAAGTAATCAAGGAGTATGGTACAGGCATAAACACAGACACATAGACCAATGGAACAGAATAGAGAGCCCAGAATTAAATCCAAAAAGGCATGTTTAACTAATCTTTCACAAAGGTGTCAAGGATACACGTGAGGAAGGGAAATTTTCTTCAATAAATGGTGTTGGAAAATCTTGATATCCACATGCAAAAAGATAAAAGTGAACCCTTGTCTTATGCCATATACAATAATTAAATCATTTGCTTTTTCCACATACTTTTCAAGTAAGAAATTTAAACCAGTTTTCAAACAGAATAGAGGCTATTTAGCATTAGAATTATCTATTTTTGCTGTTCTTAACTTCAAATATATTACTACTAACTTTTTTTCTTGCATGTAGGCAAATCAAGGCCTTACACAATATGTTCAATCTTTTAAAAAAATAAAAATGCTATTATTGCAATATATTCACATTGAGTTGTACAAGATAATTTAATTCAATTATAATTTCAAAATAAGCAAAAGAAAACATAAATTTCAAATATTTGCACAAGCAAAATTAAAGACTTCTAGGTTCTCTGAGGATTTCCTTCTTAATATTAAAACATTGTGCTGGAAATACAGTAATATCAAAGACAATTTTATTATGATTCCTCTAAAATCCACTGTTGCTGATTGTTTGTTATATTTAAGGAATCAAAATTAAATGGTGATACGAGATTAATTTTAAATCCCAATTATTACAAAAAACAGGTATCAGCAATCAATTTCTAGCTTTAAAAATAAAATGTCATCACAAAATATTCAGTTTATTTGATTACGAACAGTGAAAACATTCATCATTTAGAGCAGGAGTTGGCAAACATTTTCTGTAAAGGGGATGATAGTAACTGTTTTAAGTTTTATAGACCACACTGTCTCTGTTGCAAACTATTATTCATCTCTGTCATTGTAGTGTGAAAGTAACCAGATACAATATATAAATGAATGGGCATGGATATGTTCTAATAAAATTAATTTATTGACATAAAATTTGAATTTCATCTAATTTTAATGTGTCAAAAAATTCTTTAAGAGCTTTTTCTTCAACCACTTAAAGATGTAACAATCATTCTTAGATTGAACACTGCAGAAAAATAAGTAGAAAGCCAGATTTATCCTATGGCTATACTTTCCTGGCCCTTTATTTAGGTAACTTTTGCTACCTGTAGCTGCATATCCTCTATTAAGTGGAACAGTAGCTGATGGAAATTAATATAATCTCATACAATTAACTATAAAGAATAATTTATAACGATGCTAACATCTCATTAAGTTATAATAGTAAATAAAGTGGAGATACGACTACAGTCCCAGGGCTATCAACATCTCCCTAATAAGAACACAAAAAAACCTAATTGTAAACTTCTGTTTTTCTAAGAAATAGCATGGGTAATAGAAATTTCTAGACCTTTTATATTTTTACTACAGCCAAAATTTAAAATCTTTTCCTGAAGACATTTTAGAGAAGCTGCCAACATATAGAGAAAGTAACTAATTCAAACACCATTTCTTCTTCCCAACTTTCATGAAAATGCTAATAAGTGATATACCTAATAAATGGGCAGTATAGAGAGAAATTGAATTAAATGCCCAGATATATTTATCATGAGGTCACTCAACTGATCAAAAGTGGGCTATGTATAAATATATCTGTAGCAAAACATTAAACCATTATGCAACATTTTTAGAAGATTTTTTTTATGCTGTGTGCTGATCAGGAATGACTGATTTTTGTTCCAATACCAAGAAATCTTAAGACCTCATTTACTTAAAGCAATAAAGGTTTATTTTTTCCTCATAGTACATGTGTTTCACAGGTTGGCTAGGAGCTGTGTTACATTTTGTCTACCCTGAGACCAAGGCTTAAAAGAGGAGCTACCATTCAGGATGCTGCAAACAATTGAGATGAAGGTAAAGAGAACATGGAAAAACGCACTACCTCCCAAAGATTTCACTAAGAGATAAAATGCAGCATGTCTCCTCACATTTCATTGGTTACAGCCAGTCTAGTGGCCATGATGAACTTTGCGGGGTTGGGGAAGTACAATCTCATTGTGTGACTGAACCTAATGAGGAGAGCCAAAGGTAAATGGTGAATAACAATAATGACTACCACAGTCTGCCCTTTTGGTCACAGAAAATTCAGTTCACTCCCTTTATTCACACAGAATATTATCACTTCTTGCCCAGGGAGAGCAACACAGAAATCTCATCTGGTGACTGTGTGGAGCTCAAAATCCAAGATCTCTGAGTCAGGCACAGGATTCCCGATATCAGATCCAGATATGACTCCTCCTTATCTGAAGACCTATGGAATATAAAGAAAAATGATCTACCTCCCACACATATACAATATACAGTGTTCAAAGAGACAAAATAATCCAAATAAATACCTTCATTAGGAAGGGGAAAGGATGGGAAACATACACATACTGGCTGTTAAAGCTTCTACCTATAACTGATATACATCAGTTCTGCTCATAGTTCATTGCCCAAGCCAAGTCACATGGCTTTACATAACTTAAAAGTATTTGAGAAAACGTATTTCTAACACAACCATGGAAGTAAAAGAGTATGAAATAGTGAAGAACACTCATGATGACCATAAATGTACACATAGGGTTGTCTGAAACCACAACTATCCATGTTAAAAAAAGCGACTATTTTCTTCTATGCTCTGAAATGCAAGCTTTGCTTGTCAAACTGTGAGTATATCCAATATTTTGTTCAGGCCACAGGGAGAGGTGACAAGTTTACTTTATTACTTAAGGGCAGACACTAATCAATTTTTACATCTTGTATTAGAGGCAATATTTACAAAAGATGAAGTGTTGTGATAATTACAACAAAGGAAACATCAAGTTTAAGATGTATCATAAATTTGTTTTTTGTGTTCAGAAGAACATCATATTTTTCTGTATTTGATGCATCCTGTTTCTAACATGTCAGAGTTTTCAAATTTCATAAAGCATACAATTTCACTGTGCATAAAAATTACCATGAATCTTTAAAATGGAAGGGAGAGGGTAAGAAGAAAAAAAAATTACCATGGGCCCTCGTTAAATATTCAGTTAGCCCTGTTCCTTATTAGGTCTGTGGTGGATTTAAAGAAGCTACAAGTTTAATAAGCATTTCTGATTCTTCTGAAGTAGGTGGTCTCTGAAAACATAATTTAAAAATGTATGAAATGGAGTAACAAGAAGGTGGTAATCAGGAATTTCTGAACAACTTTGCAATGAAAATCTATATTAGTAATATAATTTATATCTCATATACCTAAATAAATAACTTACAGAACACACTTCATGCTAAAATAGATAAATCAGTTATGAGTAATATTAATTACTCGCTGGAAAAAATGAATCACATTTGATTCTGATATATTAGCTATTGAATTAAATATATCACCTTCTATATCAGATTCATCATGCACTGAGTAAGGTATATCATCTGCTGAATTAAGTCTCCTGCATAAATCTGATACTTCAACTCTTGAACCAAAAATCTAACCCTCTAAATTAGACACATAACTTGCTGAATCTAATATACCATCAATGAAATCAAAATTACCACCTACTAAGTCATGAGTTTTGAAATGACTATTTTAGGTTGCATGTATCTATAAAGAAGTAGTACAATACCCTGCATCATTCTTAGTTTAGATTTTACTTGAGTAAACCCCTGGAGACCTTCATTTTGTTCTATAGAGTTTGATCAGCTTTCTTCTACTTAGTGTATCTAAGGCCACCAGTAACCAGGAGAAAAGGGAAATATATCTCGGCATAAACTATGAAAATATATGTACAATATATATAATATACATAATAAAAATATAAGTGTATGTATTTAGCTAAGCAATCTAAACAAATACAATATTCACTGAGTTGTGTTTACTGTTGCTACTCCTGCGTTATGCAAAGGCCATGCCTAAAATGAAGAAAAAGTTAGCAACTTGTCAGTTATCTGTTTATCAAGATCCATAGTGACATTCTAGTGGTCTGTAAAGATCTTCTCAGTAAGCTTGCGGTGGGTTTAAAACTCAAATTGAGTGAAACCGTTCCTATTATCTGATGAATGTATTTAAATTTATAAATACAATTTTAATGTGAAAGTCATAAATGTAAACATAAATATGGTTGTAAACAAAGACCTACAATATAGGAGCTGAATATCATATATGAAATCATACCTCATGGCCTCTGTATATCACACTTAATTATTTTCCAATTATGTAAACTATTTAGGCTTAGCATGAAGTTCAGTAACATCTTGTTACTCTTGTGTGATCTTTGGTTATGTATAAAATTAGTTCATTTAAATAAAGTTATCATTCTAAATATTTTCCCAAATATATCACCAGCTATATAATTATTCTGTTACAGTCAATGTTTTCATGATTTTTAAATTTGTGAACTATTTTCAAATATCATTTTAAATAAGAAACATGATCAACATTTTTATAAAATTAACTCAAGTGCAGTAATTTAATCGTTAATTACCCCCTTTATTTTTGAAAAAAATTATTTTTTATAGAAAAATAGAAATACAAGTAAGAAACTTTAAAATTACCAAAAATCAAATGACTCTGAGATTACCATTGTCATTACTCAGATATTCCCTATACAAATATATGCATTGAACTCACAGTCTTAAAATCATTTTAACCGACATAGCAGTGTGCGGCCGATTTGAAGCATTAAAACTCAGCATATTTATATTTTGTTTGCTTAATTACTTCTCTTAGCAGTCTTGTAAGATAAGATAGAAAGGTCTCGTACTGTCTTTTCCATTTTATAGATGAAGAAGAAATAGAGACACATTTTCATGTTGGCACATTGACAACATTTTAAATAGGCTGTTTGATCTGTTAAAATAAACTTTTATACATGATTAAACTATAAAAAGTCAAAATGAATCATTTATAATTGTATGTCAAGCCCAATATTCTTTGCCCTTCACCAGGTTTTGTGGCTTTAAAAATATTCTGTTTAGCTTATTTCTTTATGATAAGTGTAAGAATACTGACCTTCATTTCATCTTTCCTGAATTAACTCCATAGGCAAACCTTAATGTTACCATAGCTTTATGTCACTTTGTAGCCATTTTCTTCTAGTCTATGGGTTCTCTGAACCCCTCTTGTATTACTTGAGAAATGTAGCACTGGGTCTGTATCACGATTAGTGGAAACCAGTGGCATGAGATATTAGAATCCAAAGCACTAGTGGAAATATTCATCAACTCCTGTATGATTTTTTTTCAGGAATGGCAAGAAAAGGTAGTACATAATCTACCTATATAGAAAATAAATTGCAGAGAGGGCTGATATAGACTGACATGGATCAAAGTGAAGACAACCAAAGTCAAATCCATAGCAGCAATGACCTCTCTCTGTTAACCATTTTCCTGCACAAAAATAACCTCTTTTGATTGAATCAATTTGCTTTCTTATCCCATTTTTTAGTCCTCAAGGTTAACATTGAAATTGCACATCAGCTGAGTGTTTGAAATGTCCCTGGATTCCCAGAAGATAAAATACTACAAAATATTTAAACATAATGCTGAGTCAGCTGGGAAGATCACTAGAATGAGTTAGAATACTTGGTTCCCTTTTTAACATGAAGGGATGTTAAATTTTACCGAAAGCCTTTTCTGCATCTACTGAGATGATCTTTTTGTTGCTCTTATTTTAAGTTTTGTGCATTTTGTTTTATGGGTTTTGGTGGGCTTTTTCAAGACAGGGTCTTACTCTGTCACCCAGGCCGGAGTGCTATGGCACAGTCTCAGATCACTGCAGCCTCAACCTCCTGGGCTCAAGTGATCCTCCCACCTCAGCCTCTGGAGTAGCTGGGATGACAGGCTCACACCACCACACCCAGCTAATTTTTGCATTTTTTGCAGAGACCGAGATTTGTCATGTTGCCCAGGGTGGTCTCTAATTCCTGAGCTCAAGCTATATGCCCACCTTGGCCTCCCAAAGTACTGGGATTACAGATTACAGGCATGAACCACCATGGCTGGCCTGAACATGTGGTCTTTGTCTTCAGTTCCGTTTATGTGATGAGTCACATTTACTGATTTGTGTATATTGAATGAGCCTTGCATTCCAAGGATAAAGCCTACTTGATTATGGTGGATTAGCTTTTTAATTTGCTGCTGAATTCCCTTTGCTAGTATTTTGTTAAAGATTTTCATGTCAATGTTCATCAAGGATATTGGCCTGAATTTTTCTTTTGTTGTTGTGTTTCTGCCAGATTTTGGTATCAGGATGATGCTGGCCTCATAGAAGAAATTGGAGAGGAGTCTCTCCTTCTCAGTTTTTTTGGAATAGTTTCAGTAGGAATGATACTAGCTCTTCTTTCTATGTCTGGTAGAATTCAGCTGTGAATCTATCTGGTCCTGCGCTTTTTTTTTTTTTTTTTTTGGTTGGTAGGCTATTTATTACTGATTAAATTTTAGAGCTTCTTGTTGGTCTGTTCAGAGAATCAATTTCTTTCTGGTTCAGTCTTGGAAGGATATATATTTCAAGGAATATATCCATTTCTTCTAGATTTTCTAGTTTGTGTGAATAGAGGTGTTCATAGCAGTTTCTGATATTTATTTGTGTTTCTGTGAGGTCAGTGGTAATATTCCCTTTGTCATTTCTAATTGTGTTTATTGGGATCCTCTCTCTCTTCTCCTTTATCAGTAGAGCTAGCAGTCTATCTATCTTATTAATTTTTTCAAAAAGCCAAATCCTGGATTTGTTGATCTTTGAATGTATTTTGTGTCTCAGTCTCCTCCAGTTGAGCTCTAATTTTGGTTATTGCTTGTCTTCTGTTAGATTTGGGGTTAGTTTGCTCTTGCTTCTCTACTTCTTTTAGTTGGGATGTTAGGTGGTTAATTTGATATATTTTTTTAAATTTTGATGTGGGCGCTCAGTGCTATAAATTTCCCTCTTAAAACTGCCATAGCAGTGTCCCAGAGAATCTGTTATCTTTACCTTGTTCTCATTAGCTTCAAATAACTTCTTGATTTCTGTCTTAATTTCATTAATTGTCCAAAAGTCATTCAGGAGCAGTTTGCGTAATTTCCATGTAATTGTACAGTTTTGAGCTATTTTCTTAATGTTAACTGCCAATTTGATTACACCATGGTTTGAGAGAGTGGTTGGTGTGACTTTGGTTCTTTTGCATTTTCTGAGGATTGTTCCATGTCAGAATGTTTGGTTAATTTTAGAGTATGTGCCATGTGGTGATGAGAAAAATGTATATTCTGTGTTTTGTGGTGGGGAGTTCTACAGATGTCTATCAGTTCCATTTGTCCAGTGTTGAGTTCAGATCCTTAATATCTATGTTAATTTTATGCCTCAATGATCTGTCTAATACTCAGAAAACTAGGTATTGAAGGAACATACGTGAAAATAATAAGAGCCATCTATGACAGATCTACAACCAACATCATACTGAATGGACAAAAGCTGGAAGCATTCCTCTTGAAAACTAGCACAAGTCAAGGATGCCCTCTCTCGCCACTCCTAGTCAATGTAATATTGGAAGACCTGACCAGAGCAATCAGGCAAGAGAAGGAAATAAAGGGTCTCCAAATAGGAAGGGAGGAAGTCAAAATATCCCTGTTTGTGGATGGTATGAATCTATGTCTAGAAACCCCATAGTTTCTGTCCAATAGCTCCTTGAGCAGGTAAGCAACATCAGCAAAATTTTATGATACAGAATCAATGTATGAAAATCACTAGCATTTCTATATACCTACAACCAAACCAAGAGCCAAATCAGGAACATAATCCCATTCACAATTACCAAATAAATAAATAAATAAATAAATAAATAATAATAAAATGCCTAGGCATACAGCTAACCAGAGAGGTGAAATATCTCTAAAGTGAGAATTACAAAACACTGCTGAAATAAGTAAGAGATGACACAGAGCACCTGGGGGAAGGGGCAGCTGTGGGCACAGCTTCAGCAGACTTAAAGGTTTCTGCCTGCTGGCTCTGAAGACAGCAGAGGATTTCCAAGCAAAGCACTCGAGCTCTGCTAAGGGACAGACTGCCTCCTCAAGTGGGTCCCTGACTCCCATGCCTCCTGACTGGGAGACACCTCCAAGCAGGAGTCAACAGACATCTCATACAGGAGAGCTCTGGCAGGCAACTGGCAGGGGCCCCTCTGGGACGAAACTTCCAGAGGAAGGAACAGACAGTGATCTTTGCTGTTTTGCAGCCTCCACTGGTGATCCAGGCAAACAGGAGAAATAAAATCCTTTAAAGACAAGCAAATGCTGAGAGATTTTGTTACCACCAGGCCTGCCTTACAGGAGCTCCTGAAGGAAGTACTAAATATGGAAAGGAAAAACCAGTACCCATCACTGCAAAAACATACCAAATTATAAAGACCATCAACACTATGAAGAAACTGTATCAACTAATGGGCAAAATAGCCAGCTAGCATCATAAAGACAGGATCAAATTCACACATAACAATATTAATCTTAAATGTAGATTGGCTAAATGCCCCAATTAAAAGACACAGACTGGCAAATTGAATAAAGAGTCAAGACCCTTGGCCAGGCACGGTGGCTTACGCCTGTAATCCCAGCACTTTGGGAGGCCGGGGCGGGCAGATCACGAGGTCAGGAGATCAAAACCATCCTGGCTAACATGGTGAAACCCCGTCTCTACTAAAAATACAAAAAATTAGCCGGGCGTGGTGGTGGGCGCCTGTAGTCCCAGCTACTCAGGAGGCTGAGGCAGAAGAATGGCATGAAGCCGGGAGGCAGAGCTTGCAGTGAGCCGAGATCATGCCACTGCACTCCAGCCTGGGCAGCAGAGTGAGACTCCATCTCAAGAAAAAAAAAAAAAAAAAAAGAGTCAAGACCTGTTAGTGTGCTGTATTCAGGAGACCCATCTCACATGCAAAGACACACATAGGCTCGAAATAAAGGGATGGAGAAAGATGTACCAAGCAAACGGAAAGCAATAAATAAATAAATAAATAAATAAATAGATAAAATTAAATTTAAAAAGCAGAGGTTGCAATCCTAGTCTCTGATTAAACAGACTTTAAACCAACAAAGATTATAAAAGACAAAGAAGGCCTTTACATAATGGTAAAGGGATCAATGCAACAAGAAGAGCTAACTATCCTAAACATATATGCACCCAATACAGGAGTGCCCAGATTCATAAAGCAAGTTCTTAGAGACCTACAAAGAGACTTAGACTCCCACACAATAACAGTGGGAGACTTTAACACCCCACTGTCAATATTAGACAGATCAAGGAGACAGAAAATTAAAAAGGATATTCAGGACTTGAACTCAATTCTGGACCAAGTGGACTTAATAGACATCTACAGAACTCTCCACCCTAAATCAATAGAATATACATCCTTCTCAGCACCATGTCACACTTATTCTAAAATTGACCACATAACTGAAAGTAAAACACTCCTCAGCAAATACAAAACAGTGGAAATCATAACAAACAGTCTCTTATACCACAGTGCAATCAAATTAGAACTCAGGATTAAGAAATTCACTCAAAACCACACAACTACATGGAAATGGAACAATCTGCTCCTGGACTACTGGATAGATAATAAACTTAAGGCAGAAATAAATAAGTTATTTAAAACCAATAAGAACAAAGACACAAAGTACCTGAATCTCTGGGACACAGCTAAAGCAGTGTTTAGAGGGAAATTTATAGCATTAAATGCCCATGGGAGAAAGCAGGAAAGATCTAAAATCGACACCCTAACATCACAATTAAAATAACTAGAGAAGCAAGAGAAAACAAATGCAAAAGCTAGCAGAAGAAAAGAAATAACTAAGATCAGAGCAGAACTGAAGGAGATATAGAGACATGAAAGGCCCTTCAAAAAAATCAATGAATCCAGGAGCTGTTTTTTTTTTTTAAATATATAGACTTCTAGCCAGACTAATAAAAAAGAAAAGAGGGAAGAATCAAATAGACACAATAAAAAATGATAAAAGGGATATCACCACTGATCCCACAGAATACAAACTACCATCAGAGAATACTATAAACACCTCTATGCAAATAAACTAGAAAATCTAGAAGAAATGGATAAGTTCTTGGACACAGGAACTTAATTCTGAAATTAAGGCAGATTCCGGGTATTAGACATTTATCAAATGGAGAGGTTGCAAATATTTTCTCCCATTCTGTAGGTTGTTTGTTCACTCCGATAATATGATGGTTTCTTTTGCTGTGCAGAAACTCTTTAAGTAGATCCCATTTGTCAATTTTTGCTTTTGTTGCAAGTGCTTTCAATATTTTTGTCATGAAATCTTTGCCTGTGCCTATGTCCTGAATAGTATTGCCTAGATTTTCTTCTAAGTTTTTCTAGTTTTGGGTTTTACATTTAAGTCTTTAATCCACCTTGAGTTAATTTTTGTATAAGGTGTAAGGAAGGGGTCCAGTTTCAGTTTTCTGCATATGACTAGCCATTCTCCCAGCAGCATTTATTAAGTAGGGAATCCTTTTCCCATTTCTTTTTTTGTCTGGTTTGTTGAAGATCAGATGGTTCTTCATTTGTGGTCTTATTTCTAAGTTCTTTATTTTTAGAATGGAGAATAAAGTTCCATTGGTCTATGTGTCTGTCTTTGTATCAGTACCACACTGTTTTTGTTACTGGAGCTTTGTAGTATAGTTTGAAGTCAGCTAGCATGATGCAGCTTTGTTCTTTTTGCTTAGGATTGTCTAGGCTATGGGGCTCTTTTTTTGGTTCCATATTAATTTTAAAGTAGTTTTTTCTAATTCTGTGAAGACTATCAATGGTAGTTCAATGGGAATAGCATTGACTCTATCAATTACTTTGGGCAGTATGGCCATTTTGACGATATTGATTCTTCCTATCCATGAATATGGAATGTATATTCATTTGTTTGTCCTCTCTGATTTCTTTGAGCAGTGGTTTGCAGTTCTCCTCGAAGAGGTCCTTTACTTCCCTTGTTAGTTGTATTCCTAGGTATTTTATTCTCTTTGTAGCAATTGTGAATGAGAATTCATTCACGATTTGGCTTTCTGCTTGTCTGTTTCTCACGTATAGGAATTCTTGTGATTCTTGAATATTGATTTTATACCCTGAGACTTTGCTGAAGTTGCTTATCAGCTTAAGAAGCTTTTGGGCTGAGACAATGGGATTTTTTAGATATAGGATCATGTAATCTGCAAACAGAGACAATTTGACTTCCTCTCTTCCTATTTGAATATGTTTTATTTGTTTCTCTTGCCTGATTAATCTGGCCAGAATTCCCAATATTATGTTGAGTAGGAGTGGTGAGAGAGGGCATTCTTGTCTTGTGCTGGTTTTCAAGGGGAATGTTTCCAGCTTTTGCCCCTTCAGCATGGTATTGGCTATGGATTTCTCATAAATGGTTCTTATTATTTTGAGTTATGTTCCCTCAATACCTAGCTTATTGAGAGTTTTTGACATGAAGGGATGTTGAATTTTATCAAAGGCTTTTTCTGCATCTATTGAGATAATCATGTGGTTTTTGTCTTTAGTTCTGTTTATGTGATGAATTATGTTTATTGATTTGTGTATGTTGAACCAGCCTTGCATCCCATGGATGAAGTTGACTTGGTCTTGGTAGATAAGCTTTTTGTTATGCTTCTGGATTCAGTTTGCCAGTATTTTATTGAGGATTTTTGCATCAATGTTCATAAGGGCTACTGGCCTGAGGTTTTCTTTTTTTGTTGTATCTCTGCCAGGTTTTGGTATCAGGATGATGCTGGCCTCACAGAATTAGTTAGGGAGGAGTCCCTCCTTTTCAATTGTTTGGAATCATTACACAAGAAATGGTACCAGCTCCTCATTGTAGCTCTGGTAGAATTCAGCTGTAAATCCATCTGGTTCTGGGCTTTTTTAGGTTGGTAGGCTATTTAGTACTGCCTCAATTTCAGAACTTGTTATTGGTCTATTCAGTGATTCAACTTCTTCCTGGATCAGTCTTGGGAGGGTGCATGTGTCCAGGAATTTATTCATTTCTTCTAAATTTTCTATTTTATCTTGCATAGAGGTGTTTATAGTATTATCTGTTGGTTGTTTGTATTTCCGTGGAATAGGTGGTGATGTCCCCTTTATCATTTTTTATTGTGTCTATTTGATTCTTCTCTCTTTTCTTCTTTATTAGTCTAGCTAGTGTTTCTGAAGCCTCCTTTATAAAGGTATTTATCTCATTCATGAAGACTCTGACCTCATGACCTAATCACTTTTCAAAAGTCTCCATTCCAAATACCATCCCATTGTGGATAAGGATTTAAGATATAAATTTTGGAGACATAAACATTCAGTCTATAGCAATTTACAGTCTTATTCTATGAAGTTAGCATACCGTAGCCAAATACATTACAAGGAAAAAACAAACTACAGAGCAATATCACTGATTAGTATTGAAGCAAAACTTTTGAACAAAATGCAAGCAAAGTGAATTCAACAGCACATTAAAATATTTATACATCATGATCAGGTGAAATTAATTCCAGTTGTGCAAGGATGATTCAACATTCAAAAGTCAATCATTGCAATACACCACATAAACAGAATGAAGGGAATAAACCCCATTATCATCTCATTTGATTCAATGAAATCTGTTGACAAAATTCAACTCACTTTCATGATAAAAACACTCAACAAACTAGGAGTAAAATAAAACCACCTTAATATATTAAAGGTCCTATATGGAAATCCCAGAGCCAATATCATACTCAATTGTGAAAGAGTGAAATGTTTTCCTCTAATACAAAGAATGAGACAAGGATGCTCACTTTCATCTCTTTTATTCAAAATAGTACTAAAAGTCCTAGTCAGGTCAATTAGGCAAAAAAAGGTAGTAAGGAATTGAAGTCAGAAATCAAAAAGTAAAATTATATCTATCCACAGAGGACATAATCTTATATGTAGAAAACCCTAAATATTTCACCAAAAATAAAAAAAAAATGGTTAGAACAAATAAACAAATTCAGCAAAGTTGCAGGATACAAAATCAACACTTAAAAGGCAGCTGCATTTTTATAAACTAATGATGAACAATTAAAAAAGGAAACAGTGAAAACATTTCATTTATAATAACATCAAAATGAACTACTAAATAATAAACTCAACTAAGGAAGTGAAAGACTTGTGCACTAAATTCTACAAAATATTCCAGAAAAAATATTTACGTTAACACATATAAATGGAAAGACATTTCATGTTCTTGAATTGGAAAGTTCATATTTTTAAGAAGACAATATTGACAGATTTATTGGGAGGAGAGACAAGATGACCAACTAGATGCAGCCAGGAAGAGCATCTCCCACTGAGAGACCAGACCATCAATAAGACTGGCAAATTCTGAGCAGATCTTCAGAAGAAAGGCATTGAGAATGGATTGGGGGAGGATGCAGACCCTGAGCTGAAGGGGTAGGAAGCTAGGAACCAAGCACAGGGCTGCTGAGCACCAAGAATTTTTCCTGGCTTCCAGTAACTCCAGGGTACGGAGTAAATTAAATAAGCAAGGAGTGGCCCACTCTCATCATGAACCTACAGAATCCTAGCTGCAGAAGACTGCATGATGCCCACAGACACTTGAGCTTACAGGGAGACTTGCTCAGAGAGGTGGCAGGGACGAAACTCCAGCCCAGAGGGTTTGGCATGGGAATGGCAGCAGTGGAGCTTGGCCAGGAATGCCCATCCCCTAAGGCTTGCTGTGATCCTCTAGGTGGCTTTGGTCTTTGTTGACTGTTGGATCTGGACAGGGCAGGACAGTCTTGCTCATGGGATAGGGACAGTCTGAACTGAGCACACCCCTGGATGCCAGCTTTTCCTGGAGTTCTTGCCTTACTGTGCCAGCTTGTAGTGCAGCCTGGGATGCCCAACTGGAGCACTTTATGGAAGCCACCACAATAGCTTCTTCACCAGCAGACCATGCTTAATCATCAGAGAACCTTAGTAGAGGGGACCCCACCAACACGTACTCACACATCCATAGCTCTTTCCCACCACTTTGCCATCACACACTTGCACACAGTCCCCACCACACTTTGTCAGTACACACATGGATGTGGACCTCACCACACCATTGCCACAAGCTCATGTGAAAATGAACCTCGCTGCTGGCACCCAAACCCTACTGACATTCAGGTACTCTGCTGTACCACTACTGTTGATACACACACAGGTGTGGACACCACTGCATCACTGCTGCTGGCATGTGCACATGAGCATGGACCCTGTTTCCACTACCCCAGTGAAGCACCTTGGCCATCAGCTCCCATTGGAGTGTTTTTATCAGTGGACCGGAAGCACATTGGGCCCTCCAGTGTAGTAAGTGCTTAACCACAAGGGGTCAGAGAACAAAGCCATGGGACTGGTATTAGCCCCCCAGGGTTAGAGCATGCAGCCCAGGAGTGCTGAACTGAGACTTGGCACCCTGAAATCTTCCAGAAATAAAGCCAGTTGACTAAACTCAGTTTATACCACAATCAAAACCTCAAGGGCATCAAATAACATAAAAGCAGACAAAAACAATCTTCCAAGGGACAGCAGCTTCAAAGATTACAGGAATATTAGCCCACAGAGATGAGAAAGAATCAGCGCAAGAACTCTGACAACTCAAAAAGCCAGAATGTCTTCTTACCTCCAAATGATTACACTAACTCCCCAGCCATGGTTCTTAACTGTGCTAACGTGGCTGAAAGGACAGACGTAGAATTACAAATCTTGATAGGAATGAAGATCATTGAGATTCAGGAAAAAGTTGAAACCCAACTCTAGGGATCTGAGGAATCCAGCAAAATGATATAAGAGCTGAAAGATAAATTATCCATTGCATGAAAAAACCAAACTTGTCTGATAGAACTGAAAAACTCACTACAATAATTTCATAATATTAAATACAATAAAAATATTAACAGGATAATAGACCAAGATGAAGAAAGAATCTGAGAGCTTGAAGACTGGTTCTTCAAGTTAACTCAGTCAGACAAAAGTAAAGAAAAAAGAAGTAAAGAAAGAACAAAACTTTTGAGAAATATGAGAGTATGTAAAGGGACCAAACGTATAACTCATTGGAATCCCTGAAAGAAAGAGAGAGAGCACGCAACTTGGAGAACATATTTGAGTATATTGTCCATGAAAATTTCCTCAACCTCGCTAAAGAAGTTGACATTCAAATTCAGGATATGCAAAGAACCCCTGTGAGATCCTATACAAAACGACCATCCCCAAGACACATAGTCATCAGATTCTATAAGGTCATCATAAACAAAAAGATATTAAAGGCAGCTAGAGAGAAGGGGCAGTTCACCTACAAAGAGAACCTTATCAGGCTAACAGCATACCTTTCTTAGCACAAACTCTAAGAGCCAGACGAGACTGAGAGCCTATATTCAACATTCTTCAATAAAAGAAATTCCAACTAAGAATTTTATATCTAGCCAAACTATGCTTCATAAGCGAATGAAAAATAAGATACTTTTCAGACAAATAAATGCTAAGGGAATTCATTACCACCAGATCTGCCTTACAAGAGATCAATAAAGAGTGTTAAACATGTAAATGAAAACTTTACTGGCCAACACAAAAAACACACTTAAGTGCATATACCATTGACACTATAAAGCAGCGACACAATGTGCATAACAACTAGCTAACAACACAATGAAAGGATCAAATCTACACATATCAATATTAACTCTGAACATAAACTGGCTAAATGCTTCACAAAAAAGGCACAGACTGGCAAGTTAGATAAAGAAGCAAGACATGACTGCATGCTTCAAGTGACTCATCTCACATGAAAAGACACTCATAGACTTAAAAAAATGGACAAAAATCTATCAAGCCAATGGAAAACAAACAAACAAAAAGCAGAGATTCCAATTCTAATTTCAGACTAAATAGACTTTGAATCAACAATGATCAAAAAAGACAAAAATGGGAATAATGTAATGATACAGGGATCAAATCGACAAGAAGACTTAATTATCCTAAATATATATGCACCCAAGACAAGAGCAACCAGATTCATAAAGCAAGTTTTTGGGGTCCTAAAAAGAGACTTAGATAATCCCACAATAATAATGGGAGACTTCAATGCCCCACTGATGGTATTTGACAGATCATCAAGGCAGAAAACTAACAAAGATATTTGGGACCTAAACTCGACACACAACCAAAAGGACCTAATAGTCAAGTACAGAACACTCCACCCAAGAACAACAGAATATATGTTATTCTCATTTGTAAATAGCACATACTCTGTAATTGACTGCACAATCAGTCATATAACAATTTTCAACAAATTAAAAAAAAAAACCAACAACACTCTTGAACTACAATGCAATAAAAATAAAAATAAATATGAAAAAGGTCTCTTAAAATCATACAACTACATAGAAATTAAACAACCTGCCCATGAATGACTTTTGGGCAAGCAATGAAATTAATGCAGAAATCAAGAAACTCTTTGAAACTAATGAAAACAAATATACAACATACCTAGATCTCTGGGATACAGCTCAAACAGTGTTAAGAGGAGAGTTTATAGCACTAAATGCCCACATCAAAAAGTTAGAAAGGTCTAAAATTAACAACCTAATATTACACCTAGAGGAACTAGGGAAATAAGAGAAAACCAATGGTAAAGCTAGCAAAAGAAGAAAAAAAGAAAAAAAAAACAAATAGGAGCTGAATTGAATGAAATTGAGAAGTGATAAACTTTACAGATCAATGAAAGCAAAAGTTGGTTCTTAGAAATAATTAATAGAAATGATAGACTGCTAGCTAGACTGATAAAAAAGTAAGAAGATTCAAAGGAAGACAAGCAGAAATTACAAAAGCGACATTAGTAACAACCACATATAAATATACAAAAAAAAAAAAACCTCAGAGACTATTAGGAACACCTCTAGGCACAGAAACTAGAAAACCAAGAACAAATGGATTAATTCCTGAAAGCATACAATCTCCCAGGAATAAATTGAAACTCTGAACAGACCGATAGCAACCTCCAAAACAGAATCAGTAATAAAAAACTTACCAATCAGAAAAACCACTCAACCAGACAGATTCATACCTGAAATCTACCAGATGTAAAAAGAACAACTGGCACGAATCCTACTGAAACTATTCCAAAAACTCGAGAAGGAGGGAGTCCTACCTAACTCATTCTATGAGGTCAGAATTATTCTGATACCATAATCTGACAGATATAGAAAAAAAAATTAGGCCAATATTCCTGATGAAAATAAATGCAAATATTCTTAACAAAATACTTGCAAACTGAATCCAGAAACACATCAAAAAGCTAATCCACCACCATCAAGCAGGCTTTATTCCTGGGATGCAAGTTTGGGTCAACACATGCAAATCAAATTTGATTAATCACATAAATATAACTAAAAACAAAAGCCACATGATCATCTCAATAGACACACAAAAGGCTTTTGATAAAATTCAACATCCCTTTTTGTTAAAAACTCTCAATGAACTAGGCATTGAAGCAATATAACTCAAAATATTAACAGTCATCTATGACAAACTCAAAGCCAACATCATACTGAATGAACAAAATCTAGAAGCATTGCCCTTGAGAACCTGAACAAGACAAGAATGCCCTCTCTCACCACCCCTATTCAACATAGTGTTGGAAGTCTTAGCGAGAGCAATCAGGTCAGAGCAAGAAGTAAAAGGCATCCAAATAAGAAGAGAGGAAGTCAAACTATCTCTCTTCGTAGATAATGTGACTTTATACCTAAAAAATCCCACAGGTCCTGTTCAAAAGCCCCTAGATCTGATCAATAACTCCAGCAAAGTTTCAGGACACGAAATCAATGTACAAAAATCAGTAGCATTTCTATACAACAACAATGTCGAAGCTGAGAGCCAAAATAAGAATGTAATCACTTTCACAATAGCCACAAGAAGAATAAAATACTTAGGAACACAACTAACCAGATAGGTGAAAGATCTCTAGAAGAATTACAAAATACTGCTCAAATAAATTAGACAACACAAACAAATGGAAAGACATTCCATGCTCATGGATAGAAATAAGCAATATTACTAAAATGGCAATACTGTCCAACACAATTTACAGATTCAATGCTATTCCTATCAAACTACAAGTGACATATTTCATAGAATTTGAAAAAAACAATTTTAAAATTCATATGGAACCCAAAAGGAGCCTACATAGTCAAAGCAATCCCAAGCAAAATGAAGAAAGCCAGAGACGTCATACTACCTGACATCAAGCTATACTACAACGCTACAGTTAACAAAAACAGCATCATATTGGTACAAAAACAGACACACAGACCAATGAAACAGAATATAGAGCTTAGAAATAAGCCTGCACACCTACAACCATCTGGTCTTCAACAAAGTGGACAAGAACAATCAATGAGGAGAGGACTCCCTATTAAATAAATGGTGCTGAGATAACTGGCTAGCCATATGCAGAAGAATAAAATTAGAATACTTTCTTTTACCATCCGCAAAAATCAGCTTAGGATGGATGAAAGACTTAAATGTAAACCCAAAACTATGAAAACTCTAGAAGACAACTTAGGCAATGCCATTTTGGACATAGGAACCAGCAAAGATTTCATGCCAAAGATGCCAAAAGCAATTGCAACCAAAGCAAAAATTGACAAACGAGATCTAATTAAACTAAAGAGCTTCTGCATAGCAGACGAAACTATCAACAGAGTAAACAGACAACCTACAGAATTGGAGAAAGTATTTGCAACCTATGTATCTGACAATAGTCTAATATTCAGAATCTTTAGGAAACTTGAACAAATTAATGAGCAAATGAAGCAGTTAAATGAAAACTTGGAGTTATGGGACTGATCTGTACCTTGATTATTGTGATGGTTACATGACTCTATGCAATTGTTAAAACTCATAAAACTATAGGCCATAAAATGTGAATTTCACTGTATGTAAAAGAAAATGAAAATAAAGACTGAAGCGAAACATTACTTTTTAAATTATTATTATTTTTTGAGATGGAGTCTCACTCTGTTGCCCAGGCTAGAAGGCAGTGGAGCGGTCTCGGCTCACTGCACCCTCTGCCTCCCTGGTTCAAGCAATTCTCCTGCCTCAGACTCCTGAGTAGTTGGGATTTCAGGCACACGCCACCATGCCCGGCTAAGTTTTTGTATTTTCAGTAGAGATAGGGTTTTGCCATGTTGGCCAGGCCGGTCTTGAATTCCTGACCCAGATGATCCACCCGCCTCAGCCTCCCAAAGTGCTGGGATTACAGGTGTGAACCAGCGCACCCGGCCTACTTTAAAAAAATAAAGTTGTTGAAATGGAAAAATTAATGATGATCTAAATAGTATATTAGCCACATCTAAAGAGATATTAGTAAACTGAAATATGGTTTTGAGGAAATTACCCATAAGGCAGGATAGAGAAATTCAAAGACCGGTTAATCAAAGGGAAATCAAATAAACAGATCATTTAGAATAGATTTTTGAGCAATAGTAAGATTTATAGATATAGTGACTTTAAATTTTTTCAAGATCTGATAAAGGACACAGATCTGGTTAAAAAAGCATAAAAATTTCTGTGGAAGAGAACATAATTTAACATAACAATTTAATATTATGGCAAAGTGAAACTGTGCAGCATCAAAGAAAAAATGGAAATCTTAACAGCAAACATAGATAAAAGATTGCCTACACAGGAAGAATTATAACAAAAATAACATTTTCAATAGCAAAAGCAAAACACACACACAAAAAATCTCCAGGTAAAATTATTTAACTTAGAATTATAAACTCAGCTAAAGAAAAACTGAGACAGACCCTTGGTTAAAGTCCTGCTGATAAATATACCTCAGAAAGAATGAAGTTAAACTCAGAAAGTAGAAAGGATATGAGAAAGAATATTAAGAAAAAAGAGCTAATATGTGAATCAATATAAATAACAATTCACTGAATAAAAGAAAAAGAAATGCTAAGTGGCATAGTAAGAAATAAAATATATTAACTATATTTTAAGGATAATTTGTAAGGTGAACAGCAATGGTGCCCATGGGTGTACAAATATCTGTTCTAGTCCTTGCTTCCAAATTTTGTGGGTACATACCTATAATTAAAATTGCTTCATCTTATTGTAATTCTAATTTAGCTTTCTGAGGACCTACCATACTGTTTTACACAACAGCCGCATTATTTTACATTACCACCAGAAATGTACAGGACTTCTAATTTCCCCATATCTTCAACAACTCTTGCTATTTTCTGTTTTTTGGATAATAGTTAACCTAATGGGTGTGAAGTGGAATATCATAGTAGCTTTGATCTGCATTTCCCCAATAATTAGTGATGTTGAACATCTTTTATGTTTTTGATGGCAATCTGTATGCCCACTTGTGTATATTCTTTGGAGAAATATCTATTCAAACCATTTTTAATTGGATTGTTTTTCCGTTGTGGAGTTATAGGAGTTCTTTACATATTCTAGATATTAATTCCTCATCAAATATATGATTTGAAAATATTTTTCCCATTCTGTGAGTTGCCTTTCCACCTGTTGATTGTTTTGAGGCACAAAAGTTTTTATATTTGATGAAATCTAATTTTGTTTTTCTTTTGTTGCCTGTGTTTTTGATGTGATATCCAAGAATCATTGCTGAGTCTAACATCATGACTTAGTTATTAAATACATTTTTATATGAATTACTGAGTAAAAGCAATGCAGATATTCTGCCTAGAGAACTGTAAAATTTTATAGTCCCAGCAAAATAATGTTTCATGGTAGGCAGTTCTATGCAAACATACCCCAAAGTTTGAGGAAGCTGAGAGGCTGAAGCAAGAGAATGACAAATGCAATTTCTTACAGAGACATTTAATAGGGACTTACAAATAGAAGCTATGTCTGTGTCTTGGGTGACAGAGAGACAAGATGGTGGGATTCCTGCAGCATTACCCCCCAGACCCAGGGTTTATACCATAAGGGAGGGGTGGTTCAGAAAGCATGTGTAGGGCAATTTAAAGTATGATAACATCAAGGTTGTTTGGCCTAAGGGCAGGATTTACGGTTAAGTTTCCACTCCTACACAAGAAACAATAGATAACTTGAAAATCTTAGAGCCCTTCCAAGAACAGGGGTTAATCAGAAGCCAACATGGTAAAATTATTTCCAAGATGGAGTTGCTTTAGCCTCCACAGAATATTAGAGTAAATTTACCTCTACATACTACCCAATGCCGTAGGTTATCAAAAGTTCTGAAAATATCCCATTGTAATTTCTTTTACATTTATCTTATTATAAGTGAACTTGATTTTTTTACAAGTTTAAAAGCAAAAGATCCCGTTAAATTCTGCAGGTCATTTTAAATTCTGCACCAGCAAAGTAAGATATTTTGTAGTTGAGAAGATAATTAAATGGAAGCCTGGTATTATGATAGAGCATTACAGTGAATATTATGATCCCCTGAGCAGATTCCCTCTTCAGGCCTGCTGCATCCATCCCCTACCTGCTTGCCACAGCTGCATTTCTCATGGGAAATTGCAATTGCCCTTAGAGAATTGCTTCACTTAAAATTATACCTTCTATAAGGAAGCAGTCTGCAGTAAATGACTGGCCAATGCAGGGACACAAAAGCCCAGGCCTTTGTTTCAACTGGAGCAACCCTGAAGGGCCATCCCACCTCCAGAGTTACTATCTCTTGAATACACTACCTGAATATCAGTTGAGAACTTAGTTATGAGGGAATTGTGCTAAGTTTCTCCCACTACTCAATCCTGGATATCTCAATTCACTACAAGTGAAACACTTTTCAATACATTTTCCGCTTGCTAATTCCCATCTCAGTCTGCTAGGGAAAATAATTAACATAATTGGTGGCAGGTGTAAGCCTAGGAAGCAAACTCTAAAATGGGATTTTGGTACTGTGTCACTTTTCAGCCAGCTGGCAATGAGGACAGTTTAAACAGAATTTGGGAGACAGTGGTGCTATTGTTAGGGTACAGGTTTAGATTCCATAACAAACAACAAAAATGTAGTGGCTTAACAAGACAGAAGCTTTGTTTTCTCTCCAATAACAATCTGAGCAAAAGCAGTTCAGAATAGTGGTTGCATTCTGCTGGAGGCCCAGGGTAGCCTATTTTGTTATTCTGCCATCCTCAACATTTATTAATTTTCTACTGTAGCTATATCCTTGCGTTTAGGATAATTAATCATAAAGTTTTTAAAATATATTTTATGATTCAGTAGGTTTTTGAATGTTTGCATTTACTTTATTTTTTATTTTTAATTAATTATTTAGTTTTTAGAGAGAGGGTCTTGCTCTGTTACCCAGACTGGAGTACAGTGGTGGGATTATAACTCACTGCAGCTTGGAGCTCCTGGGCTCAAGGGACCCTCCTGCCTCAGCCTCCTGAGTAGCTGAGACTATAGGCACGTGCCATGAAGCCTGGCTAATTGCATTTACTTTCATAAGTTAACTGTTCAATATGCTTTCAATCTTGAATTGTTCACATCTGTTTAAGGAATAAATACTACACTTGCATTATGAAAAGAGCTGAGAAAGTACAGTTTTTTAAAGTATTTTCAGGAAAATATGTTAAAATATAGATTAACTGTTACTTGAAAGTTGGATAGAACTCACTTGTAAAATCATTGGGCATGTGAGTTGAGGAACAAAGGTTTTGACTACTATTTCTATTTTTTGATGCTTCTAGATATACTTAAGTCCCTTTTTTCTTCTTCCAGTTTTGTTGTTTTATATTATTTTGTAAATGTATTCATTTAATCTAGGTTTTCAAATTGATGTTATAGTCGCTAATTTTGTTCCTTATTATTTATTAGAATTCTGTTAGGTCTGTAGCTATTTTCTTTTTTTATGATTGTATTTATTTTTGTATTTTTTTCTAGTTTATTAAACATTTTTGAGAGAAGTCTAACAATTTTGTTACTCCTTTTAAGAAAATATTGTAATTTGAAGAAAGTTGTTTCTGAGTTTTATTATCATTATTACTATTACTATTATTTCTGCCCATTATCATTTTTATTCTATTAGTTTCATTGGTTTTAGTTTCAATGTTTCCAAAATATTGAACTAAATTCTTAGTAATTTAAAAATTATCCTTATTTGTTTATAAAACACAAAGAGTACACATTCTCCACTAATTATTGCTTCTCTGTGAACCACAATTTCTGACAATCGGTGTCTTATCACTCACCTAAAAATTTCTTTATTGTAATTTTTTGTGATTCTTTTTTAAAACTATGGGCTATTTATAAATATGTTATTTTATTTTCTAACTTCTGATTTTAAGCTATTCTTTCATTACTATTGATGTCCAATGTTATTTCATTTTACTGATCTTTTGGAATTTACAGACTTTCCATATGACAAAATATATGGTCTATTATTTTAAATGTTCTATGTGTGATTGAAAATAATTTTCAGTTGTTTGTACAGTTATATGTGTGAACACACAGAGAGCATATATTAAAAAATCTTTATTTTTGGTTCTCTAGAAGAGTGTGTTAAAGTCTCTAATTAAAATTGTTTATCTATGTTTCCTTAAAGTTCTGTCTCTTTTTAATTAACACATTTAGAGTTGGCACTGTTAGGAATATATATTTATAATAGTTATATCTCCTTGTGCAATGGTCCCTTTTACCATAACATAACATTATTTTTCCCTAAATTATATCTGCCTCACTCCTAGCTTTCTTTGATTCATACTGCTTAGTATTTCTTTTTCTTCTCCTCTATTTCTGATTATTCTGTGTCCTTTAAAAGAACATCTGGTTATTCTTTCTCTTTTTTTCAAAACTGTATATTTGCTTTGCTTCATTAATCACTATAATCCATTTACATGCATTGAAACTACTGTTACATTAGGACATGTTTGTCAATTAAATTCACATTTTCTATTTAGTAAAGTTTTTTGTGTTTCCTTTCTTATTTCTTATGGGTGTCAGTTGCTTAGTGTAAGATTAGTCACAATCTTTGCTTCATGAAAACTTGTCACCATTGTTCTATGTATTGTTCTATTTTAATTTATAAAATAATACACATAAATCAGCTACCTCCCTAATCCAAGAACATTGATATTTCTTTTTTTTTTTTTTTTGAGACGGAGTCTCGCTCTGTCGCCCAGGCTGGAGTGCAGTGGTGTGATCTCGACTCACTGCAAGCTCCGCCTCCCAGGTTCACGCCATTCTCCTGCCTCAGCCTCCCGTGTAGCTGGGACTACAGGAGCGCGCCACCATGCCCGGCTAATTTTTGTATTTTTAGTAGAGACGGGGTTTCACCGTGTTAGCCAGGATGGTCTCGATATCCTGACCTCGTGATCCGCCCGTCTCGGCCTCCCAAAGTGCTGGGATTACAGGCGTGAGCCACCGCGCCCGGCCAGAACATTGATATTTCATGTATCTCTTTGTATTTCTCCTATATTCCATTACTAACTCCCTGGATTTAAAGAAACTACGATTTGGCCCACTTTGTATCATTTCAATTAATAACATCTAAGACAAATTCCCTATCATCTCCTACCTGAACTACTGTTGTAATTTTCTCATTAGTTTTACTATATCTGCTTTTTGTCCACTGCAAATCAACTTTCCACACTGCAAACAGAGTGAGCTTCATAAAATACTAGGTTGGTGTAAAAGTGATCGCGGTTTTTGCCATTAAAAGTAATGGTGACCAACCTAATACAAGTCTGATCATTTTATTTTTCTGGTTCAAACTTCTCAATTATGGCCAAGCGCGGTGGCTCATGCCTATAATCCCAGCACTTTGGGAGGCCGAGGCAGGCGGATCACTTGAGGTCAGCAGTTTGAGACCAGCCTGACCAAGATGGTGAAACCCTGTCTCTACTAAAATTACAAAAATTAAGCTGTGTGTGGTGGTACACGCCTGCAATCTTAGGTACTCAGGAGGCTGAGGCGGGGGAATCACTTGAACCTGGGAGGCGGAGGTTGCAGTGAGCCGAGATCGGGTCACTGCACTCCAGTCTGGCGACAGAGTGAGACTCCATCTCAAAAAAAAAAAGAAAAAAAAAAAAAACCAAACTTCCCAATTACTTCCAATTGTGTCTTAGGCTAAAGAACAATATCTTTAGCATGGCTCCCAACCCCTTGTTTGATTTATCCCTCTCTATTTCTCCAGCCTTGTCTTTTATACATACTTTCTTTTTTTCTGAGCACTAGTCACACAGGTGTTTTTTCATTCTCTCAATAATGCTCCCTCCCATTACAAATTATGATGAGAAATGTTATAGAAGTTCAGAAAAATAGAAGAATAGAATTTATAAAAATTCGATTTTCAACTAAAGCTTTGTCAGGCTGTTTTATTTTTTCTCTCATGTTATTTTAAAAGTAGTCCTTGTTCTTGGGGCCAAACACGATGCCTCACTTCTGTAATCCCAGCACTAGGGAGGCCAAGATGGGAGGTTTGCTTGAGGCTCACATTTAAGACAAGCCTCTACAAAAGGCAAGACCCTATATCTACAAAAAGTAAAAAAAGAATAGCCACGCATGGTGGTGCATGAGTATAGTCCTAACTACTTGTGGAGCTGAGGTGGAAGTAGTGGAAGTACTGCTGAGAGCCCAGGAGCTTGAC
Organism: Homo sapiens; assembly: GCF_000001405.40. NCBI lineage: Eukaryota > Metazoa > Chordata > Mammalia > Primates > Hominidae > Homo > Homo sapiens. Next base: position 92,884,393 of record NC_000023.11, on the reverse strand, counting down.
ATTGCAGTGAGCTACTAATGTACCACTGAACTCCAGCGTGGATAACAGAGCAAGACCCTGTCTTGAAACAAAATTAAAAGTATAAATACAATAAAAGTAGTTTTTGTTCTTATATATCTCCTCCCTTTCTTTATAAGAACTCCAAAATCTTTACCTAATGGGAAATAATTCACATTCATAACATTCTATAATGTTTGATATGAATAGATGTGTAATGGTGTTTAATAGATGAGGCCAGGAAAAGTGATATGATGTCCCTAAGACTATATAGTTACGGGTTCCACATTAGGAACAAAATATTCATTCTTAGAAAAACTTTTATTTTAGGTTCAGTGGTACATGCACAGGTTTGTTATATAGGTAAACTCATATTGGTTGTACAGATTACTTTGTTATCCAGGTATTAATACTAGTACCAAGTAGTTATTTTATCTGATCCTCTGCCTTCTCCCATCCTCCCCGATCAGGTATGCACCAGTGTCTGTTGTTCCTCTCTCTGTGTCCATGTGTTCTCACCATTTAGCTTCCACTTATAAGGGAGAACATGTAGTGTTTGGTTTTCTGTTACTGCATAAGTTTTCTGAGGATAATGGCCTCCAGCTTCATCCATGTTCCTGCAAGGGACATGAACTCACTCTTTTTTTTGGCTGCATAGTATTCCAGGGTATATAAGTACTACATTTTCTTTATCCAGTCTACCATTGATTAGCATTTAGATTTAATCCACTTCTTTGCTTTTGTGAATAGTGCTGCAATCAACATATGTGTGCATGTGTCCCTATGACAGAACAATTTCTATTCCTTTGGATATATATCCAGTAATGGGCTGGGTCAAATGGTATTTCTGTCTTTATGTCCTTGAGGAATCACCACATTGTCTTCCACAAGGGTTGAACTGATTTACACTCCCACCAATGGTGTATAAGCATTCCCTTTTCTCTGCAACCTCACAAGCATCTGTTATTTTTTGATATTTTAGTAATAGCCATTCTGACTGGTGTGAGATGGTATCTCATTGTGGTTTTGATTTGCAACTCTCTAATGATTAGTGATATTGAGTTTCTTTCATATGCTTCTTTGGCCACATGTATGTCTTCTTTAAAAAAGTGTTCAAGTCCTTTGTCCACTGTTTAATGAGGTTGTTGGTTTCTTTCTTGTGAATTTGTCTAAATTCCTTATAGATGGTGGATATTAGACATTTTTCAGATGTATAGATTGCAAAAATTTTCTCCCATTCTGTTGGTCATCGGTTTCTTCTACTCATTGGTTTTTGTTTGTTTGTTTGTTTGTTTGTTTTTGCTGTACAGAAGTTCTTTCGTTTAATTAGAACCTATTTGTCATTTCTGCTTTTGTTGCAATTACTTTTGGAATCTTTGTCATAAAATCCTTGCTTGTTTATATGTCCTGAATGGTGTTGCCTAGGTTGTCTTCCAGGGATTTATAGTTTTGGGTTTAACATGTAGGTCTTTAATCTATCTTTAGTTGATTTTTGTATATGGTATAAGGAAGGCGTCCAGTTTCAATCTTCTGCATATGGTTAGCCAGTTATCCCAGCACTATTTATTGAATAGGGAATCTTTTCTCCATTGTTGTTTTATAAAGTCAATTTTATTGACAATTAGATGGTTGTAGGTATGCGGCCTTATTTCTAAGCTCTATATTCTGTTCCGTTGGTCTATGTGTCTGTTTTTGTACGAGTATCCATGTTCTTTTGCTTACCATAGTCCTGTCACATAGTTTGAAGTCAGGTAACATGATGCTTCCTGTTTTGTTCTTTTTGCTTAAAATTGTCTTGGCTGTTCAAGCTCTTTTTGGTTCAATGTTGAATTAATAGTTTTTTTACTACTTCTATAAAGAATGTTATTGGTAGTTTGATAAGAATAACATTGGGGAGTTGGGAGTTTTATCTATAAGCCCCTGACTGGGGCTGATGCCTTTCTTTCATAGATGCCCTGCCCAGAGAGGAAGAATCTAGAGAGGCAGTCTGGCTACAGTGGCTTTGCCAAGCTGTGGTGGGCTCCACCCAGTTTGATCTTCCCAGTGGCTTTGTTTACACTGTGAGGGGAAAACAGCCTACTCAAGCCTCAGTAATGTCATATGCCCCTCCCTCCACTAAGCTCGAGCATCCCAAGTGGACTTCAGACTGCTGTGCAGGCAGCAAGAATTTCAACCCAGTGGATCTTAGCTTGCCGGGCTCCACGGGGGTGGGATCTGCTGAGCTAGACCACTTGGCTCCCTGGCTTCAGCCCCCTTTCCAGGGGAATGAATGGTTCTGTCTAGCTGGCGTTCCAGGCACCACTGCGCTATGAAGGAAAAAACAACTCCTGCAGCTAGATTGGTTTCTGCCCAAGTGGCTGCCCAGTTTTGTGCTTGAAACCCAGGGCCCTGGTGGCATAAGCACCAGAGGGAATCTCCTAGTCTGCAGGTTGCGAAGACCATGGGAAAAGCATAGTATCTGGGCTGGAGTGCGCTGTTCCTCACGGCACAGTCCCTCACAGCCTTCCTTGGTTAGAGGAGGGAGTTCCCTGACCCCTTGCACTTCCTGGGTGAGGTAACGTCCCACCCTGCTTCAGCTCACCCTCTGTGGGCTGCACCCACTGTCTAACCAGTCCCAATGAGATGAGCCTGCTACCTCAGTTGGAAATGCAGAAATTACCCACCTTCTGCATTGATCTTACTGGGAGCTGCAGACCAGAGCTGTTACTATTTGGCCATCTTGCCAGCCACCTAGAGGTTTCCATATATATCTTTTACATCCAATTGTTGTAGTGATATTTAAGTCCTCCCTTTTCTTATTGATCTTCTGTCTCATTTTCTATTATTGAAAGTGAAGTATTGAAGTCTCCTCCTATTCCTATTTCTCTGTTTGATTCTGTCAATATTTGCGTCACATATTTTGGAGTTATGATATTTGGTGCATATGATAATAATTGTTATATTTTCTAGGTGGAATGATTCATTTATCATGATTTAATGTCCTTCTTTGTCTCATAAAAGTTTGTGACTTAAAGCCTATTTTGTCTGCTATTATTATAGCCACCCTGGTTTTCTTTCTCCACTATTTATTCAATGGAATATTTTTTTCTCTCTGTTTTTTTTTTTCTTTTTCAGAAACATGATCTCACCCTGTCACCCAGGCTATAGTGTAGTGCCATGATCGTAACTCACTGTAACCTCGAACTCCAAGGCTCAAGCACTCTCCGTATCTCAGCCTCATATGTAGCTGGGATTATAGGCTTTTTCCACCATGTCTGGCTTTTTGTTGCTGTTGTTTGTTTTTTAGAGACAGTGTCTCACTGTGTTGCTCAGGCTGCTCTCTAACTCCTGGCCTGGCCTCAAGTGATCCTCTTGCCTTGGCCTTGCAAAGTGCTGGAATTACAGGCATAAGCCACAGTACATTGTCTGGAATATATTTTTCGATCTTTTCACTTGCCCTGAGGTAAGTCCTTAGACCTAAAGTGAATCTCCTGTAGACAGCATAGTGGAATGGATTCCGGGTTTTTGTTTATTTTCCATTCTGGCAATCTGTCTTTTGATTGGCATTGAAAGTAATTTACATTCATGTTTAATGTACATGTAATGTAATTACTAATAGGAAAGTACTTACATGTAAAATAATTACTAATAGAAAAAGACTTACTAATGCCATTTGGTAATGGTTTTCTGCATGTCTTATGGTTTTTTTCTCCTTCACTTCCTCCCTTACTGTTTTTGTGAATGTTTAGTTCATTTTTGTAGCGCCACATTTTGATTCCCTTCTTATTTTCCTTTGTGTATATTTTCTTTGTAAAAATTTTCTATTCTTTGTTTTTAACATAGATATTACATAAAATATTTAAGTTATAACAGTCAATTTTAAACATAACAACTTAACTTTAATTTCATACAGAATCTCTACTTGTTTACCACTCCACTTTCCATTTTGTTATTGATGTCACAAATTACATCTTTATAGATTGTATACCAATTAACATAGATTCATAAATGTTTCTTAGCTTGTGTTTTAAATTCTATTAAAAAAAAGTGAAGTTATAAACCAAAATCTTAATAATATAGGTTTTTATATTGTTCATCTATTTATGTTTAGTGGGTTACTTTATATTTTTGTATTGCTTCAAGTTATCCTCTAGTGTCCTTTCATTCCAACTTGAAGGATTCCCTTTAGCATTCATTGTAGAGTAGATCTAATGATAATGAATGAATGAATGTTATTCTTTGTTTATCTAGGAATGTCTTAATTTCTCCCTCAATTATGATGGACAGTTTTTTGAGATACAGAATTGTCCTTTGACTTTTTTTGTTCTTAATATCAGTACTTTAAAAATATAATCCAATTTCCTCCTAGCCTAAAATATTTCTGCTGAGAAATCTACTGATAATCCTACTGAGGAAAACTTGTCTCTATTTGCTTTAAAGATTCTCTCTTCTTCTTTGACATTCAACTCTTTTATTAGTATCTCTCTTAGTGTGGGTGTCTTTGAACTTTTCACGTTTTGAGTTTTTTAGCCTCTTAAATTTGTATGTCTTTCTCCAAATTTGGGAGATCGTGGTAATTATTCCATCAAATAACCTCTCTTTCCCTTTCTTTGTATCTTCTTCTGAGACTTTGATAATGCATGTATTAATCTACTTGATGATGTCCCATAAGTCCCTTACTCTGTTTACTTCCTTATTTTTTCTTTCTTCTCCTCAGATCCATACTTTTAAATGATCTGTCTTCATGTGTGCTGATTATTTCTTTTACCTGTTCAGGTCTGCTGTTGAGTTTCTCTAGTGTATTTTTCAATTCAGTTATTAAATTTTACAGCTCCAGAATATTCATTTGATTCTTTTTATTAATTTATATATTTTTATTAAAATTTTTATAATGCTAAGGTATTATTTTTCTAAGTTCCTTAATGCTTAGTCTGTGTTCTCCTTTAGCTTTTTGAGCATATTTAAGACATTTGTTTTAAAAACTTTATCAAGTAACTTCTAAGACTGTTTACTTACGGATGGTTTCTGAAGATTTAGTTTGTTATTTGAAATGGGACATCATTTCCTGTGTCTTTTATGCATTGTGATCTTTTGTTGAAAATTGGATTTGAAAAAACAATCACTTCTTACAGTGCTTGTAGATTAACTCTGTAGAGAAGACACCTTCACTAACCACTCCTGCATGAAAGCTCAAGATCTTCTCTGGCCTTTTCTGAGGATACATGTTCATGGGGCCTGTGCCTGTGCTCTATTACCCAATTCCCCATGTACATGGCTGATTTCAAATATCTTCATTCCTTTAAAAGCCTCATCTCTGTTTCTTCTCTGGTCCTTAGATGTTCTATTATTCTGTTTGTAATCTCTTGCCCTCAGGCATCCACAAGTCTGCAGTTTTCCTGTAGTTTTCACACACCACTGTGCCCACTATTGTTTTCGGTACCTTACAATCTGATATTACATCTATGCCACTGTCCCCATCAGCGCTCCAGTTAAGACAAGACAGAAACCATTACCTTGGGTAGGCCCAAGACAAGCCACATTATTGTGAACAAGTTTTACTGTTTTTCTTCTGTATTGAGAAACTAGGAATTAAGGAGGCTTCCTCCCAACTATGCCACAACACAACAGGGAGGGGGTAGGGACATGGGCAAGAAAAAATGCCACAAAACATATCACCATTTTGAGTGTGGCTTTTTCTTGGCTTAGGGTTCTCTTAGATGCTGCAGCTTCTTAACTGATTTCCAGAGTTGTCATAAACCTACTTTGGTCCATATGTTGTGTACTTGGTGTTTCCACAGGGTAGTGAGCACTTGGCTCTTCCTAATTCACCATCTTGCTGACATCGCTCACTTATGCTTGTTTTGAGTTATGAACATTGCATGATAGAAGTTGTCTTCTGTGTTTTGCTTTTTGAAGCAGAAATTATGTCTTTAATATTTATCATAGTTGTAAAATATAGTTGTAGTTCCTCAAGTATCACAGTTGGATAATATTATGTAGGGTGAATATGCCAATGCATATATATCCATTATACTACTACAACCTTTATATTAGTCTATGTTTTTGCTATTACAAAATTGTTGCCATATACATTGTATTCTAGAAATGTCGAAGAAATATCTCCCAGTGTAATCTTTTTTAATTTTTATTTAAATAGGTTTTGGGGGAACAGGTGTTGTTGAGTCTCATGGACAAGTTATTTAGTGGTGTCTTCTGAGATATTGATGTACCCATCACTGGAACAGGGTACACTGTACCCAATGTGTAGTCTTTTATGTTATGAATACCTTATAGTAGAATTGCTGGATCAAAAACAATATCAATATTCAACTTAAAAAAAATACCAATTGTTTTCCAAAGTAAATTTGCTTGTTTAAACTATTATGAGCACAATATAACATTGGAGTTCCCACTGATCCACATTCTTGCTAACATTTCTTTAATGTTTGCCAAATTAATGAACGTAAAATGGTATAACTTCCTAGATTTAATATACATTTCTCTGATTAATAATGAAATCTAGCACATTTTTCTAATCACATTTATTCCTGTGGTGTTCAGGCTGGTCCGTTGTTTTATCCTGTCTATGTGTCATTGATTTGGTTTGCAAAAACAAGCATCTCTTTCTTAATGTCAGTAATTTGATCCTGCATGTCAGATGTTCTATGTAAAAATACTAATTGAAAACCATTCTTTAAAATCAGAAATTTTACAGTTTGTTACAAATCAATCTCAAAACCTAAATTTAAAACAGTGAAATCTCTATTTATGTGTAAAAATCTTTCTTCTTAAGACGTAAAATGCTTTAGATATTATTTCTCTTTTACCAACCAATTAATATAGTTTTTAGCAACAGTTGCTAAATATTGTCTCTCTTAGTTCTAAAAACAACCTCATGTATATATATATATATATATATATATATATATATATATATATATGTGTGTTCCAAAAAATTTAATATTGATAAAACCAAGCTACCTTCTCTTAGATAGTGTTAACCAAAGAAGAACATTCTGCAGGCTATATTTTAGTATTTTTGAAATCTTTCTGTAGATTTTTATAGGAATATAGTATAATTGTATTTTATTTATCTTTTTATTGTAGCTACTTTCAAAATCTTATCTTTATCTTAGAACTTCAATAGCTTTACTACAATGAGCTTATAAGTGAATTTATTTTTTTTGTGTGTTTACATTTCCTCTTATTTCTGAGGCTTTAGTCATTTATTCTGCAAATATTTATTAATATTTATTACACATCTAATTTATGCCTGGAAGGGTTCTACATACTGACAGTAATGTAATAAATTAATAGACAAAAATCCTTGTTCTTTTGAAATTTAGGTTGTTCATCTCTCTCATAATTTCTGAAAAATCCTCAACCGTAGTATTTTTATAGATTGGTTCTCATTCATCCTCTCAGTTTTCTCATTTTGAGACTCTGATTAGATATATTTTAGACCTTTTCATTCTATCTTCCACTTGTATTATCCTCTCATATTTTCCAATTCTTTGACTTTCTGTACTACATTCTGACTATTTATTCAGATCTATCTTTAGGTTTACAAATTTCTATTCAACTGTGTTTAATCCAACTTTCGTTAGTTCCTTAGAATTTGATATATTAAAAAGCATGTTATTGAGATAAAATTTACCTAAAATAAAATCTATAAAGGTTTATTTGTTTATTCAGATAAATTTTGACAATTGTTTATATTTGTGTAACCCCCTCTCAAGGTCAGTTATAAAACATTCCCATACCTCAGGAAGTTTCTTTACACATCTTTCCAGTCAAGTTCTCCCTGAGAAGCATTATCATAGATTAGTCTCATCTATTCTTATATTTTACATAAATAGAATAATACAGTGTGTATTTGAGGGAAGGGAGTTTGGGAGTGGTGAGTATACATTGGATGTGGTGGGATATAAATAATTTATAATCAAAGAGCAGAATACGGCAAATTAAAAATGGCTACTGATACATTTTCACAACTTTCATCATGATATAAAGCCTAGTATAGCTCCATTTTAATATAATCTGGTCCTGACACTTACTTGACCAATAAATTGCAGCAAAAAAGACATGGCATATCTTCAGAGGCCAAGGGTTAAGTAGCTTTTCTGACTTTTTGATGTATCAGCTTGGCTAAGCTGAACTACAATTTCAATAATTTCCATTCTAGTTTGATTTTGTTTCGGGAAGATGACAAGGGATTTTTCTTTAGGAGATTTGGAGAACTAAGGGAAGGCAATGGCTGTTTCTTAGCAAACACATAACTTCAGTTCTTCCATCAAACATTAATCTAGCTGTTGCTAGGTATGGATTTTTCAATCACAAATTTTTTGTAGGGTGATTAATATTCTTAATATTTTGACTTTAATCTATTGACTTTAAATTCATCAAGAGAGAGATTATCCAGGGTAGAATTTACTTAATCAGTCTGAAATATTTAAAGGTTTTCATAGATCTCCTGTATGAGTGAGATTTTAGACACTGAGTCTAGAATTTCTCCCTTACTCTAGAACTTTCTTTCCAACTGCCATCTATGGACCAAAAACTTCAACCCATGCCTATGGAATTTCATCCTGAGTTTGATCTTCCCTTCTTGACTGCTTGTTCAATGGACTTCAGACACGCTTAGTCAATTCCCTCAATTGAAGAAGATCCCTTGTAAGAAATACATATAAATGCATACATAATCTACCAGTTCAGCTTCTCTGGTAACCTGAATAATACAGAATTTAAGTAGCAATAGATAGCTAATACAAATTTTGTTATCTTTATTGCAGTGCTGCTTATGAGAAAAGCAATGGGCAGAATCTGGAAGATTTATTAAGGGCATGACACAGCAAAATTAAATCACTCTTAATAGTTAGAAACTTGGACTTGGAGGACGCTAGGGGTGAGAGCTCAAAAAGTAGGGAAGGATATATTCATGGAAATTGGAGGAAGAAGGACCATTGTTTTATAGTGTTGGTGAACTTAGCAGAAATGTGACTTTCGGTTATGTGGAATAAAATTTAAATGATCACCTTAGATATTTAGATGAGATCTCCAAACAAAGTGTTGAATGCATGGCATAGTTTTGTCGCTTATTAGTAAAATGTGAGAGGAAAGATATAAATTGAAGAAAGCAGTGTTATATGAAAAGCAAGCAAGACTTGATAATTTTGGAAATTTTCAGCTTATCAAGTTGCCCAAAGAAACTGAATTAGGAGATTCACTGTTAGAAAACTGTGTTCTAGAGAAAAGGCTGTGGGTGACTCTACAACTATTGGGAACAGGCCCCCAAAATCTGGTCATAAACTGGCCCCAAAACTGGCCATAAACAAAATCTCTGCAGCACTGTGACATGTTTGTGATGGCCCTGATGCCCACGCTGAAGGTTGTGGGTTTGCCGGAATGTGGGCAAGGAACACCTGGCCCACCCAGGGCGGAAAATCGCTTAAGGCATTCTCAAACCACAAACACTAGCATGAGCAATCTGGCCCTTAAGACATGTTCCTGCTGCAAATATCTAGCCAGACCCATCTCTTTATTTCGGCCCATCCCTTTGTTTCCCTGTAAGGAATACTTTTAGTTAATCTATAATCTATAGAAACAATGTTTATCACTGGCTTTCTGTCAATAAAGATGTGGGTAAACCTCTGTTAGAGGCTCTCAGCTCTGAAGGTTGTGAGACCCCTGATTTCCCACTCCACACGCTGTATTTCTGTGTGTGTGTCTTTAATTCCTCTAGCGCTGCTGGGTTAGGGTCGTGGGGGTTAGGGTCTCCACTACCGAGCTGGTCTCGGCATACAACCCTTTCCTGAAACCTCAGAAAGATAAAAACATTACAGTATCAGTCTCACAAAAGTTTATTTGAAAAGATTTTTTACCTCACTGATCTCTTAACCAAATCAGAAAATTACTTGGAACTGTAAGGGCATTTTCCCTCATCCAACTTAGCAGGAGCCAGAAAGAATTAGAGAAGCAGTTATCTTGAAAAGGTCAGTGGGTTTGTCTTTTGTCTAATGAAATGAATCCCTATTAAATACATGAAGGCTCACTAGCTTCTTAAGAAATGTATTTTAGCAGAAATGCTGTCAGCTTGGACTAAAAAAAAGACACAGAACTGAAAACAAAACATGTTTCTTGGATTTCCAAAATTCTACTGGCAGGAAGCAGACTGAGCTGCAAACACAAGCTACTTTCCGTGAAAAAGGAAGAATGATTTGAAGGGCAGAAACAAAAAAACTCATAGGGCACAGCTAAATGTTCCAAAGATTATTCCTTATCATTGAAACCCAATCAAGGAGCTTTGGTTAGAGTTTGCCTGTCTAGATTTCATAACTTCCATGAACCAGTGACTTAATTTCACCTTTCATTTTCTCCCTCATTCAAACTGAGATGTCTATAGCTATTATCTTGTATCTATCGTACTATAGTATGTTGAGTGTTGTATTAGTCTGGGTTGGCTCATGTGATTATGGAGGCTGAGAAATTCAAGATATGCAGCTGGCAAACTAGAGATCCAGGAGAGTTGATGGAGTTGTTTGAGTCCAAAGGCCTGAGAACCAGGAGAATAGATTGTGTAACTTCCAGTCTCAGTTTGAGTCTGAAGGTAAGATAAGACCAATGCCCCAGTTTAAAGTCAATCAGGCAGAGAGAAAGAATTCTTTTTTACTCATATTTTTTTCTATCCAGGCCTTCAATGGATTGGATAGAGCCCACTCACACCGGGAGGGTAATCTGCTTTACTCAGTCTACTGATTCAAATGTTAATCTCATCCAGAAACACCCTCACAAACACACCCAGAAATAATATTTAACCAAATTCCTGATTACCACGTGACCCAGTCAAGTCAGTACCTAAAATTAACCATCATAGTACACTGTGTGTACTATGCAGATAACTTGTCTCTTTACTTTCACAAATCCACAATACAAAGAAATATTTTGCCTCACAAGAAAAATTGATTAAATCTATAAGTGTCACTTGCACCTGGTCCATATATAGTTGATGAGATTTTGAAATTTGAGCTGATGCTATAATGGAATATGAGATTTGGGTGGTATTGGGGTGGGATGAGTATATATTGCATATAAAAGAGACATAGATCACTGGGGAATCAGAGGGTAGCCTTTTGTGAGAACTTCCTAAGGTGACTCTCCCCACCAATGATTTATGCCTTTTATAATCCCTTCCCATGAAGTATGGTCAAACCTTACTTGCTTCTAGCCAATAGCATATAGCATAGCTGATGTGGCAGTCACTCCCGTGATTATGCTATATAAGACTATCTTAGCTGAGCAGAAAGAAATATTCTCCTGCTGCCTTTTTAGTATAAGAGTTTGGTATATAGCAATATATTACTGATATTCAGATATACATAGATAAACATGTACTTTTTCAAAAGTATTTTGCATTTATCCAGATAGTTAATCTTTCCACATTTCTTCTTGAAGATCTGGAATTCCATATGTTTCCATCTGGTAGCTTTAGCCTGACAAATCTCTTAGAATTTCCTATAGGGAAGATCAGCTGGAGACAAATTGTCTCATATTTCATCTGTCTGAAAATGCCTTTACTTTTTCATTTTATAAAAATAAACTATAATAAAGTATAATTTTATGTTATAAAATGCACATATTTAGTTTATGGTTTGGTGATTTTAACATATGTATACGACCATGTAATGTATGACTGTAATCAAGATATATTTTTTAATCATCTCAAAAGTTGCCCATATGACCCTTCCCAGCATATCCCTGCTCCCTCTCCCAGGACGTAGGCAACATTGATTTGTTTTCTATCATTGGATTACAGTCATATTTCCTGGAGTTTAATATAAATGAAATCTCATGGCATATTCTCTTTTGTGACTAGTCCATAGTGATCCTGAGTTTCATACATGTTGTTGTGCATATCAGAGGTTTGCTGACTTTTATTACTGTGTAGTGTTCCTTTGTGTGGACACCTCACAATTTGTTTATGTATTCTTTTATTGATGGATGTTTAGGTAGTTTCTAGCTTTTACTTATTATCAATAAAACTACTATTGCCATTTGTGAACAAGTCCATTGTGGACATATGTTCTATATACCTTGGGTAAGCATGTAAGAATAACATTTCTGGGTCATTGGTAAGTGTATATTTGAACTAAGAAGTCAGTAAACCATTTTTCAAAGTAGTTGTATTATTTTCTGTTCTCCCCAGCATTATTGTAAGGCCCAGTTCCTATATATCCTTGTTAACGTACGGTGCAGTACTGTATTTACAATTTTAGCTCTTCTAGTGGGTACATAGTGTCATCTCATTTTTATTTTAATTTATTTTTTGATAACTAATAATGTTGAGCATTGTGATAGGCAGAATAATGATCTTCCAAAGATGTCCACATTTTAATACCTAGAACCTATGAATGTTACCTTACATAGCAAAAGGGACTGTAGAAATGTGATTACGCTTTAAGGACTTTCAGATGAGTTTATCCTGGATTAGCTATGTGGATCAAACCTAATCTCATGAGTCTTTAAGAATGTCAAATCTTTCGCAGATAAGCCAAGGGTCAAGGGAGATGTGGCTATGGAAGAATGATCAGAGAGAGGCAAAGGTGCTAGCCTTGAAGATGGATGAAGGGGGTCATGATCCAAGGAATGTGGGAGTTCTTTAGAACCTGAAAAAAGAACAATAAATGACCCTTTTCTAGAGTCTCCAGAAAGAAATGCACTCCTGCAGACAATTTAATTTTAGCCCAGGTAGAGCCATGTAATTTCTATCCTAAAGAACTGTAAGATGATAAATGTTGTTGCTTTAAACCACTAGATTCTTGGTAATTTGATATAGCAGCAACAGAAAATTATTGTAAACATATTTTATTGTGCTCACCATTAATATTATCATTTTTGGTCAAGTGTCTGTTCAAATATTTCATCCAGATCTTTGATTGTTTGAGTTTATATGGTTGAATTGTAGAAATTGTTTATAATTTCTAAGTCTTTTGTCAAAAATATTGTATTCATTTTCTATTCCTGCATAATGATGTATCACAAAGCTAGCAACTTAATACAAATTCATTATCTTACAACACAGACTTACTCTTCTACAATGGGCCAGGAATCTGTGGATGGCTTTAAAATAAATCCACTGATCACGCTATAATGAAGATTATATAATGGCACTGTGATTTGCGTCTGAGGCTGAGTGTTCTCTTCCAAGCTCATTGATTATTGGTATAACTCATTTCCTTGTGGCTATATGACTGAAGTCCCTGTTTTCCTGCTAACCATTTGCTGAGGAATACTCTCTGTGCCTAGAGACCACCCATATTTCCTTGCTGTATGGCATTCATAGGCAGTTGTAAACATATATGGTTGTTTTCTTTGAGGCCAGGAGTAGCATATTTGGTGCTGCTTTTTGTTTCTTGTTAGGCTAGACCCACCCAGTATAGTCTCCCTTTTGTTTAACTCAAAATTCACTGATTAGTAATCTAATCAAAGGAATAATATCGTATCCTATTTGCTTGTCTTTCCCACACTTAAGGGAAAGAGATAATACAAAGTGTGTACACCACAGAGCAGAAATCTTGGGGGAGACACCTTAGAATTCTACCTATTACACATATGTATTGCAAAAACTTTTCCCCCAATCTATGGCTTCTCTTTTCATTTTAAATTGGTACTTTTCTAAGAAAAGACACTTCTAATTTTCTAGAGTACATCTTTTTTTCATTTATGGTTTATGTTTATGTGTCCAGTCTACAAAATCTTTACATATCTTTTGTCATAAATATTTTTTGTTTTCTTTTAGAAATCTTAGAATGTTAACACTTAGTTTAGATCTATGAATCATTTCAATTTGGCTTTTTCTGTATGGTGTGAGGTAAGGATTGAGTTATATTCTTAAAAATATGAATAATCTGTTATCCAGGACTAGTTATTGAAGAGACAATAATTTTCTCATTGAATTATCTATACTTCTTTGTGGAAAATTAATTAACTTTTTTTTGAGACAGAGTCTCGCTCTGTCACCCAGGCTAGAGTGCAGTGATGCGATCTTGGCTCACTGCAAGCTCTGCCTCCCAGGTTCACGCCATTCTCCTGCCTCAGCCTCCCAGGTAGCTGGGACTACAGGTGCCCACCACCACTTGCAGCTAATTTTTTGTATTTTTTAGTAGACATGGTTTTTGCCATGTTAGCCAGGATGGTCTCAATCTGCTGACCTCATGATCCACCCGCTTCAGCCTCCCAAAGTGCTGGGATTACAGGCATGCACCACCGCACCCGGCCAATTGATTTTTTTAATAAATGCTAAGCAAAAAACAGCCAATCTGAAAAGGCTACATATATTTCTACTCTATGACATTCAATAAAAGACAAAGATAGAGAGACAAAAAGAAAAACAAAAACAAATGCCAGGGTTTAGGAAGAGGACAGAGTGAGAAATTAATAGGTTTAGGACATTAAAACTATTCTGTATAATACCATAATGGTGAATACATGTATATTAACCATGTGTTTCTGGTGCTTTGACATGTGGGGCCTTACTAACACTGGAGAGATTGCCCTTCCAGAGCCAGCCAATTCCTAGAGAGAGTAAATATCTCACTTATAAGCACACTTTCCATATGCCAACTAATTAATCCAGAGCTCATACCCTAACACCACCTTTGTCAGTCTTTCACAAGATTCTCACACTCCGGGCAATTATTTATCTGCCCTAATCACACCAGAGCCAGGTACCAGACAACTAGGGATAGCCACTATGCCTCAGAGCCGGCTGAAGTTATTCAAATTAGTCAATCCTAAATCTGCTTACCCTGCCTCATATGTTTCTTCTCATGGAAACCACAATAAAGGCTCTTGTCTATGTTTTCCTCCATTCTCTCTGCCTCCTGACTGAATCTGGTGAGTTTTTTTTTCTTGAGACGGAGTCTCGCTCTGTCACCCAAGCTGGAGTGCAGTGGCACCATCTCTGCTCACTGCAAGCTCTGCCTCCTGGGTTCACACCATTCTCCTGCTTCAGCCTCCAGAGTAGCTGGGACTACAGGTGCCTGCCAGCACACCCGGCTAATTATTTGTATTTTTTAGTAGGGACGAGGTTTCACTATGTTAACCAGGATGGTCTCAATCTCCTGACCTTGTGATCTTTCCACCTCAGCCTCCCAAAGTGCTGGGATTACAGGCATGAGCCACCGCACCCAGGCGAATCTGATGCTTTTTAGTGTAGCTCCCCTGTGTACCCTCCTCTTGAAAACTCCTCTTTAGTGTACCCTCCTCTTTAGTGTACTCTCCTCTTGAAAAGTATGAGTTACAAACTACGAGTTACAAACTACCTTTTCAATGGCAGATAGTAACCTCAGGAGACCTGTTGACCTCACCATACCTGCATAATAATTAAAAACTACATTTTGAAATATGTCATAATACATGTCATAATACATTTGTCAAAGCAAAATGTCAACCTAGAGTGAAATCTAAGGTAGAGACTTTAGTTAATAATATTGTGTCAATATTGACTCATGAATTGTAATAAATATATTACACTAATGCAACATGTAAATAACAGGAAACTGTGTGCAGGAAGCAAGTGAGTATGTGGGAACTCTATATTTTTACACTAAATTTTTCTGTAAACCT
The DNA here is from genome assembly GCF_000001405.40 of Homo sapiens. Taxonomy (NCBI): domain Eukaryota; kingdom Metazoa; phylum Chordata; class Mammalia; order Primates; family Hominidae; genus Homo; species Homo sapiens. The sequence goes on along the minus strand of NC_000023.11, from coordinate 92,868,793 downwards.
AAAACTGCTCTAAAAATAAACTCTATTAATATTTAAAAATAGATTTATTTCAGCATCTTTCATCTGTTTCGTGGATATATATGTCTCTCCTTAAGCTAATGCCACATTATGTTGGTTAAAATAGTTATTTAGTAATTTATGTAATTAGTTATTCCAAGTATTCTAACTTTGTTCTTCCTTTTCAAAACTGCTTTTGCTTTGTTGCTTCTTGTATCAAATTTTAGAATCAGCTTGATGATTTAAAAGAATGAAATATAAAACATTGAATGCAGTTGTATCATATAAATTGTTCAATATGGAAATAATTGGTATCATAAAAAACATTGCATCTTCCAATCAATGAATATGGCATACCTGACCATATATATAGGCCCCCGCACTTCCTGGATTTTTTTTAGATCTCTTTGTGTCCTCAGCAATCTGATGGGTTGAAAAAGTAAAACTTTCATTTTGTAGCTTATTTGGATTTTTCTCATTGTTTTTTGAAAGCAATAATTTCTCAACTTTTTACATAGTACCAGAAGTAGAAGAACCTATTGAGTTCAAAATTTCAACAAATACATATGGGTGCTTATGTGTATATACACACTTTTCTAACCTTTTTATTTGGCTGTTTTTAAAATACCACTGTATTTTTCACAGACTTGTATTGCTTGTTCCTTTTTCAAAGTCCATATTTTATTTTGTTTAACATTTAATGAATAATTTACAGTCTGTTTTTCATAATTCCAATTTAAGTATTAGGTATATAAATCCCTTGCTGTTGTTGTTTATTGCCTGCAGAGTCTCACTTCTGTCAATTCATTTGCTTCACTGTTCAGTAAATTTATATCTCTGATTTTTGACTGTGGTAATATAAAGACCTACGTAGGACATGTTTTGAATGCAGCTGTCTCAATATCCTTGATAAAATGGTCTCAGGTTTATCTCCCTTCTTTGAGACTTTTTCATGTTTTAATCCATGGGCTGGAATGCTGAATTTGGCAGTTGTTTCTAGAGTAACTACATTTTTTTTTCTTTCAATGGCTGCTCAGAACTCGCTTTTCTGGTTTCATTTCAAACTCAGTACTTTGTCATTTTTGGTGATGGTGGTCGTGCTTAGAGGTTTCTTTTTTCTTTGCTAGTCTAGAAATGCACTAAAATGTGTATTTTATGAAATTTTCCTCAGTTTTATAGAGAGAGGTCTTTTGAAGTGTCTATTCTATCTTACTGCTCAACAATACATTATTTTACCACCTCTCCAAAAGGCTGCAGAAGCCTTATGCCAATAGGATAATAAGGCCCTTGGTGACCTATCCCAATGTCTTAGTACTTTATGTTGTGTATAACAGAATACCAAAAGTGAGAAATTTATATAGAAAAGATAATTTTTTATTGTAGTTATGGAGGTGGAGAAGTCCAAGGTTAAGGAGTTGCATCTGGTGAGAGTTTTCTTGCTAGTGGAGATTCTCATAAAAGTTCTAAGGCATTACTTCTCTACGCAAGTTCACAGAAAGAAAGAAACAAACAAAGTGAGTCCCACAGCAGTGCATAATATCATGGTAAGGGGGCTGTGAATGCATACTTGCTCAAGTCTTTCTTCTTCTTCTTTTAAAGCCACTAGCGCCCCCGCTTCAATGAAAACCCAGTAATCCATTAACCCATTAATTTTTGAATGAATTAATATGTTCATTAGGACAGAACATTCATGAACCAATTACCTCTTTCAGGCCCTACCTCTCAATATTGTCATAGTGGGGATTACATTTCAACATGAGTTTTGGAGGATACAAATATTCAAACCATAGTGCCCAATTGTATTAATCCATTCTCATGCTGCTATAAAGAACTGCCTGAGACTGGGTAATTTACAAAGAAAATAGATTTAATTGACTCACAGTTCTGTATTACTGGGGAGGCCTCAAGAAACTTACAATCATGGTGGAAGGCAAAGGAGAAGCAGGCACCTTCTTCACCAGGTGGCAGAATGGAGTGAGTGAAAGTAGGGGAAATGCCAGACTCTCGTAAAACCATTAGATCTTCTGAGACTCACTCTCTATCATGAGAACAGCATGGGGAAAACTGCCTCCATAATCCAATTACCTCCACCTTGTCCCGCCCTTGACTTGTGGGGATTATGGGGATCACACTTCAAAATGAGATTTTGAGTAGGGACACAGCCAAACCGTATAACCAATACTCCATGGGTTTTTTTGGGTATATGCATATATTAGATGCTAATCATGATCCCTTTTTATATATATAAATGACAATGAATTTTATTAGATTTGAATTTTAAGTCATCATATTACACATTATCATTACCAACTTCTAGAAATGAAATGCTGCAGGAATAGTTTGCTTATAGTTTTTGCCTCAATTTTTTAGCAATATAAACTAAACAATGAAACTATGGAATACTCATATTTCAATTGTGTGTATTTAATGTAATTTAAGTGTGCTAAATTTGGCCCAAATATTTTTGAGAAACAAAACAGAATATAGTTATTTGAGGGCTCGCCACACTGTTGTTCACAATGGTTGAACTAATTGACACTTGCCAGCAGTGTATAAGTGTTCTTTTTTCTCTGCAGTCTTGTCAGCATCAGTAATTTTTTGATTTTTTAGTAATAGCCATTCTGACTGTTGTGAGATAGTATCTTATGTGTTTTCCTGGTTTCCTATGTATTATTAGTTGATGGATTGTATTATTAGTTATTTATGCTTTTTTATGACAGTTTCTTCTAAATATCATTTATTTAGGCATGCTGTTCTTCACTGCTAAATCAAACACTGTATTAGATTCCTAAATAAAATGATAAATGAATTAATAAATGATTATCCTGTAAAAAAAATAATATAAATACAGAAAATATAACTGTTATAATGGATGGAAAATTGAAAAATTCTCCCTACATATTTGTATTTCCTATTGAAAGAATGAAATGTAATTATATTAGTCTGTATGTCTCTGTAGTGCTCCATGAGTAACATCAGAAATAGCTCTACTGGCTCTTGTATCTAGTGCAAAGATATGGAGAACCTGAATAAATTAAACTGGGCTTCAAAGGTTATCAACACCAAAAGTAATATATTTCCTCACCTGTACACTCTGTTGATTTTTGTTTTCTGTTTAGTTACTTTCTATACCCTTCTTTCACAGAATTGTCACTGTTTCCTTACGCAAATTTCTTTGTCAGGAAGGGTGAATTCATATTAGAATTTTTAGAAACCAATGATTTCTGCCACTGTTGTTCTACTTATTTCACATTTCCAATAAATTGAAATTCAGAAAGAATTTAAAGAGGAAGAAACTTATTTATTGCCATTTCCAACCTTATACATCTCCTTTTCCCAGCAGTATAAATTTATATTGAAGTAATTTTCCATTAGGTGAGATTGCACTTCACAAAGTCTCCATGGAAGTTCTAAGATACTATAAATTTTGTGTACAAGGCATAAATTGTAGAAAAATGCTAACTAAACTTCTTTTTACAAATATGGAGTGTTCAGTGAAACTGAATATATAGAAATCAATTACTAGGAATGGTTGAGACATAGTTCTAGTACAATGAGGATAAAGAAATATATTATAATATCCATACAAATATTTTATCACCATGAAGTGATACACCTTATAAAACTAGAAAGAAGGGTATTACAATCTTTGGATAATTGGCCTTGGGAATAAACATTAATTATTAGTAAATGAAATTGCATTTTCTAAAAAAATGTAAATAAGCATTCTTAGTGAAGTACTGAAATAAAAAGTTATTGTATTACATTTGTTTAAGCCTGTTTTAAGGACATAAAGTGCTATGTTAAATATATATTTATTGATAAATTGAAATATGAGAACAATTTTTAGGTATGTGGACAGTTTGGAAATAAGATATAATAAACCTGGTTTTCCACAGATTTCCTAACATGGAAATAGTACTAAGTGAATAGGAGTCTTCTCTTTACACACCCAGATCCTGTCCTAGGTCAGAACTGAAGTTTAGGACAGAAATGTCGATCTGAGAGCCAGCAATCTATTTGTTTCAAAGACGCACTAGAAAAACACACTGTAACTTGTCATCAGGGACAATTATTTTGTCCCAAAAGGGGAATACTAATTATAATTAATTATAGGAAATGAGGCTGGAGAAGGTATAAGGAGCAGACAAATTTAACCCCTGTGTTAGATCCATAGAGTAGTCTCTCTACACTTCTCTCAGTCTAATCTGATTCATTGTAAAGACTAAATTTCTCCAAGGTGTAAAATGTGATGATTTTATATACATATACATTGTGTAATAATTATTAAGAAGGGAAAATTCTTTGAGGCGAGACTATAATAGAAAAAGTTTCTAAAGTAAGACACATCAGACTGAGCCTTGTATAATGAGTAGGTATCTAAAACATATCTAAATGATTGATGAAAATAAAAAGAAGACTGAACAATAGTATGGATGTAATGTATCAGTTAACTATTAACATAAAAATAAGATATGTAACAAAGCACTCCAAAATTCAGTGGCTTAAAACAGCAACAATAATTTATTCTCACTCAAGGATCCAGGGGTCAGCTGGGGGTTGGCTGATTTTAGCTGAGCTCGACTGGACTTGGTTTGGCTTTACTTGCCTTGGTCATAAGCTGCATCTTCCTTATACCAGCAGGAAAATTAAATTGTCATGGTATTGGTTGAAGCACAAGAGGAAATTCTCAATCTTGCAAGAACATTTGAAGTCTCTGCTGACGTCAAGTCTGCTTAAGTCACATCTAACATCTCTTAGCCAAAGCAAGTTATATGACCAAGTCCAAAGTCAAGTGGTAGGCAAGTATACGCTGAATGTAATGTGAGGAACTGCAAAAGTTACACGTTAAAGACATGGATTCAGGGTGGGTAAAAATTAAAGCCACTTAGTCAATCTACTACAGGTAAGAATGCATAACTTATTTGGAGGCTTGTGATTTTTTAGAACATTTTGTATGATGCCAAAGATTCTTATAAGGAAGTATTTGGAAAACTATTTTGAATGATAAGTTGAGGCTGCAAGGTGAAAATCTATGGATAGAAGTCTAAGGAATTCATATCTTTTAAATAATAGAGAACTAATGAAGATTTATGAGCATTGTAAGGGCTCTGTGAAGGTGATGTTCTATGAAGATTACCCCAGATGTGTTATTTAGACATGTTTAGAATGGAAAGAGACAATGACATTGGACATGAGATAGGAATCAGCAAACCTAATTGTTAGAAATCTGGAGTGGATATATTGATATCTGAGAAAGTAGATTTCAGGACAATACACATGAAAATAAAGAAAGAGAAATATTTGACAATGATAAAACCATAAATCATCAATAAAACAAGCATCCTAAAAGTGTATTTAACAAAAGAGTTTCAAAATACGTGAAACAAAATATAATTTAAGTAAGATGAGACATAAACAAATCTGCAATTAAATTTCAAAATTCCCACATTCTTGTCCCAGAAATTGACAGAACAAGTAGACAGAAAATCATAAACATATAGAGGACTTGAGCAACACAATCGCCCACTTCAAACTAATTTTTATTTATAGAACAATAATCCCAATGAAAGAAAATATGCATTCTTTTCGAGGAAACATGGAATATTCATCAAGATAGACCATGTAATTCACCATAAACTAGGTTAATTTTAAAGGATTGCAATCATGAAGACTCTGTTTGCTGAACAAAATTTAACTAAATTAGAAATCAAATCACAACAAAACATCAGTAGAAAACATGAATATTTTGAAATTAAGTAACATACTTTCAAATAACCCATGTATCAAACAAGAAATTAAAAGATACATTAGAGAAAAATCTGAATTGAGTGATTATGAAAACACCACATATCAAAATGTATACAGTGCAACTGGAGCAGTAATTAGAGTTCTTCATGCTTACATTAGAAAAAAAAATGTTTTTTATTTCAATTGTTTTTGGGGTACAAATGATTTTTGATTATATGGATAAGTTCTTCAGTGGTTACTTCTGAGATTTTGGTGCACCCATCACCAGAGCAGTCTACACCACACTGAATATCTAGAATTTTGCAACTCATTCCCTCCCATCCTTACCTCCCTGAGTCCCCAAAGTTTATTATATCATTCTTAGGCTTTTTCATCCCCATAGCTTAGTTCTCACTTATAAGTGAGAACATACAATATTTGTTTTTCCATTCCTGACTTCACTTAGAGTAATGACATCCAGCTCCATCCAACTTGGTGCAAAATACATTATTTTATTCATTTTTATGGCTGTATAGTATTCCATAGTGTACATATACCACATTTTCTTTATCCACTCATTGGTTGCTGGGCACTTAGCTTGGTTCTATATTTTTTCAATTGAAAATTGTGCTGCTATAAACATGCTTGTGCATGTATCTTTTTCATATAATTACTTATTTTTATTTGTGTAGATATCCAGTAGTGGGATTTCTTAATCAAATACTAGTTCTACTTTTAGTACTTTAAGAAATATTGATACTAGTTTCCCCTAATGGTTCCCCTAAAAGTTTATCTTCCCATCAGCAGTGCAAAAGTGTTCCCTTTTCACCACAGCCATGCCAATGTCTACTATTTTTTGAGTTTTAAAGTATAGCCATTCTTGCAGGAGTAAGGTGGTATCTCATTGTGGTTTTAATTTGCATTTCCCTGATAATTAGTGATATTGAGCATTTTTTCATAAGTTTATTGGCCATTTGTATATTATCTTTTGAGAATTGTCTGGTCATGTGATTGCCCACTTTTTGATGAGATTATTTGTTTTTTTCTTGCTGATTTGTTTGAGTGCCTCTGGATATTAGTCCTTTGTCAGATGCATAGTTTGTGAATATTTTCTCCCACTTTGTTGGTTGTCTGTTTCCTCTGCTGATTATTTCTTTTGTTATGTATAAGCTTTTTAGTTTAATTAAGTCCTAACAATTTATTTTTGTTTTTGTTGCATTTGCTTTTTGTTCTAGGACATGAAGTCTTTGCCTAAGCCAATGTCTAGAAGAGTTTTTCTGATGTTATCTTCTAGAATTTTTTTGGTTTCAGGTCTTAGATTTAAGCCTTTGATTCATCTTTAGTGGATTTTTGTATAAGGTGGGAGATGAAGATCCATTTTCATTCTTCTACATTTGGTTTGCAAATTTTCCCATCACCATTCATTGAATAGGGTGTTCTTTCCTCACTTTAGGTTTTCATTTGTTTTGTCAAAGATCAATTGGCCGTAAGTATTTGGCTTGTTTTCTGGGTTATCTATTCAGTTCCATTGGTCTATGTGCCTATTTTTTATACCAGCACCATGTTGTTTTGGTAACTATAGTCTTGTAGTATAATTTGAAGTTAGGTAAGGTGTTGTCTCCAGTCTGGTTCTTTTTGCTTAGTTGCTTTGCCTATGTGGGCTCTTTTTTTGTACCATATGAATTTTAGGATTGTTTTTTCTAGTTCTGTGAAGAATGATGATGGTATTTTGATAATAATTACCTTCAATCTGTACATTGCTTTGGGCAATGTAGTCATTTTTACAATACTGATTCTATCGATTCATGAGCATGGGATGTGTTTCCATTTGTTTGTGTCATCTATGATTTCTTTCAGCAGTGTTTTGTTGTTTTTCTTGTAGAGATCTTTCACCTCCTTGGTTAAATACATTCCTAGCTTTTTTGTTTGTTTGTTTTGTTTTTTTTTTTCAGCTGTTGCAAAAAGAATTGAGTTCTTGATTTGATTTTCAGCTTAGTTGTTGTTGGTGTATAGCAGTGCTACTGATTTGTGTAGATTGATTTTGTAACCTGAGACTTTACTGAATTCATTTTTCAGATCTAGGAACTTTTTGAATAAGTCGTTAGGGTTTTCTAAGTATACAATCATATTATTGGTGAACAGTGACAGTTCAACTTTTTCTTTTGCACTTTGGATGCCCTTTATTTCTTTCTCTTCTCTGATAGCTCTGGCTAGGACTTCCAGTACTATATTGAATAGAAGTGGTGAAAATGGGCATCTTGTCTTATTCCAGTTCTCAGGGGAGGATGCATTCAAGTTTTCCCCCTTCAATATGATGTTGGCTATGAGTTTGTCATGTATGGCTCTTATTACTTTGAGGTAAATCTCTTCTATACCTATTTTTTGAGGGTTTTTATAATAAAGGGATGATGGATTTTATCAAATGTTTTTTCTGCATCTATTAAGATGATGATATGGTTTTTGTTTTTAATTCTATTTATGTGATGTATCACATTTATTGACTTGTGTATGTTAAATCATCACCGTATCCCAGGGATGAAACCCACTTAATCATGCTCTATTATCTTTTTGATACGCTTTTATATTCTGTTGGCTAGAATATTTTTGAGGGTTTTTTTATTATTATACTTTAAGTTCTGGGATACATGTGCACAACGTGCAGGTTTGTTACATAAGTATACACGTATCATGGTGATTTGCTGCACATATCAACCCATCATCTACATTAGGTATTTATCCTAATCCTATCCCTCCCCTAGCCCCCCACCCACCAACAGGCCCTGGTGTGTAATGTTCCCCTCCCTGTGTCCATGTGTTCTCATTGTTCAACTCCCACTTATGAGTGAGAACATACAGTGTTTAATTTTCTGTTCCTACGTTAGTTGGCTGAGAATGAAGGTTTCCAGCTTCATTCATGTCCTTCATAGGACATGAACTCATCGTTTTTTATGGCTGCATAGTATTCCATGGCACATATGTGCAAGGTTTTCTTTATCCAGTCTATCGTTGATGAGCATTTGGGTTGGTTCCAAGTCTTTGCTATTGTGAATAGTGCTACAGTGAACATATGTGTGCATGTGTCTTTATAGTAGAATGATGTATAATCCTTTGGGTATATATCCAGTAATGGGATTGCTGGGTCAATATTGGTCTGTAGTTTCCCTTTTTTATTAAGTCCTTTCCTGGTTTTGGTATTAAGGTGATACTGGCTTCATAGAATGATCTAGGGAGGATTCCCTTTTTCTATATCTTTTGAAATAGTTTCAGTAGGATTGACACCAATTCTTTGAATATCTGATAGGATTCACTGTAACTCCATCTGGTCTTGAGATTTTTTTTAGGCAATGTTATTATTACTGATTCAATCTTGCTGCTTGTTATTAGTCTTTTCAGGGTTTCTGTTTCTTCCTGATTTAACCTAAAAGTGTTGTATATTTCCAGGAATTTATCTATCTCTTCTAGATTTTCTAGATCGTGTGCATACAAGTATTCAAAGTAGCCATAAATTATCTTTTACTTATATGGTATTGGCTGTGGTATCTCCAGTTTTATTTCTATGTGAGCTTATTAGGATCTTCTATCTTCTTTTTTTGGTTAATCTCAATAATGGTCTATCAATTTTGTTTATATTTTCAAAGAATTACCTTTTGATTTCATTTATCTTTCATACTGTCTTCGTTTCCATTTCATTTAGTTCTGCTTAGATCTTTCTTATTTTTTTTTCTAATAGGTTTGGGATTCATTTGTTCTTGTTTCTCTAGTTCATTGAGGTGTGACATTAGGTTGTCTATTTGTGCTCTTTCAGACTTTTTGATGAAGGCATTTAATGCTATGAACTTTTCTCTTAGCATTGCTTTTGCTGTATCCCAGAGCCTTTGATAACTTATGTCACTATTATTATTCATTTCAAAGAATTTTCAAATTTCCATGTTGATTTCATTGTTAAACCCCAAATTATTCAAGAGTAGATTATTTCATTTCCATGTATTTGTATAGTTTTCAGAGTTCTTTTGTAATTGATTTCCATTTCTATTCCACTGTGGTGTGAGAAGATATTTGATATGATTTTGATTTTTTTTAAATTTCTTGAGAAGTGTTTTGTGACCTATCATATGGTCTACCTTGGAGACTATACCATGTGCTGATGAGAAGAATGTATATTCTGAGGTTGTTGGGAAGAATGTTCTGTAAATATCTCTTAAGTCCATTTGTTCTAGGGTATAATTTAAGTCCATTGTTTATTTGTTGACTTTCTTTCTTGATGATCTGTCTAGTACTGTCAATGGAGTATTAAAGTCCCCCACAATTACTCTGTTGCCATCTGTCTCATTTCTTAGGTGTAGTAGTAATTGTTTTATAAATTTGGGAGCTCCAGTGTTAGATGCATATAAATTTAGGATTGTAATATCTTTCTTTTGAACTGATCCTTTTATCATGATATAATGGCCTTCTTTGTTTTTGTTTTTGTTTTCATTTTTTTCTGCTGTTGCTTTAATGTCTCTTTTGTCTGAAATAAGAAATAGCTACCCTTGCTCACTTTTGGTTTCCATTTGCATGAAATATGTTTTTCCACCCCTTTACTTTAAGTTCATGTGAGCTCTTATGTGTTAAGTGAGTCTCTTGAAGACAGCAGATATTTTGTTGGTGGTTCTTTATCCATTCTGCCATTGTGTATCTTTTAAGTAAAGCATTTAGGCCACTGACATTCTACATTAATATTGAGATTCAAGATACTGTTCTATTCATCATGTTAGTTGTTGCCTAGATACTTTATTTTTTCATTGTGTTATTGTTTTATAGGTCCTGTGAGATTTATGCTTTAAGAAGGTTCTATTTCGGTGAATATTGAGCTTTTGTGTCAAGATTTAGAACTCCTTTCAGCATTTCTTGTAGGGCTGGTTTGGTAGTAGCTAGTTCACTCAGCATTTGCTTGCCTCAGCATTTGTTTGTGCTTCATTTATGAAGCTTGGTTTTGCAGGATACCAAATTATTTGGTGACAGTTATTGTTTATGGAGGCTAAAGATAGAACCCCAATCCCTTCTGGCTTGTGAGGCTTCTGCTGAGAAATCTGATGTTAACCTGATTGGTTTTCTTTTATAGTTTACCTGATGCTTTTGTCTCACAGCTGTTAAGATTCTTTCCTTCACCTTGACTTCAGATAGTCTAATGACTATGTGTCTTTGTGATGATCTTTTTGTGAGGAATTTCTCAGAAATTTTTTTAGCTTCTTGTATTTGGGTGTCTAGGTGTCTAGCAAGGCCAGGAAAGCTTTCCTTAATTATTCTCTCAAATAAGTTTTCTCAACATTTATACTTGACTTCTCCCTCAGGAACACCAATTATTCTTAGGGTTGGTTGTTTTACATAATCCCACATTTCTTAGAGACTCTGTTCATTTTTTAGAATTCTTTTTTTAAAATTTTTGTCTGATTGGGTTCATTCAAAAGCCTTGTCTTCAAGCTCTGAAATTCTTTCTTCTACTTCTTCTGGTCTATTGGTGAAACTTTCCACTGCATTTTGTATTCCCCTAAGTGTGTCTTTCATTTTCAGAAGTTCTGATTGTTTTTCTTTACAATGTCTGTTTCTCTGGAAAATATTTTATGCACATCCTCAATTTTCTTTTAATTAAAGTTAGTTCTCACCTGTCTCTGGTAACTCTTTGAGTAGCTTAAAAATCAATCTTCTGAATTTTTCATCTGGCAATTCAGAGATTTATTCTTGGTGCGGATTTATTTCTGGAGAGCTAGTGTGAACTTTTTGGGGTGTTATAGAACCCCATTTTGTCTTATTACCAGAATTACTTTCCTGGTTTCTTCTCATTTGGGTGGACCATTTCTTCAAATTGTTCTTGAATTCATTTTTTTATTGAACTGTGTCTTTTATATTTCTTTTTTTTTCCTCTTAAGAACCAGTCTTTAATGTTCATATTTTATTTTAGCCTAATTTGATTTTTGGTGCTTTTAGTGGTGAAAGTGAAGACTCTGTATGAGTTCCTCAGTTATACAAAATATTTGTGCACCAGCTTTCCCAGATGCTGGTTGTAGTATTTATGTACTCGGTGTGTGGGCAAGTTCATTATCTCTTATGGGGCTGGAATGCCAGGGATCTCTTGAAGCTTATCTCATTCTCTCGTGGTGTATACTTTATTTATTTCCTCCCCAGTATTTTATTTACTGGGTTGATGATTTAAGCTTCAGGCCAATATGGGAGGTATCCTTGAGTAGGCACTGGCTATAGCTAAGGCAGGTAGGTAGATGTAATACCCAATGGTGGGCAGAAGTCCCAGGCTTGATAAAGGTTCCTGGAGGAGCTCTCACTTAGAATTGCTGAGCTTACCCCAATTATTGGGGTAAGTAGTGGGAGCTACCGCAGCTCCCCTGCAAGGCCAGCAGAAAAGCTGTCTACCTCACAGCCTCATTCTTGTTCGGGTGTTCTGACTATTCAGATGAGACAGGCAACTTTTTTCATCTGTAAGAAATGTTGATGTTCTAAGAAGGGAGGAAATATGGCTCTGCCTTTTATGCAGGCCTGAATCTGTGGCATGCTCCTCTTGAGGGGCTGCAATCACCCTGGATTGTTCCAGGAGGGCTGTCTATATGTGCAACAGTGCTGCATTTCTAGAGGAGAAGCCCCAGCTGCCTCTGCAGTGGTGTGCCAAGGGGAATAAGGACCACTTCTCGAAGGCCTTTCATAATCACAGAGGCTGCCTGCCTGTTGGAGTAGAGGTGCAAAGTTTCTCTACTGTTTCCAGCACTGTAGTTGTGTCTGTGCTATAAGAATCTACCCACAAGTGGAAAGATCTGGGACTCACGTCTTACTCTTCAGATTATCATGTCCCATGGGGTGATGCCTTGATGTGGTGCTCTCCCCCTTCCCCTGGAATGGGGCATCCTGAGAGCCAGACTGCAGTGATTGTTATTGCTCTTCTGGGTATAGCCACCCAGTGGGGTACCAGACTCTGAGCTGGTGTTGGGAAATGTATGCAAAGGATCCAGTGATGTGACCTCTCTTCAGGTCTCCCAGCAGTGGATGCAACCACCTGCTCTGATGGAGGTGGCAGGGGAGTAATGTAGACTATGTTAGGTTCCTTTGCTGTAGATAAGCTTAGTGTGCTGGCTTTCTCGAATGCTAGTTATGCTAACAGTGAAGTTCTCATGTGGACAGACTCAGGACCTCTGGTTAGCCAGGGTGTTGCAGGCAGTGCTGTTACCAGCCATTTTCTTTTTCTTGGGTGCAGTGTTGTTCTACCAAGAGGTGCTGTAATGGCCTGAGTTGCTTGGCCTCCAGCCGGGAGGTGGCACTTGCAAGAGAGCACCAGCTGCAGTAGTAGCAGTAGAATTTTTGCTTGCTCTAAGTTGTTCAGGGGAAGTATTCTGTTTTCTCAGCTGATGGCCGAGGCCATAAAGCTCCCAAGAGTTTATGTCCTTTCTGTTAATCTATTAGGGCAGGTAGAGATATAGCATCAGGTTTGGGGAGGGTCAGGTCTGAACTCAGACTCTCTTTGGGCAGGGCCTGCCACAGTCACTGTGGGGGACGAGGGATGAATCTCAGGCCACTAGGGTAGTGTTCCAGAGGGGAGAATAACTGCCTCTGCTGTGGAGAAGACTTTTCAAGGGGAGTGGGGAATAGCCAGCAATAGTAGGCCTCACCTAGCTCCCACACAGTTGGCAAAGCGAGTGTCACTCCTGCAGTGCCCTGCTAAGAGCGCCGGGTTTAGATCTAGGTAGCCTGAGTACAGAACTGAACCTGCCCCAGGCTATAAGCTTCCCTACAGAGATAGCAAGCATGATTTTCAGGACATGCCCCTCCCCGTCTGTCCGCAAGGCCGGAAGCCCAGCTTCTGCTCACATATCTGCAGCACACTTCCTGCTCATCCCCAGATTCTGTTCAGGAGAGCTTTTCCCCAGTCAAAATTGTATCACAAAATTAAATTGGGAACTTCTTTCACCCTGCAACCTCTCTCTGAATTCATTGTCTGACTTACCTGAGGGTTCCTGTGAGATATAGTCACAAATAGCTTCCCTGGGCTTGTGCTAGAGACTGGGAATGCTTACAAGGCACTATCCACTGCTGCTTCTACTTTTATATTTCACACCACTCCATAAATCTGTTCCAGCTCTGAGTAGGGTAAAGGGCTTCTTCTGTGATCTGAATTTTCACGTTCCTCAGTGGGGATGTGTGTTTGGAGGCACGTTGTCTACTTCTCACATTCTGGAAACTGATAGTTTTTTGCTTGTCTCATGGAGTAAGTTGCAGCCTGCCATTTCTTTCACAGGATCAGTGAATTATTTTGGTTTTCCTGGTAAGTTTCTGTGGTGGTTCTTCAAGAACACATTCACAGTGTGAATCTCTGCCCAGTATTCTGTCCTTCCAAGTGGGAGAGACACACCAACACTGCCTCCTATCCACCATCATTTCTCAGCTTATATTAGAAAAATATTAAAACTATATGATCAATAGACTTCTGCTTATGAACCAGACACAGTAATAGGTACCAGATTTATCCTCTGAATACAGCTGAAAGAACAAGAACAGAAAAAAACAAAAACAGCCAAAAACATATGAATGGTACCGCTTCCCATATGCCAGATTGAAAAACCTTCAAATTCACAAGTAATTCGGTAGTGTCTTGCCTCAGTACTGGGAAACAACTCATCCAACACTGAACACTGTTCTAGTCAGGCCTACCTGGATATTAATAGCAAATATGCATAGGAAAAAATCTCATGGTGAGATTTTATGACGCTTAGAATTAAAAAATGATAAAAACACTAAATGTTGATAAATGTTATGGTCTGGATATTTATGTCTACTCAAAATCCTCACCCTCAAGGTGATGGTATTAAAAGTTGGGGCTATTGGGAGGTGATTATGTCATGGAGGCAGAGCCCTCATAAAGATTAGTAACCTTATAAAAGAGGCCTGAGAAAAACCTCTTGCTCATTCTACTCTGTAAGGTTAGTGTGAAAAGAAGGCTATCTATGAGGAAGTGGGCCTTCACCAGACAGTGAATCTGCTAGCTCCTTGATCTTTGACTTCCTTGCCTCTGTATCTCACTGATATATGAGAAACACATATCAGTGGTATATGTGCTATCAGGTCTATGGTATTTTGTTATAGCAGTCCTAATGAAATTAACAAGTTTGTGGAACAACTAGAACTATCATACTTTGACCCTGGGAGTTAAAATTGTTTAATCACTTTGGAAACTCAGCTGTCAACTTCTCCTAAAATTAAACGTATTCCCACCTTATGACTCAGCAATTTCTCTTGATATTTACCTAACAGAAGTAAAATAATGTGCAAAAAAAGATTTGTACAAGAATTTATTAAAAAGCTTTATTCTTAATAGTCTCAGACATTATTATTCATAGTAGCCCTAAAGAAACAACTCAAATGTTCATCACCAGGGGAATAGATGAAAAAATTGTGGAATATTCAAACAATGAAATGCTACCAAGTAATGAAAAGGAGCAAAGTATTATTACATGCAACAATCGGGCTGAATGAAAAAGTCTGAACCAAACAAGTACCGACTTTGTGATACCATTTATCTAAACTCTTACAACAGGCAAAACTTATCTCTGATGAAAAAAATAAAAATAAAAACAGTGGTTGCCTGGAAGTGAGAGTAGAATCAAATGAGAGGGGGCAGAAGGGAATTTTCTTAAGTGATAGGAATGTTTAATAACTTAATTGGGATGATTATGCAGTTGTAAGACCTCATCAAACTACATGTGTAAGATGACTCCTTTTCTTACACATGTAAATTATAGCTAAATTTTAAAAATACTTTAAAAATAGTTGACAGAATCTCTTTTAGATATGTGATAATTGAAAATATGACAATGAGTCACAGAAATAAAGTCAAGAGTCAGTATAACAAAGTTGAGGTATCCATCAGGATCAAATACCTCACCATTACCATCATGAAATGCACACACAAGAATAACAGCTCTATGAGGGAAGGATTTATTATTAGCTTTGTTATTTGATTTAACTCTGATGTGGGATTGACATATAGTTATTTCTCAATAAATATCTGTTGAGTAAATCAATATCATCAAAGTTGAAAGAGACAGAATATGAGGAAAGGTCACTGAATTTTCAAGTTTTGTTACCAATGAATTTGAAAGAGTAGTTTAAATAGAATAATGTGTTTAAAATAAATCTCTTCTTTATTAAACAATCCTTGGATATTTAATCTACCTGGAGAAGAAAGAGATGCAAAACATGGATTCCAGTAGCATTGAGAAAAATGTTTCCTGTTTTAAGGTATTTAATTGGTAAAACAAATTAACTTCAAGTGTTGAGTAAGAGAATAATGATTTTTGTCTCCCATGTGAAGTTACAGAATGAAAGAAGAAGATTATATGTTCACACATATAATTACTGTGGTAGATTGTAAATGCTGTTTGGACTGCAATTATGACAGCTGCAAACTTATGGTTACAAATTTGGTCCAACTGAAGAGACTTTGTAGAGATTCTTTTGTTTAATACTAAACTGCTTCTAAAACAAGAATATGTGATACCAAATTCCATGACAGTATTATCCAAAGGAAGAAGCAGTTGTGAATTTTCTTGATGTCCATAAGTATAGAGATATTACTTAAATAAAACCATGTATTTTGTAAGATTTTATAATTCCAAATATGTTCTATGTGTAAATAAAGAAAAAGATGAATTGTAAATAACAAATAAAGCACTTCAACTAATTGGTACTTGCAGGCCTAAAAGGAAAAAAAAAGAAAAAAAGAATGATGGTGGTGTTTTGATGGGGATTGTGTTGAATTTGTAGATTGCTCTTGGTAGTCCTTCTAAACATTGGCTTAGGCAAGGATTTCATGACCAAGAACCCAAAAGCAAATGCAATAAAAACGAAGATAAATAGCTAGGACTTAATTAAACAAAAGAGCTTTTGCATGGCAAAAGGAACAGTCAGCAGAGTACACAGACAACCCACAGAGTGAAAGAAAATCTTAACAATTTATGTAACTGACAAAGGACTAATATCCAGAATCTACAATGAACTCAAACAAATCAGTAGGAAAAAATACAAACAATCCCATCAAAAAGTGGAGGACATCAATAGACAGTTCTCAAAAGAAGATATACAAATGGCCAACAAACATATGAAAAAATACTCAACATCATTAATGATCAAGAAAATGGAAATCAAATCCACAATGTGATACCACCTTACTCCTGCAAGAATGGCTATAATCAAAAAATCAAAAAACAGTAGATGTCGGCATGGATGTGGTGATCAGGGAACACTTCTATACTGCTGGTGGGAATTAAACTAATATAGCCGCTATGGAAAACAGTGTGGATATTCCTTAAAGAACTAAAGTAGAACTACCATTTGATCCATCAATCCCACTACTGGGTATCTATCCAGAGGAAAAGAAGTCATCCGAAAAAGATACTTGCACATGCATGTTTATAGCAGCACAATTCGCAATTGCAAAATCATGGAACCAACCCAAATGCCTGTCAATCAATGAGTAGATAAAGAAACTGTGGTATATTTATATGATGGAATACTACTCAGCCATAAAAAGGAATGAATTAAAAGCATTTGAAGCAACCTGGATGAGACTGGAGAATATTATTCTAAGTGAAGTAATTCAGAAATGGAAAACTAAACATCATGTGTTATCACTGATGTGTGGGTGCTAAGCTATGAGGACACAAAGACATAGGAATGATATGATGGACTTCAAGTAGTTGAGGGAAGGGTGGGAGGGGGTCTAGGGACAAAAGACTACAAATATGGTGCAATGTATACTGCTTGAGTGATAGGTGTACTAAAATCTCACAAATCACCGCTAAATAACTTACTCATGTAACCAAATACCACCTGTACCCTAATAACTTATGGAAAAATGAAAAAATAAAAATAAAAATAAACAAAAGGTTTATCAGGAGAGGTGGTTAAAATCAAGGTTTTGAATTGACTGAAGATTTTAGTTATCTGTGATATAATTGGAACACAGTGAGTTATTAATGATCCTTTAAATAAACAATGAAAGACTCAATCTCCTTACTCTATCACAGGGGGGAAAACAGAACTGGCTGTTGTGAAACAGGAAGGAATGCTCTTGTCATCCCTGATTTGTAATCAACCCTTTCCCCCCACCAAAAAAGAGTGATGGCCCTGGAAAATTATCAATGGTTTAAACTGCAGCCTCAAGAAAAATGATCGTAAGCCATCAGATAGCCTTCATTTGTTAGTCTGAGTTCCACTGAGAATAGTGAAAGGGATGATAGGGTTGTAGAGATTAAGCAAATTTTTTTCTCAAAATTGAATTCAGTTTTGTGAATCTGAATTGACAAATCATTAAAAAGTGAATATTTCTCCTTACTAGAAAGAAAGGGGAAATAGGACTAGTATACTATGTACAAAGCACACTAACATTTATTTATATTTGAACGTACTATTGACAAAATTATTAAGATAGAAATATATTGATTTCTTACAAGAAATCCTAGATGGATATGATCTACAATTTTTTAAAAAATGTATAATAAAAAAACTCCCTGTCTGCAAAATGCCCTTTTGTTGGTTTGAAAAACAACCTGCTCATTATTATTGCATTTTATGAGCACTAGGCATAACTAGTAAGATGGGTACTTTGTATGCACAAAGCTCTAGACATACCCTTTTGTATTCTAGGTTAGTGTTTCTTCACATACATTGGAAATCCATGATAAAGGTTGTCTTTGCTGGGATGGAATAAAACTTCAAATAGTTGCTTTCATTTCTTTCACAAATTGCTGGAAAATTCCAGGTTCATATCAGTATTTACTATGTTAAAGCAGTGACAAGATAAATGATACATTCCTGGAGAGAAATACGTCATTAGTGATAAACAGTCACAAACTCAGTCAAGCAAGTAATGCGTTGCAGGTCAAAACCTACACCCCTGACAATACTGCACATCCAGGTAATACACCACATGTCATATTTGAAGGAGAAAATGCTTTTTCTACTGCTACAGCCTCAACAATTTATACTGTTTGCTAACGTAGAGATATGAAGGATTTGCAGAAGTAGAGGAATGCATTTACAAATTTTATGAACTGTAGGGATGCAATTAGCAACTGAAACTCATCAAGAATATTAGCCAAGTAATAAATCTTGGTAGAATTTAATGACTAACAAGATTAAATGTTCATTGTAACTGAAGATTAGGTCCTATGGACAGACGAGACCCAAATTCAATGTTGATAAAATTACACTTGATGTTGGTTGAAACAGCAGGGAGAGGGGATTCTCCATTCTCGAGTTAAGCCCATTTCATATTCCCTCTGTCTACTCAACTGTAGATGAATTAATTATGAATATAATAATAGACTCCTAGTCTCTCCCCAGTCAACAAATACAGCTGCAGAAGCAGTAGGGAGGAGATTACTTTCAGTGTTTAAGTAGTTAAACAAATAGAGCTATATTACTTGAATTTAAAAATCTAGATATAAAATTACCTATAGCTATTCTTCTTTTTCTTTCAAGCAAAAGCTCACAGTATTTTACTGAATATATTGGTAAGTGAGATAACTCTCTCTATTTTTCTTCATGCAAAGGCTAGGATTCAGCCATATGGAATAATTTCACAGGTTTGGGGCACACCAGATGTTTTCACTTAGCCTATTTTGGCAGAATCACTTTGTAAATAATCAATCATAATTCCATGTTTTTAGAAGCCATACTATTAGTAGGTCTTATCATCCAAAATCTATAAATAAATGAGAACAAGGGTTTCTGTAGAGCCTATGCACATTTCCTCCAGGAAATTCCTAGAGCTACCTTACAGGGCCAAAAGGAGCTTAGAATTAAAAGTTACATTGTTTACATATTATTGCTTGAAAAAACATTAGAAGCAACCACAGATCAGAATTGCTATAATAACTAACCCTATATACAATATTTACTTCATTCCAGATACTGTTTTAAATGTGCTACATAACTAATTTCATCCTTAAAGCAAGACTATGAAATAAAATCTATGACTATCCCCAGTTTACACTTGAGAGATCTAAAGCATTCAAAGGATAAATATATTGTTCAAGATCAAAAACCCAATTAATGATTAGAGTCATTATTAGAAGCCAGAAAATCTGCTTCGAGAGCCTGCATTGTTTACCTTTATGCTGCAATGTTGGAAATTAAAATACTGAGGAATGATAGTAAACAGAAACAGAAAAGTTATCAGCAACAAGACTCACCACTCTAGGAGCAGTTTACACAGTGCAAAAAACCTCTAAGGGTTGCATTGTGTTAGCACACGGGAATAATAATAACATGGAAATGATAATAGAGGTAACAATAACAGTGGTTTCTTGAGCAACAACTACACATCAGATGCTTTCACAGTGCTTTTTATCTGATTAATCCTCCTAATTCCCAACTTAGGTTAATATCCTGCTTTTGAACCTAGGACTGTCTGACTTCCAAAGACAATATGACTTCTAATAGATAATACTCACCAGTGAAACAATTGCTTTACATTAGGGTGGCTATGGATTTCCAAGAAAAAAGAAAAAAAAAAGTTATTTCATACTGTTAACGAAGACAGGATATCCGTAAATGCAGTTTACATATATATTGTTTTTCTAAAATACTGAAAACCTAATTTAATCTAATTTAATTGAACAAGTATTTGCTTGTTGAATTAAGCAACATATACAGACGATCCCTGACTTATGATGGTTCAATTTGAGATTTTTTAACTTTATAATAGTGTGAAAACAATACACATTTAGTAGAAATCGTACTTCAAATTTTGATTTTTTTTTTTCTGGGCCAACAATATATGGTATGAAACTCTCTCTGAATCTCCTACGCAGCCATGCAATCTCAAGGGTAAAAAACCAATGCTCTACAGTAAGCTGTGTTGCCAGATTATTTTGCCAAACTGCCGTCTAATATAAGTGTTCTGAGCATGTTTAAAGCAAACTGGGCTAAACTATGATGTTCAGCAGGTTAAGTGTATTAAATGCATTTGTAACTCAGGATATTTTCAACTTACAACAGATTTATAGGGACATAACCCAATAGAAAACTGAGGATCATCTGTAGTTAAGGCACCAAATTAGATAGTTTAGGGGAAACAAAAATGAGTAAGCAAAGAGACAAACTGTTTCCACAGATCTTATAGTCTACTGAAGGAGCTAATTGCACAAAAAAAATAATGCTGTATGCAAGAAGAGCATACACATTTTTGAAAGAGGTACAAAATGTCATGAAGGTACATCTAGATTTAGGATGACAGAATAAAGAGATTTCTGCATATTTATTTTCTGAGAATCACTCCTAAATAAGAGAAAAAAAATAGAAAATGAAAACACAAACCCCATAATTGATGAAACCAGGATGTTGCTGAAACAACATTTTTATTATATGAAGGTGGAAAATAGATGGAGGGATTGCAATAGACTCAGCAGTGATAATAAAATCCACACCTTTGTTTCCTGGGTAGAAAATAGTTCCAGATGTCAGAAGAGAAATTGAGTAGGGTATGGATTAGAAGCTTTCATTTGTACTTTTTCTTTTGTCCTGCAAATTCTAGGGATGAGCCTGAGCTCAAGCATACGGAATAATGTATTTTAGACATATTAAAATGTGTGGAATGACTTAATATTAAGTAAAAAGAAAACTAATTAAATGAAATGCCATTATATACTCTTTGAGTCAACAGTAAATATTTCTTAGTTGTAAATATATATATATATATATAACTTTTGTATTGAACTAATCCACACATTTTGTGACTTTCTTGTGTAGCCAAGGAGTAAGAAGAGAAACAAACAGAAATTGAGGATTAGCCAGAATGTGGTCTAAAATTGTGTGGCTTCAATGACTCATTTAATGTGCAAACTTTTGCTGTTGTGCATAATTTTTAAATTATTATCCTTATTTTTTACCGTTTGGATGCAGTATATAAATTGAATATAATTATTTTTTATTAACATTCTCTTGTTATATTCTTTAATGTATTTTGAATATTTTCTTATATGATTAAATGCTATTGTTATATATTAAAGTATAATTTACATACAAAGATACACAGATCTTACATGTTTTGAATACTGACAATTGTATACACCATGTAACCATCTTCCACAAGAAGTTACAGAATAGTTGTATTGCCCCAGAAAGTTCACTCTTGTCCCTTTTCACATCTACCACCTCATCTCCAACTGGGTCACTATTTTTTTATCTTTATGACCATAGGTCAGCTATGCTTGTTCTTGTATTTCACATTAATGGAATCAGACAGTGCAAACTCTTGAGGCTGGCATCTTTTACTCAGCATCAGGTTTCTAACTGTCAATATAGAGTGTGTTTCTGTAGGTTGTTCCTTTCAGTTGATGAGTGGTATACTTTTATATGAATATGCCCCAGTCTGTTTATCCACATCTTTTTTGGACTTATGCACATAATTCATTTTTATATATTATTTTATTTCCCTTTAAGAGCAAAGAGCATTAGCATTATTGTGTATCCCAGCACCTAACCCTTCACGTTTACTTCCATATTAATGGCTACTGTATTTTCTTTTTCTTTTTCTAGAGTATAAAAATATGACTAATTAGGAAGTTTCTGAATTTGTTGTTAAAAATATCAAAATAAACTCTGTGCTATACATTTAGTTAAATCAACAAATAAAATCCAATCTCTGCTAGAAATACCTATAAACCAAACATTACATTATAATCTCCTGTATTAAAATGCATTTTGTTTTGTTTGGAAACTTGACTTTAAAATATATACCAAAATAAACCAGTGTATTTTTTTTAATTAAAAAAAATTAAAATTATTATCCAATAAAATTTATTTTATTTTTCTTTTAGTGCACATTTCTATAAATTTTAAGACATATATAGATCTATGGAACTGCCACCACCATCAGAATATGGACACTTCCATCCTTCAAAAAACAAAACTACCTTATGCTCTTACTTCATGATCACACTCTATCCCCAACTCTAACCAATGGACACCACTGATCTGTTCTTCAGCACTCTAATTTTGTCATTTCAAATCTGTCATATAAATGGAGTCATGCAATATGTAACCTTTGAAGACTGGTTTCTTTTACTCAGCCCCTTTGATATTCATCCAAATTGTTCTGTGTATCAGTGGTTAACTACTTTTTATTGCTGTATAGTATTCCATTGTGTGAATATAATCCAGCTTATCCATTAAGTGGATATAGGACATTTCAGTTGTTTCAGATTTTGGCTACTATGAATAATGTTTCTATAAAATGTGCTAGGAAATTGGAATGGTTATTTAAATTTTCTGATTTTCAGGTTCTTCTATAAAACAGAAAAAATGCTAGTAATCACCTCATGAGACTGAGACAATTATTAGAATGTATGTAAAACATAGTATGTATTCAAAAAATTTTAATAATTACTAATGTAAGAAAAATAAAATGACAATGCAAAATTGCACTGCAAATAAGGTTTTCCTCATATTCTACTTTTGCAGCTGATTAAAAAAAATGACAGCTGTAGAACATTCCATTTACTTCTACTTTATATCATTTTATTAATGTTTCTATCAGTCAAAGAATATCAGTTTCCTTATGCTGCAGCATTAATTGCCCTTTCATAAGATGAATCATGTAAAAATTTGAAAAGTATGTTTTTCACACTTTTGATAATATGCTACACAAGGCACAACAGTAGTGAGAAATGTGGGATTGGATGGATGAATTCAAGATAAATTACGAAGAATTAAAATGACTTTGCAACTTTTTGCATGTAAGAGATGACAGTAAAGAAGGAATAAGATGAAGCTTTGGGTTTGAGTCCTGAAGTCAGAAATGAAGGAGGAAGCCTATTCAGTTTTAGACATGAAATTATCATGGTAAAATAAGTATAAAGTAATATTTTTAAAACATATATTATCAACTATGAAATAATATTAAAATACTTTGGGGAAAAGTAAAGAATAAATGTACATAATAGTATTTAACCACATAAGAAAAAATGTTCTAATGAGGGGTCGAGGGACTCTAGATTTAGCAAATAAAAATATATGATACCCAATAAAATTACAGATTCAGATAAATAATATTTTACTATATAAAATACTTTCACTGATATTATATGGGACACACTTATACTACAAACTATTTATTGTTTGTTAAAATCAAATTTAACGAAATCTTGTATTTAATCTAGAAACCTCTGATGGTTAAAAAATTTGTTGAACTCTGAGTGTCTGCAAAAATTTAAGCAATATCACTAACAAGTCTAAGATAAAGTAAGAATCAGAAAATAAAGAGAGCAGAAGGGGAAAGAAAAGGCAATAAATTTGTGAAAATAGAAAAGGAAAAAAGACTGAGATAAATAAAGTGATATATTCATTGTAAAGATGCTAGAACATCATTAACCTGGGAAAGGCCTGTATGGGTTCCATTCAACGAATGTTAAGTAGCCATAAGATGGCTAGTATTTGGCTAATTCTCAGCTAGACTTCATAGAGCTGAGGTCCTTGTAGAGAATTGCTTATGATTCAGAGAATTCATATAACAAACTAAATAAATAAATATATACTGTAATTGTCTCAGTTTACCCATGCAGTAAATGTTTTGAGAGGTCGATGAGGAAGATGAAGAAAATGAGCAGCTGAGATGTACCTAAACTCGTACAGTGTATTAGAAAGTGAACTACAAATACAGCCTAGGTTCCTGATTGCTACTTTCATTTTTTTTTTAACTTAGACCTTGGTATTTCAGTGATTTATGGAGGTAAAATTCAAAACAGTGTCAAACAAACAAAAAACACAAGGAGAAAGTTTGATATCTCCATCATGTAGACGAGATAGAAAAGGAGCCTCAGAATATAATTTGTAGTGGCAGCATACAAATAGTGTGAGGAAAACCATTGAGCCAGGATAATGACTAACTACAAAGCTATGGCAGAGTATGAATCATTGTTCAATTCAATTTTGTACCAACAGAACTGAGCACATAATCTTGCTCAGTGGGTGTTCAATAACCACTCATTGAAAATAAAAATAAGATTTTTTGTTTATGATTGAGATCAAACTTCACCAAATGTTTTACGATACTGTAAATACAATAACTCAATAGAAACCACATAAAAGCTCTGAAAAACAAATTGAAATATATATTTATTTATTTATTATACATATATATATACTCTGTGTGTGTGTGTGTGTGTGTGTGTGTGTGTGTGTGTGTGTATGAAAGACATGAAGGACATGAAAGCATCATGATCCTCAGAACATGAGGCTGGACTTTGCCAATTAAACAGGACCCCTGAAGCTATAATGAGAAAACCTATCATTTTGAAACTAAACATATCTAAAACATTTTTTAAACATTTCAATTACAAAATAAGGCGTGCAGATTTTTGAGTCATCAATACATACATTCTTTATCGCCTGTTATCTCTTGTTTTATCCCAGAGATACACACAGACTTCTCCAAAATTAGAAGGGTAAAGTTTATTTTGACTGGAAAGGATGGAAGATCCATTTAAAATAATGAGCTACTTAAAATTTTAAGTATGTTTTTATAATGTCTGAAGACAAAGAACGACCTGGAGGCATTTTGAAATCTCATTTGTCTTGGGAGGTAATTCTACTAATGACTTTAAGTCCAAGCTTTATGCAGTGTGTTTTATGTGTGCTTAAGAATCACTTGAGCAGACAATTTCCTTAGGACAACAGAGAAAAGACATGGCTGATTGCAACTCAAAACGACATTTAATTATCACCCCTTCCCCTCCACAGTGGACCTAGCAGTATCTTTTCCTGGTTGACTATTTGTTTTGTGAGCATAGAGTGACTAGATGCTATCTCAAAAAAATAGCTTTTCTTGGTTAGCACTGAATTCTAGTCTATAAGAGGAAAAAAGACTAAAGGTGCCAATTGGAAAATTTCTTGCTTACTGCTTTTGTAATGTTGTATTTGGTTTACTTCAGCAACTAATCCGAAAGAATTTTATTACATAGGAAGTATAAAAAACTTGGATCATTTTTTAAAGGCCTGTAGCTATGGAAGAAACCTAGAAGAATCTTAAGCAAGACTGAGGCAGATGTTGCATTTATAAAAGCTATGAAACTCCCATTTACACAAAAAACATAATGATAATTCCAAAGATCAAATACTGATTGTTTTATTTAACAGAAATAATATATATTTGGTAGTGAAGGCACAGTTTTATCCAGTTACTGAAATGTCTCCTGCTTTGCACACAGGATAAGAAACTACACGTTTTTGGGAATATCATTTGCTATTAGTGTTGTTGATATAGGACAGGTTAGGCAACACATAACTATCAAGAAACACCACACCTAGCAGAGAACTAATTAATAGTGTGATGCTTTAATAATACTGGGCAAAGCTATTTGTTAGAAAGAGGTACTGAGTATAGCATTTCTCACGTGGCAGTAAGGGCAATACTACACTGTCAACAACAGATTCAGCAATTAAGAGTTCTTCAATGCCACATAAGAAAATGAGGAACAAAATTAGAATACAATCTTTATTTATTTTCTTTTTCAACTTTTATTTTGGATTCAGAGAGTATATGTACATATTCTTTTTAAATTTTTGTGTATACAGAGTAGATGTATATACTTATGGGAAACACGAGATGTTCTGTTATAGGCATAAAATTTGAGATAAGCATGTCATGAAAAATGGGATATTCATCCCCTCAAGAATTTATCTTTTGAGTTATAAACAATCCAATTTCACTCTTTGTTTCAAAATGTAAAATTAAGTTATTATTGACTATAGTCACCCTGTTGTGTTATCAAGTAGTAAGTCTTATTTCTTCTATTTTATTTTGTACCCTTAACCATCCCCACCTTTCTGCCAGCGCCCCACTACTCCTCCCAGCCTCGAGTAACCATCTTTCTACTCTCTATGTTTATGAGTTCAATTGTTTAGATTTTCATATATCACAAATAAGTGAGAACATGTGATGTTTGCCTTTCTGTGTGTGTCTGGCTTATTTCATTAACATAATGATCTCCAGTTTCATCCATGTTGTTGCAAATGACTAGATCTCTTCTTTTCAATGAATTAATAGTACACCATTGTGTATATGTACAACATTTTCTTTATTCATCTGTTGATGGACACTTACTTAGGTTGCTTCCAAATCTTAGCTATTGTAAACAGTTCTGCAACAAATATAAAAGTGCAGATATCCCTTTGATATACTGATTTCCTTTTTTGGGGGTATATACTCAGCCATGGGATTACTGGATCATATGGTAGCTCTATTTTTAGGTTTTTGAGAAACTTCCAAAATATTTTCTATAGTGGTTGTACTAATTTACGTTTCTACCAACAGTGTGTGAGGGTCCCTTTTCTCCATATCTTTGCCACCATTTGTTACTGACTGACTTTTGGATAAAAGGTGAGATGATATCTCATTGTAATTTTGATTTGCATCTCACTGATGATCCATGATATTGAACACCTTTTTATATACCTGTTTACCATTCGTATGTCTCCTTTTGAGAAAGGTCTATTTAAATCTTTTGCCCGTTTTTGATGAGATTATTAGATTTTTTTCCCATAAAGTTGTATAAGCTCATTATGTATTCTGGTTATTAATCCCCTGTTGGATGGTGATATGGTTTGGATTTGTGTCCCCACCAAAATCTCATGTCAAATTGGAGGAAGAACCTGGTGGAAGGTAATTGGATCATGGCGGCAAATTGTGATAATGAGTGAGTTCCCACAAGATCTGATGGTTTAAAAGTGTATGGCACTTCCACTTTCATTGTCTCTCTCTCTCCTGCCTCCATGTGAAGAAGCTGCTTGCTTCTTCTTCACCTTCCTTCATGATTGTAGGTTTCTGGAGGCTTCCCACTCATGCATCCTGTTAAGCCTGCAGAACCGTGAGTCAACTAAACCTCTTTTTTTCATATATTACCTAGTCCAAGTTAGTTCTTTATAGCACTGTGAAAATGGACTATTACAGAAAATTGGTACCAGAAGAGTAGGGCACTGCTATATACATGCCTGAAAATGTGGAAGTAACTTTGGAACTGGGTAACAGGCAGAGGTTGGAACAGTTTGGAGGGTTCAGAAGAAGACAGAAAGATGTGGGAAAGTTTGGAACTTTTTAGAGATTTGCTAAATGGTTTTTACCAAAATGCTGATAGTGATATGGACAATGAAGTACAGGCTGAATTGGTATCAGATGGAGATGAGAAACTTATTGGGAACTGGAGTAAAAGTGACTCTTGCTATACTTTAGAAAAGAGACTGGTAGAATTTTGTCCCTGCCCTAGAGATCTGTGGAACTTTGAACTTTATAGAGATGATTTTGGGTATCTGGTGGAAGAAATTTCTAAGCAGCAAAGCATTCAAGACATGACCTGGCTGTTTCTAAAAGTGTACACTCATATGCATGAACAGAGATTATCTGAAACTGGAATTTATGTTTAAAAGGGAAGCAGAACATTAAAGCTTGGAAAATTTGCAGCTCAGCCATGTGGTAGAAAAGAAAACCCATTTTCTGGGGAGAAATTCAAGCCTGCTGCAGAAATTTGCAAAAGCAAGTAGGAGCTGAATGTTAATAGCCAAGACAATGGGGAAAATGTCTCCAGGGCATTTCAGAGACCTTCACAGCATCCCCTCTCACCACAGGCCTGGAGACCTAGGAGGAAAAAAGGGATTAATGGGCCTGGCACAGGGCCCAGCCTCTCTGTGCAGCCTTGAGACATGGCATCCTGTGTCCAAGCTACTCCAGCTCCAGTGGCAGCTAAAAGAGGCCAAGGTACATCTCGGGCCATGGCTTCAGAGGGTTCAAGCTCCAAGTCTTGGAGGCTTCCATGTGGTATTGGCCCTGCAGGTGTGCAGAAGGCAAGAGTTGGGGTTTGGGAACCTCCACCTAGATTTCAGAGGATATATGGAGACACCTGAATGTCCAGGCAGAAGTCTGCTGCAGGGGCAGATTCCTCATGGAGAACCTCTACTAGGGCAGTGTGGAGGAGAAATGTAGGATTGGAACCCACACACAGAGTCCCAGTTGAGACACTATCTAGTGGAGCTGTGAGAAGAGGGACACCATCCTCCAGGTTCCCGAATGGTAGACACACCAACAGCTAGTACCATGAGCCTCAAAAAGTCACAGGAACTCAACACCAGGCTGTGAAAGCAGCCACAGGGGCTATACCCTGCAAAGCTACAGGGCCAGAGCTTCCCAAGGTCTTGGGAGCCCACCCCTTACATCAGTGTGGCCTGAATGTGAGACATGGAATCAAAGGAGATCATTTTGGAGCTTTAAGATTTAATGACTGCCCTGCTGGGTTTCAGACTTGCATGGGGCCTGTATCTCCTTTGTTTTGGCCAATCTCTTTCATTTGGAATAAAAGCATTTGCCCAATGCCTCAACCCCCATTGTATCTTGGAAGTAAGTAACTTGTTTTTGATTTTACAGGCTCATAGGCAGAGGGGAATCACCTTGTCTCAGATAAGACTTTGGACTGTGGACTTTTAATTTAATGCTTAAATGAGTTAAAACTGGGGTACTGTTAAGAAGGAATAATTGTATTTTGCAATTGGAAAAGGATATGAAATTTGGGAGGGGCTGGGGCAGAATGACGTGGTTTGAATTTGTGTCCCCACCTAAATCTCATGTTCAATTGGAGAAGGGGTCTGATGGGAGTAAATTGGATCATGGAGATGGATTTTCCCTTTGCTGTTCTCATGATAGTGAGTGAATTCTTATGACACCTGATTGTTCAAAACTGTGTGGCACTTCCTGCTTCTCTCTCTCTCTCTCCTGCTGCCATGTGAAGAAGCTGCTTGCTTCCCCTTCACCTCTGCCATAATTGTCAATTTCCTGAGGCCTCCCAGTCATGCTTCCTGTTAAGCCTGCAGTTTTGTGAGTAAATTAAACCTCTTTTCTTCATAAATTACCCAGTCTCAGATAGTTCTTTATAGCAGTGTGAAAATGGATTAATACAGATGGGTAGTTTTCAAATGTTTTCTCCCATTATCTGGGTTGTCTCTTCACTTTGTTATTGTTTCTTTTGCTTGCAGAAGTTTCTTAGCTTGATGTGACGCCAGTTGTCTATTTTTGCTTTGGTTGCTTGTGCTTGTGGGGTATTGCTCAATAAATTCTTTGCTCACACCAATGTCATAGAAAGTTTCTCCAATGTTTTCTTTTAGCAGTTACATAGCTCAAGGTCATAGATTTAAGTAATTAATCCATTTCGATTTGATTTTTGGTTATGGCAAGAGATAGGGGTCTAGTTTTATTCTTCTTCATATGGATATGCAGTTTTCCTGGCACCATTTGTTGAAGAGACTGTCTTTTCACCAGTGTATGTGCTTGGCACCTTTGTTTAAAATGAGTTCAGTGAAGATGTGCATATTTGTTCCTGGGCTCCCCACTCCATTTCGTGGGTCTGTGAGTCTTTTTTTATGCCATTATCATGATATTTGGTAGCTCTATAGTATAATTTGAAGTCAAATAATGTGATTCCTCCAGTTTTTGTTTTGTTTTGCTTTGTTTACATAGAACTGTTTTGGCTATTCTGGGTCTTTTGTGGTCTCACATGAATTTTAAGATTTTTTTTCTATTTCTGTGACGAATGTCATTGGTATTTTGATAGAGATTGCACTGAATCTG
Source organism: Homo sapiens (assembly GCF_000001405.40). Classification (NCBI taxonomy): domain Eukaryota; kingdom Metazoa; phylum Chordata; class Mammalia; order Primates; family Hominidae; genus Homo; species Homo sapiens. Next base: position 92,838,417 of record NC_000023.11, on the reverse strand, counting down.
TATATTGCTTTTGTTAGTATAGACATTTTAACAATATTGATTCTATCAATCCATGAACATGGAATATTTTTCCAATTTCTGATGTCTTTTTCAACTTTTTTCATCTGTGTTTTATAGTTTTTATTACAGAGAACTTTCACTTCCTTGATTAAGTTAATTCCTATGTATTTAATTTTATGTGTGGCTATTGTAAATGGGAGTACTTTTTATTTCTTTTTCACTTTTCACTGTTGGCATATAGAAAAGCTACTGATTTTTGTACATTCATTTTATATCTTACAAATTTACTGAATGTATCAGTTCTAATAGTTTTCTTCTGTAGTCTTTAGATTTTTCCAAACATACAATCATCATCTGCAAACAAGAATAATTTGACTTCTTCCTTTCTAATTTGGAAGACTTTTATATCTTTCTTTTTTTGATGGTTCTAGCTAGGACTTCCAGCACTGTATTGAGTAACAATTGTGAAACTGTTCATCCTTGTTGTGGTCCATATCTTAGAGGAAAGGCTTTCATTTTTCCCCATTTTGTATAATACTACCTATGGATCCCACATAAATGGCTTTTAATATGTTGAGGTATGTTCCATCTGTAACCAGTTTTCTTAGAATTTTTATGATGAAAAGATGTTGAATTTTATTAAATGCTTTTTCAGCATCAATTGAAAGAATCATATGGCTTTTGTCCTTCATTCTGTTGATATAATGTATCACATTGATTGATTTGCCTATGTTGAACCACCATTGTATCCCAGGAATAAATCTCACTTGGTCGTGATGAATGATCTTTCTGAATTCTTCATAAATTTTGTTTGTCAGTATTTTTTTGAAGATTTTTGCATCAATATTTGTCAGAGATATTGGCCTGTAGTCTTCTTTTTTGAAAGTGTCTTTGTCTGGTTTTGGTATCAGGGTAATACTGACCCATTATAATGAGTTTAGAAGTATTCCTTCCTTCCATATTTTCCAAAATAGTTTGAGTAGGATTGCTGTAAGTACTTATTTATATGTTTGGTAGAATACAGCAGTGACACCATAAGGTCCCAGGCTTTTCTTTACTGAAAGTGTTTTTATTATGGCTTTGATCTCATTACTTGTTATTAGTCTGTTCTGGTTTTGGACTTTTCCTGTTTCAATCTTGGTAGGTTGTATGTGTCTAGGAATTTGTTCATTTCTTTTAGATTTTCCAATTTATTGGCATATAGTTGCTCATAGTACCCACTCATAATCCTTTGAATTTCTGCAGTATCAGTTATAATTTCCCCTTTTTCATTTCTTATTTTATTTGGATTCTCCCTTTTTTTCCTTAGTTAGTATGGCTAGAGATTTGTCTTTTTGTTTAACTTTTCAATAAACCACCTTTTTGTTTCATTATCTCTTGTATTGTTTTCTTCATTCCAATTTCCTTTATTTCTGTTCCGATCTTTATTTTTTCTTTTCTTTTACTAATTTTAGGTTTGGTTTGCTGTTGCTTTTCTAGTTCTTTAAGATGCGTCATTAGATTGTGTATTTGAAGTCTTTCCTCTTTTTTGTTGTAGGCACTTATGGCTAAGAAGTTTTCTCTTATTACTACTTTCACTGTATCCCATAGGTCTTTGTATGTTGTGTCTCCATTGTCATTGGTTTCAAGACATTTATTGCTCATTAATGTACTTTTCTTTCTGATTGAAGTACTCTCTTTAGAATTTCTTGTAGTACAAGTCTGGTGTTGGTGAAATCTCTCAGCTTTTGTTTGTCTGGGAAAGTATTTCTCCTCCATGTTTGAAGGATATTTTTGCTGGGTATATTATTCTAGGGTAAGAGGTTTTTGATTTTTAGCACTTTAAATTTGTCATGGCACACTCTCCTTGTCTGTAAGTTTTTCATTGAAAAGTCTGATGCCAGAATTATTAAAGTTTCATTGTATGTTATTTGCTTCTTTTCTCTTGCTGTTTTTAGAATCCTTTTATTTTATCTTTAATCTTTGGAAGTTAGATTATTAAATACCTTTATGTAGTCTTCTTTTGGTTAAATTTGCTTGGTGTTTTATAAGCTTCCTGTACTTAGATTTTGATATCTTTTCTTGCTGTGGGAAGTTCTATGTTATTTTTCTCTTGAATAAACATTTTACCCGTCTCTTTCTCTACCTCTTCTTTAAACCCAATAACTCTTAAATTTGCCCATTTGAGGCTATTTTCTAGATTCTGAATAGCATACTTCATAGTTTTTTATTATTTTCTCTTTTATCTCCTCAGGTCTTGTGTTCTCAAATTGCTTGTCTTCAAGCTCACTAATTCTTTCTTCTTCTTGATCAATTCTGCTATTAAAAAGTTCTGATGCATTCTTCAGTATGCCAATTGCATTTTTCAGTTTCAGAATTTGTGTTTCATTTTAATTATTCTTCTTTTTGTTAAATGTATCTTATAGAATTCTAAATTTCTTCTCTGTGATATTTTGAATTTATTTCGGTTTCCTCAACACAGCTATTTTGAATTCTCTGTCTGAAAAGTCACACATCTCCTTTTCTACAGGATTGGTTCCTAGTGCCTTATTTAGTTAATTAGTTGAGGTCATACTTTCCTGGATGCTGTTGATGCTAGTAGATGCTTTTTGGTGTCTGGTTTTTGAAGAGTTAGGTATTTATTTAGTCTTTACTCTCTGGGCTTGTTTGTACTCCTCCTGGGGAAGGCTTTCCAGATACTTGGTAGGACTTGTGTGCTATGATCCAAGCTTTATCAGCTTTAGAGGACACCCTAAGCCCAGTAACATTGTGGTTTTTGCAGATTTGTAGAGGTACTGCCTTGATGGTCTTGGGAAGATCTGGGAGAATTCTCTGGTTTACAAGAAAGAGACTCTTGCTTCCTTCCCTTACTTTCTCTCAAACAGTCTCTATCATTGTTCTGATCCACATAAAGCTGGTGGAAGAGTGACACAAGTGCACCTGTGGCCACAACTACTATGACTACTCTGAGTTAAACCTGAAGCCAGTACAGCAGTGAGTCTCTCCCAAGGCCTGCAGTAACTACTCCCTAGCTACTGTCTATATGCTCTCAAGTCCCAGGGGCCCTACAATCAGCCAATGGCAAAGCTAGCTAGGCCTGTGTCATTCCTTTCAGTGTATTGAGTTTCCCCTGGCTCTGTGTGGGTCCACAGGTGACACTGAGGAGTCAGGGACTAGAGCCAAAAACATTAGAAGTCTGCCTGGTGTTCTATTGTACTGCAGCTGAGCTGGCACTCAAAAGACAAAACATATTTCTTCTCACTCTTCCATCCCCTTTTCAGAGGCAGAGGAGTCTCACTCCATAGCCACTGCCACCCTAAACCATGAGGGGTATTGCCAGACTACTGCTAATGTTCTCCTAAGGCCTAAGGTATCTTAAGTCGACTAGTAGTGAATGCTGCCTAGCCTGGGAGTCACTATTCAGGGCAGTGGCCACCTCTCTGGCCCAGGGCATGTGCAGAAAAGCCATCTAAGAGTCAAATTCTGGAATTGGGACCCCAAGAGCCTAATTAGTGCTCTACTCCCCTGTGGCCGCACTAGCTCTTAAGGTGCAAGAAAGTGTCATCTTTACTTTTCTCTCAGCTTTTTTCAAGCAGAAGGAGTTTTGCCCTCTAGCCACCACATTTGGTAATGTGCTGAGTCTAACATGATGCCAGCAAATCTCAGAGGCTCACCCAAGGCCCAAGATGTAATATCGCTGCTGGTTATTCAGAGCCTAAGGGCTCTTCAGTTAACAGGCGATGAATGCTGCCAGGGCTGGGTTCTTTCTTTAAAGGCAGCAGGTTTCCTTCTGTTCCAGGGTGTGTCTAAAAATATCTGGGAACAAGGGCCCAGAATGGGGGCCTCTTGATTCTGACCAATGCCCTGTTCTGCTGTGGCTGAGCTGGTATCCTAGATCCCCCCTGCCCCCCCAAAAAATGTCTTTCCCATTTTTCCCTTTCCTCTATTCGAGCTGAAAGAAGGGATCATTTTTGGAGCTGCAAGCTGTGTAGCCTGGGGTTAGGGGAGGGCCTAATACCGGCACTCCCTCAGCTGCCCCAGCTGGTGCCTCAGTAAGTCACATGTTCCTCCAATTCCACTGTCTCTGGACCTAGGTCAGCACAAGGACTCGCCATGGTTGCAGTCCTTACGGCTTAGACTGCCTTTCAAGTTCACTTGGAGACACAGAACACTGTAGCCCTTGGTGGCAGGGTTGGCCAAGTTTTGACTGCTGGCATCTGCAATTTCCCTTTAGCTAGGGTCGGTTTAAATGCTTCCTCAGTGGGCAGCTGTCAGCTGACTTTGGTCTGGTTTTCCTTTCTGCTCTAACACAGAGCACTAAGTTCAATGTCTCACAATTGTTGTGCTCTCCCTCCTCCAGCACCCTCCCCCAACCTCATGGAGCAGTGGTGTCAGTCATTCAGGACTGTATTTTCTATCTCTTTATTGCCTCTTTCAGTGATAGGAAGTTAAAACCAGATACCATGAGGGCTCACATGAAATTTGGTTCTTTTGAAGGTGTTTTTCCTATGTAGATAGTTGTTAAATTGGTGTCCTTGTGGGAGACTATAGATGGAGACTTTGATTTTGCCATCTTGCTCCACCTACCCTTCAGAATGCAATGTTTAAATGTGTGTATTTGAAGATTGCCAGGTGTCAAATCCCAGCCTCTCTACTTACCAGCTGCATTAGCTTGGGCTTCTCATTCTCTGGACTTTTTTTTAACCTATAAAATGGAGATAATTGGAATCTACTCCACAGATCCATAGTGAGGATTAAGTGAAATAATGCATGTGAAGTGCTCAGTACTGTCAGCTTCAATTCTTGTTAACTATTATAAATATTAATGCCATTATTATTAGACACTTTTTAGACATACGCCATGCTAGTGTTTTACATTCCTTATCTTGTTTTAACACTGACAAGGACCTTGCCAGGGCAATATGATAATTCATTTTGACAATTAGTCCCTTTGTTTGCAAGCAAAAAGAAATTGACTTTGAATAACTCAAGCAATAGAAAAATCTATCTATCTATCTATCTATCTATCTATCTATCTTCCTATGTGAATGATGTATAGTCCTCAGACTCAAAAGAAGAGCTGAATTACTAGACACAAAAAGGGCAATTCTAGTGATCTACATAGCAGGTATACTATGCTGCTTCTGCTGGGATGAATTAAATCTAACTATTTTTATTATTCCTTTTTCACTCTGCTCAAGAGAGGCTCTAATTGTTTAAGCTTGGATTTTTTTGTTTGTTTGTTTCTGAGATAAGAGTCTCACTCTGTCACCCAGGCTGGAGTGCAGTGGCGCTGTCATGGCTCATTGTAGCCTTGACCTTCTGGGCTCAGGTGATCATCCTGCCTCAGCCTCCAGTGTAGCTGGGACCACAGGCATGTGCCACCACACACAACTCATTTTCTTCCTGTAGAGATGGTAGTCTCACTTTGTTGCCAAGGCTGCTCTTAAACTCCTAGACTCAGCCTCAGAAAGTGTTGATATTATAGGCGTGAGCCACCATCCTTGGCCAAGCTTGGAATGTTTTTACCACAAAGTAGCTAAAAAAAGAATGGAAAATCTGACTCACTATCCCTTAAAGACTGAGAGGTAAAAGAAATCCTATAAAAGGAAATAAAGGTACTATTACTTGAAGAAGACAAAGAATGATGGATAGCCAAAACCAGAAATACTCTCAGTATAACACCTCTTTATTCTGGAATTCAAAGGAGTCCTTTTGTGATTTCAGTTTTCAAGGTGTGGGAAAAGGAATGAAGGAAGATGACCCAATGATTATGTGGAAGTCCAGGCTAGTCAGTATTTCTGGTGATATGTAAAAAGCATTGTGAGAAACTTCTCTTGGGAATTCATTTTCTGAAATTCCTTATGAATTTCTGTAACATTTTCTCTGGAAGATAAAGAACTATCATCACTAGCAAAGACTTTATAAATTTGCCATTATGTTGCATACATAGAAATACTGGTGCTATAGTCTCCTCACAACTTCTTAGTCTGTGCAGCCAGTAATCTTCATAAGATTTATTTCATATAAAAATTATAGATGAAGTTTCTTGTCCATTGAAGCATTAATTTCTCTACTGATCTCAAACAGAAGATAATTGTTCTTGTAACTAATCATGAACCTAACACACTTACCAAATTACTGTAAATCTGAAATACCTCCGAAAATCACTAGTGATAGCAATAGTAATAGAAATTGTCCAATGACACAAACACCTTATAAGATGTTTTTAAAACTGTTGAAGGTATTAATTTATAAATATTAGAATATTATAGATAGAATGATATATATGGAAACTTGGGAAGTAAAATTCTTTTACAGAAATTATTTTAGTTATTTCTCTTTTCTCTAGCAAGCAAAATTTTTCTTACTGAACAACTGTTTTCAAGTTTAGTCATTTGCTTGAAATATCACACCCTCATTTTGACAGTAAAAAAATGATGAGAAACTGCTTTTAAATACCTATCTCCTTTTTTTCTTTTTTGGTGTAATAATTGAAGGATGTTTTCTTCCTAAGTTATATTCTTTGACTGTTGAAACATTTTGAAGTATCAATTTTGATTCTTGGGTTTGCTTATTGCTTGGCATTTCATTGCAGTCTTTTAGAATGTGTTGCATGTCAATTACAAGAGTCAAACTAAAATATTTGAAGAGATTTATTCTGAGCCAAATATGAGTGATCATGGCCCATGATACAGGCCTCAGGAGGTCCTGAGAACATGTACCCAAGGTGGTTGAGGCACAGCTTGGTTTTATACATTTTAGGGAGGCATGAGCCATCAATCAAATACATTTCAAAAATACATTGCTTTGGTCCAGAAAGGTGGGACAATTCAAAGCAGGGGGCTTCCAGGCTATAGGTAAATTTAAAAATTTTTTGTTGACAATTGGTTGAGTTTGTTTAAAGACCTGGGATTAATAGAAAGGAAATGTTAAGGTTAAGATAAAAGATTGTGTAGACCAAGGTTCTTTTGAAGTCTCAGAGTGGCTGCTCTTAGAGACAATAGATGACAAGTGTTTCTTATTCAGACCTTTAAAAGGTGCTAGACTCTCAGCTAATCTCTTCAGGATTGGGAGGGCCTGGAATAAAAAATTCTAACTATGTTAATAGAGATTCTTTACAGGTGTAAATGTTCTCCCACAAAGGACTGCTTTGCAGGGCCATTTCAAAATATGGCAAAGAAACATGTTTTGGGGTAAAATATTTTTATTTCCTTTTTTGTCATATAACGTTATGCCAATCAGATTGGAAAGTAAGTCACAACATATAGGGTTAAATAAAACCCATATCATGAGAGTTTATGGTTTGTACAGCATGACTCCCAGGTGCTTTAGATGGGAATTTGGGCAAGATAAAAAAAAGCAGAGCTTAGTCCTCAGTGGTACCCATTTGACATTTATGACACCAGTGCAGTATAAAGTTTTATGACACAATTTAGTTCTAACACACTCTAACACTACTGTAACTGTGTATGTTGCATCTGCTTGGAAAGAAAAGGAAGAAATCTTTATTCATCTTTGAGGAGGGGAGAAGTTACTCTAAAGGAAAGTTTCATTTTTTTTTTTTTTTTTTTTTTTGAGACGGAGTCTCCCTGTCGCCCAGGCTGGAGTGGTGCAGTGGCGCAATCTCGGCTCACTGCTGGCTCCGCCCCCCCCGGGGTTCACGCCATTCTCCTGCCTCAGCCTCCCGAGTAGCTGGGACTTCAGGCACCCGCCACCTCGCCCGGCTAATTTTTTGTATTTTTAGTAGAGAAGGGGTTTCACCGTGTTAGCCAGGATGGTCTCGATCTCCTGACCTCATGATCCGTCCGCCTCGGCCTCCCAAAGTGCTGGGATTACAGGTGTGAGCCACTGCACCCAGCCGAGTTTCATTATTTTGATAGTACTTACCCAAAATTGTCATAAAGGAGGAACGATTTTTTACAGCTTTAAATCAGATATAGATATTTCAATTTAAAGTGCTCTATTTATAGAAGCACTAGACCAAAAAAATATTTTTTAAATGATAGGATGATAGATGGCCTACTTGTCAATGTGCCTGCTGCTAAAGTCCTAGTGAGGCAGGAAAATAGGGTATGAAAGCAGGGAACATAAGGCCAATTCACTCTTCAGCTATGACAGGAAATATCCTCCTCATAGGCATAGGCCAAGTAAGCGACTTTGTAACTTTGCTTCATCCTCTCCATTTACATAGGGCATACTCGAAGTAACCAATGGAATCTGCTAGAGGGTATTTCAACTCCCAAAAATTCTGTAATGAGGCCCTTGAGCCCCTATGCGCGGGTCCGCTCCCACACCGTGGAGTGTACTTTCATTTTCAATAAATCCCTTCATTCTTCCTTGCATTGTTTGTGTGTTTTATCCGATTCTTTGTTCAATATGCCAAGAACCTGGACACTGTCCACCAGTGAAATATTTTGGCAAGCTAGCCAGGAGGAAAAGGTAAGCCCAAAGTTTGGGATTCATTTTTCTCCCTTTCCTTTCTGCTTCATACAGGGGAATCTGTCACTACTTTCCTTTCCATCTCGGGACCGTTGGTGGGCAGCGCCTAAACTCAGCAGCAACTGCAGGTTTCTGTCCGTGGCCAGGGAAACTAAGTGGTTTCCATGTGGAAGAAGCTAACTGCCACCACTAAATTCGCTTAAAGGAGCTGGGACTTTTTCCAGTTTTTTTTTTTTCCTTTCTTTCTTTTTCAGTCTTTCAGTGGCTGTTTCTTAGTGGCTCCTTGGAAATTGAGGGCAACTGGCTGGGGTCACTCCCTGGTATTGCCCGAAGGCCTGTAAATGAATAGGAATAATTGCCCTAGACTGTTTTTAAAATTCTTTTCTGGGTGTGGTCCCTGATCTCTGTGTGCTGTGCACCCCGGAGAAAACTTGCATATGTTTCAGGTGACTTAAACCTTCTTTACTTATGCTAAATTCTTCCCTTCCCCTATTCAACTGACTAAGGGCAAAGGAAACCCACCCAGTCCCCAGTTCCTGTCATTAAAGTTCATGGAGCAGGAGGTCTGGGAAAGCATGGCCTTATCAAATTATAAGGATGCTAAAACTTGGGGATTACACCCAGGTACCAAAGGAAAGCTCATAGTAGGTTTCATGCGCGTCCGTGTGAAGAGACCACCAAACAGGCTTTGTGTGAGCAACATGGCTGTTTATTTCACCTGGGTGCAGGTGGGCTGAGTCCGAAAAGAGAGTCAGCAAAGGGAGATAACGGTGGGGCCATTTTATAGGATTTGGGTAGGTAAAGGAAAATTACAGTCAAAGGGGGTTTGTTCTCTGGCGGGCAGGAGTGGGGGTCGCAAGGTGCTCAGTGGGGGAGCTTTTTGAGCCAGGATGAGCCAGGAAAAGGACTTTCACAAGGTAATGTCATCACTTAAGGCAAGGACTGGCCATTTACACTTCCTTTGTGGTGGAATGTCATCAGTTAAGGTGGGGCAGGGCATATTCACTTCTTTTGTGATTCTTCAGTTACTTCAGGCCATCTGGGCTTATACGTGCAAGTCACAGGGGATGCGATGGCTTGGCTTGGCCTCAGAGGCCTGACATTCCTGCCTTCTTATATTAATAAGAGAAATAAAACAAAATAGTGTTGAAGTGTTGGGGTGGCGAAAATTTTTGGGGGGTGATATGGAGAGAGAATGGGCGATGTTCCTCAGGGCTGCTTCAAGCGGGATTAGGGGCGGTGTGGGAACCTAGAGTGGGAGAGATTAAGCTGAAGGGAGGTCTTGTGGTAAGGGGTGATATTGTGGGGATGTTAGAAGAAACATTTGTCGTATAGAATGATTGGTGATGGCCTGGATACAGTTTTGTATGAATTGAAAAACTAAATGGAATAACAGAAGGAGAAAAACAGGTATAGTGCCTAAGGAGATTCAGCATAGTCCTGCCAGTAAAGATTATTTATTTACTTCAAGAGTTTAGAGTGGCAGTTTGGGGATAGCACCAGGAGATATCAGCTGTGATGGCTTGGAGAAACAGTGTAAACCGGCAGTGTAAACAAGAGCAGGGCATGTATGCGTAGTTGAGAACGGTGAATAGGAGTATGACTAGACAAAAGATGGTAGGGATGACAAGTTTTTTTGGGGCACAGTCTAAGTTGGTCTGGTGTCGAATGAGACTGGGGCCTAATAAAAAGGAGCGTCTATACGGGAGCTTAAATTGGCTGTACCTTGTAGCATTCTGAGGACAGGCCTGAATTCTGAAGAAAATAGATTTTGGAAGTTATGAGAAATGTAGAGAATGAGTTGAGCATAGTTTGTGATTTTTAGGGCCTCTAACAGTATTAAAGCAGTGGCAGCCGCTGCACGCAGACATGAGGGCTAGGCTAAAACAGTAAGGTCAAGTTGTTTGGACAGAAAGGCTACACAGTGTGGTCCTGGCTCTTGTGTAAGAATTCTGACCACACTAACCATGCCTAGGAAGGAAAGTCCTTATTCTTTTGTAAGGGATTGAGGTTTGGGAGATTAATCGGACACGATCAGCAGGGAGAGCACGTGTGTTTTTTTGAGAATTATGCCGAATAGGTAACAGATGAGGATGAAATTTGGGCTTGACTGAAGTAATGGGGGCTGTCTGTGAAGCCTTGCGGCAGTACAGCCCAGGTAATTTGCTGAGCCTAATGGGTGTCAGGGTCAGTCTAAGTGAAGACAAAGAGAGGCTGGGATGAAGGGTGCAAAGGAATAGTAAAGAAAGCATGTTTGAGATCTAGAACAGAATAATGGGTAGTAGAGGGAGGTATTGAGGATAGGAGAGTATATGGGTTTGGCACCACGGGGTGGATAGGCAAAACAATTCGGTTGATAAAGCGCAGATTCTGAACTAACTTGTAAGGCTTGTCTGCTTTTAGGACAGGTAAAATGGGGGAATGGCAAGGAGAGTTTATAGGTTTTAGAAGCCCATGCTGTAGCAGGTGAGTGTTAACAGGCTTTAATCCTTTTACAGCATGCTGTGGGATGGGATATTGGCGTTGAGCGGCGTAAGGGTGATTAGGTTTTAATGAGGTGGTAAGGGGTGCATGATCGGTCGCCAAGGAGGGAGTAGAGGTATCTTATACTTGTGGGTTAAGGTGGGGGAATACAAGAGGAGGACGCAAAGGAGGCTTTGGATTGGGAAGAAGGGCAGCAATGAGATGCGGCTATAGTCCAGGAATAGTCAGGGAAGCAGATAATTTGGTTAAAATATCTCAGCCTAATAAGGGAACTGGGCAGGTGGAGATAACTAAAAAAGAGTGCATAAAAGAGTATTGTCTAAGTTGGCACAGAGTTGGGGAGTTTTAAGAGGTTTAGAAGCCTGGCTGTCAATACCCACAACAGTTATGGAGGCAAGGGAAACAGGCCCTTGAAAAGAAGGTAATGTGGAGTGGGTAGCCTCTGTATTGATTAAGAAGGGGATGGGCTTACCTTCCACTGTGAAAGTTACCTAAAGCTCGGCGTCCGTGATGGTCTGGGGGCTTCCGAGGCGATCGGGCAGTGTCAGTCTTCAGCCGCTAAGCCGAGAAGATCTGGGAAGGAGTCAGTCAGAGAGCCTTGGGCCAGAGTTCCAGGGGCTCTGGGAGTGGCTGCCAGGTGAGTTGAACAGTCCGATTTTCAGTGGGGTCCCACACAGATGGGACGCAGCTTAGGAGGAATCCCGGACTGCGGGCATTCCTTGGCCCAGTGTCCAGATTTCTGGCACGTGTAGCAAGCTCCTAGGGGAGGAGGTTCTGGAGGAATGCCTGGCCACTGCGGTTCAGGCGTTTGGAAGTTCTTGTGTGCTGGATATGTGGCTGGGGTTTGTCTCACAGTGGAGGCAAGGAGTTGCAACTTTTTTATGTTATTGTACACCTTGAAGGTGAGGTTAATTAAGTCCTGTTGTGTTTGAGGGCCAGATTCCAATTTTTGGAGTTTTATTTAATGTCGGGAGCAGATTGGGTAATGTATATTGAGAATAAGACGGCCTTTTGACCTTTTAGGGTCTAGGGCTGTAAAGCTTCTCAGGGTTGCTGCCAAACGAGCCATGAACTGGGCTGGGTTTTTATATTTGATGAAAAAGCCTAAACACTATCTGATTTGGGATAAAGAAAAAGGAGCATTAACCTTGACTATGGCTTTGGCTCCAGCCACCTTTTTAAGAGTAAATTGCTGGGCAGGTGGGGGAGGGCTAGTCACGGAATGAAACTGTAAGCTGGACCAGGTGTGAGGAGGGGAGGTGATAAAAAGATTATAGGGTGGAGGAGAGGAGCCTGAGGAAGAATTGGGACCTAGCTCAGCCTGGCAAGGAGCAGCCTGGGGAGGAAGGGAGAGGTCAGATGGGTCTGTAGAAAAGAAAGATTAGAAAGACTCAGCGACGCTTGGGGTTGGTACTGAGGGGACAGGTGGGAGGGAAAGAAGGAAGATTTGGGATGAGTTGCACTGGGCACAGAGACTAGGAAGGGACTGATGTGTAAAAGAATGCCTGGACGTCAGGCACCTCAGACCGTTTGCCTATTTTATGACAAGAATTATTTAGATTTTGCAGGATGGAAAAATTCAAAGTGCCATTTTCTGGCTATTTAGAACTACTGTCGAGTTTGTATTGGGGTCAAGTGGCATTGCAGAAGAAAATAAGGCATTTAGGTTTTAGGTCAGGTGTGAGTTGAAGAGGTTTTAAGTTTTTGAGAACACAGGCTAAGGGAGAAGAAGGAGGAATGGAAGGTGGAAGGTTACCCATAGTGAAGGAGGCAAGCCCAGAGAAAAGAGTAGAGACACGGAGAAGGGGTGGGGGGTTCTTGCCCTCCAGAAAAGCAGAGAAGGAGTTGGGGCACAGAAATAAGGGATTGGGGCACAGAGATAAGAGATTGGGGCGTGGAAATAAGGGATTGGGGCACAGAGATAAGAGGTTGGGGTGTGGAAATAAGCAATTGGGGGGTTCTTGCCGCCTAGGAAAGCAGGACTTGCCGCTAAGGGTGAAGGAGAAGGGGTTGAGGGGTACTTGCCCCTGCCCCAGGAAAGTGGGACTTGCCGCTAAGGGTGAAGGAGAGGGGGTTGAGGGGTATTTGCCCCTGCCCCAGAAAAGCAGAGAAGGGTTAGAGACAAGGAGAGAAGGGGTTGAGGGGTATTTGCCCCTTCCCCAGAAAAGCGGGACTTGCTGCTAAGGGTGAAGGAGCAAGGCAGGCCTCCCTGCGTGGTCTGACACCCTTGAAACGTGAGTGTATAATCAGAGAGGCATCCCTGCAATGATTAAACACCAAGGGAAGGCTGCCTTCCCAGTCCGTGACCGGCGCCGGAGTTTTGGGTCCATGGATAAAACATGTCTCCTTTGTCTCTACCAGAAAATGAAAGGAATTGAAATTAAGAGAAGAGAGAGCTTGAAGTGTGGCACCAAGATTGAAAGGAGAAAGAGGTTGAGGGATAGTGAAGGAGGTTGGAGAAGAGAGTAAAAAGAGGCTGCTTACCGGATTTGAAATTGGTGAGATGTTTCTTGGGCTGGTCGGTCTGAGGACCTGAGGTCCTAGGTGGATCTTTCTCACGGAGCAAAGAACAGGAGGACAGGGGATTGATCTCCCAAGGGAGGTCCCCCGATCCGAGTCACGGCACCAAATTTCATGCGTGTCCGTGTGAAGAGACCACCAAACAGGCTTTGTGTGAGCAACATGGCTGTTTATTTCACCTGGGTGCAGGTGGGCTGAGTCCAAAAAGAGAGTCAGCAAAGGGAGATAAGGGTGGGGCCGTTTTATAGGATTTGGGTAGGTAAAGGAAAATTACAGTCAAAGGGGGTTTGTTCTCTGGCGGGCAGGAGTGGGGGGGTCACAAGGTGCTCAGTGGGGGTGCTTTTTGAGCCAGGATGAGCCAGGAAAAGGACTTTCACAAGGTAATGTCATCACTTAAAGCAAGGACCGGCCATTTACACTTCTTTTGTGGTGGAATATCATCAGTTAAGGTGGGGCAGGGCATATTCACTTCCTTTGTGATTCTTCAGTTACTTCAGGCCATCTGGGCGTATACGTGCAAGTCACAGGGGATGCAATGGCTTGGCTTGGGCTCAGAGGCCTGACAGTAGGCTCCGGAGGGAACACATGCAAAGTGGCACCGGTGCCCACCTAAGGGCAGAGACATCTGGAGAATGCTCCAGGTAATCCTGCAGACCTCAACCTGCCCAAAGCGACACTCTGCAGAGGTTCTGAGGTCTAGTATTAAGCCCTCTTTAGAATTTTCTCTCTCACTTGCAATGATGCTTGGCTCCAAAATTGTTCAGAATCTGAACTTTGCTGTCTAATCAGAAAGTGGGATGGTGTTGCATGTATCCAGGCTTTTGTGCTGCTGTTCTAAGCAGAAGGCCTGTTTAATATGTGATGCCCTCCTTTGGTACTGTTTGGCCTCAGTGCTTTTTGGAGTCTGGGGAGGTTTGGCCTTTAAAAATCAAACTACCTGCTGGGCGTGGCGTCCACACCTGTAATCCCAGCACTTTGGGAGGCTGAGGCAGGCAGATCACGAGGTCAGGAGTTCGAGACCAGCCTGACCAACATAGTGAAACCCCATCTCTACTAAAAAAATACAAAAAATTACCTGGGCACGGTGGCACACGCCTGTAATCCAGCTACTCAGGAGGCAGAGGTAGGAAAATCACTTGAACCCGGGAGGCGGAGGTTGCAGTGAGCAGAGATCGCGCCACTACACTCCATTCTGGGCAACAGAGCGAGACTCTGTCTCCAAAAAAAAAAAAAAGAAAGAAAAAAAATCAAACTGCCATGGAGACTGCTTTATCTGAAATTTTGATTCACAGCCTTCAATGGATTATCTATTGGGGCAAAGTAAAACTGGCGAAGTATTGTATTGCTGTCTCATGGCTAAGGTCCCAAGCTATTAGATCTTTGTTTATGTGTGTATATATATGTTTAGATGTGTTTATTTGTATGTACACTTATTGTTATATGTTGTGTCTACCAAATTGGCTTGTAAGTAAATGAGCACTCATAAATTAAGTAAGTCTAAGCTATTTTCAAGTTCACATGACTTAAAGTATAACTTTACTAAACAAGACAGCTTTAAAATTATTGGTGGAATAAAAATAGAAATGCCTTTAGAATTGTCAGCATACATTTTGTCTGAATTTTATGTTTGTCTTCGCTAGATATTTTAAAATGTCATTGTTAATTCAAGCTGGGAGTTGCTTGGGGCAAGCCTGCCTCCCATTCTATTCAAAGTCTCACTGAGATGAGTGCAGATCTGATTGCTTCCTTTGGAAAGGCTAATCAGAAACTCAAAAGAATGCAACTTTTTGTCTTCCAACTACCTGAATCTGAAAGCCCCCAATCCCCCAACCTGCCTCAAGTTCTCCTGCCTTTCCAGACCAATGTGATGTTCATTTTACATATGCCGATTGATGTCTTGTGTCTCCCTCCTTAAAAGTAAAAATTAAGTACAGTGAATGGGATAAATGTTTTAGATAAACTTTTTTTGTAAATTAAAATCTTAAACTTATTTTAATGCTCACTTAATATTTGGGTCATTTCCAATTAAGAAAGGGTTGTGATATTGGGAAATATGTTTCTAAAATTGTGGAATTGTTTTTATCTATAAATGCCCATATCTGATAGCTCAGGATTTCTTGCTTTTTAGGGTTTCATTAAAGCTTTAGGTTACCAAAGATAAAAAATTTAGTTAACTGGTAATTCTGTATACAAAATGTGCCAGAAAGGTTATGTTATTAGTGGAAAAAAGAATACTTTTGTCTAATTCAGAAGTTATCTAAAAGTTAGTTTAAATTACAGATTCGAAAAGGTTATTTATAAAACAATGCAGTAAGGAATCATTAAATAGGGGAGAAAGATGTGAAAAAAGTTTCAATAATAAAATATTTCTTAAAACCTGATAATTGAAGACATTTGGCTAATTAACATTTTCATAGTTAAAGCTCTTAGTCTTGATTAAAGTTAAATAAGAAGAATTGTAAAGAAATGCATCGGCAGTTTGGCTATTCCTTTTTTACATAGTTAAGCATGAAGCTGGATTTAATGTGGAGCCAAATTTCACATACATGCTTGCATTGCTTCACACTATGTTTATTGTGTTGCATGGACAGCGCTGGCACTGGAGTACTGATCAGTCATGTGCCTAAGGTAAATTTATTGATTGCAAAAGACATATGATAATATTAGTGAGCTTAAGGATATTGAATTGTGTATCAGGAATAAAACATTCATTATGTGGGGTTTTTTTGGCCCTAGGTAACACTGTAGCCTCCAGGGTAAATTAAGTGGGAAAATTTAGGGTTGGTTTTCTGTTTGTTTTTGCTTCTAGTTGTCTTTCTCTTTTTAATTTAAAAGTAAACTTTAATGTCAAAAATGCAAACTTGGGGAGGGCATAAAGATCACACACATGACTGCCACTTCATACTTGGAGGGTTGCACAGCGGCGGCCGGGCAACGGCGCTCCTCACTTCTCAGACGGTGGGGCGGCCAGGGAGAGGCGCTCCTTACTTTCCAGACGGTGGCGCAGTGGTGCAGAGGCATTAGTCAAGTGCGGCCGCCAGGCAGAGGCGCATCTCACTTCCCAGGCAGGACCGCCGCAGGGCAGAGGTGCTCCTCACTTCCCAGAAGGTGTGGCAGCCAGGCAGAGGCACTCCTCACTTCACAGACCGTTGGGCAGCCAAACAGAGGCGCTCCTCACTTCACAGACGGTAGGGCATCCAGGCAGAGGTGCTCCTCACGTCCCAGTCGGGGCGGCGGCCGGGCAGAGGCTCACCTCACTTCCCAGATGGTGGGACGGCCGGGCAGATGTGCTCCCCACTTCCCAGACAGTGGGGCAGTCGGGCAGAGAGGCTCCTCACTTCCCAGATGGTGGGGCGTCTGGGTAGAGGCGCTCCTCACTTCTCAGATGGTGAGGCCGCTGGGCAGAGGCGCTCCTAGCTTCCCAGACATTGCGGCCCGGGCAGAGGCCTCCTCACTTCCTACACGGTGTGGGGGCCGGGCAGAGGCGCTCCTCACTTCCCAGATGGTTTACTTCTAGTTTTCATTTGTTCACTGTTTATTCTTCTCTGGCTTTGCTTGTGTTTGCATATATAAAAAAACCATTTTTGTTTTAGTTTCTAGTGGAAGGCTTTTGTTTCTGTGAATAGTTATTTTGTTTCCTATGCATTTCTAGCAAGTCATCATTTCTTCCACTTATTTGGAATTCCTAGGCTACCTTTGATGGGCCGAGAGGAATTGATAGAGCACACCAGCCTTTTAACCTTAAACTAACTTTTTGGATTTTAGGCTTCCTGATACTTTAAGTGTGCTGAGTATACTCTCCTAGATACAATTTAAGTCAAATTTCTCTCTTTGCCTAACATAAAGTAAAAGTCACTGTTTATTTCCTCTGTAAAGTTTTAAATTAATTGGCTTAATAATAAGATCTTAAATATTTTGTCAGAAAAGTGAAAAATATAATGCCTTTTATTTAGTTCATGTAACTTGAGTGATCTTTGGGAAATAAAGATAGTTTTAAAGATTATTGGTAAAATACAAATGTCTTCATAATGTAAACATGTGGTCTAAATTATGTTCAAATGTTAGGTTTGCTAAATGCGTTAAGGTCATAAGCTGCTTGTTTGGCTTTTGAAAATTGTTTAACTTGTCTGCTTTCCAGCTAGGTAAGGCCTGGGGACATGTGGAGTTGGCCACATTCCTAGCTGTGCTGGAGATAGTCAAACCTTATCAGAACACAACTTACCAGGATTTACGTTAAAATTTGCCATTGTAACATGCAATTAACACTACTAGACACAGCTTTACATGCAAAATGTGTAAAAACAGTAGAATTTGGATTTTTTCGTGGGGGGTTAAAGATTATAAAAAAGTTTTTACTTATTTAAATCCCTAAGTCATCGTTTTGGCAAAATAAATAATTTATGGTAATCTGAAATTCCAAAATCAAACTTCAGTTCCAAAATTGTCTTTCTTGGTGGCTGGCTTTTAGGATGAATCAGAGGGCCCCTTAAAACATCCAGAAAGGAGATAAACAGGATTATTTAACGTGTTTAGTTACACGAGATTGTCAAAATGATGCTTAATATTGTTTGGGTTATATTTTTGTGACTAATACTAATATATGTTCCAAAATTGTAGGAGATTGCTAAAATTCTAATATCTGAATATATACTGTCAATTATAATTATGGTTATTATGTTAAGTTATTGTAAATCACAGAAATAACCGAATTTCCTTGTCAGTGCTATGCACCAAATTTGGAAATACAACTGGTATTCAAGAGGATATAAGTCTAATGTTAATTAAGCATGGGTTCGTGGAGAACCAGGATGGCCTTCTTGTCCTTCCTGAGCCCTTAAAGCTTTTATTATTAAAAGTTCTGCATTCCATAATTCATCATGAAAAATATAAAATAAAATTGAATACATAGGTGTGGTATCTTACAAATTACTAGAATAGTTTATAGCCAATGTTTGGCCCCATATTTCTGGAAAAACAATTAAAGCTGCAGGTACACTTGGTTACCTGGTAGGCCATTTAAACACTTTATAAAGGGATTTCATTCAATTGTTACTTTTAATGCATCTTTTCTGGTTGTATAAAAGCTTTCCCATGCAAGAGGGCTGATGTTATAAGAGAAGATTATTATGCTACAGTGTATTTTCATCAGGTAAAGAAAGCTTTTATGGTTTGGATATTCTGGAAACATCAGGAAAAAACTGTCCTTGCTACACACACTACAACAAAACTTTGGGACCCTGGGCTTTGGGTTCATGGTCTTGCAGTTGAGAAGGGTCCCTCCACACTCTTGGAGCTGTACACCCTTTGGAACCCTTAAGATAAAACTAACCAGGGAAATTTCTCCCAAGAAAAAGATGGCATCCTTTATGTAAACAGCTTTTCCCAAGTTTACAGATTAAGACTTCTACTATCATGAAGCTCTTATCTTTGAATATTTTTTCCTTGCTTCTGCCTCTATGAGGAATAGAAGTGAAAAAGGGGTCTGTTATGGCCACTTATGGGGTATATTTTTATTTGGGAAGGGGTTTGCAGCCAGCCTTAAACATGGATAAACTTATACTATGACAAATCAAAGATAAAGACCCAACATAGGTACGAAACTTTAATGGTACATGTGTTGCCTCATAATCAGTCAAAAATAAAACATTGGTTCACCCCTGTTGACCCACATCAGGGGTTAAAAAGAGCATTGCCAGGAGGGCTTCATTCTTCTAGAAGGGCATCGTTTGTTACTTCCTTTTTCCGTAGTAAAAGAGGCAATAACTAGAAATGTATCCCCCATGATAGGCTCTATAGCA
This sequence comes from Homo sapiens, assembly GCF_000001405.40. NCBI lineage: Eukaryota > Metazoa > Chordata > Mammalia > Primates > Hominidae > Homo > Homo sapiens. Next base: position 92,819,194 of record NC_000023.11, on the reverse strand, counting down.
AATAATACTGTAAAGGCTACAATTTCACAAGACTTTAAATTCTTTTGTGAAACTTATAATGGGATTGGCTGAACAGAAAAGTATCTGTGCAGCTTCTGGCACTTGTGACCTATAAAGGAATACATCAAATGAGAATTATAGAAATTCAGTGGTAGTGGATTAATGAAGAAACTGCTTAGTTAAGTCAGTCTTTGATCTATTTGATTTTAGGAAGTTTGGTTTATGGGGACATTGGGTAAGGAGCATACTCCAAACTGTTGGTATTATCCTCCCAATAGTCATAATAATAGTGTCCCTGGTGCGCTGTATTATCTCAAAGGTTTTAAATGCTTGCATGCAACCATCTCTAGAATGTCGTATGGTCTCTCTTAAGCTGGAATAACAGGAGCTGAAAGAAATGTGCAACCATGAGGACACCATAACCTAATGTGCTGAAACCAGAAACCCAAAATGATGTTGACTAAGTGGTGCTAAGGCCCTAAGTTTTGGTTAAACTCTCACCTAATTGAGAACCTAACCAAAAAGGTGGAATTTTTTAAACAAAATTCTGGGAGGCCATTGTTTTGAAGTAATCTCATGCACTAGGCCCCAACAGTCCAAACCAAACCAAATGGAGTGACTTGTGCTAAGACTTTAAGGAAACACATAGATTCTAGAACAAACCAGGTTTTGTTTTTTCTCTTGCAATTCTCTATAACAAACATTCCTGACAGCAGAAGTATCCACCCCATGAAGTTCCCATTAAATCTTTTAACCAAATTCATTTCCTCTCACCTAGAAAGCATCAAGCTTTAGATGATCATGCAACAAAGGGTCCAGCCAGTTCCAAGTGAAGACACCACCCCTGGCCATCAAGGAGCTACCTTGCCTCCACTAGACACAGCAGAATGACAGTTTTGTGATCCCCAGTAGGTAGGGACTGTGCCTCAAGCCAGCATAAAGCAGTTACAGAAAAAAGACCATTGGTCCCTGTGCCTCCCATAAAAATGTATGAGGATCACATCTCTCGGGGCAGATGAGGCAGGAAAATAGGGTCTGGAGGCAGGGAACATAAGGCCGATTCACACTTCAGCTATGACAAGAAATATCCTCTCCATAGGGCGTAGGCCAAGTAAATGACTTTGTAACTTTACTTCATCCTCTCCATTTACAAAGGGCATACCCGAAGTAACCGATGGAATCCTCTAGAAGGTGTTGCAACTCCCCAAAATACTGTAATGGGGCCCTTGATCCCCTATGCTTGAGCCCGCTCCCACACTGTGGAGTGTACATTTATTTTCAATAAACCCCTTCATTCCTTCCTTGCTTTGTGTGGTTTGTCCAATTCTTTATTCAAGGTGCCAAGAACCTGGACAGTCTCCACTGGTGACACAAGGTGCTCTCCTACTGCAAAAGACAAATCATTTAAAAACATGTATACATAATAATATTTCTAAAGACATGGGATTCAAAAGTACTAGCACTTAAGACCACATGCTTTCAGAAATAAAGCCCTAATTGTTCAATAAGCCTCATCTGAGCACTACATTTTAACTATATATATAATTAGGATTTTAAAATTTGAATCATAAAAATGCAAAAATCATGAAGTAGCACTATTACCAATGTGCAAAAATTGTTCTGTAAGAAAAAACACATTTACACTTGAATTAATTGAGGTTTGACTACCTCCATAACCCATATTTATCTAACTTGCCCTGCCAGAAATGTTCACCATTAACCAATTCTTTGTGTTAAAGCATTATTACCTCCCTCTATCAGATTGCATATATTATCCAACAGGGAGTAGAACATTAAGCCATTAAATGTAAACTTCAGATTTGTTAGATTTTAAAAAATGAGACACAGCCAGTTATTTTCAATTGAGGCAAATTTCTCATACAATAAAATTAGCTGTTTAAAAATAAATAATTCAGTACCGTTAATTATATTAACAATGTTGTGCAATCACCTCTTTCTAGTTCTAAACATTTTCATCACCCCAAAATAATATCACATACTCAGTAAGCAGTTATTCTCCACTCTCACTTTCCCCTAGCCTTTGAAAACCATCAATCTACTTTTCATTTCTGTGAATTTGCCTATTCACAAATTATATATAAATTGGATCATACAATATATGACCTTTTGTGTCTTAACAAAAAACATTTTTCAGGTTATAGCATATATAGGTACTTTATTCCTTTTTATAGCTAAATATTTTCCATTTTATGTATATAACACCATTTATTTGTCCATTAAGCTATTTATAGACATTTGGGTGTGTCCAGCTTTTGTCAATTGTGACTAGTGCTACTATGAATATTTGTGTGCAAGTATTTCTTTTAGTACTAGTATTCTATTCTTTTGAGTGTATACCTTGAAGTGGAATTGCTGGATTATATGGTAATTCTATGTTTAACTTTTTAAAGAACTGCTCCTATACTCTTTCTTTTTATGAATCTACCTTGGGTCTCAGGTGATCCCCCACAATGAAGTGGCCTTGTTGTCTGGGGTGACACCCGAGGTTTCTTGTCTCAGCCACAGATATCAAGGATGTGGATACACAAATAGTGAAGTTAAAGGGGAAATTGGATAGGTGAAAGAAAGATAATTGCTTTCTGTTATAGAGAGGGGTCCCAGAAAAATGGGTTGCTGACCTGCAGTGAAATGAAGGAGCTTTTATAGATGAGCTGGTGGGGAGATGGTGTCTGATCTACACAGGGCACGATAAAACAGAACCAGGTTTGCCATCTGCATATGGCATGAATCTCTGTATTATTCGGGTGGGTTTTCTACCTGAGCTGCTCCATGTTGCCCATTTCTTTCTTACTGTACAAGTGCTAACGAAAAAAAAAAGAAAACGGAGCTTCCAGGGTGGACATGCCTGGCCCCCAGGTAGCCCTTTTCTATTGGCGTAGCTGCTGGCATTTCCCCGTGCAAACTTCGAGCTTCCTTATCTATATTTGCAGTTCAGTATTTCAGGCTGCTCTTTGTTAGAAATAAAATGATTTCTCGGGTTGCTTTTTGTTAGAAGGGAAGTTCTGCCAAAGAATCTTTTGCTCTCACTATCTGCCTAAATAATTTCTATCTCCTGTATCAGAACTGTCAACATTTTCTACAGCAACTGACCAATTTTACCTTCTCATAAGTAACGTAAAAGGCTTGCAATTTCTCCGTATCCTTGACAATGCTAGTTATTTTTCTGATTTTTAAAAATTGCCGTGTAAGTGGGAGTGAAGTGGTATCTCACTGTGATTTTGGTTTGCATTGACCTAATGACTAATAATGTTTAGCATCTTTTCAAGTGTCATTTGCACATCTCTAGAGGAACATCAATTCAAGTCCATGTTGTTGTTGTTGTTAAAGACTTCTAAGAGTTGAATGGGAGTGTTTTTCATTTTGTTATTGAGTAGAAGGCGTTCTTTATAAAATCTGGATACTAGATTCTTATCAGATATGTGATTTGCAAATATTTTCTCCCATTCCGTAAGTTGTCTTTCTCTTCCTGGATAATGTCCTTTAACATGAAAAACGTTTTAATTTTAACAAACTCCAATTTATCTATTTTTTCTTTTGTTGGTTGTACTCTTGATGTCAGATCTCAGAATCCGTTGCCAAATCCAAGGTCATGAAGGTCAGGAAAACCCTTTTTTTCCTAAGAGCTTTAGAGTTTAGCTCTTATCATTAAGTCTTTGATACAATTTTAAGTACATTTTTGTATATGTATATATACATAATTTGTATATTTTTGTATAATTTTGTATAAAGCTGCAACTTTATTATTTTGTATGTGAATATCAATTTGTCACAGCACCATTTTTTGGAGGAAACTATTCTTTACCTATTGAATGATCTTGGCATCCTTGTTGAAAATCAATTGACCATACATACATGTGATTATTCCTGGACTCTCAATCCTGTTCCATCAGTGCATATGTCTGTTCTTATGCTAGGACCATACTGTTTAATTACTGTAGTTTTGTAGTAAGTTATAAAATGTGAAAATAATAGTCCTTCAACTTCGTTCCTCTACTTTGTGAGTGTTTGTTTTAATATTCAAGGCTCTTTGCAATTTCATATGAATTCAAGAATTGTGTTTTCCATTTCTGCAGAAAGGCTCTTAGACTTTTTATGATTGCATTGAGTCTATAGATTGCTTGAAGTTAGCATTGCCGTTTTAACAAAAGTAAGTCTTCTAATCCATAAACATGAAATGTCTTTCCATTTATTTATGTATTCTTTAGTTTATTAAAGTAATGTTTTGTAGTTTTCAGTGTATGCGCTGTTCACATATTTGGTTGAATTTATTCCTAAATACTTAACTTTTTTGGACACTATTATAGATGGAATTATTTCCATTATTTCCTTTTCAGATTGTTTATTATTAGTGTATAAAAAGACAGCTGATTTTTATATGTTGGTTTTTACCCAGAGGCTTTGCTAAATTCATTATTAGGTCTATTAGGTTTTGGTGGATCCTGTGGGATTTTCCATACATAGAATCATGTCATCTATGAATCAGTTTTGATAGGGGTGTGAAGAAGTAAATAAAATCATACAGTATGTGATCTATTCTGTCTGGCGTATTTCACTTAGCATAAATGTTTTTCAGGTTATATAATGTATCACTGTTTCATTCCTTTTTATGGTTGGATATTTTCATATATATCACAATTTGTTTATTCATTAACTGCCCGTGGACATTCAGGTTGTTTTTAACTTTTGTCTATTTTGAATAATGCTACTATGAGTATTTGTGTACAAGTAATTTTTTGAGTACCAGTATGTAAACCTTTTGAGCATATACCTAGAAGTAGAATTGCTTGGTTATATCATCTTTAGGTCATATAGAAAAGAAAATATTCGTAACATAGGAGTGCAGAGGATGTAAGTCTTGCATAGGATGCCACAATTGCTATAGAGGAAGAAGAGCCAGAGGGATAAATAGAATATTAAATTCCCAGGAAATGTGTAGAAAGAAAGAAGTTAAATGGATTAGAGAAATTTGTAAGGTGAGGTTTTGGTACTTCACAATTTATTCAGTAGCCAGCTTTCTTCACAGCAGAAAGGAAATGCCACAGTTAATCAAAATTTTTGTAAAAGATGGTTCTTTTGTATTGTAAAGATGGTGCTTAGAGACATGTTCTTGTTGTAACAAAAACGTGACCCTCTGGAGAAAAACTAGGTCAAATCCTTAAATTCTGTACATATATATATAGTGTTTAACATATAAAGTAATATGTTTTATTTTAATTGATGCTTCCAATTAAATCATTTAGTCTTTCCAAACAATCTTATGGCAGGCAACATGGTGTTTAAATCCATTTAATAAAGTAGGTTTGCATTTTAAGAATTTCTATAGTAGATAGTATTTTAAAATCTGCCTACCTACTTCAACACAATTGAGTTTCAACAGTTTCAATTTTGATTCATGACAAAAATCCAAAACTAGAATCCTCTATTTTATATGCATTATTTTTTAGTTATGTTTGAATAATGATAAATAGAAAATGACCCAAGCATAGGTCATTCTAATCTACTACTCAATTTTAACCTCATCATATATCAGTAGATTAAATAAATTGTCATTTCTATCACTTGATTCCCATCTGCCATTGATTACATTGATTACATTGGTTTTCCGTTTTAACCCTATTATTTAACATAATCAAGACATCAAGTAAATGCCTGAACTAGAAATCTAATTTCTTTTTGGACATCTTTCTTCCAGTCTTCACACACATCTAATTCATCAAAGTTTTGAAATTTCTACTTACAAAGAATATCCCACTTCTCCATTTCTCTTTCTCCCCACCATCACCAGCCTAGGATAGGCCACCCCCATCTCTTGGCTGAATATTAAAATAGCCTTATCTTTTTTGTTTGTTTTTGTTTTTGTTTTTGTTTTTGTTTTTTTGCACCCAGTTCCCCTCTCCACCTAATTTTGCTGTTCATACAGAAATGAGAATAATCTTTTAAAAATGTAAATTAGAAAATTTCACTGTCTCATTCAAATCCTCCAGTGTCTTCTCCCTTTACACTTAGAATTTAATATTCAAACTCTTTATTAAAACCTGTAAAACCCTGCATGATCTGAACCTTTACTGACTCCCCCATACTTTCTGCTACTTTCTCCCTCACACGATATGCTCCAGCCACTTTATGACCCTCCATATGCTAAATTTATTACCTCTTCTGAGCGTTTTATTTTCCTGTTATTTCTACTTGAAAGGCTTTTCCAGCTGGTCAGCACCTTATTCAGCCAACTTATTAAGATCTTAGCTCCAATGAAACCTCTTAAAGCTGGTCTTCCTTTACAACCTGATCTAAATTGGCTGTCTAATCTCTCCCCTTTTCCAAATTCTTTTTCACAACATTCAGTTCTTTTCTACAGAAGTCTTATCACTATATATATATATATCACCATCTATATATACTTTATGTTTATGAGTCACATAAACTAATCTAGTCATTTTCAATGCCTTGCTTTGCTCTATTAAGCTACATTAACTTAGCTCTAGAGAATTTCCTCTTGGTTCAAAATGGAGGGCTAAAGTGCTGAGCTAGTATTGGGGCAAGATTTAGTAATGTTATAAATAATTAAGTGTATATATATGTAATATATATACATTACATATATATATATTTCTGTCTCCTCTACTAGATTTTAAGCTTCATAAAGTCATATCCTTGTATTTACTGATTACCAATCTATAATATGCACCTAGACTGGTACCTGATTTTAAAAAAAATTAACATTTCTTCACTGTATAAATAACTTTTATTCTGTTAAGGAAAAAGAAACTACCAGCTTATTTTCTCAACTCAATTCATTACTTCCCTCCACAAATTTTGTCCTTTCTCTTACATATTTAATGTCTTCTACTCAACTGTTTTTTTTTTTTTCATTTCTGTTATACATATGTTCTAATTATCTTTGGGAAAACAAAATAAAAACTTTACCCCATCTGTCAAGACATGCCTTGATTTCTCAGCCTCTGCCTTGCCAGCTGTTTCCACCTGGACACCTATGAGTTGAAAACTTGGTCCTTAGCTGATCCAAAATGATATATACATTACAGCAAAGACTGTAGCTCTAATTCTAGTGACATGGGTAGTAATAGCTATATATTGAGTTCCCCCAAAAGTCTTGCTGCCAGAGAGTCTAGAATCTGCTTCACTGGAGAGAGACCCTTCAGAACGTGCTTCCCTGGATTCACAGATATACTGTGCATCTGCACGTTAGTTTCATAGAGGCCAAGAGAGACTTTCCTCTTGCTTTCTGAATGTTTGCTGAAAATCACTGACATAAGGTAGATTAATAGGAGAAAAGGCATTCACATTTATTGTGCAGATGGGGAGCATCACAGAGTGATTTCCCACTCTCCAGTGGAGTTCAGGAACTTATATACCATCCTGGAAAGAAAGGTTATGAAAGGTGGGAGAAGAGAATCTGTTAAGGGGATCACTAGGAAGAATAATTAGATCAGGGAACAAATAACTTGTACATTATCTTGTGAAAGGGTTTGTTAAGATGTAATTATACTCTTGGCTTTATAGAGAAGGAAGAAAAAATGTTCTCCTTGGTGGATCTGGATCTTAAGAAAAAAAAAATCTGAAGGATTTGGGAGAGAGAGTATGCGGGGGAAGAAAATCATAGAGACATCGAAGTTTCTTCAGAACCTCAATGTACCATATTTTGGAGTATTGACTTCTGAGCCCTAACATTTCGTTCACCAGATGTGGGTTTTTGTCTTAGTTTATATTTCTTAATTTTGACAGGTTATTCTTTCTGTCTAGTTTTTATTCCAGGACTAGAGTCCTGCCACATCTCTTGTTCACCTACTGGTCACCCTGCTGTTTTTTGTTTTTTGTTTTTGACTTACTTATACCCTATCTTCACTGGAGCTGGAGAATTGCTCAGTAGTTCAGTCTTGGGGCTGGGCTGGGGACTCAGGATTTAATCTTTTTATTTTCCTGAAAAAAAAAAAAAAAAGATTCTAAAGAAGGGCTGACCACTCCTTAAATCTCTTACAATTGAGATCCTTCTGTCTGAGTAATCTCAGGACCAACTATTTCCAAATTGTTATTGAGATTTCAGTGGGTGGAACAATCAACTTTACTACCACGCTCTTAGTCCTGCTCTTAAGAAGCAGCCTTAAACATCAAGTTCTGCCTACCTCTGGCTTCTCGTTTGTGTAACATTTTTTAAAACTTTATACAATTATTTCCTTTATTTTGGCAACCTCGATCTGATGTTTATTTAATTGTAATCTGATGTCTTTCTCTTTCTCATTATTAAGACTATTCTTTGAAATGATTTCCAAATGATAAAACTAATTTTGTAGTTGTCATTAAAATTTATTTCCCTGCAGTAGTTGACTAATGATCCCTTTTTTATTGAAATATTCTTAAACTTTATAGTTTGTGACCTTTTATTATCTTGTTTTTCCTCTCATCTTTTCAACTAGGCTTATTGTTGCTTTTCTAACAACTCCTTTTTCCTGCTGCTCCTTAATATAAGGCTTTGCCCTTGATTTAATTTTACTTTGCTCCTTAGATCATTTTTTAATTTCATTATCTTAATTATCACTTCTATGTGAAGTTTGTATACTTAGTTCAAACTTCTCTGGAACACTGTTCTTTTTTTTGTTTTGTTTTTTGAGACAAAGTCTTGCTCTGTCGCTTAGGCTGGATTGCAGTGGCGCGATCTCAGTTTACTGTAAGCTCTGCCTCCCGGGTTCACACCACTCTTCTGCCTCAGCCTCCCAAGTAGCTGGGAATACAGGTGCCCGCCACCATGCCCGGCGAATTTTTTGTATTTTTAGTAGAGACGGGGTTTCACCGTGTTAGTCAGGATGGTCTCGGTCTCCTGACCTCGTGATCTGCCCACCTCGGCCTCCCAAAGTGCTGAGATTACAGGCGTGAGCCACTGCGCCTGGCCTGGAACACTGTTCTTATATTTCTATTTGATAGTTGGCTATTTCCATTTTGAAGTTCTATCACGATCTCACTCTCAATATGTCAAAACATTGAGCCCATTATCTAATGAACCATACTCATTTTTTTTAATGGTTACCCATCTTTTTTCAGTTTTCAGTCTTCAAACTTAAAAATTACTTTTACATCCTCCTACATCACTCACTAATCAGTATGTATTATCAAGCTTTTCATTACATTGTTTCTCACATAAGACTCTTTATATTCGGCTTTTTTTCCAGAAACTGAGCTTAATCTTTCATGTCACATAAGCTATATAAACATTTGCCTAATCATATCTTCTGTTCTCAATAATAATTCTTCTAGAGCAGTCATCTACAAATTTGAGGTGCTTTGACACAAAGGTATTCAAGATTACTCTTTAGAATTGTTAAGTTTAGTCTAAATCTGCCACCTTATTTTGAATTCAACCTAGAGATTTCTGTGTACACAATGAACTGTAATCTAACCGGGTTTAAAAATAGACTGCACCTATTCTTGTACCAATCCTTGAGTTTTGGCCAGTCAAAGGCAACCAACTGTTCAACCCGTGTTGAAATAAGCAAAACACCAAGCTGTATCCAATCCAGCTGTTTCTGGACCTCACTTTCAGTTCTTGTATGTCACTTTCTTAATCCACAAATATTTTTCAACCATGAGATATCACTGGAGATTCTCTGAACATATTCCAGTCTGGGAGGCTGTCTAATTCATAAATTATGCTTTGCTCAAGTAAACATTGATAAATTTAGGTTGTCTAAAGTATTTCTTGATGGAAGGGACAAGATGGCCAACTAGATGCAGCTGGAAAGCACCTCTTTTACTGAGAGAAACCAAAATCTTGGGTAAACAACTACACTTCAAACCGATCTTTTAGAGAAAACACTGAAAGTTGACAGAGACACAACACAACTCCAAGATTAAATAGGGAGGAAGCTGAGAAGTCCACATAGAGTCACCAGACCAGGCTCTTGGTCCTGAACAGGCCCTAAGGAAGAGGTAAATGAAGGAACTCTGTGACATCACAATCCTGCTGTGAGTCTCTGGAATCCTAGCTACAAGAGATGTTGTAACCCTCATAGACATTTCAATTGACAGAGGGAACTGCCTGAACAGTAGGCAGAGGCAGGGAATAAACTTGGACAGAACCAAAATATTATATGGCACACAGGGCAACTGCAGCAAAACGTGACCGTAAGTACCCATCCCCAAAGGTTCTCCATCTTGCTTTGAATGGGCGTAGCCCCTCCTGACTCTTGGCTGGGAGAGAGGAAGCCTGCCTTCCCTGCAGCATCAAGGCACAACTTACCTGCATGCCCCCCTTTTTCACTGGCCCATCACAAAGCAAGCTGCCTTTCAGCTCCCACAAGAGAATGCACACAGCACAGCCTCCACTATTCTGTCTGAGTGTTTTGCCAGCAGCCGGAGAGCAGTTCGACAGCCTGGTACAGCCAGTGTTTGCCCCCAAGAGGGCAGAGGACAAAGCCACAGGACTAGTTTCAACCCCCTAGGGTTTGAGCACACCAACCACAGTTATTGAGCTGAGATTTTTGGCTAGAGTTCAAGTGTGGGGGGGAACCCCAAGTCTTAGAACACAGAGAAGAGTGAGGTGTGGATTCATGTGCTGGTGTGGGAGCTAAATGTCCCTCCCTCTGCAAGACCAGTCAGGGAAAGGTGGAGCTTGTTGACCAGTCACAGTTTCTGCCTGAGGGAGCCCCATGGTCCTGATCACCTGGAACATGCCAGCAATCTGAGTGCAGAAGGTTTGAGACAAAACTAGCTGATCAGGCTAGATACTGGGATCCCTTTGCACAAGGACCCTCCACCCTTGACCCACTATATCACCAGATCACCTGCAGACATACCCCACAACCTGCTTTGTCTTTGCTAAGCTCAGAAAACCAATGGGTCCCTGAGTTGCAGGAATCCTGGTGACCTAAACTTTGGCTCTGGCCACCCTTAAGGGAGGAGGAGTGCAGGCTGCCAGGGCTCCCCTTGGAGCTAAGAGAAAATGAGCACAGCACCAGTGATTAAAAGGGGTTACCCCAAGGCCCAGGAACAGACTTGGGAGGGAGTTATTTCTCGCACATCCCCATCTCTCCCTCCCCAGAACACTATTGTATATGAGCCTATCTGCCGACCCTTACTCTTAAGCACCGTCTACTGGATCACAGCCTGAACAACATTACTAACAAAAGTAAATTCATTTCACACTGTGAAACCCAATGTAGAAAGTCAATCATAACTATGGAACTCATACAGAGCTTTGGCCCTCAGAAAGCACCCAGAAATGAAACTAATCAACTATAGATGCTATACACCATAGTCAAACAACCAAGGGGAAAGTATAATATATAAGCAAAAAAAAAAACCTCATTTAAGTGACAGCAATTTCAAAGAGATAAAGGAACACCAGCTTCTCCGATGAGAAAGAACCAGTGAAAGAACTTCAGCAATTCAAGAAGTCAGAGAGTTTTCTTACCTCTAGATATTCACAGTAGTTCCACAGCAAAGAATCCCAACCAGATTGAAATGTCTGAAATGACAGACACAGAATTCAGAATATGGATGGGAAGGAAGCTCAACGACATAAAGATAAAATGGAAATCCAATCCAATAAAGTGAGTAAAATTATTCAATAGTCGCAAGATGACATAGCCATTTTCAGGAAGAACCAAACTGAACTTCCTGAATTAAAGAATTCACTACAGGAATTTCCAAATACAGATGAAAGACTTAACAACAGAATAGACAAAGCCAAGGAAAGAATTTCAGAGCACAAAGACAAGTCCTTCAACTCAACCCAGTCAGACAAAAGCAAAAAAAAAGGAGAGAATTATAAAATGATGAAAAGCTTCTGAGAAATATAGGATTATGTAAAGAGACCAAATATATGACGCATTGGCATTCTTGGGAGAGGAGGAGAAAGAGTAAGCAAGTTGGAAAACATATTTGAGGATACAGTTCACTAAAATTTTCCCAATCATTATAGAGAGCAACATGCAAATTCAATGAATTAAGAGAATCCTGTGATAAACTATACAAGACAACCACCACAAAGGCAAATAGTTATCAGAATTTTCAAGGTCAATGTGAAAGAAAAAATCTTAAAGGCAGCCAAAGATAATGATCAGATCCCTTACAAGGGGAATCCTATTAGTGTAAAAACAGACTTCTCAGCAGAAACTTCACAGACCAGAAGAGAGTGGGGGCTTATTTTCAGCATTCTTAAAGAAAAGAAAATCCAATAAAGAATTTCATATTCCACTAAACTAACCTTTATAAGTGAAGGAGAAACAAAGTCTTTTTCAGACAGGCAATTCCTAAGGGAATTTGTTTCCACTAGACCAGCCATATGAAAGATTCCTAAAGGAGTTCTAAGCATGGAAACAAAAGAATGATACTTGCTACCACATAAACACGCTTAAATACATAGTCTGGAGACCCTATGAAGCAACTACACAATACAGACAACAAAGAAACCACCTAACAACATTAAGATAGGATAAAATCTTTACATATCAATAATAACTTTGAATGTAAATAGTCTAAACACCCCAATTAAAAGGCACAGAGTGTCAAGTTGGATTAAATGCAAGACTCAACTGTCTGCTGTCTTCAAGAGACGCATCTCACATGTAACAATATGCATAGGCTCCAAGTAAAAAAATAGAGAAAGATTTATCATGCAAATAGAAAACAACAACAACAAAAAGCAGAGGTCACTATTCTTATGAAAGATAAAACAGACTTTAAACCAACAACAATATAAAGGGACAAATAAGGGCATTACATAATGATAAAATGTTAAGCAAGATGACTTAATAACCCTAAATGTATACACATCCAACATTGGAGCCCCCAGATTTGTAGAACAAGTACTTCTAAACCTATAAAAAACTTAGCCACACAATAATACTGGAGGACTTCAACACCACAATGAGTGAGCTACACAAACTATTGAGGCAGAAAACTAACAAAGAAATTCTGTACTTAAATTTGACACTTGACCAACTGGATTTAGTAGATATCTGCAACATAATCCACTCATCAACCACAGAATATACATTCTCCTCATCTTAACACAGAATGTATTCTAAGATTGACCACATGCTTGACTATAAAGCAACTCAATAAATTCAAAAGAATTAAAATCATATCAAGAATGCTTTTAGACCACAGTGGAATAAGAATAGAAATCAATACCAATGAGCTCTTTCAAAACCACACAATTACATGGAAAGTAAACTTGTTCCTCAATGACTTTTAAGTAAACAATGAAGTTATAGCCGAAATCAAAACATTCTTTAAAGTAAATGGTAACAGGCATGTAACATACCAAAATCTCTGGAATGCGACAAAGACAGTGTTAAGATCTAAAGCAAAGAGTATGTCTTGAGATCTAAGGCTCAGCTGTCACCTCAGAATTTTTCTCTATTACTGTTTAGGTAGGATTTCTTGTTTCCTGGATTCTGTAGCTTTCCCTTTTATTTTTTGTTTTTTTCACTTGTTTTGGTGCAGCACATCTTCCAGTCATTCCCTAAGAAGGAACACACTGTGAAGGTACATTTTATGAGTCTTTGCATGTATAGTAATCTTTTCTTTGTCCTCACACTTGATTGACAGCTCATTTGGATATAGAATCTTAAGTTGGAAATAATAGTCAATCAGAATTTTAAAGTCATTCTGCTGGCTTCCAGAATTGCTGCTGAGAAGTGTGATGCTCTAACCCATTATTTTCCTTTTTAAAATTCTACCTCTTCCTTCTAATTGTTATGGGAAGTATTTCGGTCCTTCTTCTTATCATTCACCTTCTTGAATCTCATGGTACTCTTTGTTTTAGGTCTTCTCTCATCTATGCTGCAGAGCTCTCATGAGATCCTTCAATCTAGAACATGTTCTTTTGTTTTTCTGACAATTTTTTTCTCTATATTTTCTCCTTCTGGAAATCTTACTGGTGAAAGTTGAACCTCCTGGATTGATAAAGTCTTTTACTTTTCTTTAATATTTTCTAGTACTTTGGGAGATTTCTTTAACTTTATCATCAAAATCTGCCATTACAATTTTTATTTTAACAACTATCTTTTTCATTTACAAGAGTTCTTTGTGTCCTTCATTGGTTCTTTTAGCATCTTGTTTTTGACTTTCAGGTCCTCTCTAAAGATAATTGTTAGACGATAATTTTTTTTTTATTTTAATCTTTTTATTTCAACAGATATTTGGGGAACAGGTGGTGTTTGGTTTCATGAATAAGTTCTTTAGTGTTGATTTCTGAGATTTTGATGCACCCATCACCCGAGCAGTGTACACTGTACCCAATGTGTATTCTTTTATCCCTTGCCACTCCCAACCCTTTCCCCAAGTCCCCAAAGCCCAATGTATCATTATTATGCCTTTGAAGAGTCATTCAAAGCTTTCGGCATTGTCTAAGTTTGTCAGAAGTAGGCATTAGAGACACAAATGTCTAGAGGACTCAGAAAATTTATTTTCTTTCACATACATATGTGCTTTCTTTCATGTCTCTTAAACATATTACAGTCTTTATATACATTTTTATACTATGGCAAAAACATAATAACATGTCTCAATTGACACTTGGCTTTAAAGTCACAGAGACAAAAGAAAGAAGTTGCAAATTTGATTAATTAGATTAGATCAAGACGGCCAAGGGCTTTAGAAGTAAAGAATCTAGAGGAAAGAGAGACTCAAGAAAAGCCTTTGATATCAGAAAAAACTGGGGAAGAGTTTTTAATATGTAGATTGCAAATTGCAAAATTGAAATGGCACAATTGAAAATCAGGCTATTAATAATTCCAGAAAAATGAAAATGCCATAAAACAAAACAAATGTAATCACAGTCACTAATTGGTGCTACAACTAACAATGTAAACATAATAACAATGTAAACACTAATTATTCACTTAAATAAAAGAGCACTTTTTAAAAAAAAAAGAACTGAAATAATTTAAGGGGAAGCAATATTTAAAAAGATAATGGCTGAAAAATTTTCTAGAACTGATAAAGACAGGACTACAGGTCTAGAAACCACAGCACACCCAAGCATTTGGAAAGAAAGGGTATCTAAAAAGAAACAATAATTGTAATTACAACTTCTTTAAAACATTAACAGCTAGAATACAGTGAAATCATATCAAAGTTCTGAGAGAAAGTAACTCAATATAAATTACTGTACTGTTTTAAATTTTTAGTAATTGTGCCAAATTATTTTTTCCTCCCTATATCCCTATAACCATGTCCTTGTACACTCTCTTCCATATTGACTTTGGGGTTGGTTCTGTGATTTGATTTGACAGTTAGACTTTATCAAATCTGAGGCTTAAAAAGCACTTGATCATTGGGGCTTAGGTTCTTACCGTTGGAATCTCTACCTCTATCATGTGAAAAAGTCTGGGAGAGCTTACTAAAAGATAAAAACATATGGAGCAGAAACAAATAATCTCAAGTGAGATCCTCCTAGATCAGTTGTGGTAGACAAAATAATTCCCTCCCTAAACCATCCACATCTTAATCCCTGGAATGTATAAATATGATGCCTTACATAGCAAAAGTGACTTTAAATATATATGTGATTAAATTAAGGGCATTAGGATGAGGCCATTGTCCTGCAATATCCCAGTGGTCCTAATGTCATCAAAAATATCCCTAAAAGAGCCAAAAAGATGTGACAACAGAAACACAGAGAGAAAAAAATGGGAGAAAGATGCTAATATTGCTGGTTTTGTAGATGGAGGAAAGACCCAGAAACCAAGGAATGTAAGTAATCCCTAGATGCTAGAAAATGTAAGGAGGTTCTTCCCTAGAGTCCCAAGAAATAGCACTTCTCCACCAGCATATTGATTTTAGCCCAGTAAGATTCATTTTGAACTTCTGAGCACCAGAGCTATAAGATAAAAATTTGGGTTTCTTTATGTTTTTACTGTTTAAAAAATTTATCCGTCGTAACTGTACATATTTTTGTGGGTTTTTTTTATTCTTAAAAAAATTTATGGCAGGGTGCAGTGGCTCACACCTGTAAAGCCAGCACTTTGGGAGGTTGAGGCGGGTGGATAACGAGGTCAGGAGATGGAGACCATCCTGGCTAACACGGTGAAACCCCGTTTCTACTAAAAATACAAAAACTTAGCCAGGCATGGTGGCAGGCGCCTTTAGTCCCAGCTCTCGGGAGGCTGAGGCAGGAGAATGGCCTGAACCCGGGAGGCAGAGCTTGCAGTGAGCCGAGATCGCGCCACTGCACTCCAGCCTGGGCGACAGAGTGAGACTCTATCTCAAAAAAAAAAAAAAATTGTACATCATAACTGTACATATTTTTGTGGTACATGTGATAATTTGATATCTGTATACAATACATAATAATTAAATCAGGGTAAGTGTGATATTCATCACTTCAGATATTTACCTTTTATTTGTGTCAGGAACACTGCAATTCTTCTCTTCTAGCTATTTTGAAATATACAAGAAATTATTGTTAACCATAATTTTCTATTGTACTATCCAACAATAGGACTTACTCCTAACTGTATTTTTGTACCCATTAACCAATTTCTCTTTATCACTTTCCTTTTCTTCACAGCCTCTGATAACCCCATTTACTCTCTGTCTTTATTAGATCCACTTTCCTAGTTTCTGCTTATGAATGAGAATATACAGTATTTGTCTTTCTGTGCCTGACTTTTTTCACTTAACATAATGTCTTTATGTTCCATCCATGTTGCTAAAAATGACAGGATTCTACTATTTTATTTAAAATTATTTTAATAATATTCATTGTATATATATATATAACAATTTCCTTATCCATTCATTCATTGATGGACACAGGTTGATTTCAGATCTTGGCTACTGTGAATAGTACTGCAAGAAAACATGAGAGTAAAGATATCTCTTTTATATACTTATTTTCTTTCCTTTGGATATATAATGCCTCGCAGTGAGTTTCTTATGGTAGTTCTATTTTTAGTTTTTTGAGGAACCTCAATATCGTTTTCCATAATGGCTGTTCTACTTTACATTCCCACCAAAAGTGTAGGAGCATTCTGTTTTCTTCACATCTTCGCCAGCATTTGTAATTTTTTTTTTTTTTTTTATGATTTCCATTCTAGGTAAGGTGAGACATTTCATTGTGGTTTTGATTTGCGTTTTCCTGATGATTAGTGTTGAGTATTTTTTCATACAGCTTAGCCATTTGCATGTCTTTTTTGAGAAATATGTATTAATCTATTTTGTTTACTTTTTTTTTTTTTTTTTGAGAAGGAATTTCGCTCTGTCAGCAGGCTGGAGTGCAGTGGCATAATTTCGGCTCACTGCAGTGTCCTCCTTCCGGGTTCAAGCGATTCTCCTCCCTCAGCCTCCTGAGTAGCTGAGACTGCAGGTACACACCACCACACCTGGCTAATTTTTGTATTTTTAGTAGAGAGGGGGTTTCACCATGTTGGCCAGGATGATCTTGATCTCTTGACCTCGTGATCCGCCCACCTGGGCCTCCCAAAGTGCTGGGATTACATGCGTGAGCCACCGTGCCTGGCCTTTGTTTACTTTTTAAAGGGATTATTATTTTTGCTATTGAGTTTGAGTACCTTATATATTCTGGTTATTAATATCTTGTTATATAGTTTGTTAACATGTAATCCAATTTTGCAGGTAATCTCTTCACCATGTTAATTGTTTTTTGTTTTTTGTTGTGTGTGTGTGTGTGTGTGTTTACATGTGTGTGTTTTTCTGTGTGAAAGCTTTTTATTTTGAGGTCATTACAATTGTCTATTTTTGCTTTTGTTTTCTGTTCTTTTGAGATTTTACCCTAAAAATATTAGTTTCGAATTTTTATGCCTAGCATTTAAGTCTTTAGTCCATTTTGAGTTTACTAGTTTTACATATCAAAAGATGGGGATCTAGTTTTATTCTTTTGAAAGAGATATTCAGTTTTCCCAGCATCATTTTATTAAAAAGGCTGTTCTTTCTCCAATGTATGTTCTTGGTGCAATGCTGAAAATGAGTTGGCTGTAAGTTCATGGATTATTTATGTGTTATCTATTCTGTTCCATTGTTCTGTGTCTGGTTTGTATGACGTGCTGTTTTGGGTATGACAACTTTGTAGTACAGTTTGATATCAGGCAGTGCAATACCTCCAGCATTGTTCCAGCATTGCTTTTTTTTTTGTGCAGGATTTTTCTTTTCTTTCTTTTTTTTTTTTTTTTTTTTTTTAGCAATTTGGGGTATTTTGTGGTGAAATTTGGGTTGTTTTATTTTTTGTATCTTTTGTTTTAATTTCGTGGGTATATAGTAGGTGTATATATTTATAGGTACATGAGATGGTTTGATGCAAGCATGCAGTATTAAATAATCACATCATGGAGAACGATGTATCAATCAATTCATTTTCCCTTTGTGTTACAAACAATCCAGTTACCTTCTTTTAGTTATTTTAAGATGAAAAATATTATCAACTGTAGTCACCCTGTTGTGCTATAAAATACTAGACCTTGTTTATACTTTAATTTTTTTTGTGCCAATAAACCTTTGCCACCTTTCCCCAACTCCTCACTACACTTCCCCACCTCTAGTAATCATCCTTCTACTCTCTTTCTCCATGAGTTCAATTGTTTTGACTTTTAGATCTTACAAATAAGTGAAAACATATGATATTTGTTTTTCTGTACCTGGCTTATTTGACTTAACGTAATGATCTCCATTTCTATCCATGTTGTAAGTGGCAGGATCTCATTATCTTTTACGGCTGAATAGTACTTTATTGTGTATATGCACCACATTTTCTTTACCTGTTCATTTGCTGATGGACACTTAGGTTGCTTCCAAATCTTAGCTACTGTGAACAGTGCTGCAACAAACATGAGAGTGCAGATATCTCTTCAATGTACTGATTTCCTATCTTTTGGGTATATACCCAGCAGTGGGATTACTGGATTATATGGTAGCTCTAGTTTTAGTTTTTTGAGGAACCTCTACACTGTTATTCATAGTGGTTGTACTAATTTACATTCTCAACAACAGCTTACAGGAGTTCCCTTTTCTCCACATCCTCACTAGCATTTGTTACTGCTTGGGCTTTTTTTATATAAGCGATTTTAACTGAGATGAGATAATGTAGTTTTGATTTGGATTTCTCTGATAATCACTGATGTTGGGCACCCTTTCCTATGCTTATTTGTCATTTGTATGTTTTCTTTTGAGAAATATCTATTCATATCCTTTGCCCAGTTTTTAGTAGAACTATTATTTATATATATATATATATACATATATATATATATATATATTTTTTTTTTTTTTCCTGTAGAGTTCTTTGAACTTCTTATATATTTTGGTTATTTATCCCTTGTCAGATGAGTAATTTGCAAATATTTTCTCACACTCTGTGGGTTGTCTCTTCTTTTCATGACTGTGTCCTTTGCTGTGCAGAGGCTTTTTAACTTGATGTGATGCCATTTGTCCATGTTTGCTTTGGTTACCTGTACATGTGGAGTATTGCTCAAGAAATACTTGCCCTGACCAATGTCTTGGAAATTTTTCCCAAAGTTTTCTTTTGGTAGTTACATAGTTTGAGATCTTAGATTTAAGTCTTTAATCCGTTTTGATTTGATTTTTGTATATGGTGAGAGACAGTGTTCTAGTTTTATTCTTATGTATGTGGACATCTAGTTTTCCCAGCACCACTGATGTAAAAGACTATCTTTTCCCCAGTGTATATTCTTGGCACTTTTGTTGAAAATTAGTTCACTGTAGATGTGTGGATTGTTTCTGTGTTCTCTATTATATTTCACTCTTCTATGTGTCTGCCTTTTTTTTTTTTTTTTTTTTTTGAGACGGAGTCGCAATCTCGGCTTACTGCAAGCTCTGCCTCTCAGGTTCAAACCATTCTCCTGCCTCAGCCTCCCGAGTAGTTGGGACTACAGGCGCCCACCACCGCATCCAGCTACTTTTTTGTATTTTTAGTAGAGACGGGGTTTCACCGTGTTAGCCAGGATGGTCTTGATCTCCTGACCTCGTGATCCACCCGCCTTGGCCTCCCAAAGTGCTGGGATTACAGGCGTGAGCCACCGCACCTGGCCCTATGTGTCTGTTTTTATGCAAGTACCATGCTGCTTTGGTTGCTATAGCTGTGTAGTATAATTTAAAAATAGGTAATTTGATTCCTCCAGTTTTGTTCCTTTTATTCAGGATTGTTTTGGCTATTCTGGGTCTTTTGTGGCTCTATATAAATGTTAGAATTTTTTAAAAATATTTTTGTGAAAAAGGTCATTGGGATTTCAATAGGGATTGCCTTGAATCTGTAGATTGCTTTTGGGTAGTATGGACATTTTAACAGTATTAATTCTTTTAATTCAGGAACATAGAATTTTTTTTTCAATTTCTTTTATCAATGTTTTATAGCTTTCATTGTATCTACTTACACTTCTTTGGTTAATTTCTAGGTATTTGAATTTATGTGTGGCTATTGTAAATGAGATTACTTTTTCTTTTTCAGATTGTTCAGTGTTGGCATATAGAAATGCTACTGATTTTTGTACATTGATTTTGTATCTTACAAATTTACTGAACATATCAGTTCTAATCATTTTCTTCTGTAGTCTTTAGGATTTTCCAAGTATAAGATCATATCATCTGCAAACAAGATACATTTGACTTCTTCCTTTCCAGATTAGATGCTTTTTATTTTTTTCCCTTGTCTGAATACTCTAGCTAGGGCTTCCATACTATGTTGAATGACACTGGCAAAAGTGGGCATCCTTATCATCTTCCAATCTCATAAAGACTCAGTTTTTCCTCATTCATTATGACACTAGCTATGGGTCTGTCATATATGGCTTATATTATGTTGAGGTGTGTTCCTTTAATAACCAGTTTTTGAAGGTTTTTTTTTCATCATAAAGGGATGTTGAATTTTATCAAATGCTTTTTCAGCATATATTGAAAGGATCATATTGTTTTATCCTTCATTATGTTGACATGATGTATCACACTGATTGACTTGCATATGTTGAGTCATTCTTGCATCCCAGGGATAAATCCCGCTTGGTCATGATGAGTGATCTTTCTGAAGTATTGTCGAATTTGGTTTGCAAGTATTTTTTTGAGGATTTTTGCATCAGTATTCATGAGAGTTATTGGCCCGTAGTTTTCTTTTTTGAATGTGTCTTTCTCTGGTTTTGGGCAATACTGACCTCATATAATGAGTTGAGAAGTATTTCCTCCTCCTCTATATTCCGGAATAGTTTGAATGGGATTGGTATTAGTTCTTATTTAAATGTTTGGTAGAATACAGCAGTGAAGCCATAGGGTCCCGGGCTTTTCTTTACTGGAAGACTTTTTATTATGGCTTTGATCTTGTTGCTTCTTGTTAGTCTGTTCAGGTTTTGGATTTCTTCTTATTTTGATTGTGGTATGTGTCTAGGAGTTTATCCATTTCAAGATTTTCCAATCCATAGTTACATAGTTGCTCATAGGAGACACTAACGCTTCTTTTAATTACTGTAATATCAGTGGTAACATCTACTTTTATATGTCTGAGTTTATTTATTTGGATCATCTCTCTTTTATTCTTAGTCTGGTTAAAATTTGTCAATTTTGTTTTACAATAAACCATTTTTATGTTTCACGTTTCATTATCTATTGTATTGTTTTCTTTATGTCAATTTCCTTTATTTCTGTTTTGATTTTTATTTTTTCTTTTCTTCAGCTAATTTTGGGTTTGGTTTGCTGTTGCTTTTCCAGTTCTTTAAGATGCATCATTAGATTGTTTATTTGAAGTTTTTCCTCTTTCTTGATGTAGGCACTTGTAGCTATTCAATGCCCTTTTATTGCATTTGCCATATACCATAGGTTTTTGTATGCTTTTTTCCATTATCATTTGTTTCAATTTTTTCAATTTTTTCTTAATATTTTATTGACCCACTTGTCATTCACAAGCATGTATTTGTATAGTTTCAAAAATTCCTCTTGTTTTTAATTTCTAGTTTTATTTTATTGTGGTAAGAGAAGATGGCTGATGCAATTTGAATTTTTTTGAGTGTTTTAAGACTTGTTTTGTGACCTAACATGTGGTCTATACTATACCTAACATAGATCCATGTGCTGAGGAAAAGAATGTGTATTCTGCAGCCATTGGATGAAATGTTCTGTAAATACATATTATATCCATTTGTTCTATAGTGCAGATTACGTCTGATGCTTCTTTTTTGTCTGGAAGATTTGTTCAATGCTGAAAAGTGTGATGTTGAAGTCTCCAGCTATTGTGGTATTCAAACTTTTGTCTCTCTTTAAGCTCTGATGATATTTTTTAATTCTATCTGGTTGCTTCAGTGTTGGGACCATATTTATTTAAATTTGTTATATCCTCTTGCTGAATTGACCCCTTTATCATTATATAGTGACTTTATTTGTCTCTTCTTATAGTTTTTGTCTGAAAATTTATTTTGTCTGATATAAATATAGCGACTCCTGCTATATTTTGGTTTCCATTGGCATGAAATATTTTTCCATCCCTACGTTTTCAGGATATATATGTCTTTATAGGTGAAGTGTGTTTCTTATAGGCAGCAGCTCAATGGGTCATTTTTTTTTTTTCATTCATTCAGGCAGTCTATGCCTTTTGATTGGTGAGTTTAGTACATTTTTATTTTTATCTATTTTATTATTTATTTATTTATTTATTTATTTATTTATTTATTTACTTATTTTGAGAGGGAGTCTCGCTCTGTCGCTCAGGCCGGAGTGCAGTGGTGCGATCTCTGCTCACTGCAAGCTCTGCCTCCTGGGTTCACGCCATTATCCTGCCTCAGCCTCCCTAGTAGCTGGGACTACAGGTGCCCGCCACCATGCCCAGCTAATTTTTTGTATTTTTAGTAGAGACGGGGTTTCACCGTGTTAGCCAGGATGGTCTTGATCTCCTGACCTCGTGATCCACCCGCCTTGGCCTCCCAAAGTGCTGGGATTACAGGTGTGAGCCACCGTGCCGGGCCGAGTTTAGTACATTAATATTCAATGTTACTATTGATAAGTAAGGACGTACTCCTGCCACTTTTTGTTGTTGTTTGTTTGCTTTAAGGTTGCTTTGCGGTCTTTCTCCTCCTCTCCTCTCTTCTCCTCTCCTCTCCTCCCCTTCCCCCTCCCACCTTCTTCCCCCTCCCCCCCTCCCCTCTCCCCTCCCCCTTCCCCCCTCCCCTTCCCCCTCCCTCGCCCTCTCCTTCCCTCCCTCTCTCTCTTTCTTTCTTTCTTCCATATTTTCCATTAGTGAAGGTGGTTTTCTCTTGTAATATGTTTTAGTTTCTTGCTTTTAATTTTTTTGTGCATCCATTGTGTGTTTTTTAGTTTGAAGTTACCATGAGGCTTGCAAATATTATATTATAACCTATTATTTTAAGCTGATAACAACTTAACACTATAACATAAAGAAACAAGCCAAAAGAAAGCCGATAAAAATTCTACGTCTTAACTTTGTTCCTCCTCTTTTATGTTTTGTTGTTTTGATTTATATCTTCTTGTACTGTCTGTGTCTTGAAAAGTTATTATTTTTGATTGGTTTATTATTTAGTCTTTGTGCTTAGGACAAGAGAGTTTACTCACCAGAGTTACAGTGTTATAATATTATGTGTTTTTTTGTGTGTGTACTTAACTATTACCAGTGAGTTTTGTACCTTCAGGTGATTATTTTTTGCTCATTAACATCCTTTTCTTTCTGATTGAGGTACTCCCTTTAGCATTTCTTGTAGGCTAGGTTTGGTGTTGATTAAATCCCTTAGCTTTTGTTTGTCTAGGAAAGTCTTTGTTTTTCGTTTATGTTTGAAGGATATTTTTGCCACGTATACTATTCTAGGGTAAAAAGTTTTTGTTTTTGTTTTTGTTTTTTACTTCAGCGCTTTAAAGATGGCATGCTACTCTCTTCTGGACCCTAAGGTTTCTACTAAAAAGTCTGCTGTCCGTCATATTGGAGCTCCACTGTATGTAATTTGTTTCTTTTCTCTTGCTGTTTCTAGGATCCTTTTGTAAAAAAAAAATTCTTGATATTTGAGAATTTGATTATTAAATGCCTGGGGATAGTCTTCATGGGTTAAACCTGTCTGGTGTTTTATAACCTTCTTGTATTTGGATGTTGATATTTTTCTCTAGGTTTGGGAATTTCTCTGTTATCTTTTAAAGTAAACTTTCTAATTCTATCTCTTTCTCTACCTTCACTTAATGGCTAAATAACTCTTAGATTTGCCCTTTTGAGGGTATTTTCTAGATCATATAGGAATGCTTCGTTGTATTTTATTCTTTTTTCTTTTGTCTCCTCTGACTGCATTTTCAAATAGCTCTTAAAACTCACTAATTCTTTCTTCTGCTTGATCGAGTCCACTATTAAAAGGTTCTGATATGTTCTCCAGTATGACAATTGAATTTTTCAGCTCCAGAATTTCTGGTTGATTCTTTTTAATTATCCCAAAGTTTTTGTTAAGTTTACCTCATAGAATTCTAAATTCTTTCTCTGTGTTATGTTGAGTCTCTTTCAGTTTTCTCAACACAGTTATTTTGAATTAACTGTTTGAAATGTCACATACCTCCTTCTTCAAGATTGGTCTCTATTTATTTCATTTGGTGAGGTCATGTTTTCCTGGATAGTGTTGATGTAAGCAGATGCTCTTTGGTGTCTGGGTGCTGCAGAGTTACATACTTATTTTAGTCTTCACTGTCTGGGCTTGTTTGTACCTGTCCCTTTTGGAAAGGCTTTCCAGATATTTGAAAGAACTTGGGTGATGTGATCTAAGCTTTACCTGCTTTAGAGGGAAACCCAAGCTCAGGAACTCTGTGGTTCTTGCAGACTCTTGGAGATACCACCTTGTTGTTCTTAGACTAGATCTGGACAGGTTCTCTGGATTACCAGGCAAAGGTTGTTGTTCTCTTCACTTGTTGTCCACCAAACAAAGTCTCGCTCTCTCTCTCTGTTCTAAGTGACATAAAGCTGGCGATGGAGTGACATCTGGCACACCTGTGGTCAACACCACTATGACTACACTGCATCAGACCTGAAGCCAGCACAATACTGAGTCTCACTCAAGGCCTGTTGTAACTCCTCCCTGACTACTGCATATATTTGTTCAAGGACCTGGGTACCTACAATGAGCAGATGGCAAAGGAAGCCAGGCCTGTCTTTTTTCCTTTAGGGCAACAAGTTATCCCAGGCCCTGAGTGGGTCCAGGTGGCAGCTGGGAGTCAGAAACTACTAGAGTCAAAAGCTTTAGAAATCCACCAGTGTTCTATTGTACTGCAGCTGAGGTGACACTCAAGCCACAAAATGCCTAGCCACCCCCACCACAGGCCATGGGGAATACTGTCAGACTACCACTGATGCAACCTTAAATCCCAAGCGCTATTAAGTCATCTTGTGGTAAATGCTGCCTGGCATAGAACTTACTCTTTTGGGACAGTGGGCTCCCCTGTGGCCCAGGGCAGGTGCAGATATGCTGCTCAAGTATCAAATCCTGGAATCAGGGCCTCAAGTGCTCATTTGGTGCTCTACCCTCCTGTGGCCATGCTGGTGCCTAAGGTGCAAGACAAAGTCTCCTTTCTTTTCCCTTTGCTTGAGCAGAAGGAGTTTTGCCTTGTAGCCACCACAGCTGGTAATGTGCTGAGTCTCGCCTTAAGCCAGCAAGTTTTAGAGCTCACTCAAAGTAATCAAGGTAGTACTTGAGTATCCCTGCTGGTTATTCAAGGCCCAAGGGCTTTTTATTTACCAGTTGATGAATGCTGCCAGGACTGAGTCTTTCCCTTAAAGTCAACACATTTTCTTTTATTTCACAGTGTGTCTAGAAAAGTCATCCAGGAGCTAGTGCCTGGAATGGGGTCCTCCAAACCCTTGCCGGTGCCCTATCCTGCTGGGGCTGAGCCAGTATCCAAGATACAAGACAAAGTCCTCCCCACTCTTCCTTCTCCTCACCTGAAGCAAAAGGAAGAGGCCTCTTTTGGACCCATGAGCTATGCAACCTGGGGTTAGGAGAGGGGTGATGCCAGCACTCCCTTAGCTGGCCCAGCTGGGCTGAAGTCTCAGTAAGTCACCTGCTCTCCTAGTCCACTGTCTCTCGGCCCAGTTCAGCACTAGGAATCACCTAAGAGTGGCAGTCCTTATGGCCTAGATTGCCTTTCAAGTTTTCTTACAGACCCAGAGTAGTTTAGCCCTTGGTGGCGAGGTTTGAAGGAACTCACCT
This sequence comes from Homo sapiens, assembly GCF_000001405.40. NCBI lineage: Eukaryota > Metazoa > Chordata > Mammalia > Primates > Hominidae > Homo > Homo sapiens. The sequence goes on along the minus strand of NC_000023.11, from coordinate 92,793,017 downwards.
TCCAACTGCTGGTATTAGAGATTCCCTTCTGGCTGGGGCTGCTTTAAATGCTCCCTTCATGGACAGGCATCAGCTGAGTTTGATCAGACTTTCCTTTGTGCTGTAACAGGACGGCACTGATTTCAATGCCTTGCAATTGCCATGCCCTTCCTTCCCTAGTGCCCAGAGATGCTCTTCTTACCACCGCACTGCTGCTGTTGGCGGTGGTGAAGGGGTGGCATCGGGATGCAGAACTTTTTTTTCTACCTCTTCAGTGCCTCTTCCAGTGATATGAAAATAAAACCAGGTACTGTGAGAAGTCACCTGATTTGGGGTTTTTATGAAGGTGTTTTTTTCTGTGGAGATAGTTGTTAAATTAGTCATTGTGGTGGAGATGATCAGTGGAGCCTTCTATTCTGTCATCTTGCTCTGCCTCTTTCTTTGATTTTAAATCACTGTTTGCTAATTTGTTACAGCAGCAATAAGAATTAAAATCCTAAATGTCTCTCAGCCAGAAATGTCAGAAGACACTAGTCAATATGTGAAGACATTTCTGGTTGTCACAATTTTGGGAGTTACATGGCATGTAATAGAGAGAGGCTGTGAATATCATAAACATTTTACAATGCATAGGAAAGTCCCACGAAACATAAAATTATACAACTCAAAATGTCAAAAGTTCTGAGATTTACAATTCCTATCCTAGGCTAACATTCCCAAGCTAATCCACAAGCTGAGCACAGCCACATGATTAACCTCAGATGAGATCAGCAAAAGAACCATCCCACTAAACATAACTCAAGTTGATGATTCATATTATGATCATCTGATAAAATATATGGTGCTGTTTTGTGATATAAAAGCAGACAACTGATACATATACCCAGCAAATCAATACATTTAAAATAATGGTGGAATAAGGATATTTTCAGGCAAAGAAAAAAGGAAAGATAGTGTACTAAATCATCTTTCTAAGGATTAACAGCTGATGTTAGACGAATAGTTTGAGATGCAGAGTAGTGATGAAATACAATGATAAACAGGTGTGTAAATTCAAACGATTTTTTTTTTGAGACAGCATCTCTGTTGCACAGGTTGTGCACCGCCACACCCAGCTTTTTTTTTTTTTTCTTTTTTTTTTTTTTCTTTTTTTTGTATTTTTAGTAGAGACGGGGTTTCACCATGTTGGCCAGGTTGGTCTCAAACACCTGACCTTAAGTGATCCACCCACATCGGCCTCCCAACGTACTGGGATTACAGGCATAAGCCACCGTGCCTAGTCTCAAACTGATTTTTTAATTAATAAAAATAATTTGTAATGCATGATGTTAGAGAAAAACAAAAATAAAATAGGAGACAAAAGTAGTACATGAATCAGGATGCAAATGTTTTGGATTAAAGTGTTCTGAGTTCTTTATACTATTCTGAAGGTGAGGCAAGATAAATTTACTTTTTGATATCTGTGTTGTTTTGCTTGTTTTCATGTTTTCTGCATTTTTTAGGTTGATTGAGATTTGTGATTGTGCAATTATGTAATTACTGATACATTTATTTTGGTAAAAATACAATGAAAATTACTTAAATAATGAAGAAGATAAATTCCAAGTAAGTGGAAAATATGGGAAAAGAACAAAAGTAGACAAAAACTAAATAGATAAAAAGCCAAGCATATAGAAAATGCAGAACAAATACAAATAAAATTAGAATGGCAGAAATAAGCCTCATAATAATAATGACCATTGCAATAAAATATACGTAGATTACATTCACCAAGTAAGTAAGAGATAATCAGACAGCATTGTAAAGGCTATAGCTATAAAGGTCTTTACAAGAGACAGTTCTTAAGTATAAAGATGCAGATGGGTTACAAGTTAAAGCATGAAATAGGTATACTAAGAAAATACTAATTAAAAGAAAGCTAATATCAGACAAAATCATTATTAAGAACAAAGAGAGTTGCAAATAATGATAAAATTTTAATTACCAAAATATAACAATTCTAAGCTTCTTATAATGGTTAATTTTATGTATCAACTTGTTTGAACCGATGTGCCCAGTTATTTGGTCAAATATATCTCTGCATGTCTCCAGGAAGATAACTTTGGACGAGATTAACATTTAAATTGGTGGACTTTTAGTAAACAAAATTGTTCTCCCTAATATGGGTGGACCTAATCCAATCACTTAAACTGGATAGAACAAAAGACTAACCTCCCCTGAGCAAGAGAAAATTCTTCCAAGACACGACCTTTGGACTGGAACACCAATATAAGATTTTCCCTGGCTCTCCAGCCTGATGGCTTTCAGACTGGAGCTGCAACACTGGCTTCTCCCCGGATCTCCAGCCAGCAGCCCCTCATGCAGATTTTGGTTTTGCCAACCACTATAATCACATGAGCCAATTTCTTAAAATAAATCTGTCTCTCTTTCTCTCTGTCTCTCTCTTCATTTATACATGTGCGTGTAGACACACACATACACACAGAAATACATTCTATTAGCTCTGTTTCTCTAGATAATTTGATATACTTATTCACCTAATAAGTTCTCAAAATATATCAAGCCATAATTGATATGTTGATAGGAAAAAGTTGAAATAACATGCCACAATAGTTGGAGACTAATTCTACATTATTGATAGATCAAGTTATCTAAAAGGCTGTATATGTAGAGAAAATTGTATAAATATATTTAACAATTATAATATAATTAACATATGTAGCATTCTGTACCAAAATATTAGAGAAGATACATTATCCTCAAACATACAAGGAAGACAATTTAAAAAATTCACATTTTAGATTATGATGTAAACAAATTTCAACCAAAAAATCATAAATAACATATTTGCTACCACACTACAATTAAGATATAATCAATTAAGCACATTCCCTAAAAAGTCATATTTATAGAAATTTTAAAACACACAATAATTTCTTGGTCAAAAAATTAGTTGTAATGAAATTTTAAAACTATGGAGAAAAGAAAGATAATAAAAATATTACTTATAAAACTTTTCAAGATGCAGCAGCAAAATGTTACTTTTAGCAACATTTATAATCTTAATGATAAGTATTAAAAAATAACAAACACTAAAATATATACCTAACTTCAGAAGTTTGAAAGTAATAAGAAAATCAATGTAAAGAAAGTAGAATAAAAGAGAAAATAATGAGAATATCAAGAATCTATCACACAGAAAATAAATGCTTCATAGAATAAGAATCCACAAAGCCAAGAGTTAGTACTTTTAAAAGTTTAATAATATGGAAAACACTGGTCAAACTGATAAAGAAAAATAAGAGAAAGGGCATATCAAAAAATGTTAGGAACATAAAAAGGCACATAAGTACAAATAGAGCAGATATTTAAAGACAGTAAGAAATTGTGATATATTTTCAGCAATAAAATGAAAATTCAGTCAACTGAGATATACTTCTCTTAAAATGTCATATATAAAACTGACTGAAAATAAAACATAGATAGTTTGAATTATCGTGCACCTACTAGAGAAACTGAGCAAAAATGAAATTCTACCTCAAATGGTTTTACTTGAATATTCAAATAATGTTTTAAGAAAAAGGTTACTTTTTTCAGTAATATTAATGTAGACTGTTTTAGACTGATTCTGCCAGTATTAATAACTAGAGAAGCATTACCCAATGTAGACGACATATACTTAATACTGTCACAGAGTTACCAAGTTTTCCAAGGATTTCAAGACCAAGATCTCACAGGAAAGGGAAGCACATTGAAGTCAGCCCAATATTCTGTAGCAATTTGTCCCCAATACATTTTCCATTCCATAATTGACAGGAGGCTAAGAGGCTAAGAACAAGTTGAGAGAAAAACAAGAGAAAGCTACAAGCAAAGGGTTGGGAAGCCAAATATAGCTCTTAGCAATCTCACAGAGTTGGAGAGAAAAAAATACTGCAGTTAAGGATGAGAAAATAGGATGAATCTTGGTAATAAGATTGCTGCAATCAGCAAATAAAAGTCCAGCATGCCTCGATAAATTTGAACTTCAGCTAAATAGCAATTATTTTTTAGTGTAAGCATGTACCATGCAATACTTAGGACATACTTTCACTTGAAATTATTTAATGTTTATCTGACTTCCATATTTAATTGGCTCTCCTGCATTTTATCTGGTAACTCAACTTGATCAACATACCAGATAACCAGTTTGAAAGTTTTAAGAGCCTATACTTCAGAAATGAGGACAAACCAAAAATATACCAGCCCTAACAGACTATGAAATCAGGACAAGAAGAAAAAACAATAACAAAAAAAAATAAAGAATTGAAATAAAATTCTCATTAGTCACAAACACATTTCTGTGTATGTTCAAAATAAAAATAATCAAATAAATTATTGAGTGAGAATTTATTAAGGTCAGTGGATGCAGATTAACTGATCAAAAATGATTTTTAATAAGCAACAAATCTTCAAAATGTACAATTTTCAATGTGACCAAAAAACATAAAATTCCAAGGATGACATATAAGGAAAAGATGTACAAGACAGCTACACTAACATTTTAAACACCATGCAGAGAGAAATTTAAAAGTCATACATAAATGAGGAAATATACTGTGTTCAAGGAATGGAAAATTCAGTATCTTTCTCAAATTAACAAATAGATTCAATAGGATACCAATCAAAATTCTAACGCTTTTTAGTGGAAATTGAAAAATGGATTCTTAACCTAATATTGAAATTCAAAGCACCAGAAACAGCTAAGTAATTCTAGAGACAGAAAGAGAAGAAGGAAAGAAGGAAGGGGACGACCACACACAAAAAAATAAAAATAAAAAATCAAAAGTTGGCAAATCTATGCTATGACATATTAAGACTAGTTATGGCCAGGCACGGTGGCTCATGCCTGTAATCCCAGCACTTTGGGAGGCCAAGGTGGGCTGATCATGAGGTCAGGAATTTGAGCCCATGGCCAACATGGTGAAACCCCATCTCTACTAAAAATACAAAAATTAGCTGGGCATGGTGGCAGGCACCTGTAATCCCAGCTACTCAGGAGGCAAAGGCAGGAGAATCACTTGAAATCGGAAGGTGGAGGTTGCAGTGAGCCAAGATTGCTCCGCTGCACTCCAGCCTGGGTGAAAGAGCAAAACTCCGTCTCGGGGGAGGAAAAAAAAAAAAAAAGAGTAGTTGTAAAACTGAAGCATATAGCATTGTAACAAGGACAGACAAATAGACCAATAGTAAATTGTCGAGTCCAGCAACAACTCCACAAATTATGGATATTTAAATCTATGACAAATGTATTACTATGGAACCATAGACAAAAGATGATCTCTTTGGAGCATGACTTCAGCAAGATGTTGGGCTAGGAAGCTCCAGGACTTAACTTTCCCATGGAAGCATCACGAGAACAATATGTAGGCCAAAATAGTTTTTTAAGAATGCCAGAAACCAGCTGATATAGTTTAGATGTTTTTCCCCACCCAAATCTCATGTCGAAGTGTAATCTCCAATGTTGAGAGTGGGGCCTGGTGGGAGGTGTTTCGGTCATGGGGGTGGATCTCTCATGGCTTGGTGCTGTCCTGACAATAGTCAGTGAGTTCTCACGATCTCTGTTTGTTTAAAAGTGTGTGGTACCACCTGCCTCTCTCTCTTGCTTCTACTCTTGCATGTAATATGCTGGGTCACCCTTTGCCTTCTGCCATGATCATAAGCTTCCTGAGGCCTCACTAGAAGCTGAGCTCATCCCCAGTGCTATGCTTCCTGTATAGTCTGCAGAGCCATGAGCCAATTAAACCTTTTATCTTTATAAATTACCCAGTCTCAGATAGTTCTTTGTAGCAAGCAAGAATGGTCTAACACAGAAAATAGATACCAAGGAGTGGGGTATTGCTATAAAGATATCTGAAAGTATGGATGTAACTTTGGAATTGGGTAGTGGGCAGAGGTTGGAAGAATTTGGAGGGCTCAGAAGAGGATAGAAAGATGAAAGAAAATTAGAAAGTTCTTAGAGACTGGTTAAATTGTTGTGAGCAAAACCCTGATAGTGATGTGAGGGAAGCAGGAGCCTAGGAGAACCAGAGTGACACCATTTTAAAATCAACTTCATCTTAAAACTAGCAAGGCACATTTCTTTTCAGTCATGACCCGTGGTCTTAGAATATTTATGGTTGAGGATACAGCCTAAAGATACCTACAAGGACACACTCCTACAACAGAAGAAAGTCCAGAGGTCCCAATACCCATAATAATATATGTTTTCAAGGTAACTATAGGTATGCTTTGTTTTACTTGCATGCTAAATTGTCGAGGGTAGTTTTCCTTAAATCAATACAATAATAAATTTTGTCATGCTGTCACCCCACCTGCACATGGGCATACCTTTGATTAGCTTTTTCATAAGCAATACCCATATATATATAGAGAGAGGGTGCATTTCTCCACTTACTTTCTAAGGATGCCCTACTCTGTAATGGAGTAGCTTTTAATAAACCATCTCTTTTCACTATACTTTGAGACTCACCTTGAATTTATTCTGGCATGAGATCCAAGCATCTTCTCTTGGGGTCTGGATCAAGACCTTCTTTTCGATAACAGTGATATGGACAGTGAAATCCAGACTGATGAGGTCTCCAATGAAAATGAGAAACTTTTTGGGAATTGGAACAAAGTTCGCTAGTGTTATGCCTTAGCAAAGAACTTGGCTGCATTGTGTTTATGTCCTAGTAATTTTCAGAAGTTTGTACTTAAGAGTGATAAGTGGCTGGGTGCAGTGGCTCACACCTGTAATCCCTGCACTTTGGGAGGCCAAGGAGGGCAGATCATGAGGTCAGGAGTTTGAGACCATCCTGACCAACATGGTGAAACCCCGTCTCTACTAGAAATACAAATTTAGTACTAAAAATACAAATTTAGCCAAGCATGGTGGCACACGCCTGTAATCCCAGCTACTCAGGAGGCTGAGGCAGGAAAATCACTTGAACCTGGGAGGCGGAGGTTGCAGAGAACAGAGATCACGCCACTGCACTCCAGCCTGGGCGACAGAGTGAGACTCTGTCTCGAAGGAAAAGAAAAAAAGAGTGATAATTTAGATCGAGTATGGTGGCTCAGGCCTGTAATCCCAGCACTTTGGGAGGCCAAGGCAGATGGATCACCTGAGGTCAGGAGTTCGAGACCAGCCTAGACAATGTGGAGAAACCCTGTCTCTACTAAAAAAAATACAAAAATTAGCTGGGCTTGGTGGTGTACGCCTGTAATCCCAGCTACTCAGGAGGCTGAGGCAGGAGAATCACTCGAATGTGGGAGGCAGAGGTTGCAATGAGCTGAGATCATGCCACTGCACTCCAGCCTGGGTGACAGAGCAAGACTCTGCCTCAAAAAAAAAAAAAAAAAGACTGATAATTTAGAGTATGTGTCGGAAGAAATATCTAAGCTGCACAGCATTTTAAGAATTAGCCTGGCTTCTTCTAACAGCCTATGATCAGATACGAATACAAAGAAATGACCTACAATTGGAACTTATATTTAAATGGGAAGCAGAGCATTAAAGTTTGTAAAATTTGCTGCCTAGCCATGTGGCAAAGAAAAACCTTTTACAGGGGAAGAATCCAAACACACTGTGGAGCAATCATTTGTTAGAAAGATTTGCATGACTGAAAAAACAGGCCGGTGCTGGTAGCCAAGACAGTGAAAAAAAAAGGGCCTCCAAGGCATTTCAGAGATCTTCCAGGTAGCCCCTCCCATTATAGGCGCAGAGGCCCAGAAGGATTGAATGTCTTGGGGGGCAGGCCTGGGGTGCCACTGCCTTGTCCCATGCCAGGAGTCTGCTCCTTACATCATGGATGCTCTGGCTGTAGCCTCGGCTCAAAGGGCTCCAGGTACATTTCATGCCACAACTCTGGAGCACGCAAGCTGTAAGCTTTAGTGGCTTCCACATCGTGTTAAGCCTTCAGGTGTGCAGAGTGCAAGAATGAAGGAGGCTTGGCAACCTTTGCTTAGATTTCAAAAGATGTATGGAAAAGCCTGGTAGGCAGAAGCCTGCTGCAGGGGTGCAGTACTCACAGAGATAATCTACTAGGGTGGTGCCACTAAGGCAGAACACAATCAACAGTAGGAAAAGACAACACACCTAATAAGACATAACATCTACAAGTTATATATCTGGTAAGATGTTAATATACAGAATATATGGAGAACACCTACAACCCAACAACAACAAGGAAATCCTGAAAACAGCCTAATTAAGATATATGCAGGCCAGGTGCAGTGGCTCATGCCTGTAATCCCAGCAGTTTGGGAGGCCAAAGCCGGCAGATTGCCTGAGCTCAGGAGTTCGAGACCAGCCTGGGCAACACGGTGAAACTTCATCTCTGCCAAAATACAAAAAATTAGCTGGGCATGGTGGCGTGCACCTGTAGTCCCAGCTACTCGGGAGGCTGAGGCAGGAAAATTGCTTGAATCTGGGAGGTGTAGGTTGCAGTGAGCCAAGATTGTGCCACTGCACTCTGGCCTGGGTGACAGAGCGAGATTCCATCTCAAAAAAAAAAAAAAAAAAAGATATATGCAAAACACTTGAAAATATAGAAATTGTCAATAATCATAAAAAGTGCCTGATGTCAGTAATTGTTGGATAAATGCAATTCAAAACCACAATGAGATACGACTTCATACCTATTAGCATAGCTACTATCAAAAACATAAAATAACAAGAGTTTGGAAGGATGTAGAGAAATTGGAATTCTTCCACATAGTTGGTGGAAATGGAAAATAGTGTAACAGGTAAGTAAAATAATATGGTGGCCCCTAAAAAATCCAACATAAAATTGCCATAAAATCCAGCAAATCCTTATTTTGGGTGTATACCCAAATAATTGAAAACAATGACTTGAAGAGATGTTTGTATACCCATGTCGTTAAAAGTATTATTCACAGTGGCCAAAATGTGGAAACAACTCACGTGTCCATCAGTGATTAAATGGATACACAAAACATGTATACACATCTAGTTAAAAACTGAGTGTATGTGTGAAAAAAACCCAAAGGTCTAAATGAATGAAGGTATACTTCATGCTCATGCATACTAAGACTCAATTTTGTAAAGATATAAATTATTTTCTTTTTTAACTTTCATTTTGCATTCAGGGGTACATGTGCAGGTTTATTATATAGGTAAATTCATGTCATGAAGGTGTGTTCTACAAATCATTCATTTCATCACACAGGTATTAAGCATAGTACCCGTTAATTATTTTTTCTAATTCTTCACTTTCTTCCACCCTTCATCCTCTTGTAGGACCCAGTGTCTGTTGTTCCCCTCTATAAGTCCATGTGTTCTCATCTTTTAGCTCCCACTTGTAAGAGAGAACATGTAGTATTTGGTTTTCCATTCCTACATTAGTTTGGTAAGGATAATGACCATTCCATCCATGTTCCCGTGAAGGACATGATCTCATCCCTTTTCATGGCTGCATAATATTTCATGGTATATATGTACCCCCATGCTCTTGATCCATTCTATCATTGATGAGCATTTAGGTTGATTCCATGTCTTCATTATTGTGAATAGTTCTGCAATGAACATACACATTCATGTGTCTTTATGGTAGAAAAGTTAAATTTTCTATCCATACTAGTGTATAAACATGTTATGAATGTGCAAATGATCAGGAAAAGAAGAACAAATGTTAATATATAACTTCAGTTATTACAGTACTCTTAGATTATATTGATAGTTTACCTTGTTTTTCCACATTTCTTTTGAGGAACTGTTTCTCATCCCTCCACTTTAGCTATATAGACAGAATAGAAATTGCCTTTGTTTTATGTGACCCTACTACTACTACCACAGGCATCATTCATAGTCAAGGAATGGGCACATAAATGGAACTGAGACAACTAGCCTTTTTTGAGATTTTTCTAACTGGAGGTATCAGTAAAGAGTCTTTTTCTTTCTAGTCAGAAAGACATAAGAATATAAGAGCTATTGGTGGATATTTTCTTCAATTTATAGAGAAAGCCAGTCTTACAGAATAAAACACACTGAAGAGAAAATGTAAAGGCTGAAGACACCTCTGAAATATATATATTTCAATAGTTTTTGGGGAACAGGTGGTGTTTGGTTACATGGATAAGTTCTTCTGTGGTGATTTCAGAGATTTTGGTGCATCCAGCACCCAGGAAGTATACACTGTACCCAATGTGTAGTCTTTTATCCCTCACCTCTTTCCCACCCTTCCCCCTGAGTCCCCAAAGTCCATTGTATCATCTTATGCCTTTGCATCCTCATAGCTTGAGCTCCCACTTACAAGTCAGAACATGCAATGTTTGGTTTTCCATTCCTGAGTTACTTCACTTAGAATAATGGTCTCCAACTCCATCCAAGTTTTGGTGAAAGGCATTCTTTCTTTCCTTTTTATGGCTGAGTAGTATTCCATGGTATATATATTCTATATTTTCTTTATCTGCTTGTTGATTGATGGACATTTTGGCTGGTTCCATATTTTTGCAATTGCAAATTGTGCTGCTATAAACATGCGGGTGCAAGTGTCTTTTTCATGGAATGACTTCTTTTTCTCTGGGATTGCTGGATCAAATTGTAGATCTACTTTTAGTTCTTTAAGGGATTTCCATACTGTTTTCCATAGTGGTTGTACTAGTTTACATTCCCACCAGCAGTGAAAAAAGTGTTCTCTTTTCACCAAAACCACACCAACATCTACAATTTTTTTTCATTTTAATTATGGCTATTCCTGCAGGAGTAAGGTGGGATTTCATTGCAGTTTTGATTTACATTTCCCTGATCATTAGTGATGCTAAGCATTTTTTTTTTGATGTTTCTTGGCCATTCCATCCATGTTCCTGTGAAGGACATGATCTCATCCCTTTTCATGGCTGCATAATATTTCATGGTGTATATGTACCCCCATGCTCTTGATCCATTCTATCATTGATGAGCATTTAGGTTGATTCCATGTCTTCATTACATTTTGAGAACTGTCTATTCATGCCCACTTTTGACGGGATTATTTGGTTTTTGTCTTGTTGATTTGTTTGAGTTCCTTCTAGATTCTGGATACTAGTTCTTTGTTGCATACAGAGTTTGAATACATTTTCTCCCACTCTTTGGGTTGTCTGTTAATCCTGCTGATTATTATTATTATTTTTTTTTTTTTGCTGTGAGGAAGCTTTTTAATTAAGTCTCATCTATTTATCTTTGTTTCTATTGCATTTCTTTTTGGTTCTTGGTAATGAACTCTTTGCCTAAGTCCATGTCTAGAAGCGCTTTTCTGATGTTATCTTCTAGAATTTTTGTGGTTTCAGGTCTTAGATTTAAGTCTTTGATCCATCATGAGTTGATTTTTGTATAATGTGAGGGATGAGGATCCAATTTCATTCTTCTAAATGTGACTTGTGTATTATCTGAGCACCATTTGTTTAATAGGGTGTCCTTCTCCCACTTTATGTTTTTGTTTGCTTTGTTGAAGATCAGTTGGCTGTAAATATTGGGCTTTATTTCTGGGTTCTCTATTCTGTTTCCTTTGTCTAAGTGCTTATTTTTATACCAGTACCATGCTGTTTTGATAACTACAGCTTTGTAGTATAATTTGACATCTGGAATGTGATGCCTCCAGATTTGTCCTTTTTGCCTAGTCTTGCTTTGGCTAAGTGGGCACATTTTGGTTCCATATGAATTTTAAGATTGTTTTTTCTAGTTCTGTAAAGAATGATGATGGCATTTTGATGGGAATTGCATTGAATTTGTATATTGCTTTTGGCAGTATGGTAATTTTCACAATATTGATTCTACCAATTCATGGACATGGGATGTGTTTCCAGTTGTTTGCATCATCTATGATTTCTTTCAGTAGCGTTTTTGTAGTTTTCTTTGTAGAGGTCTTTTACTTCCTTGGTTAGGTATATTCCTAAGTATTTTAATTTTTTTTTTCAGCTATTGTAAAAGGGGATGAGTTCTTGGTTTGATTCTCAGTTTGGTCACTGTTGGTGTATAGCAGAGCTACTGATTTGTGTATACAGATTTTGTATCCTGAAATTACTGAATTCATTAATCAGACCTAGGAGCTTTTTTAATGAGTCCTTAGGGTTTTCTGCGGATAGGATTATATCATCAACTAACAATGATGGTTTGACTTCCTCTTCACTGATTTGAAGGCCCTTTATTTCTTTTTCTTGTCTGATTGCTCTAGCTGGGACTTCCAGTAATATGTCAAATAGAAGTGGTAAAAGTGGGCATCCTTGTCTTGTTCCAGTTCCACGGGGAATGCGTTCAACTTTTCCCCTTGCATTATAATGTTGACTGTGGGTTTGTCACAGATGGCTTTTTTTTTTTCTTTTACCTGAAGATATGACCCTTCAGATTTTGCTGAGGGTTTTAATCATAAATGGATGCTGGATTTGTAAATGCTTTTTCTGCATCTACTGAGATGATCGTATAATTTTTGTTTTTAATTTTTGAACAATATTTCTTAAGTTGGTTCCTACCCATAACACACCCCCTTCTGAGGAAATAATTCTTATTCTACACTCAGCCTCCTTTCAAGGAGAAAAGTCTTGGTTGTTATACACTGGAACCTGTTAACCATTTTACTGGCCACACTCAACCTATGACTGGAACACCTGGCTCAAAGGCAGTCAATCTCCACTGTCTTTAATGTCTTATAATGTTGCCTGACATAAAAATTTGTATCAGATGAGAGGTGATGAACTAGGTAGCCAAACTACTAAATATGGAGAAAGAATCTTTCAGTTGCTAGCAATAAGAAAGGCTGAAAGTGACTCATAGAGAAGTCAAGTTATGAGTAAGCAGAAGTGGTAAATACAAAGGTATTATGAAAACAATATATAGAGAAAAAAGTTGGACTGTGTAAAGACTGAAGTAATCATTGGTAGTAACAAGTACAGGAGAAGCAAAGACAAGAGAAAAGGAATTGCCAGAATGAAAGATGTTTAATACAGGCCACCAAGAGATAAATATGACAATTATTATCCCAAAAGATTGGGCACTCTCAGTTCCTAAATTGCATTTCATCTCCAGTTATGCAGTCATACAATTGATTTTGCAATCCTACAAAATTGCTCTTTCCTTTACCAACATATGTGGCATTTATCATTTATTAAAATAATTTAAGTGGATTTCTATTCTTCTTGATAAAAATAAACTAAGTATGACAGTTCTATATTTTTGTTCTATCTAATGCAATTCTGAATTATTTACAAATGCATATGGTTTGATAAGACTTCCTAAGAAAATAACAAGGAATCAAATATTTATAAGAAATATACCCATGCACCAAACAATTAAGAAACCATGGTTTCTATTAAGGTGTACAATTGTTATGGTAAAAAGTTTGAGTTTTTTCTTTTTTAAATATGATTTTTTTCTTCTTAAGGTTGTGAATATTATTTCAGGATTTTCTATTTTGTTTCTATTTTTCAATACATTACTTCAAAAGCTATCTGATCTGACTATTGAATCTGAAACTCTGCTAGACTTGGCAAAATATATTACAGAACATATGTTCATTGGGACTTCGTTATCATTTTTTTTTAACTTTTATTTTAAGTTCAGGGGTATGTGTGCAGTTTTGTTATATAGGTGAGCTCATGTCATGGGAGTTTGTTGTACATATTATTTCATCACCCAGGTATTAAGCCAAGTACCCATTAGTTATTTTTCCTGATCTTCTCCCACCTTCACCCTCAACCCTCCAGTAGGCCCCAGTGGCTGTTGTTCCCCTCTATGAGTCCATGTGTTCTCATCATTTAGCACCCACTTATAGGTGAGAACACATGGTATTTGGCTTTCTATTCCTCCATTAGTCTTCTAAGGATAATAGCCTCCAGCTCCATCCATGTTTCTGCAAAGGACATAATCTCATTCTTTTTTGTGGCTGCATAGTATTCGAAGGTGTATATGTACCCCACGCTCTTTATCCAGTCTAGTCTACCATTGATGGGGATTTAGGTTCATTCCATGTCATTGCTACTGTGAATAGTTCTGCAATAAACATACATGTGAATATGACTTTATAACAGAATGATTTATATTCTTTTGGGTATATACTCAGTAATGGAATTGCTGGGTCAACTGTTAGTTCTGTTGTTAGGTCTTTCAGGAATGGCCAGTGTGTATAATCATTCCTTTTTCTTTGAAACTTTACCTGCATCTGTTATTTTTTGACTTTTAATAATAGCCACTCTGACAGGTGTGAGATAATGTCTCATTGTGGTTTTGATTTGAATTTCTCTAATAATCAGTGATGAGCTTTGTTTCACATGCTTGTTGGCAACATGTTTGTCTTGTTTTGAAAAGTGTTTCTTCATGTCCTTTGACCAGTTTTTAATGGCATTGTTTGTTTTTCTATTGTAAATTTGTTTGTTTCTTATAGATGCTGAATGTCAGATGCATAGTTTGAAATAATTTTGTCCCATTCTGTAGGATGTCTGTTTACTCTGTGGATAGTTTCTTTGGCTGTGCAGAAGCTCTTTAGTTTAATTAGATCCCATTTGTCAGTTTTTGCTTTTGTTGCAATTGCTTTTGACATCGTTATCATAAAATCTTTGCCCATTTCTGTATCCAGAATGGTATTGCTTAGGTTGTCTTCCAGGGTTGTTATAGTTTTAAGTTTTACATTTAAGTCTTCAATCCATCTTTAGTTAATTTTTGTATATAGCGTAAGAATGGGATCCAGTTTCACTCTTCCGCATATAACTAGCTAGTTATTCCAGCACCAATTATTGAATAGGGAGTGTTTTACCCATTGCTTGGTTTCGTGAGCTTTCTAGAAGATGAGATAGTTGTAGATGTGTGGCCTTAAGTTTGGGCTCTCTATTCTGTCCCATTGCTCTATGTCTGTTTTCGTACCCATCCCATGCTATTTTGGTTGTTGTAGCCCTGTAGTACAGTTTGAAGTCAAGTAGTGTGATGCCTTCAGCTTTGTTCTTTTTGTTTAGGATTTCCTCGGCTACTCAGAATGTTTCCTGGTTTCATATAAATTTTAAAATCATTTTTTCTAGTTCTGTGAAAAATTTCATTGACAGTTTAATAGGAATAAAATTAAACCTATAAATTGCTTTGGGCTGTATGAACATTTTAATGATACTGATTTTTTCTATACATGAGAATGGAATGTTTTTCCATTTGTTTGTGTTATCTCTGAGTTCTTTGACAAGTGTTTTGTAGTTCTCTTTGTAGAGTTCTTTCATCTCCTTGGTTTTCTGTATTCCTTGCTATTTTATTTTTCTGTGGCAATTGTGAATTGAATTGCGTTTCTGATTTGGCTCTCGGCTTGACTCTTGTTGGTGTATAGGAATGCTAGTAATTTTTGTGCATTGATTTTGTACCCTGAGACTTTGCTGAAGTTTCTCTTATCAGCTTAATACGCTTTGGGACTGAGACCATGGGGTTTTCTAGATATCGAATCATGTCACCTGCAAACAGGGATAGTTTGACTTTCTCTCTTTTTATTTGCATGCCCTTTATTTCTTTCTCTTGCCTGGTTACACTGGCCAGGACTTCCAATACTATGATGAATAGGATTAGTGAGAGGTCATCCTTGTTTTGTGCCAGTTTTTAAAGGGAATGCTTCCAGCTTTTCCCTATTAAGTATTATGTTGGCTGTGGGTTTTTCATAGATGATTTTTATTATTTTGAGGTTTGCTTCTTCAAATCCTAACTCATTGAGAGTTTTTAACATGAAGAGGTATTGAATTTTATCAGAAGCATTTCTGCACCTGTTGAGTTTTTGCCTTTAGTTCTGTTTATGTGACAAATCACATTATTGATTTGCATATGTTAAACTAACCTTGCATCCCAGATACAAAGCCTGCTTGATCATGGTGGATAAGCTTTTTGATGTGCTGCTAGATTCAGTTTGCCAGTACTCTCATTGAGGATATTTGTATCAATGTTCATCAAGGATATTGACCTGAATTGTTTTTTTTTTTGTTGTTGTTGTTGTTATGTCTCTGCCAGGTTTTGGTATTAGGATAATGCTGGCCTCAAAGAATGAGTTAGAGAGGAATTCCTCCTCCTTAGATTTTTTTTTAATAGTTTCAGTGAGAATAGTACCAGCTCTTCTTTGTACATTTGGTAGAATTCTTCTGTGAATCCATATGGTACTGGGTTGTTTTGGTTGGTAGACTATTGCTGGTTCAATTTCATTGTTCATCATTGCTCTGTTCAGGGCTTTAATTTCTTTCTGCTTCAGACTTGGGAGAATACATGTAATCAGGAATTTATTTATGTATTCTAGATTTTTTAGTCTGTGTACATAGAGGTGTTCATAATAGTATCTGATGGTTATTTGTATTTCTGTGGGGTTAGTGGTAATATCCCCTTTGTATTTTCTAGTTGTGTTTTTTTTTTTTGGATCTTCTCTCTTTTCTTCTTTTAGTTTATCTAGAGGTCTATCTATTTTATTACTTTTTTTTTAAACTCTTGCCTGCATTTGTTGATTTTTTGAATCGTTTTTGTATCTCAATGTCTTTCAGATTTTATTTTGGTTATTTTTTGTCTTCTGCTAGCTTTGGGGTTTCTTTGCTGTTTGTTTTCCAGTTCTTTTAGTTGTGATGTTAGGTTTTTAGATTGAGATCTTTATAAATTTTGATGTGAGCACTTAGTGCTATATATTTCCCTCTTAATACTGTCTTAGCTTTGTCCTAGATATTCTATTATGTTGAATCTTTGTTCTCATTAATTTCATAGAACTTCTTGATTTCTGCTTTAATTTCTTTACTCCAAAATCATTCAGGAGCAGGTTGTTTAATTTTCATGTCATTGTATAGTTTTTAGTGATTTTCTTAGTCTTGAATTCTATTTTTATTGCACTGTGGTCTGAGAGTGGGTTTGGTGTGATTTTGATTCTTTTGCATTTGCTGAGGATTATTTTATGTCCAATCGTGTAGTCAATTTTAGAGTACATATGATGTGCAGATGAGAAGAATGTATATTCTATTGTTTTTGGATGGAAGTTCTGTCAGGTTCATTTGATCCCGTGCTGAGTTCAGGTCCTGAATATCTTTGTAAATTTTCTGTCTCAATGATCTGTCTAATATTATCAGTGGGCTGTTAAAGTCTCCCACTATTATTGTGTGGGAGTGTGTCCCTTTGTAGGTTGCTAAGAACTTTTTTTATGAATCTAGGTACTCCTATGTTGGGTGCTTATATATTTAAAATAGTTAAGTCTTCTTGTTGAACTAAACACTTTACTATTATGTAATGCTCTCCTGTGTCTTTTGTTATCTTTTTGAGTTTAGATTATTTTTTCAGATGTTAAGATGCCTACCCCTGCTTTTTTGTTTTTCATTTGCTTGCTAGTTTTTCCCACCTCTTTGTTTTGAACCTAAGGGTGTGAGATGGGTCTCTTGAAGACCACATACCATTGGATCTTGGTGCTTTATCCAGTTTACCACTCTGTGCTATTTAATTAGGGCATTTAGTCTATTTACATTCAAGGTTAGCATTGATATTTGTGGATTTGATCCTGTCATTAAGATGTTAGCTGGTTATTATGCAGACTTGTTTGTGTGGTTGCTTTATACTGTTAGTGTTCTATGTATTTAAGTGTGTTTTTGTAGTGACTGTAGTGATTTCTCCTTTCCATAGTTGTTACTTCTTTCAGGAGCTCTTGTAAGGCAGGTCTCATGGTAAAGAATTCCCTCAGCATTTGCTTTTCTGAAAAGGATCTTATTTCTCCTTTGCTTATGAAGCTTAGTTTGGCCAGATATAAAATTATTGATTAGAATGTCTTTTATTTAGGAATGTTGAATTTTTTCCCCTTAATTTCTTTGGGCTTGTAGAGTTTCTACTGAGAGTTGTGTCATTAGTCTGATGGACTTCTCTTTGTAGGTGAACTGAACTTTCTAGCTAGATTTAACATTTTTTCTTTCATTTTGACTTTGGGGAATCTGGAGATTATGCATGTTGGGAATGAACTTCTAACGAAGTACCTTACTGGCATTCTCTGCCTTTACTGAATTTGAATGTCAGCCTCTCTAGCCAGGCTGGGGAAGTTCTCATGGATGACATCTTGAAATATGTTTTCCAAGTTGCTTCCATTCTCTCAATCTCTTTCAGGGGCACCAATGAGTAGTACATTTGATCTTTTTACATAATCCTATATTTGTCAGAGGTTTTGTTTGTTCCATTTCATTTTTTTCCTCCATTCTTGTCTGAGTGTCTTATTTCAGAAAGCCTGTCTTTAAGCTCTGAGATTCTCTCCTCCTCAGCTTGGTCTATTCTGCTGTTAAAATTTGCGACTGCATTATGAAATTCATGTAGAATGTTTTCAACACTATCAGGGTGGTTGCATTCTTTTCTATACTGCATATTTTGTCTGTCCGCTCTTGTATTGTTTTATTGTGATTCTTAGCTTCTTTGTATTGTGTTTTAACATACTGCTGCACATCGTTATCTCCATTTCTATCTACATTTTGAATTCTATTTCTGTCATTTCAGCTATCTCAGCTCAGTTCAGAACCCTTGCTGGAGGGTTAGTGCAGTTGTTTATAGGAAAGAAGGCAGTCTGACTTTTTAAGTTGTCAGAGTTCTTGTGCTGGTTCTTTCTCATCTTTGTGGGTTGATGCTCCTTTAATCTTTGAAGTTGCTATTCTTCCGATTTTTTTTCTTTTATCTTTTTTGATGTCTTTGAGGGTTTAATTGTATAAAATGGATTCAGTCTGCTGGTCACATTTCTGGAAGACTTTAGGGGGCCAAAACTCAGCTCCCAACTCTTGGCTTATGTGTTCTAAACCTTGGGGACTTGTATCATGCCCTGATTTATTTCTCTGGCTCCTTGAGTTTAGAAGCCTGCTGCACTAGGGGGAGCCAATGTGCTTCTGGACCGCTGGTCACTACACGCTGATGGGTGATGCCAGCCAAAGCATTTCATAGGGTGGTGGCAGTAAAATTCACTCTTGTTCATATGTGCCAGCAGTAGTGGCAGGGCAGCAAAATGCATAATCATGATCTGCAGCAGGGTGCTAATGGGTTCAAGGGCATTTGTCTCCCCATGGGCATTCACAGCAGCAGCAAAGGCAGCATGGCTCTGGGATGGCAAGGAACTCCCATTGTCTACTGTGTGAATGGTCACACTGGAGATGATGTTAACAGGGTGTTGGGGCACTTGCAGACGCAGTTCTGTGTGCACCTTCTGTGATTGCTCAGGGTGGAGAAGGGCCCACTGCTCTTGGTGCCTAGTTTCACTCAGGCACAGTGTTGCCACAATGGCAGCTTGTTGGCTGGAGCAGGCCTGGGATGCTCTGTGCCCGCCAAGGCCTTGACGCAATGGTGGGACAGGGGAATGGGGTGCACTTCAGGTAGCAGCAGAGCTAGGGCAGGGTACACACACACATGCGTGCTGGTGGGACAGGGAAGGTAAACCCTATGCATGCACACACTGGCAAAGGGATGTGGAGGATTGCGGTGGGCCTGGAGAAAGCTGTACTATGGGGAGTGATCCGGCGGGCTGGTGCATGGCTGTGGGGCTGTCCCACTGGAGCTCTCTGCCAGCCAGGCATAATCCGCCAGTGCAGGAGCTATGATGCAGAAACCCTGGGCACCCAAGGCTGCCCTGCAAGCAGGCATTACCAAGCTGGGGCCTCAGTAGAAGCCAGTATAACAAGGGATGCTCAGGCCAGACTGGTTCTGTCTAATGGGCAAGACTGCTCGACAGAATTTAGGTTTGACAGCTCTCCCAGTGCTAAAGTCTTCTATGGAAACAAGTTGAGCCTGTGAGGGATGAGCATCCCTGGCCATGCTCCACTACAGATGCTCCCACACGAAACCCTGTGGGCTCTGCACTGGCTGAAGTTCTGCCCCTACCATTTCTCTAAGCAGCTTTCTCTGCCAACTCAAGTGTCTATAGTTGCAGAGGGGTCTCTTCCTGCCAGGATTCCAGAAGTCTATGGGGAGAGTGGGCTGCTTCTTGGCAGTTCAAGTCATTGGCTGCCCCAGAGTCATTGGGAGCCCAGAATGAGTCCCTGTCTTTGGTAGCACTATGCAGGATTCCCAGCTTCCTCCCACTTCAGGCTAGCTTCTGTGTCTTTCCTCCATCCACTGTCAGTGCCTTCCCCTCTGAAGATCTGTTAGGAGTGCACCAGTCATCCCCAGCCCTCTGTGGCATCTGTTCCACCTGGCTGAGTCTACTCAGCCATCTTGCTCAAATCCACCAGAAGACTCTATAAAAATATATGCTGAGTAATTATGGTAGGATCCTTGATTCCAGCAATTCCACTTTCAGGCATTCAATAGAAATGACAACATATGTCCATACAAACACCTGTACACATATGTTCATTATAACTGTATTATAAGAGCCAAATACCTCAGCAGCCAGCCCCCAACCAGTACATGAGGCAATCCAAGCTCCCATTTTTGAATCTGATGCATACTTTCTCTCTTTTTTTTTTTTTTTTTTTTTGACCAAGTCTCACTCTGTCACCCAGGCTGGAATGCAGTGGCATGATCTTGGCTCACTGCAACCTCTGCCTCTTGGGTTCAAGCAATTCTCTGCTTCAGCCTCCTGAATAGCTGGGATTGCAGGTGCCTGCCACCACGCCCGGCTAATTTTTTTGTATTTTTAGTAGAGACGGGATTTCACCATCTTGGCTAGGTTGGTATTGAACTCCTGACCTCGTGATCCACCCACCTCGGCCTCCCAAAGTGCTGGGATTACAGGCATGAGCCACTGAGCCCGGCTTGATACATACTTTCATTGAAATGTTGGTAAAATAAATGTGGTGTCTTTAGTGGGATAAAAATTTCACACAATTTTTAGATATGTATGTATATTTGTGTATATATATATATATACACACACACACACACAAATACACTCATATATATTCATATTTATACATATATACTTTATATGTATACATAAAAGATCTTGACAAAAATCAAGTCAAAAATGACATAAGAAGTCTATTTTATTCATTTATTTATTTTCAGGATCTATAAATCATTTTATTGAAATTGAACAAATAGCACAATAGTCTTTCTAGGCTGAGGGCCACCCTCCGCAAGCCATTTCCCACACTCTAGAAGAACAGATCTTGCACAGTATTTTTTTTTAAGTTACCTCTATATAGAAATCAGACTCTGCCATGACATCATCGTGGACTATTTACAAACCTTCATATTCCTTTTATGCTTTTTCCCTCCTTTCTTTTCATACCCAGCAGCTCCAGTACTTTCCCTTGACTCATCCTGAAGGGGTGGAGGTTACTGTAGGGGAAGGGGGTGGTAGGCTACTCATAACTATTGGCACCAGCCTTAGGATGTTGTCCCTTACCACAAGGTGGTGAATAGTTCCCTCCCAATTGGAAGGGTAGAGGCCTTGGTGCAAAGGCATGGGGGATTAGACAGAATAGGTGGGTTGGAGTAACTCCCTATAGGCACAAGCATCCACAGCCTGTCCTGACCCCAGCCTGCACCCTGTCAACTCCTCAACTAGGGGTGGGGGGGCAACAACTAGTTGCAGTAGGGGGATCAGCCCAGCCCTTGGTAGAGGGTGAAGCCCCCGTCCAGTCCCCACTCCTATCAACAGCCAGCAAACTGTCCATCCATCTGAAGGTGGGAACACATGGCAGGTAGGTGGGAAGAATCAGGCTGGCACTGCCCCCAGCCTCTGTCCAACATGGGAGGAATTAAGTAGCAAACAACAGCTGAAATGCTCTGACTAGGGGTTAAAAGGGAAGTGAAGGAAAGGAAGTTCCTACTTGTATACAGCACCCACAGCCTAGGAGCTGGAAGAAGGCAAACCTTGCTTATAAAGTGCTGTAGCCTCTAGCAGGGTTAGGCCCCAGGCAAACGTGGAGGAAAGCAGACCAGGCAAGGAACCAGGTACTGGGCATTCCTGACTGGTATATGCCCTGCCATGCTTCTTGCAGGGGTGGCTGGGGAGAGTAGGGGGCTAACTCTGCCATTAGCCTCCACCAGCCACCAACCTCCTCTTGTCCACACACAAACCAACACCCAACCAATATCACAGGACTGAACCACTCACAGCTGAAGGTTATGTGCCAACAGAGGTTATTCAGAGTTGTGGCCCCAGCCTGGGCTCCTTAATGGAAGCCACACCTTGAGCCTGGGAGTTTCTTGCTGGAGCAGGAGGTGCTATTGTCTGCTTCCGAGGCTCACATCTCATAGAGGATCACAGGGAAATCCACATGGATGCGGCAGTTGGGGGCGGTGGTTCCAGGAAGTCTATTTTATAGTTAAATACAACTAAGAAAAGCAAATAGTAATAAATAAAAACATGGACTATCATAAGTGATTATTTTATTACAAAATATTGTAAATTTGGTATATTAAAAATGAAAGATGAAATCTTTCCTACTTTAATAGAATAACTGGTAGTGGACTTGCCCTCCTTTCAGAAAAAATTACAAAACTGGAAAATACAGATAAAATACTGTCTGCAGACGTTGGCAAACATGTAGCATAGAACCGTAATCAGTGAAGGGATACAAGAAGGTAAGCACCGCAATACCCCAGACAGAGAAATAGGAAAGGTAAAGTCAGGAAAATACCAGTAATCTCCCTGGATTGAAAAGACCAGAATTGAAATTTTGGAAAGTTTAGATGGCTAAACTTTGGAATTTGTGTTGTAGAGTACCAGAGTTGAAGGAATAGCACAGTGGAAGAGCTTCACAAATCTGCATAGAAAAGCCTTTGAATTTTTTGCTCAATAAAAAGCTGTGCGTGCATAAGATGAAATTCCATGAGGCAAGACATAACTGGAAAGTCCTGACTTGAAGAATTCCCAGAAATGACACAGAGTTGGGAAACATTTAAATCCTGGCCAATCAGGTTGAAAAAACTCTTTGTATGATAGATTTTTCAGTAGAGAAGGATTAAACTGATCTGTAAGTAACTTAACTGCCTGTCTAAACATAATTCAAATCTAGCTAATGTAGGACAACAAATTTAGACACTCAACACCATAATATTCACAGATATCTACCATTCAGTAAAAAATTATTAAATATGCAAAGAAGCAGAAAATTATGATGCATAAAAGTAAAGTGATGGAGAAACATATGCCATGCTAACAACACTAACAAGAAGAAAGCTGCAGTAACTATATTAATTTCAGACAAAGCGGATTCGAGAGTAAGGAAAAATATCAAAACTAAAGAAGGGCATTACATAATGATAAAAGAATCAATTCTCCAAGAAGGTATAACAATCCTTAATATGTATGTGCTTAACAACGAGCATCAAATATGTGAATATGTCTCATACAATGAGTCTGATGTTGTCTCGTAAAAAGTGTGGCAGGATTTGGGTCAAAATTAACACTTGATATTTTACTTTTCAGACTCTTGCTTTTTTCCAGTCTTAGCATTCAGTTAGCCAGTAGCATCAACCCCTACTATTTACTCCATGTGGGTGAGGTACGGCAGGACATTATGGCTATTTCTGTTCCATGGGGTTTTAAATTAACATTCCTATGTCTTCTTAATATCTTAAAATACATTCTCTAGCATATTTATGGTGTGCATGTTGCAAGTATTTTAAAGAGAACTCAGGGAATCACTAGACTTGAAATGTCTCCTCAGTGTTTAACCTTTAGTTTTCTTCAAGATTTGAACTACAGAAGTTTACCTAGGCAATCTCTCCCTACTCTATAGCATATGCAGCTGGTTTTATAAAGCAACTATTCAAATAAAATTTGTTATATTTTCTCCTAAATATTTCACTAACACATACTTCTATAGCATGTGGTTAGAAAAAAAAGGCCTAAATGAAAATCAATTTACTGTTTAACATTCTCCTGAGACATGTTTATAAACAGATATTAAAAGGTCCTAAGATGATAAGCGTGTGATAAGTGTGTGTGTGCATGTAAAAGGTAAACTTTTTGGACTTCTCTGTTGTAGATTTAAAAAGCGGGCTCTGTCTCTCTAACATGCACGTACACCCCCACACACACATACACTCTTAGGTTTCATGCCACAATATTGTCATCATTAGCCTGTGTGCAAGCTAAGCTGTGAGAGAATCAATATATCCTTGAGAGATTGTACTTATTTTATGCTTGCTTCTTCTGCTAGCATCATAGTGTTTGTTCTGAGTGTCTTATAGAATTTATGAATTATCTATTTCATATAAATATGAGCTAATTATTTCTTTTTCTGTTTTTAATGGAAACCGTTGAGAAATGTTTCCAGTTTTTGGGGTACGATGCAAAAAAAAAAAAGAGTATAGCAGAACAATGAGAAATTGTATTTCAAAGCAAGGTAAATGGTATTACTGTGTCAAACAAAATTTTCTTAGTAAACGGGTATTGTCTTTGTGGTCAGCATGTGGCATTAACGATGAGAAAGGGCAAGTTTAAATATGTAATTAGTTATTGAACCAAAGTGTGAAACTATGTGTCCACACGAAAAGTTTAATTACACATTTAAGGGATAGATTATCTGTACTATGCAATTTTGCTCTTTAAGTATAAAGAACACAAAGATGATAAAAATATTAATCTTCGTAACCATTAAAATCATGCTATTAGTGGCTTCTTTTAGAAATAACGGAATATGTGGTAATCCTGCCCTTACATTTTTGAATGGAAATAATTAACTGCAGCAGAGCAGAAGTGGCACTTTGGAAATGAAACCATGATCTTTGTAGTAAAATACAGTTTAGCATAATTTCCACCCCTCCTTGTTACATTTCTGACACTGAAAGATTTTTAAATCACTTTTCGGCATAGTATCATGAACCAATTAAGATAAAAAGATGCTGCTGATAAAAGTTAAGTAGTTATTTGGGGGATGAACTAAATATTAGAAAAAGAATCAATTTGAAGTCTTCACAAGCAGAAAAAAACTGCAAGAAGTATTGCTAACTTTGAAGATAGCCATATATTATGGATCACAAAAACACTACAAAATTTTTTAAAACTGTCCATTCAACATTTGCTATAAATTATAAGAGTCACATGATTACTTCCGAGTCTTCATACGTCAATGGCCGTTTCAAATAATGCTTTTAGGCTTTAGAAACATAGAAAATAAAGTGTGTTTATGAAAAGATTGCATTATTTTATTGTGGAAGAAATTACGGGAATGTTTAGCTATTTGTCCTTTGAGTATGCTGCTCCGTCTCACATAAGCTCCTTTCTATCCTTCAAGCAAAATGTTTATATTAACTTTGTCCTATCAACAATTTCTATCTCTTGTTGTTCATTGATATATCATGTTTCTCATTTAAGAAGAATTAATATGCAGTATTCTTTCAGTATATGGAATATTTCGTGTTATTATTGTTCCTCATCATTGAATATCTCTTGTAATGTTCCTGGGGAGAATAACCAGGGTAGTAGTGAAATAAAAATTGGCTAATTACTGACAGCTCAGATGGTTGAAACTCATGGTTGAGATGATTATCTGTGTAGCTTAATTGTGTGCTCTCCTTGGACCTCCTTCTGTGGGTAATTGAAAATCTGCTATGTGATTTCTTTAGCATAAATACTATATGCAGCTGTTAAATCATGTTGCCAAACTTCATTTTTTTTCTTGCTCTTAAAAGGGAATGCTAGTAGAAAAGGTTTGTTGTAATGTAACTCACTTCACTTGTGTAAGTGTGTTTTTCAGATGTAAACTGTTTAGGTGATTTCTGAAGCTAGGTGACTCAAAAGTAGATTTTTATAATACCTTAACAAAATTACCAAATGCCTGCTTTAAAGCAATAGAACATACTGCATCATGTTTCAGAAAAAAAACTTTTGAAACAATAAGTACTCTGAGCACCTAAAAGGACAGTTTAAGCAAATTTTTTTACTTTGAAAATTTATGCAAAACATCAAAACACAGCTGTTTTTCCTCAGAGATTGAATACTATTTGGCTATGTATTCCTTGGCAAGTTATATAAGATTGGGTTTCCTTGAATCATTAGGATTTAATGACAACTTCTTTATACCACATTCACTTTAGGCAACAAAATCCCCCAAAAGTACAGAATTTAGGAATGCCATGAAATCATCTTTCCTTAAATATAGCTACCAATTGATGAACCCAGATCTTTCTGTTATATCATCAGTACCTTCTCAAGCTCAAATTACACTAAATTACTGTTCAAATCATCCTAAAAGGAGACACTAGCTGTCAGTTAAATAAACCATTAGGTTTAACGTAAAATGAGTCAGATGGGCATGATTAATCAGTTTTCTTATTATTGCTGAGCTCTACCTGATTTCTAGACCCATTTTACCAAAGTAATTGGTAGATTTTATTATGAAGACTGGACAACTCCACTTTTAGTTTTATGTGTTATTTTATTTAAACAGTGTTAACATGCATAGATATGACTAGGAAGAGATTAATAGAGACAATATAGAATTCCTAATGGATGAATAAAGTACAGAAAAATGTATAATAATCTCAGATTCAAATTTAGAAGTGTTAAGAAAATTGTAGGTTAATGAAAAACTAATATATAATACAACTTTGAATATTTAACTGTATTTACAATGGAAAAATTATGTGAGTCCATGGGATAATACTGCTGGAATTTCTAATATGATTACTTTTATTCTTTTAATACATATTTTCTAATTGTCTATACAATGTACAGGGCACCAGAGTTATAAAAAAGAAAATATACAGTTCCTATGTATTAGTCAAAATACATGCTCATGTCGTCGTAGCAGATAACCCCACTAAACTGCAAGAGATGGAAAAAAAATTCCCCTGTGTTCCCAGAAATAGAGGAAAACGGAATGTAGGTGGCCACAGAAGTTCATGCAGGATTGCCGTCTTGTTGTTACCAAATGTGTGGTTCTTTCTCCTTCCCTCATGTAGAACACACACTCTTCATGTTAAACTCCATGCTTTGTATGTAATGTATGTTGTCAATATCATGGATAGGTTCTTGGAAACTGCAACATTAAGTGACGCAACATACAGCAGGTCCTTGAATAACATAATGATGAAGAGAAGAAAATGGTTTTGTTATATACGTTGTTTCATTTAATGTAGCTGTTTCCATGAACCTATCAAAGACATAAAGTGAGGACTTAAATAGTCTTGTAACCACCCAACAGATTCACCTTGCCCACTGTCTAGACGGAGCTGATTTATTAAGACAGGGGAGCTGCAAGAAAGAAAGAGTAATTCACACAGAGCCAGCTGTGTAGGAAACCAAAGTTTTATTATTACTCAAATCAGTCTCCCTGAGAATTCAGGGACTGGAATTTTTGAAGATAGTTTGACGGGAGTTCTGACTGGTCAGGTTGGAGATGAAATCTTAGGGAGTTAAAGCTGTCCTCTTGACCTGAGTCAGTTCCTGGATGAGGGGCCACAAGACCAGACGAGCTAGTTGATTAATCTGGATAGTGCCTGCTGGTACATCGAATGCAAAGTCTGCAAAATATGTCAAGCAGTGATCTTACATTTCACAATAGTGATGTTATCTCCAGGAGCAATTTGGGGAGGTTAAGAATCTTGCAGCCTCCAGCTACATGATTCCTAAACCATAATTTCTAATTTTGTGACTAATTTGTTAGTCTTGCAAAGGCAGTGTAGTCCCCAGGCAGGAAGGGAATTTGTTTTGGGAAAGGGCTATTATTGTCTTTGTTTCTAAACCATAAACTAAGTTTCTCCCAAAGATAGTTTGGCCTACTCCCAAGAATGAAGGACAACTTTAAGGTTCGAAGCTAGGTGGAGTCAGTTAGGTCATATCTCTTTCACTGTAAAAATTGTCTCAGTTATAATTTTTGCAAAGGCAGTTTCTGATATCTTTAGTGGTACAAATGTTTTCAAAATTAGTAGAATACTGTGGTCTTGAAAATAAAGAATCAACATTATTATGTCAATTTTCCTTGAGTTACCTAAATGTGAGACTATTCCAATAAAAATGCCATCAAGCATTTTTATGAGCCTAGGTTTTAGGATTCATTTGATAAAACCAACAAGTAAGAATATTTAGGAGGACCTTGAAAAATAGCAATGTTGATAGGAGGGTAAATCCTACCAAATGTCAAAATATATTATCATGTTTCTTTTATTAAATCAGTGGAGTATTTGCATATACATAGATACATGGATCAGTGGAACAGAAAAAAACAGTCAAGAAATAAAAAAAAAAGTTATATATGACAAATATGACATCTCACAACAATTAGGAGAAAAGATGGGCTTTTTAAATTAGTGATGTTGGAACTACACAGCAGCAAAACACAAAAGTCAAAATTTGATCTGTTCCTCACACCACACACCTTGATGTGTTTCAAGCAGATCAGAGGTTGAAAAGATTGAAAAGTTAAGTGAAACACAATACCAGTAGTAGAAGAAGGCAAGGATGATTTAACCTATTACCTGTGAGAAATGAATATTTTCTTCTTAAAATTCAGATTCTGTAAGAGAAAATATTAATAAGTTTGATAACATTTAAGAAATCTTTTGTCAGAAAGAAAACACCATCAGCAAAAAAAATTTAAAAATCATGTTAGTTATATAATAGAAAAATAGTTAATATTGATAATATACAAAGAGCTTGTAAAAAAAGAAGAAAACAGCAATAGCCTTATAGGAAAATAGGCATAAGAGCATATTAGCCACAGCTTAAACATATGAAAATGTATACAACCTCACAAAATACATTAACATTAGAATTGCATGGTGATTCCATCTCTCACTTATCAGATTATTAACAATTCAAAAGCTTGACACAAATCAAAAGCTTGGCCTTACATTTTTGAATGGAAATAATTAACTGCAGCAGAGCAGCAATGGTATTTTGGAAATGAAACTATGATCTTTGTAGTAAAATACAGTTTAGCGTAATTTCCACCCCTCCTTATTACATTTCTGACACTGAAAGATTTTTAAATCACTTTTTGACATAGTATCATGAACCAATTAAGACAAAAAAGATGCTGCTGATAAAAGTTAAGTAATTATTTGGGAGATGAACTAAATATTAGAAAAAGGATCAATTTGAAGTCTTCACAAGCAGAAAAAAAGTGCAAGAAGTAATTGCTAACTTTGAAGATAGCCATATATTATGGATCACAAAAACACTACAAAGTTTTTTAAAACTGTCCATTCAACATTTGCTATAAATTATAATAGTCACATGATTACTTCCGAGTCTTCATACATCAATGGCCGTTTCAAATAAAGCGTTTAGGCTATGGAAACATAGAAAATAAAGTGTGTTCATGGAAAGATTGCATTATTTTATTGTGGAAGAAATTATGAGAATGTTTAGCTATTTGTCCTTTGAGTACGCTGCTCCATCCCACATAAGCTCCTTTCTATCCTTCAAGCAAAGTGTTTATATTAACTTTGTCCTGTCAACAATTTCTATCTCTTGTTGTTCATTGATATATCATGTTTCTCATTTAAGAATTAATATACAATATTCATTCAGAATATGGAATATTTCATGTTACTAATAATTCACTGTTGTTCCTCATTATTGAATATCTCTTGTAATGTTCCTGGGGAGAATAGTCAGGGTAGTAGTGAAATAAAAATTGGCTAATTACTGACAGCTCAGATGGTTGAAACTCATGGTTGAGATGATTATCTGTGTAGCTTAATTGTGTGCTCTCCTTGGACCTCCTTCTGTGGGTAACTGAAAATCTGCTATGTGATTTCTTTATCATAAATACTATATGCAGCTGTTAAATCATGTTGCCAAACTTCATTTTTTTTCTTGCTCTTAAAAGGGAATGCTAGTAGAAAAGGTTTGTTGTAATGTAACTCACTTCACTTGTGTAAGTGTGTTTTTCAGATGTAAATTGTTTAGATTTCTGAAGCTAGGTGACTCAAAAGTAAATTTTTATAATACCATGTCAAAATTACCAAATGCCTGCTTTAAAGCAAAAGAACACACAGCATCATGTTTTAGAAAAAAACTTTTGAAACAATAAGTACTCTGAGCATCTGAAAGGACAGTTTAAGCAAATATTTTTTGTTTTACTTTCAAAGTTTATGCAAAATGTCAAAACACAGCTGTTTTTCCTCAGAGATTGAATACTATTTGGCTATGTATTCCTTGGCAAGTTATATAAGATTGGGTTTCCTTGAATCATTAGGATTTAATGACAGCTTCTTTATACCACATTCACTTTAGGCAACAAAATCCCCCAAAAGTACAGAATTTTGGAATACCATGAAATCATCCTTAAATATAGCTACCAATTGATGAACCCAGATCTTTCTGTTATATCATCAGTACCTTCTCAAGCTCAAATTACACTAAATTACTGTTCAAATCATCCTAAAAGGAGACACTAGCTGTCAGTTAAATAAACCATTAGGTTTAACGTAAAATGAGTCAGATGGGCACGATTAATCAGTTTTCTTATTATTGCTGAGCTCTACCTGATTTGTAGACCCATTTTACCAAAGTAATTGGTAGATTTTATTATGAAGACTGGACAACTCCACTTTTAGTTTTATGTGTTATTATTTAAACAGTGTTAAAATGCATAGATATGTCTAGGAGGAGATTAATAGAGACAATATAGAATTCCTAATGGATGAATAAAGTACATAAAAATATATAATAACCTCAGATGCAAATTTAGAAGAGTTATTTTCTTAATAGAGACCAAAATTCAGATTCTGTAAGAGAAAATACTAGTAAGTTTGATAACATTTAATTAAAAAATCTTTCGTCAGAAAGAAAGCACCATCAGCAAAAAAATAAATTAAAAAATTATGTAAGTTATATAACAGAAAAACAGTGTCAATAATATACAAAGAGCTTGTAAAAAAAGAGAAGAAAACAGTAATAGCCTTATAGAAAATAGGCATAAGATAAGGGCATATTAGCCACGGCTTAAACATATAAAAATGTATACAAGCTAACAGAATACATTAACATTAAAATTACATGGTCATTCCATTTCTCACTTATCAGATTATTAACAATTCAAAAGCTTGACCACATAGTTTTGTTTGTTTGTTTGTTTGTTTGTTTTGTTTTTTGGGGGCAAAGCTATGGAAAAAATAGGCAATCCGGCACTACAAAAGGGTACAACCACTTTGGAGTAGAATTTGTCAAGATCTAACAAAAAGGGTCTGACTCAAGTTTTTGTAATGGACAGCAGACAACTTTTAAGCCCAACAACTCCCACTTGCCCTTCCACACACATCTGGGCAAGCTGATGAGGAAGCCTCGATGCTCTTACCTTTGGTGTCAGTAGGAAGTTCAAAACACACAAGTGCTAACCCCTACGCAGTAGTTCTTTCCCTAACCCCACTCCCAGCTACCATAAAAAACAAAATGGTCTCCTTTCTCCACTTTCTCAAGCCATCCTTATTTAAGTTTGAGACATTGCCCTGTTCTTCTCAGAAAAACTCATTGTGTGAGTAATAGAACTTTTTATACCCTCTTGGTGCATATGTGGCACCATCAGCCTTGATATCCAAACCAAATTTTGGGTGAGGGTCCATCACATTTTTGTAGGATGGCTTTATTAGGGTTGTCTAGAGGGACAGAACTAACAGGATACATGTATATATGAAAGGGAGTTTATGAGGAGACATGACTCACACAGTAACAAGGTGACGTCCCATAATAGGCTGTCTGCAAGTTGAGCAGCAAGGAAGCCAGTAGTGGCTATGTCCAAGTCCCAGAATCTCAAAAGTAGGGAAGCTAGCAATGCAGCCTCCAGTCTGTGTCTGAAGGTCTGAGAGCCCCTGGCAAGCCACTAGTATAAGTTCAAGAGTCCAAAAGCCAACTAACTTGGACTCTTACGTTTAAGAGTAGGAAGCATCCAGCACAGAAGAAAGATGAAGGCTGGAAGACTCAGCAAGTCAGCTTCTTCCACCTTCTTCTCCTGCTTTTTCTAGCCACACTGGCAGGCAATTGAATGGTGCCCACCCACATTGTGGGTGTGTTTTCCTGAGTAAGAGTGAATCTTGCTCTCCCAGCCCACTGATGCAAATGTTAATCTATCCTGGCAACACCCAGAAACAATACTTTGCATCCTTCAATCCAATCAAGTTGACACTTAATATTAACCATCACAATGGCCAAACACGTTTATTTACTTTTGACTCTGAGTCCACTTCTAAGAATCTATCTCAAAGCCATCTAGCAAAAAATATAAAAGTATGTATACACATAATTATTGCTTACAGCACTAGTTTTGTCACTGCAAACAACTGGAAACAATCTGAATGTCCAGTAACAGGGGACTGTTTAAGAAAACAATTGAGCAGCCAAACAATTAAATACTGTGCAAATGTAAAAAGAAATAAGGAAGACTTCTGTATACTATTATGGAATGACATCCAAAACACGTTACGAAGTGAGAAAGGGCACATGCATAACAATTTGTACAGTTTGCTAACTTGCACTTAAGAAAGATGGGCATATCTATATCTATACATATTTGTTTATTTTTTCTTTACAAAAAATAAGGTAATACTAAAATAAATTAGCAAAAAGTTCACCTAAATAAAAAGTGGTAGGGACAGGGTGTAGGGGATGGAAATGGAAGACAGTTTACCATGCTTATACATTTGACTTTGGTAGTATATAAATGTCTTACACATTATAAACAAAATGAAATCAAAATGAAACATCAGTACTTAAAAATAAAATACAAAAATTATATCATCTGAACTGTGTATCTCGTTGGAGGCCTATACTCACAGATAATTATTTCAAATGACTTTAAAATGAATTATCTACGTATCCTTAGTAGGGATTATCCTAAGGACAAAAGAAAATGCAAAGAAACATTAAACTGACTTGTGATTATATTTTTACTAACAATATTGATCATTTTATTCGGAAACTTTTCTGTAGATATTGCCAGAGAAAGCAAATAAATATTTGTGTTAATGTCATTGGAAGCTAAGACTTTCAGTATAATTAAACAGATACTTATACTCTGAACTCCTAATTTTAAATGGAAAATATCAGTAAGAATTTATGATATAAATTCTAAAATCTATAAATCTATTTTCTTGATTTCTACTGTGAAAAAAAAAAAAGACAAACATATATGTGATGAGTTGCCCTAAATTTGCAATGATGAACTCTGTGATTTTTCCAATTAAGGCAACCAGAGAGTCTTGGAGAAATAATAAAAAAAAAAGGTGTGGTGAACAAAATGTACAAAATGAGCCTGGAGCATGTTGTCATGCCAGAAAACAGGGAAGCTATAAAAAGAAATGATTTGCATCATGTTAAAAGGATTCAGATGCCTAAAGAGTTTCCTGCTAGCCAAAGTTCAGATAATATGAGCATCAAAAGTAATAATAACTGCAGTGGATAGAAACACATAAAATGTATTGCAAATTCATGAATTAATTATGTTGATTTAAAAAAACAACTTCAGTTTGCAGGTTTCTGTGGAACCAGTTTTGGAAACTGGCAAAGGAAAGAGTCAGGCAGTTTTCCTGCTTCTCTTGTACAAATTGTTCCTCAGGGTAACCAAACAGTGCAAAACGTTTCTAAAAATTACTTTTGCTAACAAATAACAAATTGAAAGAATTAGTATAGTCCCATTTTGCAAATTCTAGTGAAATCACAGATTTGAGAAATGATCATAAATGGATGCTGAAACTATTATGTGAAAAGCTAATGGATAATTTAATAATGAATTGATGAATGAAGCTGGCACACTTGACTTACTGATCAAACTTTTTATCACTGTAAAAGGAGACAACAGGACATTATGAATCTTTGTATATGATTCTATGGAAAGTTAAAGAAACCCACTATATATGAATTTTCATTACCAAACAATTGTACCTGAGAACCACAATCTGTATGACATACGGGAGATAGATCAACATATTAGATGGTATCATGAAAATACAATCTATAAAATCTTGAGTGTGTAGAACTATAGTAGTAGGTTTTAAACTTTAGCATGCATCAGCATATTGCTGGGCTCTTAACTCTAGAGTTTCAGGTTCAATAGGTTTGGGGTGTTTCCTGAGAACTTAATTTCTAACAAGTTCCCAGATGATGCTGATCCCTGCTGATCTCAGGACTACCAGTGACTTTTTCCAACAAATACAGTGAACATATAGAGTCAAGTACACTTAGGAAACACTCCAGGAATATGGCATGTGCAGAGCCTCTTTGGATTCTGATTTGAAAAAACATCTGTAAAAAATGTTTATGAAGAAATTGGAGAAATAGGCTCAGTGATACTTTATTGTAGAAATTATTATTAAATGTTAATATGTGATAAACATGTTTTCTGTGTTTTCTTTAGGTGTGAATTTTAGAGATATATACTAGAACATTATTGGTTAAATGATATTAAAGATGTTGAATATGTGCTGTTTCATATAGTATTCTCTATATGTTTAAAATTTTCTAAAATAAAAATTGATTTATAAAGCCAGAATGTAAATCTATTTTCATTGTATTTCTAAAAAGCCAGTAGGTTTCTGGATATTATAAAGACATTCAATATAGATATAGTTGTGTCAATTTATAGTATTTAATTTTGAGATGAGAGTTTTGTTATAGTTTATAAAAGATGGTTTCCTACTGAGAACTCAGAACTATTTTGGAACCTAAAAATAAATGTGATTCCCAGCAGCTTCAAGTTTTGATATTCAACAAGCTAATAATTTTTAAGTTAAATATAATGAGCTATTGTTCAGCAAAAGAATGTGTTTTTCCCTTTTAACTTCTAACAAATTCTGTATCTAATGTATAAATAGTATGGAAAAATAAGGGGTAATGTAAAAATATAGGGACATTGTGGCTAAAGAATTAAAATCACTTCCAAAATAAACATATTCTTATGGCAAAAAAATCAGTAGCTATAGCTCCAGTTCTTTTCAAGTTATATTCTCCAATATTATATAAATTATAAAAATATTATGGATTACACTATGCTATATATTTTCATTTTATTATTTGTTATATATTTATATATTACATATTTATCTTTAGTTTTATTATATATAATATATCACATATATATAGAGAGAGAGAGAGACAGAGAGAGAGAGACACTTTGTGAACCTCCCTTCTCTCCCTCAATTTAATGGGGACTGCCTTGAGATGAGGCTGTTAGTACGGTCTCTTGGAAGGCCACACACTTAATGGGATTTTTGTTCTGAGTTACTTTATTAAATTAAAAGTTTTTATTAGGTGCCACACTCTTAAGAAAACTTTTCCCAGAGGAAATTTAAATCAGATTAAAGGTTTTATTGGGCATTCATTCCTTAAAGTCTTATCACTCTTATCTTTTATATTTGGAGCTCAGAAGTAGTCTTTTAAACACTGGAAGGTCTAGAATTTCTGGACTTTTCTATTTCCATTATTATTATTCGCTTTGAAACTAACCAATTATTTTCAGAGTTCTTCTTTCACTTATAATACTATGCCAAACACAACAAATAACAACTAACACAATTACCATTAGGTTGGCGCAAAAGTAATTGAGGTTTTTGCAATGAAATTGTTGCAAAAAACACAATTACTTTCGCACCAGCCTAATAACATTTTCATTTTTTACTTTGCTTTCTAACTTCTTTTTGGCTACAAGTTCATTTGTTCCATGTTCTGATGAATAATTTGTGAAACATGACAGTTATTCCAAATGTCTTGTCATTGTATAATATGGTTACCATCCTTCCAAGCTATATTAAAATGTCTTATTTTATTTTACTGTTTCCACACCTACAAAGAAAGTAAGGTTAATTTTTTTTTTATTCATCCAAGTAGGTTGGGCTATGCTGCAGTTACAGAAGCTGCCAAATTTCGGAGGCTCTGCACAATCACCCAGGGACAGAGGCTGATAGACTTTTCACTCTCTTGAAGCTACACCATTTAGAATACGTATATGTGATAACATGTCAGGGGAAGAAAAGACTGGAACTGATTTTTTTAAACCAATTAGCCATAACTGTGGCACCATCTCCAGCCTAAGGATAAAGGAAAGTATAATTATCCTGTGTACCTGAAGGGAGCGAAAACTCCATTAGATATTACTGCACACTAGAAATCCATACCACACCTTGACCTAAAACACCATGAATCAAACAGATAGGCAAACCCCATGTTACAATACAGAGCAATAACTGATATGATAAAAGTATGCAGTGTGCTACAAAACATGGTGAGTGATATAGAGGAACTCTCGTGGTTTTGTCTCTTCCATTCTTGTATTAGTCCCTTCTCTCATTGCTGTAAAGAACTACCTGAGACTGGGTAATTTACAAAAACTAGAGGTTTAATTGGCTTATGGATCCACAGGCTGTACAGAAAGCATGGTGGCATCAGCTTTTGGGGAGGCCTCAGGGAACTTACAATCAAGATAGAAGGTGAAGGGGGAGGCAGCCCTTCACATGGCTGGAGATAGAGGAAGAGAGAGAAGGGGAGGTGCCACACACTTTTAAACAACCAGATATCGTGAGAATTCAGTCACTATCATGAGAACAGCACCAACAAGAAATCTGCCCCCATGATTTAATCACTACCCACCAGGCCCCATCTCCAACATGGGGGATTTTGTTTTGTTTTGAGACGGAGTCTCACTCTGTCACCTAGGCTGGAGTTCGGTGGCACGATCTTGGCTCACTGCAACCTCCATTTCCCAGGGTCAAGTGATTCTCCTGCCTCAGCCTCCTGAGTAGCTGGGACTATAGACGTTCGCTACTACACCCAGCTAATTTTTGCATTTTTAGTAGAGACAGGGTTTCACCATTTTGGTCAAGGTGGTCTCAAACTCCTGACCTCAAGTGATCTGCCTGCCTCGACCTCCCAAAGTGCTGGGATTACAGGCTTGAGCCACCGTGCTGGGCCAACATTGGGGATTACAATTAAACATAAGATTTCGGTGGGACACAGAGCCAAACCATATCATTCTGCCCCTGCCCCCTCCAAAATCTCATCTTTCTCACATTGCAAAATATAATCATGTCTTCCAAACAGTCCTCCAAAAGTCTTAACTCATTTCATCATTAACTCAAAAGTCCAAAATCTCATCTGAGATGAGCCTAGTTCCTTCTACCTATGAGGCTGTAAAATAAAAAATAAGTTGGTTACTTCCAAGATACAATGAGGATACAGGCATTGGGTAAATATTCCCATTCCAAAAGGGAGAAATCAGCCAAAACAGAGGGGCTACAGGCCCCATGTGAGTCCCAAACACAGCAGGGCAGTCATTAAATCTTAAAGATCCAAAATAATCTCTTTAGACTCCATGTTCCTTATCTAGGACACACTGATGCAAGGGATTATTTGAATCTTCTCTCTCTTTTTTTTTTTACTTTGTTAGTCTATCAATCTTATGTTTGGTCTATCAATCTCATTTGTTTTTTGCAGAAACAACTCAGTTTTATTGATCTTTTTATGGATTATTGTATCTCAATTTTATTAAGTTCTCTAATTTTAGTTATTTCTTTTCTTCTGCTAGCTTTGGAGCTGATTAGTTTCTTTTTTTTCTAGTTTCTCTAGGTGCAGTGTTAGGTTATTAATTTGAGATCTTTCTAACTTTTTAATGAAGGCATTTGGCACTGTAAATTTTCCACTTAACATTGCTTTAGCTGTATCTCGAAGATTTGTTAATTTTTGTCTCTGTTTTCATTTATTTTATTTTTTTTTACTTCTGCCTTAATTTTGTTGTTCACCCAAGAGTTATTCAGGAGCAAGTTGTTTATATTCCATGTATCTGTGTAGTTTTGAGAGATGTTCTTGATATTGATTTCTATTT
Source organism: Homo sapiens (assembly GCF_000001405.40). Lineage (NCBI taxonomy): Eukaryota > Metazoa > Chordata > Mammalia > Primates > Hominidae > Homo > Homo sapiens. The sequence continues at coordinate 92,755,379 of NC_000023.11, read as the reverse complement.
TTATTGCACTGCGGTCAAGAGTATGCTTGATATGATTTCAATATTGTAAATTTTTGAGACTTGCTTTATAACCAAACAGGTGGTTAATCTTAGAATATGTTCTGTATGCAGATGAAAATAATGCATATTCTGTAGTTATTGGCTGGAGTTCTGTAGATGTTTATTAGGTCCAGTTGGTCAAGTGTAAAGTTTAATTTCAGAATTTCCACCTTGATGATCTGTCTAATGCTGTCAGTGGGGTGTTGAAGTCTCCAACACTGTGTGTGTGTGTTTAGGCTTTTTGTAAATAAAAAAAAAATTCTTTTATGAGTCTGGGTGCTCCAAGGCTGAGTACAGATATATTTAAGATAGTTAAGTATTCTTGTTGAATTAAAACCTTTGTAATTAAGTAATGTCTTTGTTGTTCTTAATTGTTGTTGATTTAAAGTCTGCTTTATCTGACATAGCAATAGTGACTCCTGCTCTTCTTTGTTTTTAATTTGCATAGAAGATCTTTCTTCATTTCTTTTCTTTGAGCCTGTTGGTGTCATTACCTGTGAGATGGGTTTCATAAAGATAACAGACAGTTAAGTCTTGTCTTTTAATCCAGCTTTTCACTCTATGCGATTTAAGTCAGGCATTTCGACCATTTCCATTCCGGGTTCATATTTATTTTTTAACTTTTGTTTTAAGTTCAGGGGTACATTTGCAGGTTTGTTATATAGGTAAACTTGTGTCATAAAGGTGTGTTCTACAGATTACTTCATCATCCAGGTATTAAGGCCAATAATCATTACTGATATTTCCTGATTATCTCCCTCCTACCATCTTCTACTCTCCGTGTGTGTTGTTCCTCTTTATTTGTCCATGTGTTCTCATCAGTTAGCTCCCACTTGTAAGTGAGAACATGTGATATTTGTTTTTTTGTTCCTGTGTTAGTTTGCTAAGAATAATGGCCTCCAGCTCCATCCCTGTCCCTGCAAAGGGCATGATCTCATTCTTTTTTAATCCTATAAAAAAAACACACACACACACACATAGTATTCCATGGTATATACGTAACACACTTTATTCAGTCTATTATTGATGGACATTTAGGTTGATTCCGTGTCTTTGCTGTTGTGAATAGTGCTGTAATGAACGTATGCTTGCATGTGTCTTTGTAATAGAACAACTTATATTCCCCTGGGTATACAAAAGTAAACATTAGAAATAATAGAAATCAATGAAATTGAAAACAAGAAACCAGCTAACAACATGATGACAGGATCAAAATCTCATAATTTTTATTTTGTTGGCTGGGTTCCTGTTTTCAATTTCATTGATTTCTGCTCTTTTTATAATTTCTAATGTTGACTTTTCTTCTGCATGCTTTGGATTTAATTTGCTATTTCCCTAGTTTTCTAAATTGGAAATTTGATTGCTGATTATAGTTCTGTCTTCTTTTGTAGTATATGCATTAAATGCTATACATTTCCCTCTAAGTACTGCCTTGGTTCTATTCTACAAAAGTCAATAATTTCCATTTGAGATATTTAAAAATATTTTCTAAAATTGTCTTCACCCTTCTTATTAGATATATATGTTATTTTAAAGTGTGTCGTTTACTCTCCAAGTATTTTGGATGTTTTCCATGTAACTTTCAGTCACTGATTTCTAGTTTCATTTTATTATGGTCTGAAAGCATACTTTGTATGATTGCTATTAATTTAAATTAATTAAGGTGAGTTTTATGGCCCAGAATACTTTCTAAGTTGGTAAATGTTTAATATAAGCTTAAGAAAAATGTTTGTTTTTCTGTTTTTGAATAAATTTTTCTATAAATGTCCGTTAGATTTAGTTTATTAAAGATACTATTCTGTTCAAATATGGCCATACTGATTTTATGAATTCTGAATCTGTCATAATGATAGTGGAGTGTGTTGAAATCTCCAACTATATGAAAGTAGATTTTTCTATTTCTCCTTTCATTTCTGTCACTTCTTTTTTCACATATTCAATGCTCATTGTTAAGCACATACATATTAAGAATTTTTATATCTTTTGGAGAATTGATTCCTTTCTCATTATGTAATGCCCTTCTTTACTTTGAATATTTTTCCTTATTCTCAAATCTGCCTTGTCTGAAATTAATATAGTTACTACATCTTTCTTCTTGCTGTTGTTAGCATGGCATATGTTTATCCATCATTTTATGGGTCATAATTTTTGGCTTCTTTGCATATCTAATAATTTTTCACTGTATAGTAGGTATCTGTGAATATTATGGTATTGAGTGTCTATATTTGTTGTCCTACATTAGCAAGATTTGAATTATATTTAGACAGGCAGCTATATTACTTATAGATCAGTTTAATCCTTCGCTACAGAAAAATCTATCAACCTGATTGGTCAGATAAAGTCTGACAGATTTTTCCGTAGAGAAGGATTAAATGAGTTTTTCAACCTATTGGTTAGACTTTAAATGTCTTCCCACCCTTTGTAATTTCTGGAAATTATTCAAGTCAGGACTTTCCAGCTGTTGTCTGTTTTAACTTGTGGAATTTCACCTTATGCATGCACAGCTTTTTATTGAGGAAAAACTCAACGGCTTTTCTATTCAGACTTGTGAAGCTCTTTCTCTGTGCTATTCCTTCAACTCCGGTACTCTACAAATTCCAAAGTTTATCTAAACTTTCCAGAATTTTAATTCTGATCTTTTCAATCCAGGGAGATTACTGGTATTTACCTGAGTTTACCTTTCCTATTTCTCTGTTTGGGATATTGTGGTGCTTACCTTCTTTTAACCCTTCTTCACTGATTACAGTTCTGTGCTGCATGTTTGCCAATATCTGCAAACAGTATTTTATCTGTATTTTCCAGTGTTGTAATTTTTTCTGAAAGGAGGGCAAGTCCACTACCAGTTACTCTATCAAAGTAGAAAAAATTTCATCTTGCAATTTTAATATACCCAATTTAAAATATTTTGTAATGAAATAATCACTTATGATAATCCATGTTTTTATTTATTATATTTTGCTTTTCTTAGTTTTATTTTAAAATAGTTATGTCAATTTTTACTTGTTTTTGTAAAGATCTTTTATGTATACATAAAAAGCATATATGTATAAATATGAATATGTATGTGTGTATATATATATATACACACATACATATCTATACATTGTGTGAAAGTTTTATCCCACTAGAGACACCATGTTTATTTTACCAACATTTCGATGAAAGTATGTATCAAAAATCAAAAACGGGAGTTTGGGTGGTCCCTGGTACTGGTTGGGGGCTGGCTGCTGGGGTATTTGGCTGTTACAATAAAGTTATAATGAACATATGTGTACAGGTATTTGTATGGACATATGTTGTCATTTCTTTTGAATAAATACCTAAAAGTGGGATTGCCAGAATCAAGGATCCTATCGTAATTACTCAGCATAGATTTTTATAGAGTTTTCTGGTGGATTTGATCAAGATGGCTGACTAGACTTAGCCAAGTGGAACAGCTGCCACAGAGGGATGGGGATGACTGGTGCACTCCTAACAGATCTTCAGAGGGGAAGGCACTGAGAGTAGATGGAGGAAAGACACAGAAGCTAGCCCGAAGCAGGAGGAAGCTGGGAATCCTGCAAGGGGCTACCATGCACAGGGACTCATTCCCAGCCCCCAGTGACTGAGGCAGCCAATTACTTGAACTGCCAAGGAGCAACCCACTTTCCCCAAAGACCTCTGGAATCCTGGCAGGCGGAGACCCCTCTATGACTATGGACACTTGAGTTGGCAGAGAAAGCTGCTTAGAGAAGTGGTAGGGGACAGAACTCCAGCCAGTGCAGAGCCCAGAGGCTTTGGTGTGGGCGCATCTGTAGTGGAGCATGGCCAGGGATTCCATCCCCCAAGGCTCCACATGCTCCCATGGGAGATTTTTGCCCTAAGCAAAGTGTTGGTCCTGAACTCTGCATGGTGGTGGTGTCCATGAGTCGGGGCACCTCCCCCGCCCCAACACCCCTCAGTCTGCTTGCCTCTTCTGAGTCCCCAGCCTGGCTGTGTCTTCTTATAGTGCAGCCCCCAGGTAACTTTGGGGGCCCATATCATAGCTCCTGTGCAGGCAGATTGTGTCTGACAGGCAGAGTGCTCCAATAGGTTGACCCCACAGACGTGCACCAGTCCACCCTTTCCCTCCCCTACTGCAGCCTCCCCCATGCCACTTTCCCTGCAGCCACTCACTCACAACCAGCTTCCCCCATTGCTTTGGCAGCATGTATGTGCATGGAAAGACCTAGCACACTCTGCCAGTGCTGGAGTGCACATGCACCCTGCTGTGTCACTGTTGCAGAAGTGAGTGCACACACACCCACCTACACTGCATGGCCATTGTTTTTGGAGAGTTAGCAGGCATGGAGCCTGCCAACCCTGCCCCAACCATTGCCCACTTCTGGAGCGACTCTACTGCTGGTGTGAAACTAGGCATGGAAAACAGCAGACCTGCCCCCACTCAGAGTGGCTACTGCCACCAGTGTGCACAAAGAGGGAGCACCTAATACTACACTCTCAAGCATGGTACCCCCATGCTGACATCAGCATGAACATGTGCACCATGACTGGTGGGGGATCCCTACCCCCACTGAGCTGTACTGCCATCAACACTGCTGTGAACGCCTGCACAGAGGCCACCAACCAAGCACACAGTAACACCCTGTCACTACCAAAAAGCATGCAACACTCCTGTCCTGTGCTGCCACTGATGCTATTGCTGCCACATGTGAATTAAGATGGATCCAGCTTCCACTGCCCTATGAAGTGCTTTGTCTGACACCACTCATGAGAATGTTGTGACCAGAAGTCCAAAAGCACTTTGGTCTCTCCAGCACAGCAGGTTCTTAACCTTTGAGGGGGCAGAGATAAAATCTGGGGCTGGATATCAGTCTCCCAGAGTTAGAACACCCAGTTCAGGAGTCCTAAGATGAAACTTGGCCCCTAAAAGCTTCCAGTCATGAAACCAGATGACTGAACCTACCTTATACCATAACCAAACCCTCAAGGTTTCAAGTAGGAAAAAAGGAAAAATCTTAACCAAAAAACAGCTACTTCAAAGACTGAATAAAACATCAACCCACAAAGATGAGAAAGACCCAGCAAAAGAACTCTGACACCTCAAAAAGCCAGAGTGCCTTCTTTCCTCCAAATGATCATACTCATTCTACAGCAAGAATTCTTAACCAGACTGAGATAGCTGAAATGACAGAAATATAAATCAGAATATGAACAGGAATGAAGATCATCAATATTCAGGGGAATGTTGAAACCCAATCTAAGGAAGCTAAGAATCACAGTAAAATGATACAGGAGCTGACAGAAAAAAATAGCCAGTATAAAAAATAATGTAACTGATGTTACTGCACTAAAAAACACTCTATAAGTATTTCCTAATGAAATTGCAAGTATTAACAGCAGAATACACCAAACTGAGTAAAGAATCTGTGAGCTTGAAGACTGGCTTTCAGAAATAAGACAGTCAGAAAATAGTTTTTTAAAAAAAGAATAAAAAGAAATGAACAAAACATCTGAGAAATACAGGATTGTGTAAAGAGATTGAATCTACAACTCATTGGCATCCCTGAAAGAGATGAGACGAGTGTAAGCAACATGGAAAATATATTTTAGGTTAGCATACATGAGAACTTTCCTAACCTAGATAGAGAGGCCAACCTTAAAATTGAGGAAATGCAGAGAACTCCCACAAAATATTTCAAAAGATTATCCCCAAGGCACATAAACATCAGATTGTCTAAGGCCGAAACAACAAGAACAAAAAAAATTAAGGGAATCAGAGAGAAGTGACAGATCACTTACAAAAAGAAGCCCATCAGATTAATAGCAGACCTCTCAGCAGAAACCCTACAAGCCAAAACAGATTGGGGGCCTATATTAAATCTTCTTAAAGAAAATAAATTTCAACTCAGAATTTTATATCTGGCCAAAGGATAAATAAGATCCATTTCACATGAACAAATGCTGAAAAAAGTAGTTACCACCAGACCTGCCTTACAAGAGCTCCTGAATGAAGCATTAAACCTGGAAAGGAAAGACCATTACCAGCCACTACAAAAACACACTTAAATGAACAGACCAGTGACACTATAAAGCAACCACAAACAAGTAGGCATAACAAACAACTGACAATACAATGACATCAAATCCACAGATAATCAATACTAACCTTAAATGCAAGTGGACTAAATGCCTTAATTAAATGACACAGAGTGGCAAGCTGGATAAAGAAGCAAGGCCCAGTGTATGCTGCCTTCAAGCAAGCCATGTGACATGCAGTGACACTGATAGACTTAAAATAAAGGGATAAAAAAATCAACCAAGCAAATGGAAAACAGAAAAAAGCATGGGTTGCAATTGTAATTTCAGACAAAATTAGAATTTAAACCAACAAAGAACAAAAAAGACAAAAAAGGGTAGCACATCATGATAAAGGGTTCAATTCAACAAGAAGACTTAACTATTCTAAATATATATGCATCCAACACAGAAGTACCTAGACTCATAAAACAATTCTTTAGAGACCTTCAAAGAAGTTTAGACTTTCACATAATAATAATAATGGGAGACTTTAACACACCACTGACAGTATTAGACAGATCATCGAGGCAGAAAATTAAGATATTCAGGACCTGAACTCAAAACTGGATCAAATGGACTTGATAGACATCTACAGAACTCTCTACTCCAAAACTATGGAATATATATTCTTTTCATCTGTAGATGGCACATACTCTAAAAGTTGCAACACGATTAGACATTAAAAAATCCTCAACAGATGCAAAAAACCAAAATCATACCAACCACTCTCTTGGACCACAGCACAATAAAAATAGAATTTGAGACTAAAAAAAAAATCACTCAAAACCATGGAATAACATGGAAATTAAACAATCTACTCCTGAATTACTTTTGGGTAAATAATTAAATTAAGGCAGAAATCAAGAAGTATTTGAAACTAATGAGAATAAAGATATACCAGAATCTCTGGGACAAAGCTAAAGCAGGGTTAAGAGGGAAACTCACAGCACTAAATGCTGACATCAAAAAATTAGAAAGATCTCAAATTAACTACCTAACGGCACAACTAAAAGAACTAGAGAAGCAAGAGCAAACCAATCCCAAAGCTAGCAGGTGACAAGAAGTAACCAAAATGAGAAGTAAACTGAAGGAGTTTGAGATATGAAAAACCATTCAAAAGACAACCAAAGCCAGGAGCTAGATTTTTTGAAAAAATTTATAAGATAGATAGACCACCAGCTAGACTAATAAAGAAGAAAAGAGAGACAATCCAAATAAACACAATCAGAAATTACAAAGGAGATATTACCACTGCCCCCACAGAACAACCATTACTAAGACTCTTATGAATACCTCTATGCACACAGACTAAAAAATCTAGAAGAATTGGATAAATTCCTGGATATATACACCCTCCCAAGACTGAACCTGGAAGAAATTACATTCCTGAACAGACCAATAATGAGCTCTTAAATTGAATCAGTCATAGCCTACCACATGCCCACACCCCCCAGAAAAGCCCTGGACAAGACAGATTCAAAGCCAAATTCTACAATATGTACAGAGAAGAACTGGAACCATTTCTCTTGTAACTATTCCAGAAAACTGAAGAGGAGGAACTCCTCCACAATTCATTCTGTGAAGCCAACATTATCCTGATTCCAAATCCTGTCAGAGTCACCACAAGAAAGAAACTTCAGGTCAATATCCTTGATGAACATTGATGCAAAGTCCTCAACAAAATACTGGCAAACCAAAGCACATCAAAAAGTGAATCTGCCACAATAAATTAGATTTTATCCCTAGGAAGCAAGATTGTTCAACATATATAAATCAATGACACAATTCATCACATAAACAGAAGTACAACAACTGCATGATTATCTGAATAGATACAGAAAAAGTTTTCATTAAAACTCAGCATTTCTTCATATTAAAACTCACAACAACATAGGTATTGAGGGAAAATACCTTAAAATAATAAGAGCCATCTGTGGGAAACCCACAGTCAACAGTCATAATGAATGGACAAAAGCTGGAAGCATTCCTCTTGAAAACTGACACAAGACAAGGATGCCATCTCACCACTCCTATTTAACATACCATTGGAAGTCATGGCCCAAATAATCAAGGAAGAGAAAAGAATGAAAGACATCCAAATAGGAAGAAAGGAAGTCAAAATATCCCTGATTGCAGATGACATGATTCTATATCTAGAAAAACCCATACTGTCAGGCCAAAAGATCCTTAAGCTGATAAACACCTTCAGCAAAGTCTCAGGATACAAAATCAATGTACAAAAATCATTAGCATTCCTATACACCAACAATAGCCATACTGATAGCCAAATCATGAATGCAATACAATACCATGCACAATTGACACAATAAGAATAAAATGCCTAAGAATATAGCTAATGAGGGAGGTGAAAGATCTCTACAATGATAAATACAAAACACTGTTCAAGGAAATCAGAGATGACACAAACAAATGGAAATACATTCCATGCTCATGAGTAGGAAAAATCAATATCATTAAAATGTCCATACTGCCCAAAGCAGTTTATAGATTCAGTTGTATTTCTATCAAACTACTAATGACATTCTTCACAGAACTAGAAAAAAAATTGTTGGCCAGGTGCAGTGGCTCATGCCTGTAATCCCAGCTACTTGGGAGGCTGAGGCAGGAGAATCACTTGAACCTGGGAGGCGGAGGCTGCAGTGAGCCAACATTGCTCCATTGCACTCCAGCCTGGGCAACAAGAGTGAAACTCCATCTCAAAAAAAAATTGTTTTAAAATTAATATGAAACCAAAAAAGAGCCTGATTAGCCAAGGTAATCCTAAGCAGAAAGAGCAAAGCTGGAGGCCTCATAGTACCTGTCTTTAAACTCTACTGCATGGCTACAATAACCAAAACAACATGGTACTTGTACAAAATCAGGCACATAGACCAATGGAATAGAATTGAGAACCCAGAAATAAGGTCACACACGTACAATCATCTGATCTTTGACAAAGCTAACAAAAACAAACAATGGGGAAAGGACTTTCTATTCAATAAATGGTGGTGGGATAACTGGCTAGCCATTTGCAGAATATCGAAACTTGACCCCTTCCTTATAACATATACAAAAATTAACTAAAGATAAATGAAAGACATAAATATAAAAGCAAAAGCTATAAAAACCCTGGAAGACAAGCTAGGCAACACCAATCTAGACAAAGAAATTGGCAAATGTTTTATGATGAAGAACCCAAAAGCAATTGCAACAAAAGTAAAAATGACAAATAGGATCTAATTAAACTAAAGAGCTTCTGCACAGCAAAAGAAACTATCAACAGAATAACAGACAACTTACAGAATGGGAGAAAATACTTGCAAATTATGCATTTGAAAAAGGTCCAATAGCCAGCATGTATAGAGAACTTACACAAATTTACAAGAAAAAAATTATCAACCCCATTAAAAAGTGGGCAAAGTATATGAACAGACACTTTTCAAAAGAAGACATACATGTGGCCAACAATCATAGGAAAAAAGCTCAACATAACTGAGCATTAGAGAAATGCAAATCAAAACCACAGTGAGATGCCATCTCATACGAATCAGAATGGGTATTGTTAAAGAGTCAAAAACCAAGAGATAATGATGAGGTTGCAGAGAAAATAGATCAATTATATAGCGTTTATGGAAGTATAAATTAATTCAAGCATTGTGGAAAGCAGTGTGGTGATTCTTCAAAGAGCTAAAAACAGAACTACCATTTGACCCAGCAATCCCATTACTGAGTATATACCCAAAGGAAAATAAATCATTCTATCATAAAGACACATGCACGTGTAAGTTCTTTTCAGCCTTATTCACAATAGCAAAGACGTAGTATCAACCTTAATGCCAATCAATGAAAACTGGATAAAGAAAATATGGTGCCTAGTCACCATTGAATACTATGCATCCACAATAAAGAACAAGATCATGTCCTTTGAAGTAACATAGATGGAGCTGGAGGCCACTATCCTTAGAAAACTAATGCAGGAACAGAAAATTAAATATCACATGTTTTTCACTGATAAGTAGAACACCTGGACATAAAAAGGGGAACAACAGACACTGCAACCTACCAGGGGGTGGGGAATGGGAGGAGGGAGGGGAGCAGAAAAAAAGTAACTATTGAGTTCTAAGCATAGTACCTGAGTAATGAAATAATCTGTACATCAAACCCCCATGACATGACTTTACCTATATAAAAAATATGCACATGTAACCCTGAACCTCAAATAAATTTTTTTAAAAAAGAAAATTGAATGCGTGATATAAAAAAGAATAATGAAATCATTAAACAAAACTCAAAATCTTGGTGATGTGCCAGTCCTCTCCCTTATTTAAACATGTGCTTTCCATACATAATACCCTGTGAAAAGGAAACTAAATATATTTGGGTAACTGTATTAGTCTGCTAGCACTGCATAATAAAACACCAATGACTAGATGCCTTAAATAACAATGCTGTGATTTGAAAATTCATATGTTGGAACCTAATAGCCAATGTAATAGTATTAAAAGGAAGGACTTTTGTGGAAGTGATTGCTCTACCCTTATGCACAGAACACTTATCAGAGAGGTTGTAGTGAGCACATTAGCTCCTTTTTGCTGGTCCATCTCTTCTGCCGTGTGAGGACACAGGCTTTACCCTTTTTTGCCCTTTATCCTTTTGCTCCTTTTGTCATGTGAGGACTCAGTATTCACATATTTTCTGCCACAAGAGTATTCTGTGAGGAAAACAGTGGCTATGAGGAGCCAGCCCTCACCAGACACCAAAACTGTTGACTCCTTAATCTTGGGCTCCCCAACCTCCACATCTGTGACAATTAAATTTCTGTTATTTATAAATTACCCAGTCTAAGATATTATGTTTTATTCACCTGCCATGGACTAAGACAAATTTATTTCTCACTGTTCTTGAGGGTGGAAGTTCAGGATGAAGGTGCTAGCAGGGTTGGTTTCTCCTGAGGCCTCTTTATTTCTTTAGCTTGTGGATGGCCATTTTCTTTCTGGGTACTAACATTGCCTTTCTCTCTCTCTCTCTCTCTCTCTGTGTGTGTGTGTGTGTGTGTGTGTGTGTGTGTGTATTTTCTTCCTTTTTATATAAGGACAACAGTGCTAATGGATTAGGGCTTCACCCTTAGGCCCTCACTTTATCTTAATTATCTCTTTAATGATCCTATGTCCAAATATAACATACGAGGTTAAAGCTTCGACATACCAATTTGTGGAAAGGGGACATGATTCAATCTATAACAGTAACTAAGGAGGTATTTTCAATTGTGTTTGCTCACTTAGATTTTTGTCAATTTGTTTGCCTTGACATGATGATTTCCACTTTTATGGGCATAACTACTCTTGAACAATGTTTAAAAATAATTTAAAAAATAATTATGGGCTATTTTTACATTAATTTTCAATGTAAAGTTATATGTAATGTTACAGCATGAACTTTGTCTCCCTAAAATTAATATGTTGAAGTCCTAAACCCCAGTACCCCAGGATATGATTGTATTTGAAAGTAAGGCCTTTATATTGGTAATTGAGGTTACATGAGGTCACTTCAACAAGCTCTAATTCTATGTGACTGTTATCTTTATAAGTAGAGGAAATTAGGACACAGGTGCACACAGAGAGAGCATGTGAAGACACAAGAAGACAGCCATCTGCAAGACAAACAGGCAATTATGCCAACATAAATAACTCTGCCAACACCTTCACCTCAGACTTGTAGCCCTCAGAACTGAAAGTAAATATATTTCTCTTGTTAAAGCCTCTTAGTCTGTGGTACTTTGTTATGGCAGTCCTAGCAAACTGATGTAGGTACTAATTTTTTTTTTTTCACATTTTGCCCAATTTCCTGTCTTTTTCCTGATCATTAATCATTACCTACCAATTCATTTGCTAAGGGATTGGGATTCACACCTCTGAATTAATCAAGAGATTATGTTAATCAACTACTTTTTTGAAGTGGTGTTCCCAGATGACAATCTTGCAAAACTCAACTAAAGTTTAACAGATTAGATGCAAACGTTAGAGAAATGCTGTGCAATTTTTTTTCCTTTTATTCTTAATCAACATACCTAAAGTGCCCTATTCACCCAGTAATGATTGAAAAATCTCCCAGGGAAAACCTCAACTGTCCTGTCACTTCCCAGATAATCTCTCACATATAAAGTCTTATTTTATATGGGTGACAATGAAAAGAAAATATTGAATACACTTTGGGAACTGAGAATCTCTCAATTATGTAGACTCACTTTGGTTTTTGCTATTTTCTTTGTACTAGGGTTGTGAATTGCCTCCTGTCTGTGCTTAACTGTCCTTTAAAAAATTAGTATCTAAAAAACGAATAACCTACAGACAGTAATGTTACCAAACCATAAATGTGCAGGTAGCTGAATTGGCCATTTAAGTCAATACATATTGAATTTCTTCCAGTATCTAAGCTCTCTTTGTGCCCCATACCTATCACTATTGCCACCCTCTTTTCTAACATTGTAAGTTACTTTTGTCTGTTTTTGAAATTCATATTAATCGAATCATACAGTATGTATTATCTTGTGACTAGCATTTTTGTTGTTCAATAATATATTTGTGAAATTCATCTATGTTATTGCATGTAGTAGCACTTTTTCCTCTATTGATCATTCATAGTATTCCATTGTGTTACATCTCCTGCAAATAAACATGTTCTTTGGCTCATTTTATTGTTAATGGCAATTACAGTAATTTCTAGTTTCTGGATGTTAGGACCTGTTGTGCTATAGATGGTTTGGCACTTGCCTTCTGGTGCACATACGTACCCATTTCTGTAGGTAATAGACCCATGATTGGAAGTGCTGGTTCAAAACCTATGCAGATATTCAGGTTTAATAGTTCATGAACAGTTCTACAAAGTAATTTTACCAATTTCACCAATACTGATATCCTCTTTCCAAATTGTCTCAAAAAGTCTGTTTTCATTTTCCTATTAGGTTGACTGTCTCTTATTAATTTCTAGAAAATTTGTATACATTATGGACACAAGTAACTTTGTCCATAATAGATATTTCCAGTTAAACATATTTCAAATGTTGGGTTGCATGCATTTTTGGCTTGCATTTTCTTTTGCTTTATGCTGTGTTTTGGTGAAAAGAAATTCTGAATTTTAATGTAGTACAAATTATCAATTGTTCTCTTTGCTCCTAGTGAGATTTGTTTTATTTGTTTTCTTTTTAATAAGTCGTTGCCTATCTCAAGGTCATAAAGACATTTTTCTATGTTATATTCCAGAAGTTTCTCATTTTACATTTCATATTTAGAGTGTCCAAACTCCTGTTAAAGATCAACAGGAACAAGCCTGTAGTGTGACAAAATCAGATTTATTGACTCACTGGAATGGAAGGGTATTTCAGAGGACTAGTGGAATGCCATCTGACAAGATAGAAGGAAGTGTCTTTTGCAAAGTTTGAGTTACCACTGAAGGATTCTGAGGGCAGTCTAATGGAAGTATGGTTGTTATTTCTGAGGATGGATTAAAATAAGTACAGATTAACTGGGGATTGGTTACTGACAAAAGCAATTGGGTTTTCCCTAGTAACACATAAAAATAGAAAATCTGGTCTGGATATGTCGATAGTAAGAAAGCAGTGGTCGCCCAAAGAGGTGGCCCTTATTGAATGTCACAACTGTTGCAAGACCTTGGAAGAAACAATGTTACATTTTTTTTGAGACTATATCTGACTTTCTCTCTGCCTGTCCTCCCAGACTTATTAACAATAGAGCTGCTTTTTTTTTCCCCTCCAGTTCTGAAAAGATTTTTTATTCTTTTCACTCTTCAAATTCTACGGCATTAAAAAATGTCAATTTTTTAAAATATGTGGATATACAATTAGTACAGCATCATTTTTTGAACGGAAATTTCTTACCCCACTATTCTGATGTGTCACCTTTGAAGTAAATCAGATGACTTTATGTAGGTCTGTTTTTGGGCTCTGGAATTTTTATTTCCTTCATTGTCCTATTCTTATTAAAAAAATCACACCATCTTAATTATCATATCTTTTTAAATAAAGCATAATTTTCATCCTCAAGCTATCCTGGCTATTTTTAACCCTTTGCAAGTACATATAAATTAATAATCATCTGGTCAATTTCAAAAACAGCTGGCTGTAATTTTGATTAGGATTTCTTTGAATCTATACATTGTTTGGGGGAGAAAAAACATTGAGCTAGAACTAGACAGACTGAAAAATGCCAGTAATTGGATTCATAATAATCAGGTTTGAGTTGTTGGCTCATCATTTTGCTATAGTGCTAGATCTGATAGTGGGTAGGATAAACTTACTAGTGAGAATGTTAAGCGATGTGATGTTGGAATTATCCGTTCAAATTGAAGATGATGATTTTGAACCAGAAATGCTGTGCATAATAAAACAATAATACAAAATACTTAAGATGAGTATCCAAATAGAGGGCACTAACGGGAAAATGAAAAAATAAGAGATTGAACTCTGGAAAAGGTGTCCAGCTGAATATTAACTGAATAGGCAAACTAAGTATTTACAGATCATTTTGGATAACAGTGAATCAGAAGAATTGATGTCAAGGATTCAGCTGAACCAGTTGGAAGAAGCTATGGTTAAAAGTTAGAATTTCACTGGCTATGTGGTAGAATTATATAATCTTTCTTTTCAATCTCATTTGATTATCTGAAATGTTATGTCATAATCTTTTTCCTCTATCTTTATTTTTTCTATATTTACCTTTCATTCTCACTCCTTTCCATAAGAAAACTCCCTTACCTACTCCTATCTATTAGTATCACTTTTCATCAGTGCTCTACTGGTGATTCTGATACACTCAGAAGAATTATTACCAGTATCCATAATAAACAACATTCAGGGCACTGAAAAAGTATCTGCCTTATGCTACGATGGAAATTACTTCAAGTCCTCAGATCAGTTTATCCTACATGCTTGTTTTACTTGTCTGCCTGAACTATTACTGTATAATTTTTATATTGATAAAGTAATTAGAGTTCAGTGTGACATGACTTATGATAAATCACGAAAACCAAAATTACGCATGATCCTCCACTTTTTATTTAAATCATAAAAAGTACCATCCTCATCTGCCTCTCCTTTCATGTAGCAATATTTTCAAGTATCCCCTTATAGTAAATTGTATTTTAGAAAAGTTAAAGCATTCAAATATTCTCCTCCTTTCTTAAACACTGCTTATTTGCAACTTTGTACCTCCAGTCCTCTCAGGAATCAAATTTCTTTGGCTAAATGTGATCAATTTCCTTGATTAGTCGTGAGTGTCAAAATTGACTTTCTCAAATTATTTAGCAAGGGAATTATTGTTAAAGCTCAGACAAGAGGAAATAGTTTAGTAACTTTATCTCCCATTTAAGAAATTAAGAGGCAGACTTAATTGATTTGATTATAAAGTTTCAAATAACAATATTACCAAGATGGGAAAAGAAAAGAAATCTAGCTCATTCTTGTTCCAGGAAATTCTGGGAAGAAAAATTGAGACACAAAGAGGGTTAGGAGATTAGACACCAGGACTTTCACAAACCCCTACTAGAACAAATAGATAGAGGTGGAGGAGTCAGATGGATGTAAATATTAAGATTATTGACACACTAGGCAGAGGCTGCAAACCTCTAGAAGAATCCTCACATGCCCTTACTTTCAACACAAAGTTTGAGCTATGCTGTTGAGGTGCAGGTATTAGATAAATAGTTTGATGAACCTGAGTCAAAGTTTCTGATTCCCTATGGCCTGGAAAATTGGGACTTAGATGTTTCAGTGTACCTCACTGAGGATGCTATGTGGAGTTAATAGGACACTTTTGGAGCAGCAGAAACCTGGGATTGTAATGAAGAGAAATTATCATGAATTGGGAATTCAAGATTAGGGGCCAATATCCAAGAACATGAGCTCAACAAGTAGGTGCAGCACATCACACATAGGAGGGCAAATGAGACCAGTTGCACACCAGCACTCATCATTCTAGGAAGCAGCACAAACTGCTGAGTATCCAGAGAGAACAACGGAAGTCCAAAGGGTTCCATAAGAATGCAGGACATCCCATATCCCTTTTATTGCCCGGAGGGTCACATAAGCCACATCCACTTCAATTCTAAACATACCCACAAGCCATCTGAGAGAGGATCAAGAAGAGGGAGGCAGAACACTAAAAACTGAGGTACTTGGGTCTTCCAAGGAGACATGAACTGAATTACCTAAAGAGATAGTTTAAGTTATTGGAGTAAAATGAGATTACAGGATTATATTCAACCTTGGGTGGGGGGTGGCTTTTATTATTTTTATTGCTATCTAATAGGGTCATGAACAGGTCCTAAAATAAAAGTCAAATCAATTGTAGACAATAAAAAAAGACATTGCATTTATATATCTGAAGGCACTTTCACAACACTGCTACATAATTAAATATGTGTCTATAGCATTATTTCTCATAGTCAAGCAAAGTTGGAATGTATTAAATAACTATAATTGAACCAACATTATTGCTAATCATTTATATTTTTCCATGGATATGTATTGCTCTGTCTTCCAACTTCTTATAGGCCACATGAGGGAAACTCACATGTAGGAGAAGAGAATGAGGGAACACACAGTTCACAAAGTGAAGCAGAGCCAAAAGAATGAGGGAGAGCCAAACAGAAAACAGCTTTTGAATATCTTGGTATTGTCAGGCCTGAAACCGAAACTACTCTTAGTCTTCCTCTATTATACAGGTTGCTACATTCCCTGTTTTACATAAGCTATTTTATGATGGATTTTCATCGCTTACATTCAAAAAAATCACAATAAAGTATGTTTGTTTTCATGTACGTGATCTTTCGACATAGTAAGCATGCATGTTAAAGATTTTAACTCTTGACTTTTACATCCATTGTAAAAAGTGGCGCCAGATTTGGTATCATTTTCATTTATGGATGTTTGGGTTTTTTCGGTAATTTATTTATTTATTTTTACATTTTCCCCAGCTTTATTGAGGTATAATTGACAAAAAATATATATAGTTGAGTACAATGTGATTTATTAATTTACTTATACATTGTGAAATAAATACCACAATCGAGCTAATTACGTGATTAGCTTGAATACGTATTCATCACCTCACAGTTACCCTTTTCTGTGTGTGTATGGCGAGAACGTTTCAAACCTACTCAGAAAATTTTAAGTATATAATACAGTATTATTAACTATAGTCATCATGTTGTACACTGGATCTCCAGAGCTTATTTACTCATCCTGCACAACTGAAACTTTGTACCATTTGACTAACATCTCCCCATTTTCCCCACCCGGCAGCCCCTGGCAACCACCTGTATTTATCACATAAAAATCTTCTCTTTTATGTTTTTTTTCCCCCTAGGTCAGAAATGCCTGCTTCAACAGAGTTCCAATGTGCATTCAACAAGAGTTGTTCCTTTTCATGATTTTATTATTAATAATGAAAATTATGTTAAAGAAAATTCCAAATATCACATAATTTTATTCATCAATAATTCAATGTAAATTTCAAAAATAAGAACTTTTTTTTTACTATAACTACAATCCATTACTACACTGAAAAATTAATACTAATCCTTAAAGTAATAAAATTCCAGTCAATATAAACATGTTCTTGACTGACTCAATATGAATTTTTATAGTTGGTTTCTTCAAGCAGTGTCCAAAGTTATTACATTACATTTGGTCACGATGTCACTTTTATTCAATAACAGTTCCCTTTCCCTTTTTACTACATATTGATTAAAACAATTTATCTTTTAGAAGTTCCCATGTTCTGGAATTGCAAGATTGAGTCATCTTTATGTCTTTTAATATTCTTTTGCTTTGCATTTCCTATAATCTGGTGGATAGCGTCTGGATATTTCACTTTTATGGTGTTACATTTGATTAGGCTCAGGTGTTATAGACCTGGTATATCTATTATAAAGTTCTCCATCAGCATTTCACCCTAATATTTCAGTGAACATTGATTATCCTCACGTAGACTCATTATTTCATTTTTGATTCATTTACTGCCAAACTTTCTGTATTCTTATGTCTTAAATGTTTCTTTAAAACAGTATATGGGTGGATTTTTCTTCTGATATTTTGCTTCATAAATGGAACACATAATTCATATATAATCAATGGAATTACTAACAAATTTGAGTTTTAATGAACTGTATTATGTTGTGATTTTTATTTGTACTAAATATCCCGTGTTTCTTTGTCTCTTCTTTTTTGCCTCATTTTGAATTGAATAATTTTTATTATGTCACTTTTTTCTCTACTAATTTGGAAATTTCACTTTCTGTTTTGAATTTTTTATGGGTAACCTGGAAATTACATATGCCTACTTGACAAAGTCTTACTATAAACAAAACCTTTTTTCACCCCTTGTGACTGTGCAAGTACCTTAGAATACTTTCATTCAATTTAATCACCTCCCAAAGAATTTGTCACTCCTCTTACTTATTTTAATTATCTTTTTAAATGCCCAAAGATGTTATCATTATTGTAGCTTTTTGCAGTCAGTGTTCATCTAGATTTATTTATATATTTGCTATTTTATTTATTTCTCATTCTGTCTTACATCTCAGACCCTCCATTTCAATTAACTTTTCTTCCACTTGAAGCATATCCTTAAGTTCAGTTGGTAATTACAGATTTCATTATCTACAGATGTTTTCATTTCCCTTTAGTCTTGAAATATACCTACACAGTTTAAAACTCTTTTGGCAGCTGCTTTTTAAAACTTCATTCAGCATACTGAAGATATTATTCTGAAAATCTTTGTAGTTGAAAAGTCAGACTTCTTGTTAAACTGTAACCTTTTAAAGGTAATTCACCTTTTTCCTCTGGCTACTTTTAAAATTTATCTTCATCTTTGGTGTTCTGAAATTTTATTAGAACATACCTAGTGATGATTTATTTATATTTATCACATACGCAATTCATTTGGTGTCTTGAAATTTCTACAGATATCTCCACAATAGTTTTTACAAATGATTTTAAATTTAGTAAGATTAGATTTAAGATATAATACATTTATATCTTATATATCTTAAATCTATTATTATATCTGAAATCTAATCAATTAAATGTAATCTAATTAAATCTATGTATTATATCTTAAATCTAATTTTTTTTTATTATTTCTGGAATATCCATATGACTATTATTAGAAATGGAAGCCACAATTTTTTTTTCAGTTTTGATTTTTGTATTTCATTTTTCTTTTTCATTTTCTCTTGGTAAACCTAATCAGTCAAATGTTACACATTCTCAGTCTATCTTCCATTTCTTTTAACCTCTTTTTTATATTCTCCATCTTATATCTTTAACTGCACTCTGAATAAGTTCTTCAAATTTATTTTCTAGTGAAAATTGCAATCTGCCATTTAATCCCTGGATTTGAGTTTTGTTATTACACTGAATATATAGTTTTTCATTTCGGGAAGTTTCACTTTGTTCAAGTATGCCTATTGTTTTCTGATATTTTCTTACTAAATGATCTTTGTAATTTCACCTTTTACTCTTTAAACATTTTGTGCTTAGCTACTCTATATTTCATGTCTGACAATATATATATAATTGCAGTTTGTGGAGTTCTAAGTATGCTTTCTTCTTGGTTGTTTCAAAATTAACTCGCCTGTTCAGATGTTTACTCTTCTTTCAGAGATTATACATTTTTTGATGTGGTAAAATATGACATAAAATGTTCCATTTGAACCATTTTTAACTGTACAGTTCAGTGGCATTCAACAAATTCACAATATTCTGCACCAAAACCACTGTATATTTCTAGAAATTTTTCATCACACTAAGCAAATACTATAAACCTGTTAAGCAATAAATCTCCAGTGCTTCTCCTGCCAACCACTGGAAACCTCTATTTTCTATCTCTACATTTTTGTCTGTTTTACATGGTTCATTTTTGTCCTTTCGTGTCTGGCTTACTTTATTTAAAATAGATGTTTTTAAGGTTTATCTATGTTGCAGTGTGTATCAAAACTTCATCCCTTTTAATGCCTGAATAATATTCTATTATATAAATATACATTTTTTATCCATTCATCCATTGATGCACACAGGTTATTTCCACCTATTGACTATTGTGAATAATGTTACTATGCACATTCATGTACAACTATCAGTTTGAGTCCCTCATGGTAATTCTACATTTTAACTTTTTGAGGAACTCTCAAACTCTGCTTTTGATGGAGGCTGCAACATTTTGCATTTGCACAAGTAATGCAAAAAGTTCCAATTTCCCCACATCCGTTACAATTGATGTTATTTTTGAATATTTTTTAGTAGCCATTCTAGTGGGTGGGAAGTGGTATCTCATTGTAGTTTTGATTTGCATTTTCATAAGACTAATGATGTTAAGAATATTTTCATATGCTTATTAGCCATTTATATATCTTCTGTGGAACAATGTCTGTTGAAGTACTTTGACCATTTTTAATTGAGTTACCTTTTTGTAAGAGTTCTTTATACATTCTAGATGTTAAATCTTAAGATATTATCTGCAAATATATTCTTCAATTCTGTGGGTTGTGTTTTCATTCTCTTGATAGTGTCCTTTGATATACAAAAGTTAATTTTTATGAAGTCGAATTTACCTTTTTTTTCTCTTAATTGTAGTTTTGGTATGATATTTAAGTAACTATTGCCAAATAAAGGGTCATGAAAATTTGTTCCTATGATTTCTACTAAGAATTTTGGAGTCTCACCTCTTCAATTTAGGTCTTTCATTCATTTTGAGCTATTTTCAGATACGCTGTAAAGTAAGGATTTCACATCATTCAATACATTTGCATATCCAGTTTTATCAGCTCCATTTGTTGAACAACTTTCATTCCACATTGAATAGCCTTGGCACTTTGTTATAAATCAATTAGTGATATATGCGAAGGTTTACTTCCGAGCTCTCATTTCTATTCTCTTGGCCTTTATGTATATCCCTATGTGAGAACCATACTATGTTTTGTGTACTATAGTAAGTTTTGAAATCAGGACATGTGAGTCCTCCACTTTGTTTCTTGTGTTTCTTTTTGAGATTACTTTTTGCTATTCAGGGTATCGTGAAAATCCATGTGAATTTTAGAATAGATAATTCTATTTTTAAAATCATGCATTTTTTTAAAAGGCCATTAAAAAAATTCTGGGCTGGGCATTGTGGCCCATGTTTGCAATCTTAGCACTTTGGGAGGTGAAGGCAGGAAGATTGCTTGAGCCCAGGAGTTCAGGACAGCCTGGGCAACATAGACCACATCTCTATTAAAAAAGTTATATATTAAAGAAAAATCAAATTATATTGAACCTGTATGTCGCTTTGGGGACTATTGTCCTCTTAACAACACAGATGTCTTTTCATTTACTTTTTGTGTATCTATTAGGGTTCTCTAGAGGGACAGACCTAATAGGATAGATGTATATATAAAGGGGAATTTATTAGGGAATACTGATTCACACAATCACAAGGTGAGGTCTCACAATAAGATGTCTGCAAGCTGAGGAGCAAGGAAGCTAGTCCGGTTCCCAAAGCTGAAGAACTTGGAGTCTGATGTTCAAGGGCAGGAAGCTTCCAGCATGGGAGAAAGATGTAGGCCAGAAGACTAAACTAGTCTAGTCTTTTCATTTTCTTTTGCCTGCTTTTATTCTGGCCGCACTGGCAGCTGATTAGATTGTGCCCACCCATATTGAGGGTGGATCTGCCTTTCCCAATCCAATTATTCAAATGTTAATCTCCTTTGGCAACACCCTCATAGACACACTCAGGAGCAATACTTTGCATCCTCGATCCAATCAAGTTGACCCTCAACATTAACCATCACAAGTCCACCCCTTGTCAACTTGAACTCATACACATCTCCTGAAATCATACATAATCTTAAGTAAAGACAATAATAAGGTCATAATTACACCTAACATAATACAACTGTCTTTTGTACAGTAGGAAATGCACAATCGCTAACACAAATGCTATTACATAGTTAATAACACTTAAATGTTGATATGAAGTCAATAAATCTTATGTCACATGATAAAATAAAAAGGAAATAAATTGAAGATATTTTCTTAGTACAGTGTATACATGCACAAACATGTTCTTAACAAAATAAGAAGAAAATACTCATGACAATTACGGTCCTTGATTCTGCAACTGGTCACGTGGTTGTAGCTAATTTTGATGACGGCTTTTCTCTACTACCCATTCTGTATTCCCTTTACCTTCAGCACGCACTTTAGCAGGTTGTGTTTTTTTACCTGGTGCAATGACCAAAACCTTCATTCCTGAAAGGTCTGGGCCATTTGTAGTCCTGCCTGGATTGGACTGTTGTAATTTCCCATTGACCTTAATCACAGGGCATGGTAATACTAAGAGATACCCTAAAAATGTTTCTGTATTCCACACATACTCTTCCTTACCTCCACTGTGGAGTAGTAGACTGATTTTAACTTGATAGCCCTGGTCAGTCACCCCAGACAACACTGTAATTCTCTTCTTAGCCTGTTGACATAGAGGTAGAAGGATCCCAAAGTGGCCAAGTGGCAATCTTAATGTACAGTTCAATGAAATTGTTGTTGTGTCTCCTGGTGGCAGCATTCCTCCATCAGAACTACAACCTTAAGTCCAGCAGAACATGATGTCGAGGAAACAGGAAGCAAAAATTTTGCTAGTCGGTCACTAGAGGTGATGATGAATGGTGCCACTTCCACTTCCACCCCTTGATTCCTGGACCCATGAATCCTGGCTACGGGAGAAACAGTACCATATATTGGATGCTGATTCAGAGCACACACAGCCTTCTGAAGAACTTTTCCCCAGCCCTGCAGAGTATTGTCACCTAGTTGGCATTGTAATTGTGACTTCAAAAGGCCATTCCACCATCCTATTAATCCAGCTGCTTCAGGATGATGGGGAACATAGTAAAACCAGTGAATTCCATGAGCATGAGCCCACTGCCACACTTCTTTAGCTGTAAGGTGAGTGTCTTGATCAGAGGCAGTGCTATGTGGAATGCCATGATGGTAGATAAGACCTTCGTGAATCCATGGATGTAGTCTTCGCAAAAGCATTGTGTGCAGGATAGGCAAACTCATATCCGGAGTAAGTGTCTGTTCCAGTGAGGACAAACCTCTGCCCCTTCCATGATTGTAGAGGTCCAATGTAATCAACCTATCACCAAGTAGCTGGCTAATTACCCAAGGAATGGTGCCATATCGAGGGATCAGTGTTGGTCTCTGCTGCTGGCAAATTGGGCACTCAGCAGTGGCCATAGCCAGGTCACCTTGGTAAGTGGAAGTCCACGTTGCTGAATCCATGCATAACCTCCATCCCTGCCACCATGGCCCCTTTGTTCATGGGACCATTGGGCGATGACAGGAGTGTCGGGGGAAAGAGGCTGAGTGGTATCCACAGAATGAGTCATCCTATCCACTTGATTATTAAAATCCTCCCCTGCTGAGGTCACCCTTCAGTGAGCACTTACATGAGATACAAATGTCTTCACAATTTTTGACCACTCAGAGAGGTCCATCCACATACCTCTTCCCAAAATTCTTTTGTCACCAATTTTCCAATCATGCTTATTCCAAGTCCTTGACCATCCGGGCAAACCATTGGCTACAGCTCATTAATCAGTATATAATTAAGCATTTGGCTATTTCTTGTTCCAAGCAAAGTGCACAATGAGGTGCACTGCTCAAGGTTCTGCCCTCTGAGAAGATTTCCCTCTGCCACTTTCCTTCAAGGATGTCCGAGAAAAGGACTACAGTGCGGCAGCTGTCCATGTTCAGGTAGCGCCTGCATATTGTGCAGAACCATCTGTAAACCAGGCCCTTGTCTTCTCTTCCTCTGTCAACTGATCATAGGGAACTCCACATGAGGCCATCGGTGCAGGCTGGGGGAGAGAAGACAGGGTGGCAGGGATGGGGACCATGGGCATTTGAGCCACTTCCTCATGTAACCTACTTGTGCCCTCAGGACCTGTTCTAGTCTGATCACATATGTACCACTTTCATTTGATGATGGAACGCTGCTGTGCATGCCCCACTTTATGGCTAGATGGGTCAGAAAGCACGCAGTTTATGATAAGCACTTCAGGTCTCATGGTAACCTGATGACCCATATCCAAACGTTCAGTTTCTACCAAAGCGCAGTAACAGGCCAACGGCTGTCTCTCAAAAGGAGAGTCGTTATCTGCGGAAGATGGCAAGACCTTGCTCCAAAATCCTAGAGGCCTTTGCTGTGATTCACCTATGGGGACCTGCCAAAGGCTCCAAACAGCACCTCTATCTGCCACTGACACCTCAAGCACTATTGGATCTGCTGGGTCATATGGCCCAAGTGGCAGAGCAGCTTGCACAGCAGCCTGAACCTGTTGCAGAGCTTTCTCCTGTTCTGGACCCCACTCAAAACTGGCAGCTTTTTCGGTTACTCGATAAATGAGCCAGAGTAACACTCCCAGATGAGGAATGTGTTGTATTCAATATCTAAATAGGTTGTGCCTCTTTCTTGGTTGTAGGAGGGGCCAAATGCAGCAACTCATCCTTCAATTTAGAAGGAATATCTTGACAGACCCCACACCCCATAACCCCTAGATATTTTACTGAGATAGAAGGTCCCTGAATTTTAGTCAGATTTATTTCCCATCCTCTTGCACACAAATGTCTCACAAATAAGTCCAGTGTGTTTGCTACTTTTTGCTCACTGGATCCAGCCAGCATAATGTCATCAATGTAATGGATCAATCTTGTGGAAGGGAAAAGGAATCAAGAGCTCTTCAAACAAAATGATGACACAAAGCCAGAGAGCTGATATACCCCTCAGGTAGGACAGTAAAGTTATGTTACTGGCCTTGCCAGCTAAAGGCAAATTGCTTCTGGTGGGCCTTATGGACAGTGATGGAGAAAAAACCATTTGCCAAGTCAATGCCTGCATTCCAGGTACTGGGACATGTGTTAATTTGCTCAAGCAATGAAACCACATCTGGTACAGCAGCTGCAATTTGAGTCACCACTTGGTTAGGCTTACAATTATTCACTGTCTTTCTGCAAGCCCCACCTGTTTTCTGCATAGGCCAAATAAGAGAGTTGAATGGGGATGTGGTGGGAATCACCACCCTGCGTCTTTCAAGTTCTTGATGGTAGTGGTAATCTCTGCAATTCCTCCAGGGATGCAATATTGTTTTTGATTTACTGTTTTTCTAGGTAGAGGCAGCTCTAATGGCTTCCATTTGGCTTTTCCCACCATAATAGTCCTCACCCTACCAGTCAGGGACCCAATGTGGTGATTCTGCCAGCTGCTCAGTATATCTATGCCAATTATGCATTCTGGCACTGGGAAAATGACAACAGGATGAGTCTGGGAACCCACTGGACCTACTGTAAGTCAGACCTCAGCTAAATCTCCATTAATTACCTGACCTCCATAAGCCCCTACTTTTACTAGAGGACGACAATGACGTTTGGGTCTCCGGGAATCAACATCAGGTCAGAGACTGTGTCCAGTCCTTGAAAGGTCTGATTATTTCCCTTTCCCCAATGCATAGTTACCCTGGTAAAAGGCTGGAGGTCTCCTTGGTAAAAGATGGAAGAAAAATTAACAGCATAAATTGTTGGTAGTGTAGTGGGGTCCTTCCCCAAGGGGAACTGGCTTCCCCTTCATTCAAGGGGTTCTGGGTCTGTAAAATGGTTCAAGTCTGGAAATTGATGGAGGCGCCATGATTCTCTATTTTTATAATTCAAATTTGTCTTTTGTTCACTTGGCCTGGAAGTTTTCTGCTTATATAAATTAAGTAAGAGTGCAGTAGGCTTCCTATGAATTTCACTTCTAGGACCACTGTGATTAATTAGCCAATGCCAGAGCTCTACAAGAGTCAGACTACTCTGATTGCTGCTCTGCCTTTGCTTTCCATTATCGTACCTATGCCCACCTTGCCTTTGACGTTTGAGTGTTGCCACTTGGCCTCTGCCACCTCGGGATCCAATTATTCCCATTTTGTAGTTGAGTGACTGTGGTTCCTACTGCAAGATCTGGCATACAGAGAAGAGCAATAACAGAGCTCTTCAAGGATGCAGGTACTGTCCTCACAAATCTATTTAACAAAATATTGGTCAAGGGTACATCTTCTGAACCCTCCCAGCTAGGATGAGTAGGTCTAAATTTACTAATCCACTCCTGCATCCAAATCTCACCAAGCCTTTGGATCCCTTCCTCCACATTAAACCAAGGAAGATCAGGCATTTCCAGCTCATTCACAATATGCCATCTTTTAATCCATATTTTAGCTAACCAAGCAAATAAACTGTTGGAACCTTTTTTAATTCCCCAAACTGCAACATTGAATGCAAAGCCCCTGCTTAGTGGGCCCAAATCAATAAATTCAGCCTGATCCAATTCTATGTTCCTTCCACCATTATTCCACGCCTTTAATATCCATTCCCATGCCTGTTCTCCAGATTTCTGCTTATAAAAATTAGAAAACTCAATCAGTTCTTTTGGAGTGTAGTGTACCTCCTCGTGTGTCACACTCTGAACCTCACCTCTGGGGCCCTGCCAGGACTTTAGTCTAGTTATAGGACTAGATGCAAACAGGGGTGTTGGGGGTGGCTCCTGAGGAGAATCAGCATTGTCTTGCTGACAACTGCCTCAGGGGAGGCCATCATTGTTGCCTCAGGCAGTGCAGGGTTTATCTCCTCAGACAAAGGTGGAAAGGTTGATGGCAGCATGGGTTGGGGCAGGGGGGATGTTGCCACTACTGGGGATAGGGAAGCTGTTTTTTGTTTTCTGGCAAAAAAGTCTCATCAGAGTTTACAAGTTCAATGTCCCCAGCCTCATCAGGGTCCTCTCACACATTCCCATTCTAAGTTTCAGGGTCCTATTCTTTTTGAGTCAATGCCCTCACTTTAACAGTAGACACCTGGAAAGGCTGTGCATGCACCTTTTGTTGCAGGTCAGCCGCTTACATGATAAGAACTTGTGTCTGATTTTCCACAATTTCAGTTCTTTTCCTACAAGAGATAATACTCTCACTCAGAGCAGTCTTAGAAGGTTTAAGGCTCCGTGTCTGCTTCTGAAGCCAGGAGTTGGAATCCTTGAGTTCATCATTTTCTTTCATCCCTTTCCAGTGAACTCAGAAGCAACCAACCAACTTTATTATATCCTTGGTTCTCCACATGTGGTCAAAGGTATTATGTAGAGTAACTAACCTCCTTGCCTCTCATGAGCAGTGAAATCAGAAGTATCAAATGTGTTCATTATGCCTAACTCTCCAAACAGTTCACGGTAAGGACTATCAGTGTTCTTCATACAATTAGAAGTAGAGTCCTTAGCATTTTGAGGCCTAATCCATATTAAGTAGCCAACTCCAGAAACCCCAAACCAACAAAATAACTCCATCTTAATATTCTATTGCTCTAGAACCACTTCTGGTACCAAAATTTGTATTAGTCAGGGTTCTCTGGAGGGATAGAACTAATAGGATAGATGTATATATAAAGAGGAGTTTATTAAGGAGTATTGACTCACACAACAACAAGGTGAGGTCCCACAGTAGGCCATCTGCAAGCCGCGGAGCAAGTAAGCTAGTTTGAGTCCCAAAGCTGAAGAACTTAGAGTCTGATGTTCAAGGGCAGGGAGCATCCACCACTGAAGAAAGATGTATGACACAAGACTAAACCAGACTTGTCTTTTCACATTCCTCTGCCTGCTTTTATTCTGGTTGCACTGGCAACTGATTAGATTGTGCCCACCCATGTTGAGGGTGGGTCTGCTTTTTTCAGTCCACTGACTCAAATGTTAATCTCATTTGGCAACACCCTCACAGACACAGCCAGGACCGATACTTTGCATCCTTCAATCCAATCAAGTTGACATTCAATATTAACCATCACAGTCCCTAATTTCTTTCAGTAATGTTTTATGGTTTTTTGATGTATGTCCTTTACCTTCTTGGCTAAGTTTATTCATAAGTATTTTATTCTTTTTGATGCTATTGAAAATATAATAATTTTTTAATTGTTACTGTATACAAATACAACTGATTTTTGAATGGTAACTATGTATTCTGAAACTTTGATACATTTGTCTATTATCTCTGACAGATTATTTTTTGTGTAATATTTAGGGTTTTCTACATATAATGTTAGGTCACCTGCGAAAACAGATAATTTTCCATGTAGTTTCCAATTTGGGTGCTTGTAGGTTTTTTTCTTGCATAATCTCCTTGTTAGGGCTTCCAGGACTATGATGAATAGAAATGGCTAAAGCAGGAATCCTCAGAAGAGCTTTCAGTGTTTCACAAATGAGTACAATATTAGCTGTGGGTATTTCGTATATGGTATTTATTTAATCTTGGGAACATTTTCTTCCATTCTTAGTTTTTGAATGTTTTTATCCTGAAAGGATATTGTATTTTATTCAATGCATATTCTGTATCAATTCAGATAATGTGGCTTTATTTCTTTGGTCTGTTAGTATAGTATATTACAGTGATTGAATTTCATATATTTAATCACTCTTGGATTTTTGAGATAAATACCACTTAGATATTATGTATAATCCTTCTAATATGCTGTTGAATTAGGTTTTCTAATATTATGCTTAGGATTTTTAAATTTATAGTCAAAAAGAAACTAGCCTGTAGTTTTGTTGTATTGTCTTTATATGGCTTTGGGATGGGGTAATGTTAGTCTCACAGAATGAGTGTAAAACTATTTCCTTCTCTTCCACTTTTTTGAAAAGTTTCAAAGGAATTAGTGCCAATTGTTTCTTAAACGTCTGGTAGAATTTACCAATGAACCCATCTGATCTATCTTGGAATTTTATATGTTTGGAAGTTCTTGATTAACAATTTAATATGTTTACTTTTTACTGTTCTCTTCATATTTCCTATTTCTTCTTGTGTCAGTTTTGGTAGTTTATCTTTCTAAAAGTGAGTTTATATCATCTAGGTTAGTCAATTTTCTGATATGTAGATGCTCATAATGTTTTTTAATCCTTTTATTTTTATGAAGTTGATAATAATGTTATCCTTTTACTTTTTATTGTATTAATTTGTCTTCTTTTTCTTAGTCAATATCTTTTCAAAAACTTTCAGTTTCATTAATTTTCTCTGTTGCTTTTCTATTATCTGTTACATTTACCTCCCTGCTAATATTTATTATTTCTTTCCTCTGCTAATATTTGGTTTAGTTTGCTGTTCTTTTTATAGTTTTTAGGCATACAGTTACGTTGTTGAATGGAGATTTTAATTTTTTTTTAATTTAAGCATTTGCAGCTATAGATTTCTCAGCAGTGCTTTGGCTGCATCTCATAAGTTTTGATAGATTGTTTTGCATATTTCTTAACATTTTCCAATTACCCTTATGATTTATTCTTTAATGTTTTAGTTGTTTGAGAGGTTTTGGTTTAATTTCTGCATAATTGTGAAGTTTTTAGATTTTCTTTAGGTATTGATTTCTAATTGTATTCCATTATAATCATAAAATATTTTATATGATGGCAATATTTTAAAATTTATTAAAAATTGTTTTGTGGCCTAAAATATGATCTGTTCTACAGATTTTCTGCATGCATTTGAGAAGAATGTATGGTCGTTTGGGGTGGAATATTCAGTATATATCTTTAAGTTCTAATAGTTTTATAGTATTATTCAAGTCCTCTACTTCCTTATTAAAGTTCTGTCTGGTTGTTCTATCCATTATTGAACATGGAGCACTGAAGTCTGTTGTTAGGTGCATATATGTTTATAATTGCTATATCTTCTTGCCACATTTTGCCTTTTACCAGTGTACATCCTCTTTGTGTTTGTAACTTCTTTTTTACTTTAAGTCTGTTTTCTTTGCAATAATACAGCCACCCCAGCTCACTTTGATTTCTATTTTCATGAAAAATCTTTTTCCATTCTTTTAATTTCAACCTCTTTGTGCATTTGTAACTAAAGTGGGTCACTTATAGCCAGCATATAAATAAATCACGTTTCTCCATCATTTATGCCAATATCTGCCTTTCAATTAGAGAGTTTAATCTGTTAATATTTAAAGTAATTTTTGATTTGAAGGGGCTTACCTTTGCCATCTAGATATTTGTTTTCTGCATGTCTTATATGCATTCTACTCCTCCATTACTGCTTTATTTTTACTTTTTAAAATTTTAATGGTTCACCATTTTGATTTTCTTCTTTCTTTTCTTTATACATTTTACTTGTTTCTTATTGGTTACCATGGAGAATACAATTAGCATATTAAACTTAAGACAACTTAGTTTGAATAATACCAACTTAATTTCAGTAGTATAAAAACTGCTACTATATATCTCCTTCATTCTTCTTTTGTATTTTAATAGTCACAGATCATATTCTTACATATTATGTTTCCTTTAACATAGATTTATAATTAAAATTTTATTAATTTAGACTTTAAATTGTAGAAGAAATAAAGGATTCACAAACCCAAAGTATGATAATACCACCTTTCATATTTACCTATATAGTTACTTTTACCAGTGTTCTTTATTTCTTCATATACCTTGAAGTTATTGTCTAGTGTTCTTTTATTTTAGCCTAAAGTATTCCCTTTAGTATTTCTTGCAGGGAAGTTCTACAATTAATAATCTGTGTCAGCTTTTGCTTATCTAGTTATATTTTAATAATCCTTTATTTTTGAAGAATAGTTTTGTGAAGTATAGAATTTTTGTTGCCAGTTTTATGTCTTTAGAACTTTAAATATGTCATCTCACCTCTTGCTTGCCTTTATGGATTCTAATAAAAAATCAGTTGTTAATCTAATTGGAGATTTCTTTATGTGAAATGAATCATTTCTATCTTGCCACTTTCAAGAGGTCTCTTTGTCTTAGATTCCAACAGTTCGATTGTAATGTGTTTCAATGTGAGTCTCTTAGTTTTTCCTATTTGAAGTTCATTTAGCTTCTTTGGTGTGTAGATTCATATATTTTATCATATTTAACTTTTCATCCATTAGTTATTTATTTAAATATTTTATTTTCCCATTTCTCTTCTCCTTCTGGCATTCCCATAATGTATATGTTAATACACTTTTTGATGTTTGACATTTACTTCAGTTTCTGTTCATTTCTTTCATTATTTTTTCTCTATATTCCTCACACTAGATCATTTAAATTATCTTCAATTTTGCTGATTCATTTTTCTGCCTGCTCAAAGTTGTTGAATCCTTTTAGTGAATTTTTAATTCAATTATTGTACTTTTCATCTTCTGAGTTCCTGTTTTGTTTGTTTTTCTAATTTCTCTTTTTTATGTTTACCATTTTATTATAAAGAATATTGCAAAAGATGCACATAAATATATTCATAAGGCTAAGCATGTGGGAGGGGTGTGGAGTTTTTATGGCTCTCCTGGCATACCATCATTCAGGAAATTACATGTGTTCAACTATTCAGAAGCTCCCCAGACCCTGTCCTTTTGAGTTTTTATGAAGGCTTTATTATATAGGCATGATTGATTAAACCATTGGCTATTGGTGATCATGGTAGTCTTCAGCCCCTCTCCCTTCCCTGGAATTTGGGGAAATCTCTCAACCCTCTAATCCTGCCTTAGTGTTTCCCGTAACCAGCTCCTATCCTGAAGCTACCTTGGGGATGCCAGTCATCAGTCAACTTATTAGCATATACAAAGACATCACTTTGGAGTTTCTAAAGATTTTAGAAGTTGTATTGCTGGAAACAAGATTGAAGACTAAATATGTATTTTACAATATCACAGACTGCCCCTGGTCTTCAAATTCAAATCCCTTACATCAAAAGGACATATGACTCAGAGGACACTGCCAAATTCTAGAATTCCATATAATCATTAATCATTAGTTCAGTCCATTATATTGCATGAATCTCTTCCGGGGTAAGGCCATTAATGTTTACAGATATTCATTCAATCTTGGCAGGATACAAAAGCAGCAGTGGTCTTAGCAAACATAGCTTCACCCTTTCAGGCATCTGGCATACTTGAGCTAAGAGACAATATAATCTCTTTCTTTAAGCCTCTTTTGAGGTTTTAATGTAATATAGGATTTCCCTCAATTCAAAACCCATTTATTCATCCCTTTACCCTCAGCTATCATTCCATCTCTCCATTAATACTCAGACTTCCACCTTTGGATGAGACATTAGAATAAGCAGTCGTGTTGATCTACGTTGCAAGCACTAGTCTAGCAGGTACCTCCTCCTCAGTCCATTCACATTTAGATAGCTATTTTTACCTCCAGAAAATGTAGCTACATTCACTGTTAACTCCAATTTTGCCAGATGCGGTGAAGGCAACATCCACCCGCATCTGGCCTTTTGAAATTCTGACATAAAGCTTTAATACATAGTTATAGTTTCTTTCTTAAAAATCGTCTCTGCTTTCAGCACTTGTTTTTACTGCCCTGGTCCTAGAACCACTGCATCAAACAGGAGAAATATTTTTTTGAGGTTATGTAGGGAAAAAGTATAGTCCTTGTATTAATATACTCCTCTCTTGGCAAGGGTCACATAGTCACACTAGCATCCTTTCCCATCCCCTCTTCACAAAAACCACAGAAATGTGAAGGAATCTAACCAATGGGAACCTTCCCTTAACCTCACTTATGTTGAGTGTGGTCACACATTTATGAAGCCCTGTGCTCACATTCATAAGCCATTCCGTTATTCTTTTATCTCCCCTTGTTTTAGGCAGCCAATGTTTTCATTGCCTGTTTCACTTTTCTATCAAACTATTACTCTGAAAGGAGATATCTTTGCCCACTGTTGAACGTTATTGCCTGTATGGTGGGTCTCTCAGCCTGAAGTAATGATGCTTGCCCATTCACATCTATGCAATATCTTCTGTTCTGGTTTTCTTACAACACTCTGAACATTTGCAACTTCCACAGGATAATCAAAGCCTAGTCCAGAACCTACCTGTTTCTTCCTGTCAAGACCCATTTGTAGCTCCCTCAGGTCTACGAGCTTCAGTCCCACTTGCCAGCTAGTTTTATGGCCTTCCCACCAGGGAATCTGCCACATAACCATTGGCAGGCTCTGTCTCTTTGCTGGCATACATAAGAATTTTTATTGTTGTTATGTGTCTAATAGGGTGTAAGAGAAACATGTCTAGATTAAGTTCATCTCTTAATTGCTGAAATATGCCTATATCCACTCATTTCATGGACCCAGGCAGCCACTTCAAGGGATCGCATGGTGGATGGATATCAGCTTGTCAATTCTAATTACCTTCTGAACCTGAAAAGGGGCTATTCTGATAAGCATAGACATGTTCTACTTTAATGAACTCCTCAAATTTCCATAAGGTCATATGGGCATCCCATTAATAAGCCAGATTTTCATTGCCCTTCTGCCTGATCATGTGGCCCAGCCATTGGCCACTGCCCGTGAATCAACAAAAACCCAAGCACAGGGGCTTTTATTATTTATTAATTTATTTATTTTACAGAATGCAGTTCATCCCACCAGGGTTATTTTGTTGTTGCTGTTACCTTTTTTTGTTGTTGTTGTTAAACTTGTTCGTTTTATTGGTGCATTTCCTGTAAAAATAATCTCTATATCAGTCTATCATATTTGACTTGATTTAGGGCATTAGAATTTTTTTTTATTATTTTATTTTAAGTTCTAGGGTACATGTGCACAAAGTACAGATGTGTTACATAAGTATACATGTGCCGTGTTGGTTTGTTGCACCAATTAACTAGTCATTTACATTAGCTATTTCTCCTAATACTATCCCTCCCCCTGCCCCCCACCCCACAACAAGCCCCCATGTGTGATGTCCCCCGCCCTGTGTCCAAGTGTTCTCATTGATCAATTCCCACCTATGAGTGAGAACATGTGGTGTTTGGTTTTCTGTCCTTGTGATAGTTTGCTCAGAATGATGGCTTCTAGCTTCATCCACGTCCCTGCAAAGGACATGAACTCGTCCTTTTTTATGGCTGCATAGTATTCCATGGTGTATATGTGCCACATTTTCTTAATCCAGTCTATCATTGATAGACATTTGGGTTGGTTTCAAGTTTTTGCTATTGTGAATAGTGCTGCAATAAGAATACATGTGCATGTGTCTTTATAGTAGCATGATTTATAATCTTTTGGGCATATACCCAGTAATGGGATGGCTGGGTCAAATGGTATTCTAGTTCTAGATCCTTGAGGAATCGCCACACTGTCTTCCACAGTGGTTGAACTAGTTTACACTCCAACCAACAGCGTAAAAGCATTCCTATTTCTCCACATCCTTTTGAGCATCTGTTGTTTCCTGACTTTTTAATGATCACCATTCTAACTGGTGTGAGATGGTATCTCATTGTGGTTTTGATTTGCATTTCTCTGATGACCAGTGATGATGAGCATTTTTTCATGTGTCTGTTGGCTGCATAAATGTCTTCTTTTGAGAAATGTCTGTTCATATCCTTTGCCCACTTTTTGATGGGGTTGTTTTTTTCTTATAAATTTGTTTAAGTTCTTTGTAGATTCTGGAGATTAGCCCTTTGTTAGATGGGTAGATTGCCAACATTTTCTCCCATTCTGTAGGTTGCCTGTTCACTCTGATGGTAGTTTCTTTTGCAGTGCAGAAGCTCTTTAGTTTAATTAGACCCCATTTATCTATTTTGGCTTTTGTTGCCATTGTTTTTGGTGTTTTATTCATGAAGCCCTTGCCCATGTCTATGTCCTGAATGGTATTTGCTAGGTTTTCTTCTAAGGCTTTTATGGTTTTAGGTCTAAAATTTTAGTCTTTAATACATCTTGAATTAAGTTTTGTATAAGGTGTAAGGAAGGGATACAGTTTCAGCTTTCTGCATATGGCTAGCCAGTTTTCCCAGCACCATTTATTAAATAGGGAGTCTTTTCCCCATTTCTTGTTTTTGTCAGGTTTGTCAAAGATCAGATGGTTGTAGATGTGTGGTGTTATTTCTGAGGCCTCTGTTCTGTTCCATTGGTCTATCTCTCTGTTTTGGTACCAATACCATGCTGTTTTGGTTACTGTAGCCTTGTACTATAGTTTGAAGTCAGGTAATGTGATGCCTCCAGCTTTGTTCTTTTTGCTTAGGATTGTCTTGGCGATGCAGGCTCTTTTTTGGTTCCATACAAACTTTAAAGTAGTTTTCTCCAGTTGTGTGAAGACAGTCATTGATAGCTTGATGGGGATGGCATTGAATCTATAAATTACCTTGGGCAGTATGGCCATTTTCACGATATTGATTCTTCCTATCCATGAGCATGGAATGTTCTTCCATTTGTTTGTATCCTCTTTTATTTCATTAAGCAGTGGTCTGCAGGTCTCCTTGAAGAGGTCCTTCACATCCCTTGTAAGATGGATTCCTAGGTATTTTATTCTCTTTGTAGCAATTGTGAATGGGAGTTCACTCATGATTTGGCCCTTTGTTTGTCTGTTATTGGTGTATAGGAATGCTTGTGATTTTTGCACATTGATTTTGTATCCTGAGACTCTGCAGAGGTTGCTTATCAGCCTAAGGAGATTTTGGGATGAGACACTGGGGTTTTCTAAATATACAGTCATGTCATCTGCAAACAGGGACAATTTGACTTCCTCTTTAACTAATTGAATGCCCTTTATTTCTTTCTCCTGCCTGATTGCCCTGGCCAGAGCTTCCAACACTACGTTGAATAGGAGTGGTGAGAGAGGGCATCCCTGTCTTGTGCCAGTTTTCAAAGGGAATGCTTCCAGTTTTTGCCCATTCAGTATGATATTGGCTGTTGGTTTGTCATAAATAGCTCTTATTATTTTGAGATATGTCCCATCAATACCTTGTTTATTGAGACTTTTTAGCATGAAGGGATGTTGAATTTTGTCAAAGGCCTTTTCTGCAGCTATTGAGATAATCGTGGTTTTTGTCGTTGGTTCTGTTTATGTGATGGATTACATCTATTGATTTGTGTATGTTGAATCAGCCTTGCATCCCAGGGATGAAGCCCACTTGATCATGGTGGATAAGCTTTTTGATGTGCTGCTGGATTTGGTTTGCCAATATTTTATTGAAAATTTTCGCATCGATGTTCATCAGGGATATTGGTCTAAAATTCTCTTTTTTTTGTTGTGTCTCTGCCAGGCTTTGGTATCAGGATGATGCTGGCCTCATAAAATGAGTTAGGGAGGATTCTCTCTTTCTCTATTGATTGGAATAGTTTCAGAAGGAATGGTATCAGCTCCTCTTTGTACCTCTGGTAGAATTCAGCTGTGAATCCGTCTGGTCCCGGACTTTTTTTGATTGGTAGGCTATTAATTATTGCCTCAATTTCAGAGCCTGTTATTGGTATATTCAGAGATTCAACTTCTTCCTGGTTTAGTCTTGGGAGGGTGTATGTGGCGATGAATTTATCCATTTCTTCTAGATTTTCTAGTTTATTTGTGTAGAGGTGTTTATAGTATTCCCTGATGGTAGTTTGTATTTCTGTGAGATCAGTGGTGATAACTCCTTTATCATTTTTTATAGTGTCTATTTGATTCCTCTCTATTTTCTTCTTTATTAATCTTGCTAGAAGTCTATCAATTTTGTTGATCTTTTAAAAAAAACAGCTTCTGGATACATTGATTTTTTTGAAGAGTTTTTTGTATCTCTATCTCCTTCAGTTTTGCTCTGATCTTAGTTATTTCTTGCCTTCTGCTAGCTTTTGAATTTGTTTGCTCTTGCTTCTCTAGTTCTTTTAATTGTAGTATTAGGGTGTCGATTTTAGGCCTTTCCTGCTTTCTCTTGTGGGCATTTAGTGCTATAAATTTCCCTCTACACACTGCTTTAAATGTGTCCCATTATTTACCCTGTAGTCTTTCAGGAGCAAGTTGATCAGTTTCCATGTAGTTGTGCGGTTTTGAGTGAGTTTCTTAATCCTGAGTTCTAATTTGATTGCACTGTGGTCTGAGAGACAGTTTGTTGTGATTTCTGGTCTTTTAATTTGCTGAGGAGTGCTTTACTTCCAACTATGTGGTCAATTTTGGAATAAGTGCAATGTGGTGCTGAGAAGAATGTATATTCTGTTGATTGGGGTGGAGAGTTCTGTAGATGTCTATTATGTCCGCTTGGTGCAGAGCTGAGTTCAAGTCCTGGATATCCTTGTTAACCTTCTGTCTGGTTGATCTGTCTAATATTGCCAGTGGGGTGTTAAAGTCTCCCATTATTATTGTGTGGGAGTCTAAGTCTCTTTGTAGGTCTCTAAGGACTTGCTTTATGAATCTGGGTGCTCCTGTACTGGGTGCATCTATATTTAGGATAGTTAGCTCTTCTTGTTGAATTGATCCCTTTACCATTATGTAATAGCCTTGTTTGTCTCTTTTGATCTTTGTTGGTTTAAAGTCTATATTATCAGAGATGGATTGCATCCCCTGCTTTTTTTTTTTTTTTTTTTTTTTTTTTTTTTTGCTTTCCATTTGCTTGGTAACTCTTTCTCCATCCCTTTATTTTGAGCCTATGTGTTTCTCTGCATGTGAGATGGGTCTCCTGAATACAGCACAGTGATGGGTCTTGACTCTTTACCCAATTTGCCAGTCTGTGTCTTTTAATTGGGGCATTTAGCCCATTTACATTTAAGATTAATATGGTTATGTGTGAATTTGATCCTGTCATTATGATGTTAGCTGGTTATTTTGCCCATTAGTTAATGCAGTTTCTTCCTAGCATCAATGGTCTTTACAATTTGGTATGTTTTTGCAGTGGCTGGTACTGGTTGTTACTTTCCATGTTTATTGCTTCTTTCAGGAGCTCTTGTAAGGCAGGCCTGGTGGTGACAAAATCTCTCAGCCTTTGCTTTTCTGTAAAGGATTTTATTTCTCCTTCATTTATGAAGCTTAGTTTGGCTGGATATGAAATTCTGTGTTGAAAATTCTTTTCTTTAAGAATGTTGAATATTGGCCCCCCACTATCTTCTGGCTTGTAGAGTTTGTGCCAAG
Organism: Homo sapiens; assembly: GCF_000001405.40. Lineage (NCBI taxonomy): Eukaryota > Metazoa > Chordata > Mammalia > Primates > Hominidae > Homo > Homo sapiens. The sequence goes on along the minus strand of NC_000023.11, from coordinate 92,717,359 downwards.
AGATCCGCTGTTGGTCTGATGGGCTTCCCTTTGTGGGTGACCCCACCTTTCTCTCTGGCTGCCCTTAACATTTTTTCCTTCATTTCAACCTTGGTGAATCTAACAATTATGTGTCTTGGGTTTGCTCTTCACGAGGAGTATCTTTGTGGTGTTCTCTGTATTTCCTGAACTTGAATGTTGGCCTGCATTGCTAGACTGGGGAAGTTCTCCTGGATAATATTCTGAGGAGTGTTTTCTAACTTGGTTCCATTCTGCCCGTTACTTCAGGTACACCAATCAAACATAGATTTGGTCTTTTCACATAGTCCCATATGTCTTGGAGGCTTTGCTCGTTTATTTTTACCCTTTTTTTCTCTAAACTTCTCTTCTCGCTTCATTTCATTCATTTGATCTTCAATCACTGATACGCTTTCTTCCACTTGATCGAATCGGCTACTGAAGCTTGTGCCTGTGTCACATAGTTCTCATGCCATGGTTTTCAGCTCCATCAGGTCATTTAAGGTCTTCTCTATACTGTTTATTCTAGGTAACCATTCGTCCAATCTTTTTTCAAGGTTTTTAGCTTCCTTGCAATGGTTTCAAACATCCTCCTTTAGCTCGGAGAAGTTTGTTATTACTGACCTTCTGAAGCCTACTTTTGTCAGCTTGTTGAAGTCATTCTCCATCCAGGTTTGTTCCATTGCTGGTGAGGAGCTGCGATCCTTTGGAGGAGAAGAGGCGCTGTGGTTTTTAGAATTTTCAGCTTTTCTGCTCTGGTTTCTCCCAATCTTTGTGGATTTATCTACCTTTGGACTTTGATGATGATGCTGGTGACCTATAGATGGGGTTTTGGTGTGGATGTCCTTTTTGTTGATGTTTATGCTATTCCCTTCTGTTTGTTAGTTTTCCTTGTAACAGTCAGGTCGCTCAGCTGCAGGTCTGTTGGAGTTTGCTGGAGGTCCACTCCAGACACTGTTTGCCTGGGTATCACCAGTGGAGGCTGCAGAACAGCAAATATTGCTGGCTGATCCTTCCTCTAGAAGCTTTGTCCCAGAAGGGCACCGGCTTGTATGAGTTGTCAGTCGGTCCCTACTGGGAGGTGTCTCCCAGTTAGGCTACTTGGGCGTGAGGGACCCACTTGAGGAGGCAGTCTGTCCATTCTCAGAACTCAAATACCATGCTGGGAGAACCCCAACTCTTTTCAGAGCTATCAGACGGGGACGTTTAAGTCTGCAGATGTTTTTGCTGCCTTGTGTTTAGCTATGCCCTGTCCCCAGAGGTGGGGTCCGTCCAGTTTGAGCTTCTCCAGAGGCTTTGTTTACCTACTCAAGTCTCATTTGTTTATCTACTCAAGCCTCAGCCATGGCGGACGCCCCTTCCCTGCCAGGCTGCTGCCTAGCAGGTCGATCTCAGACTGCTGCGCTAGCAGTGAGCAAGTGGGCATTACCTTCTTTAATCAGACTGGCATCCTTCCAAATAGGATGTCAGCTGTTTACCTCAGAATTGTCATTTACATCCCAAGCAGCTCTTTGTTAGTCAGAAGAGGGTTGTTTATAGGGCACTTTCAAACTTTTGATAGAATCCAGCAGCTTTGGACAGAGTTTCTTAGTCATTTCTAGGGAAAAAGAGGTTTCCTGCTCAAGAGTATCTTCTTTTTGGATTCCCCAGGTAGCAAGATTCTGTATAAACAATTTCAGTTTTATTATGAAACTCTTCTGGCCACTGCTACTATGTTAGAGTATTTCTCTGATATCACCCAAGATAGTTTGGTATTCGAGGTTTATAAAATGAAGGGGAGCTTCATTTCAGTCATAAAGGGTAGCTTCACTTAATGTCCCATAGTAAAGCACCAAATGTCCTGCAAGTAAAAAGATTTTAATCCAAACTTCCAGGTAATCATCACAGAGAGGCACTCACCCGCTTTTGCCATAAGCTCTACCTCTGCTAACACTTGTTGACCTAAATGGAAGAAGCTGGGGCAAAATTAACAAAAGTAGAGATTTTATTGGGTCCAAAATTGAGAATTTGCACCCTGAGAGCATAGATTCATATTGTCCTGAATATGGCAGGACAACTTCAATTGGCAGCAGTTACAGGTGGATTTGTAAAGAAAAGAAGAGTCAGTTTCTGAGTTGTTTCCCCGGAATTTACATTAAAATTACATAAGCTATTGATCAGCTATACATTGTTCTTTTTATCACGAATTCCAGGAACATAAAAATAATGGGTGAGACAGCTATTCAGAAACAAAATGACTTTTAAAAATTTTCTCCAGGCATAAGTGTGAGCAGAGGGAGATGACTAAAATCCTGTACTCATTTTCTCTTGGTTCTGCATACCTCACACAGTTCAGATTGCTCTGAGCTATTTTTCTTTTCTCTCACTGCACAGAGGGCTATTAAAGGGAGAGTTTATTCCTACCAGAACTCCAGCTTCTATTCTACATTGTGTGGGCTCAGAAAATCTTGCTGATTTCTGTTTAACATGATGTCCAATTAATATTGCTAAATTGGCATATTTATATTTCTTCTATTTTACACAACTGGGTAGGAGATTTCCCATTCAGATACAATGTCCATGCTCATTATACAATCAAGTAAAGGAGACATTACCACTTCATATAAATCATGTTCACATGTACAAACTCGCCTATAAACTTTTCATTTTATCAACTCTTACTTTCCCACCTGTAACCTCCATTAGAACTTTATCAATTGGTTTTTGTTTTATGATATTAGGTAGGAAAAGTGTTCCCCACTCAGATATAATATCCAGTTTCATAAAATGTTTAGCTAAAGGAGACACGACTTCTTTACATAAAACCTGTTAAGGCATTCCAACCTTTATAATTATATCAACCTTTACATTTTTATATTCTAGTCCTAGGAACTTCTCTTCTCCACCCCCAGATCATTTTATCCCCTCTTGTGTAAAAAAGCTTTAGGTCCCCAGTGAAACTGCCTTTGAAAAAATTATAACTGAGAAAATTATGACAGTGAAAGAGATCTGACCTAACTGACTCCATCTTGCTTGTTGTCTCTAAGCTGTCCTTGTCCATTCCTGGGCTGGGCATAGGCTGAACTAACTTTGGGAAAACTGAGTCTATAGTTTAACTTTCAAACAAAGATGATAACAGCTTATTTTCCAAAACAAACTCCCTTCCTGGCTGGGGACTAGACTGCTTTGCAGGGCTAGCAAATTAGCTACACAATTAGAAATTATGGTTGAGAAGTCATGCAGCTTCTGGCTGCAAGATGAGGAACCTCCCAAAATTGCTCCTGGAGATAACATCACTATTGTAAAACCCAAGATCAGTGCTTGAGATATTTTGCAGACCCTGTCCTCAATAGGTCAGCTGGCACAACCCAGATCAATAAACTGGCTCATCTGGTCTTGTGGCCACAATCCAGAATCTGACTCAGCACGAGAAGACAGCCTTGATTCCCTATGACTTTATCTCTGACCCAACAAATCAGCACTCCCCACTTACTCTCCGCTACCCCCCAAGTTATTCTTAAAATAAACTCAGTCTCTGAACTTTCAGGGAGACTGATTTGAGTAATAATAACACTCCAGTCTCCTGTTCGGCCAGCTCTGCGTGAGTTAAACTCTTTCTCTATTGGCATTTCCCTGTCTTGATAAATTTGCTCACTCTGGGCAACAGACAAGAAAAACCCACTGGCCAGTTACACTCTCACAATCCATTTTAGTAAAGGCTTCTCAGAAATTTGATGATACAGATTTACAAAATGAAACAATTTTTTTTCACACTATACCCACTGGTTCCAATCATTACTTGGTTTTTCCCTTCCCCCACATTGACTACCTTCTTAGTAACCACAGGTCTTAGAAGTACTGTCTGTTGTCCCTGCATAATTTTTACCTTGGGCATCAGCTTAGAGGCTAGTGGCTAAAGCTCAGACTCACTGAAATCTGTGCTTGTGATAGAATAAAGGTCTTACTCAGTACTCTCTTTTAGTTTCATTTCAGCTTTCACAGATAACAACCAAGGGCTTGAATGTTTTGCTTTTTTTTTTTTTAACTAATAGGTTGTATTTTTTAATGCATCTAGTGAACTGTTGTGAAAAAATTTAATATTTGTAAAATCTCTGAGGAGATTTATTCTGAGCCAAATATGAGTAACCAAAGGCCTGTGACACAGCCCTCAGGAGGTCCTGAGAACATGTGTCCAAGGGTGGTCTGGCCATAAATTGGTCTTACACATTTTATGGAGAAATAAGTTATCAATCAATACATTTAGGATGTACGTTGGTTTGGTCCAGAAAGGGGGGACAACTGGAAGTGGAGGGCTTTCAAGTCATAGGCGGACTCAAAGATTTTCTGACTGGCAATTGGTTGGAAGAGCGATTATTGATAGAAAGGAATGTCTGGGTTATGATAAGGGGTTTTAGAGACAAAGGTTTTATCATGCAGATGAAGCCTCCAGGTAGCAGGCTTCAGACAGAATAGATTGTAAATATCTCTTATTAGACTTAAAGAATCTGTTCTATCAGTAGTTCCAAAAGGGAGGAGGGTGTAATGAGTCATGTCTGGCTTCACCTTACCATCATGGCCTGAACAAGTTTCTCAGGTTAACTTTGGAATTCCCTTGGCCAAAGAGAGTAATTCATGTATATGGTTGGGGGAACCTTATTATTTTATTTTTGGTTTACAGAACCAAGTCCATGGGAGCTAGGTTCATCTCTGAATTCCACTGGTAAATTTTACCTTTAGTAACTAATTGCAGCACATCCATGGCTCCAAACCATGGTGACCACATGTCCCCTAAGGAATCAAAGATTCCTTATCACCACCCTTTTATTCTTTCTCGTCCCAAACCATCTGTTTCTGTGAGCCAGGACTCTTCTAGTAAACCCCATTTCACTGACTCAGTTGAGAGTAGAAAAAACTCACACACAAACTCAAAGTGCAGTTTCTATTCTCTCATCAACAACAATCAACACAGAAGACTTCTGTGACAAAATGTGTGGGGATTTCTCTCCACCAACAAGCTAGCAATCACTTCTACAGTTCACATCAGCTAGGTTTCCTCTAATTCCGTTCTATTCTGACAATGTCTACTTGAATATAGTCTCAGATCCCACAAGCTGAGGTCTCAATCCCCACGACTGTATTCCCCCTCCACATGCCAATTGCAAGCTCCAGGTTGTTTTACCTGTACATCTTACCAACTGGTTATAAATCAGAGATCCCGTAACCCCCTCCTTTGGTTCGATCAATTTGCTAGATCAGCTTACAGAACCCAGGGAAACATTTACTTATATCTTCCATCTTATTATAAAGGATATCCCAAAAGATTGGCCATGGCAGAGAGGCCCACTGGGTTCAACCAACAGGACAAATGTGGCCAAGTGTGGCGGTCATGACCTGAAATTATCTGGCTCAGTTGGAACCTTATTCTACCCAAGCCAGCTCACCTCTGTGGCTAGCATCTTATAAAAAGATGCATATGGCAAAGCATATGGAAAGGAGTACAAAGCTTTCATGCCCTCACCAGGTGTGCCATCTGATAATTTGGTTCTGTGTCCCCACTCAAATCTCATGTTGAATTGCGATCCCCAGTGTTGGAGTTGGGGCCTGGTGGCAGGTCATTGGATTATGGGGTTGATTTCTATGGGTTTAGCACCATCCACCTAGTGCTGTCTCATGATAGAGTTCTCATGAGATCTGGTTATTCAAAAGTGTGTAGCACCTCCCCCTTCTCTCTCTCTGTCTCCTGCTCTGGCCATGTGAAAACAATGCCTGCTTCCCCTTCACCTTCCACCATGATTATAAGCTTTCTGAGGCCTCCCCAGGAACAGAAGCCTGTACAGACCACAGAAACATGAGCCAATTAAACCTGTTTTCTAAATAAATTACCCAGCCTCAGGTACGTCTTTATATCAGTGTGAGAATGGACTAATACACCACCCTCCAGGAACCTTCATAGGTTCCACTGTCTGAAAGCTCTTTCTATCTCTTTTCTGACGTTTGCTGTTTGTTCAGACATCGTTCTTCCAAATACCTTAAATTCATTTTCTATGCTTTCCTTTTGCTCTTTGAGCATATTTCAGACATTTTATTTAACGTATTTTACTATAAATGCAAATGTTTGGGCTTCCTCAGAGATGGTTTTTGTCAATTTTTTTCCTGTGAGTGGGCTATGTGTTTCATTTTTCTTTTTTTTTTTTTTTGGTATGCTTTGTAATTTTATTATTGTTGCTGTTGTTTGGAACTGTACATTTTGAATATCATAATTTGGCAATTCTGGAAATCATATTTTCTTATTCCTAAGGGATTGCATATTTTTGCTTGCTGAGAGATGCCATTATACATTTGTTCAGTGATTTTTCCAAACTATTTTTGCGAAGTTTGTATTCCTTGTTGTGTATGGTCACTGAGATTTCTGTTTCATTATCTCTGCCATAAGCCAGTGCAGGTTCACTGCACTTAAGGTAGAAATCCTAAGCCAAAACTTTATAAGCCTGAAGTCAGCATTTTCTTTCATTAAACTCTCTACTACGGTCAGAAACAAACATCTAACCCTCAAACCTAGATTATTCATTCCAAAAATAACAGTCTATCACAATTGCTATTCATTACAGTTATCAGTAAAACCGTAACTATTTGCCACTGTGTCCTATGAACTAACAGTGATACATTTTCCAATAGTAACAGGATTGTCATAGCTTTATACATGCCAAGGCCAGATAACCAATACTAGATTACCAATTTTGAAGTTTTATTGCCTATAATTACTTCTAGTATCAAGCACTGTAGTATCAATCAGGGCTCAGTTTAGGTAATAGAAGTCACTTAAAAAAAAGAAATTGAACATAATAAATTTAGTATTTATGAGGTTACTGCAAGAATTAGAGAGTAAAGATTAAGGCTGTACCTCCAGAAACAATACCTACTACTCCTAAGAAAATATGTCAGAATCACTACTACCTTCATCATAATCACAAAGGTAAGGAATCAGAAAGCTTGGCCCTAAAACATGAGCTTTAATGTAATCTTATTGAAGCCATGATCCAGGGATTAGAAAGAATGTTTAGGAAGCTATGACTACTACTATAATTACTACAACTGTGGTAGGCCGGGTCGCCATGAGGAACCAGAGAGGTCAGCCTTCACCAACACCCTTCAGTTACTCTGATAAAAGTGTAAGTTAAACACTAAAGAACTGGAGAAACTAGCACCTTAGAACAAAGGCTAGAATGTAAAACAAGGCATTTAACACCCCACCTGGGCTTCCTCAGAACTTAGAGTTTGATTGAAATAATGGAAAAGTTCTTACACACTTTGTACACCTTGTACCAGGATCCACTTTAGATTAAGTAATTCTTCCAAAGCTCTAAAGTAATTTTTCAGATCCCAGCCCCTAGTTAAAGATTAAACAGGGTGAAACACTTTGGCTTGCAGGTGCACTCTCACACATAGGCATATGGTCTGAATTTATATGAGCACTGAAGAAAAACCTTGTAACTTTTAGTTGGTCTGGTGAGTTACTCCAACCTTCTGTCTGTAGCCAGTTGCAGAAATAAACTCCCTTCTTTCCCAGTCTGTCTGCGTCTTGTTATTGGACCACAAGAACAAGCAGCCAAACCTTGTCCTGTCTGGGAACATGACTGTCTAGGAAATGAGATGTGAAATCTAGCCACCATGATAGCCTGTATTTTTCTCAACACTCATGATGCTTATAAACAGATTAAAAAATGTTAGTCCATTATTATTGCTGTAACTGCCACTTTCATTGCTAAAACTGGAAATTGAACAACAGAATCTTCACATACATTGTTTGCCAGCCAGAAAATGGCAAAAGTTATTTTGGAAGGTCTATGCCTTATTTCAGCCCTCAAATCTTACGTAACTGCAACTTATTAGTAAAACTTAATTTGACTCTATGATAGCTTTCTATTACTACATAACAAGTTACTACGGTTTAAAACAACATTCACTTTTTAGCCCGCATTTATGTAGTTCAGAAATCTGTCATGTCATAGTTGATTTCTCTGCTCAGCATATTACAAGGCTGGCATCAAAATGTCAGTCTGAGTTCAGGTTTGGATGGTTTGGAAACCTATGTAATTCTAGCTCATTCAGGTTGTTGGCAAAATTTAGCTTCATGAGGTTGTAAGACATAGGTCCACATTTCCTTAATGGCTGTCAGTCAGGGGTCACTCTTAAATCCTAGAAGCCACTCTCTAGTCCTTGCACACGGTCCTGCTCCTCTTCAAAGCCAGAAATGTGAGTCCATTAAATCTTTCTCCTGCTTCAAAGCCTTTCGATATTCTTTTCTACATTTAAACAAAATGTTTTGCTTTATGCTAGCCAAAATAAGCTAGACACATAAAGAAAAATATTGTATAATCTCACATACATGTGGAATCTAAAAAAGTCAAACTTACAGAAACAGAGGGCAGAATGGTGGGTGCTAAGAGCTGGGGTTTGGAGGGAATGAAGGATGGTCAAAGTGTATAAACTTCCAGTTATAAGACTATCATGTTCTGGGAACCTAATGGATCCTATCTGTGTTGATAGATGTATTAATTTATTTGATTGCAACAATTATTGCAAAATATATGCATATATCAAAACATCATGTTGTACACTTCTAATGCATACAATCTTTGTCAAATAAATATTTTAAAAGAAAGGAGGGGCTCACTTGATTGGGTCGTGTTCACTCAGATAATCACCATATATTAATGTCCATTAACTTAAGACTTAAATTACACCTATACAATGCCTTTGCAACCATACCTAGATTAATATTTGATTCAGTAACCAAGAATGAAATCTTGGGGCCAGAGAGAGCAGCTAGAATTCTGTCTACGTACAGCCGACATAACCGTAGTTGCAAGGAATATCTGGAGATATATATTTCCAGTTACTGTAGTACTAAAAATATCACACTACAAATAACTTTGAATTTTGTCATTTGAACATTTCCAGCCTAGGATGTTTGGAATAAACAGGAGATATATTTTTAAAGTGGTGTATTTATGAAACTGCAAGAAGTTTAGTATGATTATATTGAAGGGTAGCCACATGATGAGAGAAAGAGGAAAAAAATGAGCCTCTAAATGTGGCTTGGGGAAAATTGTCAAGAACTATGTATGAATTTGTAGGAATGTTGAACTTCTTTCTGCAGACAATGGAAAGTTGTGTAGGATAGAGTTTAAAATAATAAATATTGAATTGGTATCAGAATCAATAAATATTGGTTTACATTCCAGTTGCAACGCTTACTAACTTTATTCATCTGCTCAGATTATTTGAATTTTCTGAGTATCAATATCCTTGTGTATAAAGGAGGATGATAACAGTAATCTATTACTTGAAGAACATTTTTAAACAACTACACGTCAAGTGAATAGAATACACATCGCACTTCAACATGCTAACTTTCATTGACATTAAATATATTGAATAGGAGAGTTATGTTATCTATTATGTGTTTTTTAAAATAAAACTCAAAAATTAATTTGGACAATAGGTTATTATGAAGAAAAGATGAGAAACAGTTAGGCAAGTTAGCAAAGGTCCTAATAAGAGATGAAAATAATATGTAAGCTAAGACACTATTGATGAAAATAAAGAGGAAAAGACAAAATCACTTCAGAAATAGATTTAGGTTTTCTGTGTTAATTTATTTAATTCACAGATGTTTTCAATCAGCCAAGCATAATGCCTACTAGGACAAAGCTCATTCTACGCACGATTGCGAGCAAGACTCCTGCTGGAGGAAGTGACCCCTGGTTTTTTCTTGATTATGTTCTTCCCACATGATGTTTCACTTTATGCTTCTCTACAACCAGTACGCCAAAACAGGAGATTAGACTACAAATGGTCACTTGACCAAGAAAAGCCATTTCCTATACTAATCAGTAGCCCATGAGATGACAAAACATAAATAATTCTGGCTAAATATAGATAAACTGGTCCAATCAGATTATGTTTTAAGGAACTTAAACTAGGAGTCCAAAGAGAATGGGATAGTTAATATGGGGAAGTAAGACTGAAACTATGCACAAAGAGGGGCAAAAAGGCAAGAAGGACCATGAGAAATAATAAAGTTCATGGGTCAAAATGATAAGCACACGGAAATTTTGAGTAAATTGGGGCTAATTTTGTAGGACATCAATCTTACACACAAAATGAATTCGTGAAAAAAACAAATTTGGGGATATTGGGGTATGGTGAGTTATGCATAGTAAATCTGGTTAATATCAGCTCAAATAAGAAATATATTGAATGGGGTAAAAAAATCAATGCATAGAATATGACATGAATAGATACAAATAAAATATCAAAACCAGAAGAGTACCTGAGTTAAATTAATAATTGAACATTAAATTGAAAATCCATTCTAAATTGCTGCAGAGATTTCTAGAATAGTCTTTGACAGTCCATAATATAGTCTCAGAAATATGCTATGATTCCTATCTCTGTGAAATATGACCAATGTCTTTTGGGCTTTTTATGAGTCTCAGTACATGTTTCTGCATATGTCTCCTTACATTATGCTTATAACTTGAACTAGTCATTGAGAGACTCTGTTCCTTTCCACTAGAATAGATACATATAAAATAATGAAGCTTTTACCTGCCTCTCTCTTTGGTATTATATTCTATTTATTAGTCTTTCTATTCCTTTATTTATTTTTTATTTATTTTATTTTTTTTTGAGACAGAGACTCGCTCTGTCGCCCAGACTGGAGTGCAGTGACGCGATCTCGGCTCACTGCAACCCCCGCCTCTCAGGTTCAAGCGGTTCTTCTGCCTCAGCCTCCCAAGTAGCTGGGACTACAGGCGCGCGACACCATTGCCAGCTAATTTTTGTATTTTTAGTAGAGGCAGGGTTTCACCATATTGGCCCCAGACTGGTCTGGAACTCCTGACCTCGTGATCCACCTGCCTCGGCCCCCCAAGGTGCTGGGATTAAGGGCGTGAGTCACTGCGCCCGGCCCCTATTCCTTGAATTTTTAAAATCTCCCTGTGTCAGGTTTTCCTTCTGTGTCTACAAACATGGCTCAGCTCTTCCTAAACCAAAAAATCATTTACAAACTCCTATCACCTCTTCAACGTACTATCTTGTCTATTTTTCATAGTTCCACATTTCCTCTAGAGAAGATTTCACACCAATTTTCTTCACTTTCTCACCACCCGTTTATAATTATGCTTATTACAATCAGTCTCTTTACACCACTGCTCTACTGAAACTGCCTTATGAGATACTACAAATGAGTTTCCGGTTTCCGGATCCAATCACCTTTGTTGGTATTCATTCTTCTTGACATTTCTGCAGCATTTGACCCTGTTGATAATGCCATACTTCCAGGAATTTCTCTTACTTTGCCTTCTATAATACTATATTCTCCTCATTTCTATCTGACTGACTCTTCTGTATCCTTTTGCAGCTTCTCTTACTCTGTCAGCCTGCTAAATATATATAACACAAATTGCACTATCTTGTTATCACATTTGCTGACAAGGTTTACTCCAGTCTCCCTACAATGAGTGCCCCGATAATTTTTTAGAAAACCTTATGAGTGCTCCACTCCCAATGTATCTGCATTATTCTCTTAGGTGCTACATAATAATCACTGCCATTCAGCTAAGTACAGTAGTTCTCTAATTCTAATGGTTGCCGCTCTGCCTACTGCAGCAGGCATTACTTCAGTACCATAGAACAGACTGTTGCCACTGATACGATGCCCCTGCTTTTCTGGTTATTGTAGTCTTTCTACTTGATCTGCTAGGCACAACAGTTATCTTTCAGTTGCCAAAGCTAAAAAGGTTTGCATGGCAGTGTGATGAAGAGTAACTCCTTATTTCTTTTACCATTTGTTGTAGAAATTCCTAAGAATTATTCTTGTGTGTCTATATCTTAAAGAACATTCATTGAAAGATCTCTCCATAGGTCTCAGACAATCTAACTGAATTAGGGTGAGGAGACTAAACATAATAATGGCAAACATTTGTTAAGGACTTAACAAGTCTCAAGAACTGTCTTATATACTTACTGTATTTTAACTTTTTAAATTACTACAACTAACTTCTGGTGTAGTATTATTTTCCCAATTATACATTTAAAGATAATAAGACAGCCAGGTGTGGTTGTTCACGCCTGTAATCCCAGCACTTTGAGAGGCCGAGGCGGGTGGATCACTTGGGCTCAGGAGTTCAAGACGAGCCTGGTCAACATGGTGAATTCCCATCTCTACCAAAAATTCAAAAATTAGCCGGGCATGGTTGTGCACTCTTGTAGTCCCAGCTATTTGAGAGGCTGGGGTAGGAGGATGGTTTGAGCCCAAAGACAGAGGTTGGAGTGAGCCGAGATAGCGCCACTGCGCTCCATCTTGGGTGACAGAGCCAGACCCTGTCTTAATAATAATAATAATAATAATAATAATAATAATAATAATAATGAAGATACTAAGAAGCAGAGAAGTTAAGATACTTGCTCAAAGTAACCCAGCTAGTAAGTGACAGGCAGGAATTCAAACCCACACACTTTGGCTCTAGAAACTATATTCTTAACAAGTAGACTTTACCACTTCTCAAAATTCATACTGAGGACACAATGTTTTACTTAGATTATTATTACCTAAATTAACTAAGTATTGTTACTGGATCAAGCATAGGGTTTTTAAGCCTCCCTGACAGAAGACTACTATTGGAAGAGCTCACCAGTTTGATGGACATGCCAAACTCTATCCGAGCTGTTTCCTCAAATTTTACTCACACAAATACACTTTGTGTGCCCATCGCATGAGCTATTTAGACGTTTGCTAGATATGTCCTGATGACTCTTACCCGCAATATGGATTCTACTACTTCTGTATATTTCTTAAGATTTTATTCACATTTTGTTTTAGAATCTATTAATCAGAAAATATATCTAGATCCATAGCTTCAACTATCACCTCTATGTAAATGACTCTTACATCTCTATCTTCTGTCCTAACATCTCTCTAGATCAGGAGACCTACACATCCAACTGCTTCACTGATTATTTCTACCTCATGAGCACAACAAATTCAACATTTTGAAAATTGAAATCCTCATTTTTGTGCTCAAGGTAATTCATTTTCCTGATACTTAGTTTATTCTAACAGCTCTAACCAGGCTTGAGATCTCTTTATCATCTTTGATTCCACCCTATCTACTATTCCTTATAGCCAAACAGTTGTTGAATTGTATTGATTTTAGTTTCCACAAAAAAACTCTTTATTCTTCTCCGTTTCCTCTGCCACCACTCAAATTCAGGCTTGATTGACTCAGTCATGTGCTATTGTAAGAGGTTTTTAACTGATCTCCATGTCTTCTGCCTCCCAACTTATAAATTATACCACCCTGCTATCAGCATAATTTCCTTTCAGTAAGTATTGACCTACTCAAACACATTCATTTCTCCACAGCTAATTATAAAATTAACTCAGAATTCCTCAATTTTCTATTCAAGACTCTTCTCATTTTGTTTCAAACTATATTTTCAGGCTTTTAATTGTCTAATCTGCTAGATTCTCTACAAAGCATCACACCACAGACATACTGGGTGCTTTCTGCCTCATGTTTTGCTTTGTCCATGTATATTTAACTCCATCCTTTTAGAATGTCTTATATCCCCACCCTGAATGTCACATGTCAAAATTCTGCAATAGTATCTCACCACCTCTTTAATGAAAGCACTTTTGATCCCTCTAATTAGATGCAATCATGTCTTCATTTGTTTCCATATCATTTTGAACATTTTTACGTGCCACTTGTCTCCATCCGGATTTTTTATTTTTACATTTTTTTACTTATCAGCCTTCCTTCCACTCCCACCTTATAGATCCACCTCCAACTTCATCCCAGCTAGTATCTGAGCATTTTGAGACTCTAGATGATCTTACTTGTGTCTGTGTTCCCTCTAGTGATTAACAGATTTATTATAAATAGAAAGTAATCAGTGGAATCATTTAGTTGAATGAAAACTTCAAATAAGTAAGACTTATGTATAAACTGGAAGTGTAAAACATCTGTTAGTCCACATGAAGGGAGAAGGAAGTCTAATAGTTTCTTGAGTAGAACCAGAGTGGCAACAAATAGAGCTACACTATGGGCTGCCCCCTAATATTTTTTATAGCACAGTCCAAAATGCATCACTATATTAATTAGAGTTCTCTAGAAAAAGAAAATTAATAGGGGAGATATAGATAGATAGACAGATAGATATAGACATAGATATAGATAGATACATAGATACATAGATACATAGAGATGTAGAGACACTGTTGACAGTTCCTACCCAAAGAAATTCTGTACCCAGATACATAATTTTATTAAAAACTAATACAATTTTTATTTCACCAAATTTAGAATAATGAAGGGAGACTCTGCCTGCCAAAGATATCACAGAGGAAATCAATAGAACTTACTGAACAATAGAAAAGTCAGGAATTCTGCTTTATTTCAGTTATAATTTTCAATGTTATTTAAATCTTAGCCCTTCCAACTGCATTGAGGAATGCACTATTTTTTTTAAAATAAACTAGACACCACCAACATTTACTTTTCACATATTGCAGAGAAAAGAAATAAACAAATCAAATGATTTCTTCTACAGAAGACACAAAAGCAATGTATCCAAGCTTCAACATGGCAGAAACAGAGAAGACTGCAATCTCTTTTTTCTTCAATGGTGTTTCTGTTTAGGCAGCTTTTCTGTCAGAGAAAGAATAAGTAAATATATTTAGTCCATTTTATTCTGGGTTGTAAATTATAATTCTGATTTATGTGGAAATATTCAAGAGGCAATTTATATGCAAAGTAAAACATGAAGAATCAGAAGTTTTTCTTCCTTAGTCGGTGATTTATCAAAGATTGAATCTCAGTGTTACTGTGTAAACCATGTGTTTTTAGATAAATGAAAGTCATATAAAGCAGCAGGTTTTAAAAATCTATTTTGTTTGTTTTAAATAATAATTATTAGTTGTAGGTCAATGAAGAGTGATAAGTTAGGTATACATTAAACAATTAACTATTATTTATTTCTTTGTTTATTTTTCTTTGTAATTAATCTTTCTTAGGTTACTATATAAACACCAATCAACACTATGAATTGTTTTATTTAACCTCGAAATGCACTAGCCACTGCCTTTCCTTTTTGCAAACAGGAAAATAAGCTGTGGAAGGTAGCTTTTACTTCTGGTTTATCATAGGCTAGAAGATGATACACATAAAGAAAGCTTCCGCAACATTTTTTTCTATAAAGATGTGCCTGTACAATAGCAAAACTGGCAGGCTTAACTTTGCTCTTATACATGAAAATAAACATCTAGCAAAGGGGCAGAACAAGGAGGCTAAATAGAAACCTCCACCAATTTTACCCTCCACAGGAACACCAAATTTAATAATTATCTACACAAAAAAAAGGACGTTCATAAGAACCAAAAATCAGGTAAGCAATCACAGTACATAGTGTTAACTTCGTATCACTGAAAGAGGTACTAAAGGCGGTAGGAAAGAGAGTCTTAATTTTTGATGCTACCCCTCCCGAATACTCTGGCCGTGGCTGTGTGGCCATGAGAATCCGCTTCACTTGGGGAAGGCAAAGTGCAACAACTGTAAGAAATTGCATTGAATTCAGTGCTTCCCTGTCACACAGAAAAGCAAAACTGTGCTAAACTCAGCTGACAACTACCCATGGAGGGAGCATTTAGACCAGCCCTAGGCAGAGGAGATTAGATTCACCCATCCTAGTGATAGGAACTTGAGTTTCAGCAAGCCTTGACACCATGGCCTAAAATTTCTCTGGGGTCTTAAATAAACTTAAAAGGCAGTTTAGGTCACAAGGACTGTAATTTCTAGGCAAGCCCTAGTGCTGAGCTGGACTTGGAGATAGCGGGCTTAGGTGGCACATGACCTAGTGAGACATAACCAGGGTGGCTAAGAGAGTGCTTGTGCTACCCCTCTACAAATTCCTCACAGTTCAGCTTGCAGCAATGAAAATGATGCCTTCCTTCTCCTTGAGGAGAGGAGAGGAAAGAGTAAAGAAGACTTTGTCTTGCAACTTGAATACCAGCTCAGCCACAGTCTGATATAGCACTGGGCAGAGTAGTGAGGCTCCCATTCCAGGCCCTAGATCCTGGACATTTCTAGAAACACACTGGAGCAGAAGAAAACCTGCTTCCTTGAAGGGAAGAACCAAGTCCTGGCACTATTCATCACCTGCTGACCAAAGGGTCTTTGTTCCTGAATAACCAGCAGCAAGATCCAAATTTTACACACCATGGGCCTTGGGTGAAACTCTGAGGTGTGCAAGCTTCTGGTGAGACCCAGCACATTCACAGCTCTGGTGGCTATGAGGATAGACTCCTGCTTGAGAAAAGCAGAGGGAAAAGTAAAGGGGAATTTATCTTGCATTTTAGATACCAGCTAGATCATAGCGTAGAAGAGCACCAAGAGGGAGCTTGGGATCCCTGATTCAAAGCATTGGCTCTTGAATGGTCTTTCCATACATGCTCTGGGCCACAGGGGAGCCCACTGCCCCAAAAGGCCAGTCCCAGGCCTGGCAGAATTCACCACAAGATGACTGAGGAACTCTTGGAATTTATGGAAACATCAACGGTAACCTGACAGTACTCTCCAAGGGTCTGTGGTAATGGTGGCCATGGGGTGAGACTCCTCTAACTATGGAAAGGGGAGAGGAGAGTCGGAAGGACTTTGTCTTGTGGTTTGAGTGCTAGTTTAGCCACAGTAGAACAGAGTACCAGGTAGATTCCTAAGTTTTTGGCTCCAGTCCCTGGCTCTGAGACAGCATCTCTGGACCTGCCCAGGGCCTAGAAGAACTCACTGTTTTCCCTGAAAGGAAAGACACAAGTCTGGCTGGCTTCAGCAGCTGCTAATTTTAAAGCCTCAGGACCTTGAATGAACATAGGTGGTAAGCAGGTAGTAGTTACAACAGGTCTTTGCTAAAACCCAGTGCTGTGCTGGCTTCAGGTCTGACCCAGAACAGTCCCAGTGGTGGTGGCCATGGGGGTGCTTGTGTCACCCCACACCCAGCTACAGGTGGCTCAACATATAGAAAGAGAGATTCCATTTGTTTGAAAGTAAGAAAGGAAAATAAACAAGATTCTCTCGAGAAGTCCAGAGAATTCTTCCAGATTATATCCTAGTCCAAGAAGTGGTACCTCCATGAATCTGTAAGAACCACAGCATTACTGAATTTGGTGTTCCCCTTAATGTACATATGGTTTAGATTACAACATTCAAGTCTGTTTGAATGTCTTGAAACCCTTCCCAAGAGGGACGGCACAAACAAGCACATACTGAGAATACTACAGTAAATACCTAACTGAGAGGTGACAATGTGCTGACGGCCCTCGCTCGCTCTCAGCGCCTCCTTGGCCTCGGCATCCACTCTGGCCATGCTTGAGGAGCCCTTCAGCCTGCCTCTGTACTGTGGGAGCCCCTCTCTGGGCTGGCAGAGGCTGGAGCTGGCTCCCTCTGCTTGCGGGGAGGTGTGGAGGGAGAGGCACGGGCGGGAAACTGGGAGCGACACTTGCGGGCCAGCGTGAGTTCTGGGTGAGCGTGGGCTCGGTGGGCCCCACACTCAGAGTGGCCAGCCAGTGCTGCTGCTCCAGGCAGTGAGGGGCTTAGCACCCGGGCCAGCAGCTGTGGAGGGGCACCGGGTTCCCCAGCACTGCCGGCCCATCCACGCTGCACTTGAATTCTCGCCGGGCCTCAGCCATCTCCCCGCGGGGCATGGCTCAGGACCTGCAGCCCGCCATGCCCGAGCCCCCCCATGGTGGGCTGCCCCACGGCCCGAGCCTCCCTGATGGGCACCACCCCCCTGCTCTGCAGCACCCAGTCCCATCAACCACCCAAGGGCTGAGGAATGCAGGTGCATGGCATGGGAATGGCGGGCAGCTCCACCCGTGGCCCTGGTGCGGGATCCACTAGGCGAAGCCAGCTGGGCTCCTGAGTCGGGTGGGGGCATGGAGAACTTTTATGTCTAGCTAAAGGATTGTAAATACACCAATCAGCACTCTGTGTCTAGCTCAAGGTTTGTAAACGTACCAGTCAGTGCTCTGTGTCTAGATAATCTAGTGGGGACTTGGAAAACTTTTATGTCTAGCTAAAGGATTGTAAATGCACCAATCAGCACGCTGTGTCTAGCTCAGGGATTGTAAACACACCAATCAGCACGCTGTGTCTAGCTCAGGGATTGTAAACACACCAATCAGCACCCTGTCAAAATGGACCAATCAGCTCTCTGTAAAATTGACCAATCAGCAGGTTGTGGGTGGGGCCACATAAGAGAATAAAAGCAGGCTGCTGGATCCAGCAGTGGCTATCCACTTGGGTCCCCTTCCACATTGTGGAAGCTTTGTTCTTTCGCTCTTTGCAATAAATCTTGCTGTTGCTCACTCTTTGGGTCCACGCTGCCTTTATGAGCTATAACACTCACCATGAAGGTCTGCAGCTTCACTCCTGAGGCCAGCGAGACCACAAACCCACCGGGAGGAATGAACAACTCCGGACAGGAGGAACGAACAACTCCAGACGTGCCACCTTAAGAGCTGTAACCCTCACCGCGAAGGTCCGCAGCTTCACTCCTGAATCCAGCGAGACCACGAACCCACCAGAAGGAATAAACTCCGAACACGTCCGAACATCAGAAGGAACAAACTCCGGACACACATCTTTAAGAACTGTAACACTCACCACGAGGGTCTGCGGCTTCATTCTTGAAGTCAGTGAGACCAAGAACCCACCAATTTCGGACACATAACTACTCGATGCACAGACAACAGTTAACACCCACAGGCATCAAGGCTATCCGGGAAACAATAAGTTCACAAAATAAACTAAATAAAGCACCAGGAAACAATGCCAGAGAAATGGATGCACGTGTTGTTTCAGACACAGAAATCAAAATAGCTGTTTTTAAGAAACTCATTCATAATAACAAAGAGAAGAAATTTAGAATAATATCAGATAAATTTAACAAAGACATTGAAATAAATTTAAAAAATCAAACAGAAATTATGGAGTTGAAAGATGGAATTGACATACTGAAGAATGCATCAGAATCTCTTAGCAGAACGGATCAAGCAAAGAAAGAATTAATGAGCTTGAAGACAGGCTATTTGAAAGTACACAAAGGAGACTAAAGAAAAAAGAATAAAGAGATTGAAGCATGCCCACAAGATCTAGAAAATTTGACAAGTAAGTTGAAGATACAAGGACTGAAAAGAAGGAAGAATAAAATACCTGTTTGTGGCCCCAAAAAGGAGAGGAACCAGGAGAACCATCCCAAAGTAGATATCCATGAAGACTATTCTTGTGATGCTTTTTTTTTTTTTTTCTATTTCAGCAGCTTGACATGGTTTTTTTTTTTTTTTTTTTTTTTTGGACATGGTTCTGCACTATTCCCGACTGATTAACATAAACACAACATTCCTATTCAAGGACTAAACAAATACCCCATTGGGCTCCTGTAAGCAGATTTATGCCACAGCCATTTTGGAGAACAATTTGTGCTATGAAGTTGGCCTGATTTTGGAGGACTTCCTGGGTGTCCGAGATATGTTTGAGCTTGGTGGGGTGTTCCATTGAGAGGGTATAATAAGTATGGGCTGTGAGGCTCATACCTATTATTCCCATGCTTAACCCAATGGCAATCCCTAGGCCAATGAACAGGGCAATCAGATGGATTGCTCAGTTTTCTCTGCTAGAACTATAAAGTGGGATTGGAAGGAATTGATTGGAAGGAGCAATTTGGATGTCTAGGGCTAAGTAAACTAGTGTACAAGTTCTAGTTCAGTTGGCTGGAAGACAAATACATGCATTTGTTTATGGAGGAAGAATGCTTCCTCAGATTTAAGGCAAGATATTAAACTTAGAGTGAAGAAACGAAGTGTGTTTTGGCCTTCTGACCTGAAGAACAAGTATGAGGTAGCTAGAGTAGCAGTTGTAAGAGGCTGTAAGGCTTGGATATTATAGTTTGCATTTGGGTGGATTTTGTTTTCCCAGAATAACTGAAAGCATTGAGAGTCTAGAAAAATCTGAGATTTGGGGTTGCTGAACATGAGAATTTGTAGGCAATTGTTAGGGGAATTCATAACCTTGCCATTTTGCCATGGAGTTACATCAGGACAAGTGTCTGGAGAGGGCCTCACTGTACAGAAGTGATAGTTTATAGTTTGGAGATTTGGGGCATTGAGGTTGGCTAGGCCTGATATTCTAACTGGTACCAAATTATATTTTCCCCTGATACATATTTTCTATTGGTACAATTTATAGTTACAGTGTAGTTGCAAAGGGGTTTAGGAACATTACCAACAGGGTTGAAGTAATGTTTGTTTTCTGTTGCTTAAAAAAAAAAGCTTAATGTTTGAATTGGACTTGTTTAAAAAGGGGGCCTACAACAGGGGATTTTCTCTTGGGTCAGGGAACCAGTCCTTTGAGAGGGTTTATGTTTTTAGCTTGGTTGTGTATTGACTTAAATAGGCAGAGAATGAAGCTACCATGCCTTATGTATGCTTTTTAGGGTCCTGTGGGAGTGGGAAAACAGGAATTTGGGATACAAGGTGGTGTTAAAAGGGATGAAATTCTGAGCATAAATAGGGAATGTGGAATCATACCTTTCAGGGACTAATAGTAAACAAAACCAACAATCCTTGGCACACAGAGAATGTTGTTTCCTTAATAGCTTGTGAGTCCCTTCAAGTACAGTGTAATCCACAAGACTTGGCAGAGTAAGGTTCATTGTAAGTGTTAATGCTAATTGGAGAGATATCCAAGTAACTAGGATGAAGCCTGACATGTTAAAGGTGACAATATATAGTGAATTCAGGGAGACAGGAAAGGAGAAGGACTGTACAGAGTATAAGAAAAACAAACAAACACCTAGTACCTTGGTATATTGTGGTTGTGGCATGGAGGTATATGAGATTACTAGGACAAATATAAAGAAATTTTATCTGGGTGGTAATCTTGGAAATCCCCCTGCAAATAGCAACCATATCCTACTTCCCTTATAATAGTATTAATGTCAAGAGGATGAAGCTGTTTAAGTGAAGCAGTTGGATAATTACTGTGAGCCTGTAATAGAATTGAGTAAAAAGAGTTAGCTCTAAGAATAAAGTTTTAAAAAGCCATTGGGCTAATTTCCGTCAACTTCAAGAGAGATCAAAATATTCTAGATTTCTTGGGAAAGCAGGAAGCCCTGGTATTAAATGATGTTTTTGGGATCTCTGTAAATTATAACCTTGAAGTTCATGCCTCCTTCCTTTGGTGATTGGTAATTTAGAAAGCACAGTTACAAACAAGGTCATCAAGGATAAAATATTGTTTAGGCATCTGGTTTTTAGAAATTGTTCTAATTGGTTATCTCTTCAGAAAATCCAAGTGAAGGAAGTTTTTACTGAAAATTTTATGCTATTTTTCCTATAGTATGTGGTATTGATTTTGTGACATTAAATTATATGGCTGATTAGATAAACCCAAATCTCAAAGTTGGTATTACTGCCTTGAGTCCACCAGCGCTTGCATGTTTTTATGTGCTTGATAGAGTGCAAACTGCCTTGATGAGTATCTGTTTGCTAATTTAATAAATAGATTAACTATCTGGGATCCCCACCAGAAATTTCAGAGGACTCAGTAATAGCTTTAATTGTTAGCTACAGTAGCCAGACTATGTTATGGTGGTTGAGTCATTGGCATGCTTATTCTTAAAGAGTGAAGTTCAAGGAGAAAGGAGAATATTATTGCATCCAGATGTAAAAAGGCAGTTGAAGTGCAGAACAATGAAAGTAATGACCAGGATGCAGTTTACAGCTGTAATTAAGTAAAGAAGCCAGGAAAAAAGTAGATTTCATTGATTTTTAAGGAAAGTTAAGGGAGTAAGGAAAAAGAAACTCCTTGAAGCTAGAGTTGAAAATTAGGGTTAGTATTACCTGAATCCAACTCAGAGTCTGAGTTTGTCTAAACAATAGATAGAGGCTGATTTGTCTGTGTCCTCACCCAAATCTCATTTTGAATTATAGTTCCCCAAATCCCATTTTGAATTATAGTTCCCCAAATCCCCATATATCATGGGTGGGACCAGGTGAAGACAAATGAATCATGCAGGCGGTTTCTCCCATCCTGCTCTCAGGAGATCTGATGGTTTTATAAGGGGCTTCCCCCTGCACTGGGCACTCAGTCTTCTTCTCCCTGCCACCATGTGAAGAAGGATGTGTTTGCTTCCCCTTCCACCATAATTGTAAGTTTCCTGAGGCCGAATGCAGAATGGTGAGTCAGTTAAACCTCTTTTCTTTATAAATTACCCACTATCAGATATGTCTTTGTTAGCAGCATGAGAATGGACTAATACAGGAAATTGGTACCAGGAGTGGAGTGCTCCTATAAAGATATCCAAAAATGTGGAAGCAACTTCGGAACTGGGAAACAGGCAGAGGTTGAAACAATTTGGAGGTCTCAGAAGAAGACAGGAAGATGTGGGAAAGTTTAGAACTTCCTAGAGACTTGATAAATGGCTTTGATCAAAATGCTGATAATAATATGGACAATAAAGTCCAGGCTGAGGTGGTTTTAGAGCGAGATGGGAAACTTGTTGGGAACTGGAGTAAAGGTCACTGTTGCTATGCAAAGAGACTGGTGGCATTTTGCTCCTGCCCCAGAGATCTGTGGAACATTGAATTTGTGAGACATGATTTAGGGTATCTGGCCAAAGAAATTTCTAAGCAGCAAAGGATTCAAGAGGAAGCAGAGAATAAAAGTTTGGAAAATTTGCAGCCTGATCATGGGATAGGAAAGAAAATCCCATTTTCTGAAGAGAAATTCAAGCCCACTGCAGAAATTTGCATAAGTAATGAGGAGCTGGATGTTAATCACCAAGACAATGGGGTAAATGTCTCCAGGGCATGTCAGAGACCATCACAACAGCCCCTGCCATCACAGACTCCAAGGCCTAGGAAGGAAAAGTGGTTTCCTGGGCCAGGTCCAGGGACCCACTACTGTATGCAGCCTTGGGACTTGGTGCCCTACATCCCAGCCACTCCAGGCATGGCTATAAGGGGCCAACAGACAGCTCAGGCCATTGCTTCAGAGAGTGTAAGACCCAACCCTTGGCAGCTTTCACATGGTGTTGGGCCTGTGGGTGCATACAAGTCAAGAATTGAGGTTAAGAAACCTCTGCCTAGATTTCAGAGTACGTATGGAAAGGCCTGGATATTCAGGCAGAAGTTTGCTGCAGGGCCAGAGCCCTCATGGAGAACCTCTGCCACGTTAGTATAAAAGGAAAATGTGGGGTAGAAGCCCCTACACAGAGTACCCACTGGGACACTGCCTAGTGGAGCTCTGAGAAGAGGGCCACTGTTCTCCAGACCCCGGAATGATAGATCCACCAACAACTTGCACCATGTGCCTGGAAAAGCTGCAGACACTCAATGCCAGCCCATGAAAGCAGCCAGGAGTAGGGCTGTACCCTGAAAATGGTCCTAACCCAGCCATTGGATCCCTTCCAATGACCAATCAGTTATCAGAGAACCCTGATTGGTTGGCACAGGGCTGGCCTCCATTCCTCCATGCACTAGCATCTGTGACCCTATTAGTTGAGGGGGGTCTCCAAGCTAACTCTGGGCCAAGAAATAATAATATATACACCACACAATGTAACAAATATTTTAACCTCAAAGCCCTTTCACTGGGTCTCTAATAGTGGAATTAGCAGATATCAATCAGTACTGCAAACACCATAATTAAACATTAAGCCACGTCAGTTTCTTAATCCTGCCACCCTGTTACCATCTCCAAATGCAGATGGACCACTTAAACACTCCTGCTTACAAACTATTGATTTAACTTGTAGCACCAGAACAGACCTCCAAGACACCCCCCTTACCAATCTAGAGGCCACTTGGTTCACAGACAGCAGTAGTTTCATGTTGGAAGGTAGCCAGTTATCAGGGTATGCAATTGTTAGCCTTACTGAAGTTATAGAATCAAGGCCCGTACCAGGCAGCACCACCTCAGCCCAGAAGGCAGAACTTATTGCCCTTACTCAAGCCTTACAATTAGGACCAGGCATGAGATTTAATATTTACACAGACTCAGCCTATGCATTCATGTAGTACATGCCCATGCAGCCATTTGGTGAAAAAGGAAACTCTCAACAGACCAAACTTCTCCGATTAGACATGCTCCTGTAATCATGATTCTGTTAGAGACAATTTTGCTTTTTGCACAGGTAGCTATCATTCACTGCAGAGCCCATCAGGGAAGCAGTGATGAAATCTCAATTGGGAACAAGTGAGCTGATGACTAAGCAAAAGCAGCTGCCAGGCTGCCCCTTCAGGCAGTTTTGGTTCCTAACCCCACTCTCCTGTCTCACGCTATTCACAGAAAGAAACCCAAAGGGCTCTAGTGAAAGGCTTCTCTCATACCTCAGAAAGCTGGCTAAAAAGCTCTAACGGCAGACTTTCGTTCCAGGAGCTTCACAATGGAAACATTTAAAAAGCTTAACACAAATCAACTAATGTGGGGGCCAAAGCCCTCCAAAACTTAGTAAGTCCACTGTTTATTGGTAAAGGAATAACCCAATCTTCAGTGAGCCATCTTGCAGGCTTGTGCCACATGCTGCGAAAATGAATCCTGAAGGGACCCACAAATCTCCTCCTCTCCTCTACTCCATTCGAAGATGAGGGACCCTACCAGGAGAAGATTGGCAGCTAGATTTTACACACATGCCTCCAATGCAAGGAACTTAAATACTTGCTAGTCTTTGTAGATACTTGGGGGGATAGAGGCCTTTCCCACCAAAACTGAACAGGCATTAGAAGCCACCACGGCCCTTTTGGACCACATTCTTCCCTGTGTTGGGCTCCCTTACTCATTCCGTAAGACAATGGCCCTGCCTTCATTTCTCAAAACAAGAAGTTGCTAAGGCCCTTCAAATGAAATACAACTTGCTTGCATTCTGGTATCCACAATCCTCTGGAAAAGTAGAAAAAGCTAATCAAACCATAAAAAGGCATCTCACAAAGCTAATACAGGAAACTGAACAGTCACGGCCCGCTGTGCTCCCTATTGCCCTCTTAAGGTCTTGCATTACCCCAAATTCAGAAACCCATCTCAGCCCATTTGAAGTTCTTTATGGAAGGCCCTTCTTACAAACAGACCTCTTGTTAGATCCAGAAAGTCATTATTTCACACAGCATGTGATATCTCTTAGGACAAACCATCAAAACCATTAACCATTACCAAAATCTTCATAGTCTAAAACCCAATCCCTCTTTTCCAGAGAACACACAGCCTAAACTGATGCCTGAGGACTGGGTGTATCTTAAAACTCTCGCATAGGAGGAAAGGCCTTTAGAATCCATCTGGACTGGGCCATATCGAGTTCTTCCTACCACCCCAATGGCTGTAAATCTCCGAGGTGTCTCTCCATGGGTCCGCCTCTCCAGAGTCAAAGCCACTCAGGCACTAAGTGAAGATCCTCTACTACATACAGCTGTGAGACAATCAGAGCCCTCTGTATTAGTCTGTTGTCACACTGCTAATAAAGACATACCAGAGACTGGGTAACTTATAAAGAAAAGAGGTTTTTTGACTCAGAGTTCAGCATGGCTGGGGAGGCCTCAGGTAATTACAATCACCTGAAGCTGAAGCAGCTGATACGCAGGGCACCATGTCTCAAGGCTGCATAGAGCAGGGGGGCACTGGGCCAGGCCCATGAAACCATGTATTCCTCCTAGGCCTCTGGGCCTTTGATGGGAGAGGGCTGGCATGGAGGTCTCTGACACGCCCTGGAGACATTTTTCCCATTAGCTTGGGAAATAATGTTCAGCTTCTCGTTACTTATACAAATTCTGTGGCCTGCTTGAATTTCTCCCCATAAAAATGGATTTTTCTTTTCTATTGCATGGTCAGGCTACAAATTTTCCAAACTTTTATGCTCAGCTTCCTCTTGAACACTTTGCCACTTAAAAATGTCTTCTGTTAGATACCCTAAATCATCTCTCTCAAGTTCAAAGTTCCACAGATCTCTAAGGCAGAGGCAAAAAAATGCCACCAGTCTCTTTGATAAAGCATAGCAAGAGTCACCTTTATTCCAGTTTCCAACAAGTTCCTCATCTCCATCTGAAACCACCTCAGCCTGGACTTCATTGTCCATATCACTATCAGCATTTTGATCAAAACCATTCAACAAGTCTCTAGGAAGTTCCAAATTTTCCCACATCTCCCTGTCTTCTTCTGAGCCCTCCAAACTCTTCCAACCTCTGCCTGTTACCCAGTTCCAAAGTTACTTCCACATTTTTCAGTCCCTTTATAGCAGTATCCCACTCTCTGCTGTATCATCTTACTGTATTAGTCCGTTCTCATGCTGCTGTAAAGAAATACCTGAGACTGGGTAATATATAAGGAAAACAGGTTTAATTGCCAGAGGGATGCAAGAAACTGGCTGCTGAAGACAGAAAAAAATAAGTAAACTCAGGTCCTTTGACCAAAACGGGTGATGGTGGTCAGACACTTCCACATAGACACCTTTTGGTCCCACCTGTGTGTAGCTCCAATCAGTGACCTGCAATTGGCTCATGCTTAGACGCTGTCTGCTGAGGGTCCCAAGTTGGGAAAGGGAAAGAGACAGGGGAGAGAGTTCCCCGTGAAAAGAAAGTCCCCTAATGGGCCACCAAAATATTACAGGTGAACGACAACTATCTGGGCCGGTGGCATGGGGATAGAAGAATTTGCCAAGACAGTTGTAGGTAAAGAAAGGCAGATTTATTAGAAAAATTATTAGGAAAATAGTTTGCAAGGAGGCAATGGGAAGGCCAGCAGAAACTGACTGCCGGGAAACAAAGGCTCGGTGGAAATTTTATAAAATAGTGTTTATGCTGTCTGCTGAAGAGGGCTTTGTGCAGTACTAAAAATGCTAAGGTTGCGGTGACCTAACTTGTAGGTGTCTAATGATAGTTGGGCTCAGGAAGATTGTCAGTTGTTTGCACAGGAGGTCTATATGACCTGAACCGTGAAGAAAGGCGTACTTAGAGCTTATCTGTTTTTTTCTTTTTGTTTTTCCCATCTCTCACCAGCCTAACTCCTTTGTCTATTTAAGACTCCACACATATTAAACTCTTAGATGGGAATCCCTTTTGTACCAAACAATTTTACTTTCTGTCCCTGTTCAGAGAATACTCCAAGGGTGGTGTTTTTTCCAATTTTATGTGTAAATAGAGACACAGATGGAAAAATTTTAGATGTAGACATAGAGATAGAAACACATAGATAGAGTCAAATCAATAAACTTTTGTTACCTAAAAGAAAAATC
Organism: Homo sapiens; assembly: GCF_000001405.40. NCBI lineage: Eukaryota > Metazoa > Chordata > Mammalia > Primates > Hominidae > Homo > Homo sapiens. The sequence continues at coordinate 92,690,044 of NC_000023.11, read as the reverse complement.
AGAAGTAGATTGAAATGGATCAAAAGACTTGTTTGCTTAGCATTTGTGTTATCTACTGAACAGCCTTGAAAATGATGGGAGCAGTGGGTGATGAATGCTTGCTTGTCCCTTAAGCTATAGTGAATAAATTGCACAATAAATGAGCAAGGATCTATAAACATAGCTCCAGGGGCCTCCATTCTGTTCGTTCCTGATTCCGTGTCCCTCCTGTATGCTTCAGGCAAAATGATGTTTCTGTGAAAGTGCATTATAACTACTTGAAATGATTTTAAAGCAATAACATATAAACTATTTCTAACCCATTTTATTTTGAGACTTTTCTCAGTTCTTTAAGAATTGATCAAGTTGGAAAGAATATCCAATTTCAAAGTTTAACTGTAAATAATTTGTATTTGCAAATAAAAATATCCTCTAGAAAATTGTCAGCTTACTAAAATTAAACCTGTGAAATGTTTAAATCTATGAAAATTAACAAGGTATTTTCTAGGTGTCTTATGAATATACGTCAATGCAAAAATTGATTCTAGAACATAGAGATTTAATAAAGTTGTATGTTTTATTGACTATGCTTCATGTTTCTTTGAAAAATTTGTCATTTATTTTATTACAATATTTTGCATTTTAGTGAAAAGTATGAGGTATGTTTACTTTAACATTTAAAAATCATAATAATTTTTCACATCTTTAGAAATAATGCAGATAAGGCAACTTACCTATCAACCAGAATAAATAAATGAAAGACAGAAGTCTAGGGTATGAAACCCAAATATGACAATACATAAAAAATGTACAGAGCTACTTGAGAAACAATTTTGCTTAGATAAAATTTCTTTTTTAAATATGTATATTTTTTCATATAAGCCATAAATTGACTTTTTCTTTTTAATTCTAGTTCTACAAAATGTGACACAGGCTATACAAGAAATTACCCACGTATATATTCATTTGTTGAATGCACCAGTGAATAAAGCAAACAAATATTGATTCATTGGCTGAAAAAAAGGTTTTTAAATAATTGGTTTGAAGATACATTGTTTCAATGATTTATTGCTGCATAAGGAATCATCCCAAGCTTAATAACATGAAACAAACTTATTTTTATTATTACTATTTATGATTTGAAATATAAGTTAGGATTAGATCAGGTCGATAATTATTTTTGTGGATCTCCCGGGCTAAAATCCAAAGGTGACTGGGGCTGGAGACATTTAGAAGGCTTCGTAATTCATGTGTATGAGTTAATTCTGGCTGCTGCCTGGGAACTCAATAATGGCCTCAGCTAAAAGATATAAATATGTGACCTGGGATTCCTCATAGCCTGGCAACTGACTTCCAGGAGCTATTGTCCCAAAAGGGAGCCATGTAGAAGCTCTATCATCTTGTTAAAGATATGACATCTTTTCAAGGATACAGTTAACCTTACATATCATCATTTACACTGTATGTAATATCACTTCCATTGGGGCAGTAACAAAGGCCCACCCAAGTTCAAGGACACTGTAACCTCTGCCTCCTGGGTTCAAGTGATTCTCCTGCCTCAGCCTCCTGAGTAGCTGGAATTACAAGTGCGCACCACCAGCTAAGTTTTTGTATTTTTAGTAGAGACGGGGTTTCACTATGCTGGGCAGGCTGGCCTCGAACTCCTGACCTCATGATCCACCCGCCTCAACCTCCCAAAGTGCTGGGATTAGAGGTGTGAGCCACCGCGCCCAGCCCTAGGCTCCACTTCTTGACAGGATAGTAGCAAGGATCTAGAAGAGCATGTGGGATCATAAATATTGTTGCAGTCATTACTTGAACATACAATCTGCCACAGGCATTATAGAAAGCAGTATAAGAAATTAGTTTAATGCAGTCCAAACTCTGACACCTGCTAGACATATTAACTTAGTAAGTTGCTTTACTTTCTTAAGGCATAGTTTCTTCATCTGTAAAGTGCAGATAATAACCCATAATTTATAGGGCTACTATTATTATTACACCTTATTATTGCTATTATATGATGTACAACCATTCTATATGATAGTATTTTCTTCAGTAATGGAAATGTTCCATATCTTCACTGTCAATATGACAGTTTCTAGCCATATGTGACTATTGAACTCTTAAAAGGTGATTCATGCACCTAAGGAACTGACTTTTCAAATTTTATTAAATTTAGATAGTAATTTTGGGAGATAATTTTCAATAGATCTTTTGAGTTTCTGCATGTCTTGTGAATGAGGTACTACCTTTTGAGTTTCTGCATGTCTTGTGAATGAGGTACTAAGTGTCCCTTTTTCCAAACTAACATTTCAAGGATGTGTGTAGAGAACAGCCTTGAAAGATTGAGACTGTTTCCCTCCGGAGCAAAAGGAAGACATATAGAGAACCCATTATAAAAGGTGTTAGTTTCATAAACTCAAGATTTCTCTCCTGTAAGAGGAGATATTAACTGGCTTTCTATTGCATCACCCTGTGAGAACTGGGGCTCAAGAAAGCAGTGCAAAAAATGGTGACACTCTAACTACTGTTGTTGTTGTGAATAATAAACTGTTCTTGGTTGCTGATCCAGGAGTCTCAAGTCTTCTTCCCATTCAGCTGGCCCAAAATTGTGCTCACCTAACAAGTTTGAGTAAAATTTCAGACCCTTTACAGTTCTTGACAGAAACATATGGCTTGTCATGACCATATTTCAAATATTTTTCTTCAAATGTTCTCTCTGTCCCCACTCTCCAACTTTGGGGGTCCACTTAACATGTTTCCTAGGTTAAAGTTTTCTCCCAGTTCACATTTTTTATTCCTTTTTTTCCAGTTTCATTTATGATAGTTGCTGATAAGACTTTAAGTTCAATTATCTTTTCTTCTGTAATGTCTGATCTGCCATTCATCCAGAATATCATCTGAGACATTGTATTCTTTAATTTTTCAGATTTGATTTGTGTCTTTTTGAATATTTTTCTTGTCTCTACATAATATTCAATCCTTCCACTTGCTTGATGTGGTGGTGATTTTTCTATTCTATAATTCTTCTCAAGCTTTATTCTGGGATGCAGTTTTATTTCATAAACAGCTTTATCCATGCTTTTTAAGGTTTGTTAGGTGGGACCTAAACAACATTTTATGCAAGGCTTATTATCTCTAATCCAAAGGAAAGACTTCTAAAAATACTTTACCTGACCAGGCGCAGTGGCTCACGCCTGTAATCCCAGCACTTTGGGAGGCCGAGGCGGGTGGATCACTTGAGTTCAGGAGTTCAAGACCAGCCTGGCCAACATGGTGAAACCCCTTCTCTACTAAAAATACAAAAAAATTAGTCTGGCATGGTGACGGGCGCCTGTAATCCCAGCTACTTGGGAGGCTGAGGCAGAAGAACCACTTGAACCCGGGAGGTGGAGGTTGCAGTGAGCCAAGATCGTGCCATTGCACTCCAGCCTGGGTGACAAGAGCGAAACTCTGTCTAAAAAACAAACAAACAAAAAAAACACTTTACCTAATGCTCCGTGAATTATGACATTGACCTGTGCAGCTGGTAAGAATAGGCATTGTTCTAGGCCTTGTCTGAGCTCCAAGTATTCTATCCTCTAATTCCTTTGAGCAATTCTTTTGTCTTGAGTAGTTTTCTCCCACGCATCAACTTCACAGTACTCTGATGAATACTCAGTGATGATCCTATTGTGATTTTCTAAGTGTTTTCTCTGTGTAGGCCTTTCCTCTAAGTTACTCTACCTTGTAAACTGTAGCCACCTTGCTCTCTCTGGACTTACAGGCATATCTCCTCAACTGTGAGAGTCTGCTGGGCTTCCCCTGGCTTCCCTGTCTCTGAGCTGCATCTGGGAAACTCTCAGAAGGTGGTAACCTGGGGAATTATTGTCATGCATTGCCTGAGCTCCAATGTTTTGAAAAGTGTTATTTTCATATATTTTTCAAGTTATTGTTTGTTTTTAGACAAAAAATCAAATATCTGTTACTTTCTTTGGGTTGGATAAATTGTTTTATTCATATTATTGGGCAGTTCTTTTGCCTTGAGTAGTTTCCTCCCAAGCATGAACTGATCAGTACTCTGATAACTGTTCAGTGAGAATCCTATTGACATCTCCAGAAATTTTCCATCAATGATTCATATTATTGTTGTTGTTTTATTGACATTTTGTATTCCAATTTTTCTCAAAAGTCAGAATATATGTTCATAGTTAAGAATGAGGAACTAAAAACTGTTAAGAAGCTCTGTATAAGTCAATCGAGCTTGCTTACATGTAAGCTTAGGGAGACCTTTGATTAGAGATTTGGTCATTATGTTGATGAATGTTCAAATGCAAGAACTCAGAAAATTTCACTCTAAGATAGCTCAGTTTTCTTTAACTGGAACAATGTATCATATTTGGAAGCTAGCACTTCCAGATGTGGAGGCAGTACTTATTTTTTAGGATAGATTGAATGGGAAATTTACTCATTAATATTCATACTTTCAATCAATTCCCTGTCGTCAACCCAGTGTCTCTCTCAAAAACTCTCTTATCTAGTAGAAAAAGTAATAATTGGGATTGAAAACCTCTAGAGAGGCTGAGTACTTAGAACATACATGATGGAGTGCAAACTTGTCTATCAGTCAGAGTAGTGGAAGACTCTGCCTACAGGTACTCCAACAACTTCTTCAAGTATAGAAGTGAGCCTGTCCATTCCAAGATATTTTCTCATCTTGAATGACATTGTAAGACTTTTGTGGGTTTCAGAACTGGTTGTGAAAGGAAGAATTGTTTACAAATTTGGAAAAAAAAAAGTAAGACAACAGACATAGAACCCTTACAGAAATGGGTTTTCTATCCTGGAAGAAACAGTATAAGCATGTATTTTAAGGCACCTATGGTAGAACTTTTAAAGCAAGGCAGAACAGTTTTGTATAAATGTAGATGAGCGAATTATATTTAGAAGTGCACCAGCCACCATTACTGTTTGTAAAGCACTATGATTTGCATGCCCCAAATAATTTAATCTCCACAGCAACCCATTATTTTACTATAAAACAAGAAGTTTATAATCCCAATTTTGTCTTTATCTTTGGTATAGTGGGATTCAACTAATTTTGAAACTAAAACAAATTAAGTAATTAACCAATAACAGTACAAACTCAATTAAGATGCATTTGGAATATACATTTTTATAGACTGAGGGTCTAGAGCAAAATAAATACTGGACATTATAAAAGTGGGTTACCTCTAACCCTAGATTTTTACACCCTAATTTAGCATGGCACAAGCCTGGTACGCTCTCATAAGCATTATAGATTAAATCAAAATCTCAATTTTTTATGTGTAACACTTAAAGAAGGCCAGTTGTCAAGCAGTCATTGAGAATCAACAAGAGGTAATAAATAGTACTTAATATGGAATGCTATCACATAATTATAGCAACACTGATTGAAGCTTGGCTGAGGTAGTAGAGAATGACAAGCTTTGGAATCTGACCCCTTGAGGTCTATCTTATAAGGCCAAAGCAGCTGACTCTCCAGTCTGAACTTGATGCAAAATTTCTAATATATAAGACATACTTTTCATTTTAATTCATACAAGATACAATGTTAAATATTTCATATGAGAACCTGACTGCTTCCTCATAAATGTATAGGTTAATGTGAAGAGTGATGCCTTTCATTATATTTTGAATAGAATATTGAAAATACTCAATTTGAGTACAATCTGTATAATTTTAGGTTTTTTTAAAATAATTCAGATGCATTCATTTATTCTTGATTAATAAATCGAGATCTGAAAAAGAATATGTTTTACTTTATGGCATGTATTATTAATAATTTGTTACTTCACTCACAAGTCTTTCATTTGAGTAAGCCAGGAAAAATATTCAGGGAAAATAATTTTTCAAATCATAGGCATACTAATGCCAGGTAACTACAGCATGCTATAAGGGGCAATCTTGCTGAATTTGACAAGAGAAATTAGTGTGCTGACAAGCATAGTTACATAAAACTACATTTTTTCTATGAATTTACAATGAGCTCTTTTCCCTGGGATTATCTAGGTAACTGTATCCAGGTAAAAAGCCTTCTATTTATGGTTTATCCTCAAGTACTCTCAGAGACATTCCAATGTTTCTAATCTTTTTAACATGGTTATACTTCTATGACTGACCAGGCACACAAAATGGAAAATAGCACATTTGGTGCTCTTAGATACCTTAGTAAACACAGGACCTCTACAATGAAAAGACTATGTTGAATTCCATAAGACATAGACTCTTAACTAGTCATGTTTGTGAAAACCCTTCTCAGTGTGTTGCCAAATACTTTCCAAAGCGTATGTTTTATTGTTGCAATTGAGAATACATACATTTTACGGCAAAGTTTGTCAGAAGGATTACTGATTTGAGCAGTTGTGAGATGCAATATAAGAAGAAAGAGGTATAAAAAAATCACATACTCTTAGAGATCAATCTTGCATTCAATAAAATACTAGAGAAATTTGCTGAAGGGTATATAAAAGGGTAAAACCATTAAAAAAACACCTGTAATAATTTTAGTAAAGTAAACAGAAAAGAAATTAAATAGTGTAATAAATGTGGATTATTTTGTCTTAGTCTGCATAGTATTGCCATAAAGAAACACCTGAGGCTTGAGTAATTTATAAAGAAAAAAGGTTTGGAGAAAGGCAGAGCAACATGGCCAAAAAGAAGGCTCCACTGATCATCCCTCCAACAAGGATGCAAATTTAACAACTATCTACACACAAAAAGAAGCACCTTCGTAAGAACCACAAAACAGGTGAGCACATAAAGTACCTGGTTTTAACTTCATATCACTAAAAGAGGCACTAAGAAGGTTAGAAAAGAAGTGCTGAATCACAAATGTCACCACCCTCCCATCCTACAACAACAGCTGCATGGTGCAGAGACAGAATCTCTGTGCTTGGGAGAGTGAGAGTGCAGCAATTGTGAGACACTGCTTTGAACTCAGTGCTGCCTTGTCAGAGCAGAAAGCAAAACCCAACTGAACTCAGCTGATGCCAAAACATGGCTGGAATATTTAAACCAACCCTACTCTGAGAGTAATTTTCCACTTGAAGTAGTTGACACTTGAAATTTGACAAGCCTCACCACCTCGAGCTAAGCTGCTCTGGGGCCCTATGTGAATTTGAAGGACAGTCTAGGCCATAAGGACTGCAAGTCCTAGGTGAGTCCTAGTGCTGAACTAGGCTCAGAGCCAGTAGATTTGGGGAGCGAGTGACCTACTGAGATACCAGCTGGGGTTGCTAACAGAGTAGTTGTGTCATCCATGCCCAACTCATGAAGTGCAGCTCATGACCTCAAAAGAAACCCCTTTATTTTGCTTGAGGAGAGAGAAGGGTAAGAGGACTTTTTCTTGCCTCTTGAATACCAGCTAAGCAACAGTAAAATAGGGAACCAGTCAGTGTTGTGAGGTCCCATTTTCAGGTGACAGATCCTAGACAACATTTCTACACACACCCTGGGCCAAAAGGAAACCCACTGCCTTGAAGGGAAGGGCCCATCACCTGCTGACTAAAGAGTTCATGGGCACTGAATAACAAGCAGTGATACCCAGGTGGTACATGCCATGGTCCTTGGGTAAGACTTTGAGACTTTTACTTCTGGTGATTCCTTGCTTCTGCTACAGCACATTCCCAGCTATAGTGGCTATTGGAAGAGACTTCATCTGCTTGAAAAAAAACATAGGGGAAAGTAAAGAAAATTTTGTCTCACACCTTAGATTTCAGCTAGGCCACAAAGGGATAGCACACCAAGTGAGGCCTTTGGATCCCTGATTTCAGGACTTGCCTCTTGGATGGCATCACAAAGCCTGCTCTGGGCCAGAGAGGAGCCCACTTCCCTGAAAGGTGAGTCATAGGCCAGGCAACATTCACCTCAATCTTGCTGAAGAGCCCTTGGGCTTAAAGCGAATATTGGTGGTATCCTGGCAGTAATCCCCATAGGCCTGTGGTGGGGATAGATATGGGGCGAGGCTCCTCTGCCTGTGGAAAGGGGAGGGAAGAGAGAAAAGAACTGTATCTCATGGGTTGAGTGCCAACTCAGCCACTCTGCAACAGAACACCATGTAGATTTCTAAGGTTTTTTTTTTGGTTTTTTGTTTTTGTTTTTTTTTAACTATAGTCCCTGGTTTCCAGATGTCATCTCTGGAACCACCATGGCATTGGGAAATTCACTGCCCTGAAGATAAGAATACAAGTCTGGTGGCTTCACCAGCTGCTGATTGTAGAGCCTTGAGTGAACATAGGCCGTAGCCAGGTCATGGTTATAGCAGGCCTTGGGCAAGACCCAGTGCTGTGTTGGCTTTGGGTCTAACCCAGCACAGTCTCAGTTGTGGTGCCCATAGGGGTGCTTGTAACACCCCACCACCAGATCCAGGTAGCTCAGAATGGAGAGACAGAGAGAGAGAGAGAGAGACTTCATTTATTTGGGAGAATATAAGGGAAGAGAACAAGAGTCTCTGCCTCATAATCCAGATAATTCTTAAGAATTTCATCTAAGACCTTCAGGTGGTACTTCAATAAGTCTGCAAGAACCACAGCTTTACTGGATTTGGGGTTCCCCCTAATGCACATGCAGCTAAGATTACAACAATCAAGTATTTTTGAATATGTTGAGAGCTTTCCCAAGAATGTTGGGTACAACTAAGCACAGAGTGTGAAGATGAAAATAAATACCTATCTCTTAAATAGCCAGACACAGATAAACATCCAAAAGCATCCAGATTATTCAGGACTATATGATCTCACAAAATAAGCTAAATGAGGCACCAGAAATGAATTTGGGGAAAATAGAAATATGTGACCTTTCAGACAGAGAATTCAAAATAGCTGTTTTGAGGGAACACAAAGTACTCAAAGTAATTCAACATAACGGAGGGCAGAAATGCAGAATTCTATCAGATAAATTTAAAAAGCTGACTAAAATAATTGCAAAGAATCAGGCATAAATTCTGGAGAAGTTAAATAATGCAATTGACATAATGAAGAGTGCATCAGAGTCTTTAATAGCAGAATTGATCAAGAAGAAGAAAAAATTAGTGACTTTGAAGACAAGCTATTTGAAAATACACATTCAGAGGAGAAAAAAGAAAAATGAAGAAACAATGAAGCACACCGACAGGATCTAGAAAATAGCCTCAAAAGGGTAAATATAAGAGCTACTGGACTTAAAGAGGAGGTAGAAAAAGGATAGGGATAGCAAGTTTATTCAAAGTGATAATAAAATACAACATCTCAAATGTAGAGAAATATATCAATATCCAAGTACAAGAAGGTTATACAACCCCAAGCAGATTTAACCCAAAGAAGACTAATCTCAAAGCTTTTAATACTCTAACTCCTAAAGGTCAAGGAAAAAAAGGGTCTTAAAGCAGCCAGAGAAAAGCAACAAATAACATACATTGGAGCTCCAATACATCTGGAAGTATGCTTTACAGTAGAAACCTTACAGGCCAGGAAAGAATGGCATGACATATTTAAAATGCTGAAGGAAAAAACGTATCCCCTAGAATAGTATATCTGGTGAAATAACCTTCAAACATGAAAAAGAAATAATAATTTTCCCAGACAAATACAAGATGAAGAATTTAATCAATACAAGACCCATATTACAAGAAATACTCAGAAGAGTACTTCAACTAAATGAATAAAAAACATTAATGAGCAATAAATAATCATCTGATGGCACAAAAGTTACTGGTAGTATCAACTACATAGAAAAACATATAATATTGTAAAGCTGTAACTACTGTAACTGTGGTGTGTAAACTACTCTTATTATATGTAGAAAGACTAAATAAAGAACCAAACAAAAATACCTAAAACAACTTTTCAAGACATAGTACAATAAAATATAAATAGAAAATACAAAAATTTAAAAGGTGAAGGAAAAAGTTAAGGCAAGTTTGTATTAGTTATTGTTTTGCTTGTTGTTTGTTTCTCTATGCAAATATTAAGTTGTTTTTAGGTTAAAATAATGGGCTATAAGACAGTATTTGCAAGTTTCATGGTAACCTCAAACCAAAAAACATACAATGAATACATAAATAATAAAAAGCAAGAAACTAAATTATATCATCAGAGGAAATCATCTTCACTAGGGGAAGACAGGAAAGAATAAAAGGAGAAAAGATAGACCACAAAACAACCAGAAAATAAATAACAAAATGGCAGGAATAAGTCTTTACTTATCAATAATAACATTTAATGTAAATGGACTAAACACTCTAATCAAAAGATATAGACTGGCTAAATGGATGAAGAAACAAGATCCATTTATCTGTTGTGTAAATGGAGTACATTTCACCTATATAGACACACATAATCTGAAAATTAAAAAATGGAAAATTATATTCCATGCCAATGCAAACCCCAAAAAAGCAGGAGTTGCTATACTTATATTAGAAAAAAATAGATATCAAGACAAAAACTATAAGAATAGACAAAGTAGGTCACTATATAATGATAAAGGGGTCAATTTGGTAAGAGGATATAACAATTTTAAATATGTAGTCACCCAACACGGGAACACCCCGATACACAGAAAATATTATTAGAGCTAAAGAAAGAGATAGGCTCCAGTACAATAATAGCTGGAGACTTTGACACCCCCACTTTCAGCACTGGACAGATCTTCTAGACAGAAAATCAATAAAAAAAAATCAGGATTAATCTGTACTATAGAACAAATGGATATAATAGATGTTTACACGGCATTTTACATAACAGCTGCAGAATACACATGCTTTTCTTCAACACATGGATGACTCTCAAGGATAAACAATATGTTAGGTCACAAAGCAAGTCTTAAAATATTCAAATAATTGAAATAATATCAAGCATCTTCTCTGGCAACAATGGAATAAAACTAGAAATTTATAACGAGAAATTTTTGAAACTATGCCAATACATGAAATTTAAACAATATGCTCCTAAGTGACCAGCAGTTCAATGAAAAAAGAAAGTTAAAAGAATTCTTAAAACAAATTGGAAACAATTGGAAAATCTCAAAGAAAGGGACAAATTGCTAGATACATGCAACTTACCAAGATTTAACCAGAAAGAAATCCAAAACCTGAACAGTCCGTTAACAAATAATGAGATCAAATACATAATGAAATGTCTCACAGTAAAGAAAAGCCCAAGGCCTGATGGTTTCACTACTGAATTCTAACAAAAATATAAAGAAAAACTCATATCAATTCTGTTCAAACTATTTTAAAAAATAGAGGGCAAGACCAAACTTATTCTATGAGGCCAGTATTACCCTGATACCAAAACTATAAAAAGACACATTAATTAAAGAAAAGCACTGGGCGATATTTCTGATGAATATTGTTGCAAAATTTCTTAACGAAATACTAGCAAACTGAATTCAATAATACCTAAGAAAGTTTATTCATCATGACCAGGTGGGATTTATCCCTGGGATGCAAAGATGTTTAAACATATACAAATCAACCAATACGATGCATCATATCAACAGAATAAAGGAAAAAATTATATGATTATTTCAATTGATGTGGAAAAAGCATTTGATAAAATTCAACATATCTTCATAATAAAAACCTTCAAACGGTGGAAATTTAAGGAATATACCTCAGCATAATAAAATCCATTATGACAGTGCCACGGCTAATATAATACTGAATGCGTAAAAACTGAATGCGTAAAAACTGAAAGGGTTTTCTCTAAGATCTGGAGCACAACAAGGACGTACACTGGCACCATTGTTATTTAAGATAGTACTGAAAGTCCCAGCTAGAGCAATCAGACAAGAGAAAGATATAAAGGGCATTCAAATTGAAAGGAAAGGGTCAAAATGCCCTTATTTGCAGATTATATGATCTTGTATTTGGAAAAATCTAAAGACTCCACAAGGAAACTATTATTAGAAGTGATAAACAAATTCAGTAAAGTTACAGGATACAAAATCAATGTAGAAAAAATGAGTAACATTTCTATATGCCAGTAGTTAACAATGTGAAAAAAAATAACAAAACAAGAAATCCCATTTACAACAGCCACACATAAATACCTAGAAATTAACCAAAGAAGTGAAAGATTCCTATATCAAAAACTATAAAACACTGATAAAAAATTAAGGAGGACACCATAAAATGGAAAATTATTCCATGTTCATGGATTGGAAGAATCAATATTGTTAAAATGTACGCACTACCAAAGCTATCTGCAGATGCAATAGAGCCTGTATCAAAATACAAATTCATTTTTCACAGAACTAGCAAAAACTAATTCTAAAATGTATATGAAGCCACAAAAGACCCAGGATAGCCAAAGGTATGCTGAGGAAAATGAACAAAAATGGAATAATCACATTATCTGATGTCAAATTATAATACAGAACTATAGTAACTAAAATAGTATGGTGCTGGAACTCAGACCAGACACTTAAACCAATGAAACAGACACAAATCCACACACCTACAGTGAAACCATTTTTGACAATGATACCAAGAACATATGCTGAGGGAAAGACAGTCCTTCAATAAATGATGCTGGGAAAACTAGATATCCTTATACAGAATAATAAAACTGGTTAACTATCTCTCACAATGATGTGGTTTGGTTGTGTCCTCACCCAAAATCTCACCTTAAATTTAATCCCCATAATCTGTGTAATCACCAAGTGTGAAGGGCAGGATCAGGTGGAGGTAATCAGATCATGGAGGCATTATCCCCCATGCTGTTCTCATCATAGAGTGTTTCACCATGTCTGATGGTTTTATAAGCATCTGGCATTTCCCTTGCTTGTACTCACTCCATCCTGCCGCCCTGTAAAGAAGGTGCCTGCTTCTCCTTTGCCTTCTACCATGATTGTAAGTTTCCTGAGGCCTCCCTGGCCATGCGGAACTGAGTCAATTAAACCTCTTCCCTCTATAAATTACCCAGTCCCAGGTAGTTCTTCATAGCAGTATGAGAATGGAATAATACACACCATATACAAAATCAAACCAAAATGAATTAAAGACTTAAATCTATGATCTCAAACTACATAACTGCTACAAGAAAACTATCAGGAGTGTGTAGTTCTCTTCCCTTTTGCATCCATCACTGAAGAGGGAGCGGCCAAAATGAAGTTTAATCCCTTTGTGACTTCCAACTGAAGGAAGAGTCGCAAAAGGCATTTCAATGCACCTTCCTACATTCACGGGAAGATTGTCTTCCCCTCTTTCCAACGAGCTGAAACAGAAGTATAACGGGTGATCCATGCCCATCCAAAAGGATGATGAAGTTCAGGTTGTACGAGGACACTATAAAGGTCAACAAATTGGCAAAATAGTCAAGGTTTACAGGAAGAAATATGCTATCTACATTGAACGGGTGCAGCGGGAAAAGGCTAATGGCACAACTGTCCACGTAGGCATTCACCCCAGCAAGGTGGTTATCACTAGGCTAAAACTGGACAAAGACCGCAAAAATATCCGTGAACGGAAAGCCAAATCTTGCCAAGTAGGAAAGCAAAAGGGCAAATACAAGGAAGAAACAATTGAGAAGATGCAGGAATAAAGTAATCTTATACACAAGCTTTGATTACAACTTGAAACAAAGAAAAAAGAAAAGAAAACTACCAGGAAAATTTTCCAGGACATTGTTTAGGGCAAAAATTTCTTCAGTAATACTCTATAAGCACAGATAGCCAAAGGAAAAATAGACAAATGGCATCACAACAAGTTAGAAAGCTTCTGCACATAAGTGATACAATCAAGAAAGTAAAGAGACAACCCATAGAATGTGAGAAAATATTTGCACACTACCCATTTGACAACAGATTACGAACCAGAATATATAAGGAGCTCAAACAACTCTATATTACTCTAATAATCTGATTAAAAAAAATGGGCAAAAGATTTGACTAGAAATTTCATGAAAGAAGACATACAAATCACAAGCAGGCACATGAGAAGGTGCTCAACATCATTGATTACCAGATAATTGCAAATCAAAACTGTACTGAAATAACATCTCACCTCAGTTAAAATGAATTACATAAAAAATACAGGCAATAACAAATGTTGATGAGGATGTGGAGATAAGAGAGTCTTTATAAACTGTTGATGGGAATGTAAATTAGTACAACCACTATGGATAACAGTGTAGAGGTTTCTCAGTAAACTAAAAATTGAGCTACTATATGATCCAGTAATCTCACTGCTTGGTATATACGCGAAAATAGCAAATCAGTATATAAAAGAGATATTTGCCCTTCTATGTTTGTTTCAGTACTATTCACAATAGCTAAGACTTGAAAGCAAACTAAGTGTCCATCAACAGATGAATCGATGAAGAAATTGTGGTACATATACACAACAGAGTATATTTATCCATAAAAAGGAATAAGATTAAGTCATTTGCAACAAGGTAGATGAAATGGGAGATCATTATGTTAAGTGAAATAAGCCAGGAACAGAAAGACAAACATCACATGTTCTCACTTACTTGTGGGATCTAAAAATGAAAACAATTGAATTTGTACACAGAGATATTATAAGAATGCTTACCAGAGGCTGGGAAGGGTAGTGGAGAGTTGGGAGTTAGGAGGGGAGGTTAATTAGTACAAAAAAGTGGAAAGAATTAATAAGACCTAGTATTTTGTAGGACAAGGTAACTATAGTCAAAAATAACTTAATTGTATATTTTTAAATAACTTAATATAATTTGACTCTTTGTAACTGAAAGAATAAATGCTTGAGAGGATGCATACCCCATTCTCCATGACATGCTTATTTCACATTGCATGCCTGTATCAAAACACATCATGTACCCCATGAATATATACACGTACTATGTACCTACAAAATTTTTTTAAAAATTAAAAAATACAGACTGTGGCTGAATAGATGAAAAAACAAGACTTTGTGATCTGTTGCCTACAACAAACACACTTCATCTATTAAGACACACATACTCTAAAAATAAAAGAATGGAAAAATATTTTATTTCAATATAAACCAAAGATGCAGGAGTAATTATATCAGACAAAATAGATTTCAAGACAAAATGTGTAAGACAAATCCAAGAAAGTCACAATATAATGATAAAAGTGTCAATTCAGTAATAGGATATAACAATTTTAAATATATATATATATATATATATATATATATATATATATACATTGAACACTGAAGCACCTGAATGTATAAAGCAAATATTATTAGAGCTAAAGAGAGAGACGGATCCTGATATGATAATATCTGGAAACTTCAACACTTCATTATCAACCTTGAATAGATCTCCCAGACAGAAAATCAGCAAAGAAACGTCCAACTTAATCTGCACTATACGCCAAATTTACCTAACATATATTTATATAACATTTCATTCAACAGCTGCACAAAACACATTTTTTTCCTTAGCACATTGATCATTCTCAAGGATAGACCGTATGTTAAGTCACAAAACCAATCTTAAAACATTCAAAAAATTAAATAATATCAAGAAAATAGATTTATTTGGCTTACAATTCTAATGGCTATAAAGTTCAAGATTGGGCATCTGTATTGGTTGATGTCCTCAGATTGCTTCCAGTTATGGTGGAAGTTGAAGGATGGCCAGATTGTGCACAGATCACAGGGTGAGAGAGAAGCAGTGTTGGGAGGCAGGTTCTTTTCAACAACCAGAACTCATAGAATCTAATGGAGCGGGAATTCACTTATTCCTAAAGGAGGGCAGCAATCTATTCACGTGGGACCAGCCACCTTGACAAAAACAGCTCCCATTAGACCCCACCTCCAAAACTGTGAATCAAATTTAAACATAACATTTAGAGAAACAGACATTCAAACCATAGAAACATTATAGACCCTGTGAGACAATGTTACACTATAATGATGATTATCTAATAACTATCATTGACTTGTGTCTTTGTTTTTTGCTACCATAAGAATATAACACACAGGATAACATATGAAGACATTTATTTCCAAACAGTTCAGAGATTAGGAAGTCCAAGATACAGGAGTTAGTGTCTGTTGATGGTGTTTTCACCGCATCATTCTATGGTGGAAGGGCAAAGAGATAATGGGAGAGAGCAAAATATAAACTTGCCCTTTTATAATCAGCAATAAGGCATTCATGAAGGTGGACTTCTCTTGATCTAAACAGCTTCCATTAGTTCTCACCTCCCATCACTGTTGCAATAAGGATTAAGTTTCCAATGCGTTTTTTGTTTGTTTGTTTGTTTGTTTGTTTTTGTAACTTAGGTTAAGGAGTACTTGAGCAGGTTTGTTATATGGGGAAATTGCGTGTCATGAGGGTTTGCTGTGCAGATTATTTTGCCACCCAGGTAATAAGGGTATCACCTGATATGTAGTTTTCTGTTACTCACCTTGCTTTCTTCCTCCACCCTCTAGTAGTCCCTGGTGCCTACTGTTCACTTCTTTGTGCCTACATGGACTCAATATTTAGTTCCCACTTATGAGTGAGAACATGTGGTATTTGGTTTTCTGTTCCTGTTTTAGTTCACTTAGGATAATGTCCTCCAGCTCTATCCATGTTGCTGCAAAGGACATAATTTCATTCTTTTTTATGAGCGTATATTACGTTGGTGCAAAAGTAATTGCAGTTTTTGCCATTACTTTCAATGGCAAACATCACAATTACTTTTGTACTAACCCAATAGTATTCCATGATGTAGACGTACCACATTATCTTTATCCAGTTACCATTGATGGGCATTTAGGTTGATTCCATTCTTTGCTATTTTGAATAGTGTTGTGATGAATATATGCATGCATATGTCTTTGTGTCTTTATGGTGGAGCAATTTATATTCCTTTTAGTATATACCTAATAACGGAATTGCTGGGTTAAATGATAATTCTACTTATAGTGTTTGGGAGATCACCAAACTCCTTTCCACAAAGACTGAGCTAATTTACATAGCCATCAGCAGTGTATAAGCATTCCCTTTGCTCCAAAACCTTGTCAGCATCTGTTATTTTTTGACTTTTAAATAATAACCATTCTGACTAATGTGATATGCTATCTCATTGTGGTTTTGATTTGCATTTTTCTAATAATCGGTGATGTCAACCTTTTTTTATATACTTGTTAGTTGTGTGTATGTCTTTTAAAAAGGGGCTGTTTGTGTTCTTTGTCCACTTTTTAATGGAGCTGTTTGTTTTTTGCTTTTAAATTTGTTTAAGTTTCTTATAGATTCTAGATATTAGACCTTTGTCACATGCATAGTTTGCAAATATTTTCTCCCATTATGTAGACTGTCTGTTTATTCTGTTGATAGTTTATTTTGTTGTGCAGAAGCTCTCTAGTTTAATTAGGTCCCATTTGTTAACTTTTGTTTTTGTTACAATTGCTTTTGGCATCTTTATCATAAAATTTTTGTCAGATCCTATATCCATAATGGTATTTCCCAGGTTATTTTTCAGGGTTTTTATAGTTTTAGGTTTTCCATTTAAGTTTTTAATCCATCTTGAGTTGACTTTAGTATATGGCATCAGGAATTTATCCAATTTCAATTTTTTGCACATGGTTAGCCAGTTATCCCAGCACCATTTATTGAATATTGAAGTCCTTTTACCGTTGCTTGTTTTTCTCAACTTTGTTAAAAATCAGATGGTTGTAGGTGTGTGGCTTTATTTCTGGGGTCTATATTCTGTTCCATTGGTTTCTGTGTCTGTTTTTGTACCAGTACCACGCTGTTTTGGTTACTGCAGCCCTGTGCTGTATTTTGATGTCAGGTAATGTGATACCTCTGGCTTTGTCTTTTCTGCTTAGGATTGCCTTGGCTATTCAGGTTCTTTTTGGTTTCACATAAATATTAAAATACTTTTTTTTCTAATTCTGTGATAAATATCATAAGTAGTTTGGTAGGAATAACACTGAATCTGTAAATTGCTTTGGGCAGTATGACCATTTTATTAATGTTGTATTTTCCAATCCATGAGCATAGAATGTTTTTCCATTTATTTTTGTCTTCTCTGGTTTCTTTGAGTATTGTTTTTTAATTCTCATTGTAGAAATTTTTCCCCTACCTGGTTAGATGTATTCTTAGATCTTTTATTCTTGTGCGGCAATTCTGAATGAGTGTGCATTCTGAATTTGGTTCTCAGCTTAGTTCATTTTTCTATGTTGAACCTTCCCTTTATCCTAGGAATACAGTTACATCTTGAACAACCTCCATGTTGTTCAAGTGTCAACTGTATACATGTATAATCTTTTTAGTGTGCGATTGGATTCTGTTAGCTACTATGTTATTGTGGACTTTTGCATCAGTATTTATTAGAAATTTGGTTTATAGTTTTCTTATTTTATGGTATCTTTTTCTGGCCTTGATATTGGGATAATGCTAGACCAACAGAATGCATTTAGAAGTACTCTCTACACTTCCATTTTTGGAAAATTTTAAAGGGTGTTAGTGTCAATGTTTTAATTGTTTCCTAGAGTTCACCAGTGAAATTATGTTCTCCTGGTCTTTTTCTTGTTGGGATGTTTGTAATTATTGATGCCATCACCTGACTACTAATAAGTCTTTTGTGATTTTCTATCTCTTAGTAGTTTAGTTTTGATATTTGTGGTTTTCTAGGAATTTGTTCATTTCATGTAGTTTACCATACAAAAATTTATGTTCTCTTTTTTATTTCTATAAAAACAGTCTTACTATCTGCTTTCATTTCTGTTTTCAGTTACTTGAGACATTTATATTTTTCTTAGTCAATATAGCTAAAGTTTTGTCAATTTTGCTGATCTATTTGAGGAACCAGTTCTTGGTTTCATCAGTTTTCTCGATTGTTTTTCAATTATTTATTTCTGCTTTAATTGTTATTATATCCTTTCCTCTGCTAGCTTTGTGTTTAGTTTGTTCTTCTTCTAGTTCCTTGAGATATATATTCAGGCTATGGATTTGATATCTTATTTTTTAATAAAAGCATTTTCAGCTATAAATGCACCTCTTAGTACTACTTTTACTGCATTCCATAAGTTTTGATATGTTGAGTTTTTATTTTCATTTCAAGATATATTTTAATTTTCCTTATAATTTATTCTTTGTTCCATTGGTTGTTTAAAACTGTGTTTAATTTCTACATATTTATAGATTTTCAATTTTTTTCTGCTTTTGATTTAGTTCTATTCCATTGTGATCAAAACAGATACATAATACAATTTAAATATTTTTAAATCTATTAAGACTCTCTTTTTGTTTATCCTCAGTATTATTTCTTGAACACTTGAGAAAAAATGTATGCTGCTATTTTTGAGTGAATTTTTATATATCTCTGTTAGTTTCAATTGGCCAATAGTAGTTTTTCTTTGAGTCTTCTAGTTTTTTTATGGAAGTTATGGGTAGTTTTTCTGTACAATATTGTAAATGAGGTACCAAAGTCTCCTATTACTACTGTAGAGATGTGTATTTCTTCCCTCAATTCTGGTCAATCTATGCTCCATATATTTAGGACATCTGATGTTGGTGCATATATGTCTGTAATTGTTATAATTTCCTATTGAATTGAGTTTGTTATAATTATGTACATAATGTCCTTCTTTGTCTCTATTAATAGTTTCTTTTGAAGGAATCATTAGAGTTTCCTATGTATACAGTCATATTATTCACAAACACTGATAGTTTGACTACCTCTTATCCAATGTGGATGCCCTTTATTTCTTTCTCTTGTCTGATTGCTCTGGCTAAGACTCCAGTAGTCTGTTGAATAGAAGTGGTGAGAGTGGGCATCCTTGTTTTGTTCCAGTCTGGTTTGTTCATGCTTTCAACGTTTCCCCCATTGAGTATGAATCTGGCTGTAGTTTTGTCATATATGCCTTTATTATTTTGAGGTAAGTCCCTTTTATGCTTAGTTTGTTCAGAGTTTTTATTATAAACAGATGCTGAATTTGACTGAAGTCTTTCTGCTTCTATTGAGTTGATCATACGGTTTATATTTTTACTTCTTTTTAATCTGATGTATCAAATCTATTGACTTTTATATATTAAAGTATCCTTGGATCCCTGGGATGAAACCCACTTGATCTTGGTGTATTATCTTTTTGATGTGCTGTTGAATTCAATTAGCTAGTACTTTGTTGAGGATTTTTGCATCTATGTTCATCAGAAATATTAGTCTGTAGATTTCCTTTTTGTTGTTGTTTTGTCCTTTTCTGGTTTAGGTATCAGGGTGATACTAGCTTCAGAGAATAAGCCATGGAGAATTGTTTCTTTCTCAATCTTTTGGAATAGTTTCAGTAGGATTGGTACCAATTCTTCTCCGAATGTCTGGTGGAATTCAACCATGAATTTATCTGCTAATGGACTGTTTTTTTGGCAATTTTTAAATTCCTGATTTCATCACATTGCTTGTTATTTATCTGTACAGGGTTTCTATTTCTTCTTCATTTAATCTAGAAGGGTTGTATGTTCAGGAGTTTTTCCATTTTCTCTAGATTTTCTAGTTTGTATGTATAAAGGTGTTCAGAATGGTCTCAAATAATATTTTGTATTTATGTGGTGTCAGTTGTTATGTCTTCATTTTTATTTCTAGTTGAAGGTATTTGATTCTTCTATTTTTGGTTAATCTATCTAGTGGTCTATCAAATTTGTTTGTCTTGTAAAAGAACCAACTTTCTATTTTATTGATCTGTATTTTTTTGTTTCAAATTCATTTAGTTATTCTCTGATATTTGTTGTTTCTTCTCTTCTGCTAGCTTTGGGTTTAGTTTGCTCTTGTTTCTCTAGTTTTTAATGTGTGACATTTGGTTGTCAATTTGCGATCTTTTAAACTTTTTGATGTAGGCATTTAGCACTTCAAATTTTCACCTTAGCATTGCTTTTGCTGTTTCTGGGAAATTTCGAGATCTTGTGTCACTATTTACACTGTGGGCATTAAAAAAATTTTTTAAGTGTCACTCTTATCATTTATTTATTTATTTATTTTTGGAGATGGAATCTCTTTTGCTTAGGCAAGAGTGCAGTGGCATGATCTTGGCTCACCACAACCTCTGACTCCCAGGTTCAGGCGATTCTCCCACCTCAGCCTCTGGAGCAGTTGACATTACAGGTGCATGCCACCACACCCAGCTAATTATCATTTATTTTAATCTTCACTTTGTTTTCATTGTTAACCTAAAAATCATTCGGGAGCAAATTGTTTAATTTCCATGCATTTCTACCATTTTGAGGGTCTTTTTGGAATTGATTTCTAATTTAATTTCACTGTGGTCTGAGAAGTTACTTGATATTTATTTGATTTCTTAAAATGTGTTGATACTTACTTTGTAGCCTATAATTTGGTCTATCTTGGAGAATGTTCCATGTCCTGATGAGAAGAATGTAAGTTCTGAAATTCTTGGGTAAAATGTTCTGTAAATATCTTTAGGTCCACTTGTCCTAGAGTGTAGTTTAAGCCCATTATTTCTTTGTTGACTTTCTGTCTCAATGATTGGTGTAGTGCTGTCAGTGGAGTGTTGTTGTCCTCCACTATTAGTGTGTTGCTGTCTATCTCTTTTCTTAGGTCTAGTAGTAATTGTTTTATAAATCTGGGTGCTCCAGCGTTAGGTGCATATAAATTTAAGATTGTAATACTTTCTTGTTAAATTGATTTTTTATCATTATATAATAATGTCTTTTTTTTTTACTTGTGTTCCTTTAAAGTCTGTTTTGTCTGATACAAAAATAGATATTCCTGCTTGCTTTTGATTTCTATTTGCATGGAGTATCTCTTTCTACCCCTTTATCGTGACTTTATGTAAATCCTTGCATGTTAGGTAAATCTCTTGAAGATGACAGATATTTGGTTTTGATTTTTTTTTAATCTATTCTGCCAATCTGTACCTTTTAAGTGGAGTATTTAGGCCACTTACATTAAATGTCAATGTTGAGATATGAGATACTGTTCTAGTAATTATGTTAATTTTTCCCTAGATATGTTTTTTTCGTTGTGTTATTGTTTTATAGGCCCTGTGAGTTTTATGCTTTCAGGAGGTTCTAGTCTGGTGCATATCAAACTTTTGTTTCAACATTTTGAACCCCTTTTAACATTTCTTGTAGGGCTAGTTTGGTAGTGACAAGTCCTTCAGCATTTGTTTGTCTGAAAATGATTTTATTTATCCTTCATTTATGAAACTTGGTTTTGCTGAACACAAAATTTTTGGCTTACAGCTATTCTGTTTAAGGAGACTAATGATGAGACCCCAGTCCCTTCTGGCTTGTATGGTTTCTGCTGAGAAGACTGCTTTTAATTTGAGAGGTTTTCCTTTATAGGTTACTTGATGCTTTTGTCTCACTGCTCTCTGAATTATTTCCTTTATGTTGATTTTAGATGGCTTGATGACTATAAGCCTTCATGATGTCCTTTTTGCAATCAGTCTCCCAGGAGTTCTTTGAGCTTCTTGTGCTTGAATATGTAAATCTCTAGTAAGCTAAAAAAAAGATTTCCTCAATTATTTCCTCAAATAAGTTTTCTGAACATTTTGCTTTCTCTTCTCCCTCAAGAATGCCAGTTATTCTTAGTTTTGGCCTTTTTGCATTATCCCATATTTCTTGAAGATTTTGTTCATTTATTTTGACCCTTTTTTCTTTAATTTTGTCTAATTGGGTTAATTTGAAAGCCTTGCTTTTGTGCTCTGAAATTCTTTCTTCTACTTGTTTTAGGTCATAGTTAATATTATCCACTGCATTTTGTAATTCCCTAAATGTGTCTTATAATTATTTTTATAATTATTATATTACATTATATTATTAGTATTTCTTCTAATTATTGTTGAGTTTATTTTTGATTTGTCTGTGCTTCATGTAATCTTTTTGCCTTAATTATATTACTTTAATGCTTTTAGTTTGTTGTAGCTTAATTTGGCTCTTTATGCTTTCAGGGATGAAGACTGTATGAGGTTTTTGGTTACAGAGTCTTTGTATGGTGCTGGTTATATTAGCCATGTGCTCAGTGTTTGAGCAAGTTCACTGTTTCCTACGCGATTGGAATGACAGAGGTCTCTTGAAGCATATCTCATTCCCCTATGGTGTACATCTATTCATTTTTCCCCTAGGATTTCATTTACTGCATTATATAGTTCAGGTTTCAGGCCAGTAGCTGTGGTGTCCCTGAGTAGAAACCGTTTGTGGCTAAAGCTAATTGAAATATGTAATGGTGGGCAAAGATCCAAGCACTGACAGACATGCCTCGGGAAGCTCTCAGTAGAATGCATTGGGTTCTTGTCAGGGGGAAGGGTTGGAGCAAACTCACCTCCCCTCTCAGGCCACTAGCAAAGTGATCCACCTCACAGACACACTTCTGACCTAGTGTTCCGGCTATTCAGATTACACAGCCACCTCTTTACATCTGCAAGAATGTTGATTTTCCAAGTAGAGAGGCACTGTGGCTTTAGTTCTTGTGCAAGCCTGAACCTGGAGGATGCTCCTCCTTTGGCCATGCAGTCACCCTGAAGTGTTCCACAAAGGCTGTCTACACATACATGCACACACACTGACCTCCCATGGGGGAAGCCCTAGCTGTGTCTTTAGTGGTGAATGAGGAAAAAGAAGTTCCCTTCTACAAGACCCTTCCTGATCACCGGGGCTGCCTGACTGTTGGGATAGAGTTACAGGCTTTACCCACTGAGCCCAGGACTACAACTGTGCCTCTCCTGAAACTTCTTAAGCAGACTTAAGTCCTGCTGTCTGGATTCTTTTGTCCCATGGGGTGTCCCTGAGAGCCAGGTTACTATGAATACTGATGCTTCTCTGGGCTTAGCCACCCAGTTGGGCTGTCACACTCTAGGTTGGTGCTGGGGAATGTTTGCAAGATATCCAGTGATGTGACCATCTTCAAGTCTCCCAGTGCTGACTACCAGCACCAGCTCTGATAGGGGTGGCAGGGGAGTGGTGTAGACTCTGTGATTCTTGGTTATAATTAGCCTTAGTGTGATTTTTCCTCAAATGCCAGTTTTAGTAGTAATGAACTGGTAATGTGGACAAACTCAGGACTTCCTGCCAGGGTGGTGCAGGCAATAATGATAGCTGAGGTCATCCACAAGTTTTCTCCTTCCTAGGTGCAGTGTTATTCTACCTGCAGGTGCTGTAATGGACTGTATCAGTTGGCCTCCAGCCAGGGGGTGGCACTTGAAAAAAAGCCCCAGCTGTGGTAATAGCATTGAAATTTGGGCTTGCCTTATATTACGTAGGGAGGTATTCTGGTTTCTCACGTGGTGGGTCGGGTTACAGACCTCCCAAAATTGTGTGTGTGTGTGTGTGTGTATGTTTGTGTGTGTGTGTGTGTTAAGCTACCAGGGCAGGTGGAGGGACAAAGCCAGATGGGGGCTGAGTCAGGCAGGTCTGTGCTCTGGCTTTCCACATACAGGACAGGCAGCAGCCTTTTTGGGGGTAGGGAGGGTGGTTCTCTGGCCACTGGAGTACTTTTTTAGGGAGAAGAATAGCTGCACCTGCTGCACAGAAAAGCTCATGCAGGGAGTGGGGAGTAGCAGGTGGCTGTAAGCCCCATCCATCTCCTACACACTTGGCAATGCATGTCTCACACCTGCAGTGTTCTGCTAGCAGCAGATAGCTAATTTCCAGGCAGTCTATGCTCAGAACTCAAAGTTGCACCAAACCATAAGCCTTCCTTCAGAGACGGCAACTTCAGCTTTCAGGCCACACCCCTCCCAGTCCACCTGCAAGGCCAGGACACCCAGCTCCTATACTCATGGCTGCAGTACACTTCCTGCTTGTCTCCTGGTTCCAGCCAAGGAAGTTTGCCCCCAATCAAGATTATAGCAAGTATTTTAGTTGGAAGCTTTTCTCAACCTGTGACCACTGACTGAGTTAGCTAGCTTACTTCCAAAAAGTCCCCTGTGACAAAGAATTGGGAATGGCTTCCCTTGGTCTGTGCTGGAGACAAGGAATGCCCACAAGGCTCTTTCTGCTGCTGCTCCTACTTTTATATCCCCTGCTGTTCCCTAAATCAATTCCAGTGCTGGGTAGGATTAAGACCTTCCCTTGTGGGCTGTATTGTCAGGTTCCCCAGTGGGGCTCTATATCCTGGAGGCAGTCGTCTCCCTCTCACACTCTGGCGACTTTGCAGTTTTTTGCCTGGCTCACAGTCTAAGCTGCAGCCTGATGCTTCTTTCAAAGGGTCTGTGGTTTCTTTCAGTTTTCCAGTTAAATTCCTGTGTTACTTCTTGGAATAACGTTTATAGTGTGAATCTCTATGCCATATTTTGTCTTTCCAAGTGGGAGAGGCATGCTAACATTGCCTCCAATTCACCACCTTAGAAAAAAAATCACATTGTTTTCTTCCTGTGTTTTATGAATATGAAAAGTGCTGCATTTTTCCTTATGTGAATGTATTTCTATCACATAGATTCCCTGATGTATAATTGCTGAAAGAGAAAAGATAAAGAGAAATAGACCAACAGAATGAGAGAAGAGAGCAAAAAAGAGGGGGAAAAGGAGAGAAAGGGAGGGAGGAACTGACAGACAGAAAAGGGAGGAAGGAGGGAGAACCAAGTACATTAAGAGTGGCAGAGGAATGAGGGTACATTTCCATTTAATTTTTATAGCTCTAACAAGCTTACCTTTTCAAACGGATTATAAAAATTTATAAATCTACTGCTAATGAATAAGAGTATCATTTTTCACAGATCCTTACCAGGAATGCTTACCTAGGAGAGCAATAGTTATTGTTATTTTTCTCATTTTTCTATTGAGCTTTTTGTCTTTTTTTAACTAGAAAAATGTGTACCTTTTCAGTAAAAAAGTTCTGTCCCCTGTTTTGCATACAATTTTTCCTGATTTATCATTTATCTTTTGACTTTTTATATTGCATCTGTTGTCATAGAAAAAAATTATTTTTTATAGCCAAGCATTTCTTTCTTTTCTTTTATAGCTTCTGTGTTTCCTGTCTTAAAAAATTCTCCCCTCCCAGGTTATTGGTTGTATATATAATTTAAAATATCGAAATATGTTATTGCTTTAGATTTTACATTTACATATTTAATATATCTGGAATTTATTTCCGAATATGATATTCCATAGAAGTTCTATTTTTTTACTCCCAGATACATAACAACTTGTGCTAATTCCATTTATTGAATGAAACATCTTTCACTATTTGAATAAAATAATGCTTTATATATGGTTGAATATTATATACAAGGATCTACCTCTGGGCTCTCTTTCTGTCCTAATGATCTATTTATTCATACTTTTGCCAGTACCATGTTGTTTTGGTATGTTTGAACGCTAAGCTCCTTCTTAGTTTTTCCATGCCTCTGTATGTCCGTGTTTTTGGCTATTCTAAATTATTTGACTTTTTAGTTGAATCTTAAGAGAGTTTTACCCAATTTGACCTTAAATCTGTGTGTTGGAATGTATATCCAAAAATGGCCATATGCCACAATCTCTTCTTACAATCTTTTTACAATGTAACTTTGATTCTGCTTTTGATTGTCAAATGTGACAATTTGTGATTTTCAAGCATAAGCCATAACACTTTTGTTTGTTTTGCTCACGTTTCTTTTTCACAGAATCCAGGCAACTTACCATGAGAAAATCCATGCAGCCATGCAGGGAGACCCGCTTAAGGAGGGACTGAGGAACCAAAGTCCGTGGCTCACAGACTCAGCTGAACTCCGAGTCAGCTCCAACTTGCCAGCCAGTTGATTGAACAACTTGAAGTGAAAGATTCCAGTTAAAATCCAATATTAAATAAGTTAAAGATTGGATAAAATGACTCTAAATTTCGTATGAAAGAGTAAACATCTGGGAATAATCATTATCTATTTTTCAAAACTCTGCACTCATTTCCACACAGTGAAAGAGAATATATATAGTTTCTGAGTTTAAAAAAGCTACAGTTTAGTTATTTATTTATTTATTTTTATTATTATACTTTAATTTCTAGGGTACATGTGCACAACATGCAGGTTTGTTACATATGTATACATGTGCCATGTTGGTGTGCTGCACCCATTAACTCATCATTTATATCAGGTATTTCTCTTAATGCTATCCCTCCCCCTTCCCCCACCCCACGACAGGCCCCCATGTGTGATGTTCCCCTCCCTGTGTCCAAGTGTTCTCATTGTTCGATTCCCATCTATGAGTGAGAACATGCGGTTTGGTTTCCTGTTCCTGTGTTAGTTTGCTGAGAATGATGGTTTCCAGCTTCATCCATGTCCCCGCAAAGGACATGAACTCATCCTTTTTTATGGCTGCATAGTATTCCATGGTGTGTGTGTGTGCCACATTTTCTTAATGCAGTCTATCATTGATGGACATTTGGGTTGGTTCCAAGTTTTTGCTATTGTGAATAGTGCTGTAATAAGCATACATGTACACACATGTATATCATATATATATGTACGTATCTTGGCTATTGTGAATAATGCTTCAAGGAACATGGAGGTGCACATCTCTTCCAGAGATTGTAATTCCGTTTCCTTCAAATGTATATTCAGAGTTGGAAATGTTGGATCAAATGATGGTTTTATTTTTATTGAGGAACCTCCATACTGTTTTCCATAATAGCTATACTAATTTACGTTCCCATCAACAGTGTACAAGATTTCTCTTTTCTCCCATCCTTTCCAGCATTTGTCATTTATATTTTAATAATAGGCATCCTAGCAGGTTGGAGTTATATCTCATTGTGGGTTTCACTTGCATTTTCTTAATGATTAGTGATTTTGGGCACCTTCTCATATAACTGATACTCATTTTTGTCTTTTCTATAGAGGAATATTTATTCAGGTCTTTTGCCCATTTTTAAATCAGGTCTCTGTTTTGTTTTGTTTTGTTTTTGCTACTAAGTTGTGTTAGCTCCTTACAAATTTTGTATATTAACCCCACACCAGACATATGTTTTGGAAATATTTTCTCCCAGTGTGTAGGTTGCAACTGTCTATAGCAAAGACAATTCTGAAGAAAGCTTACGGCTGAGGACTGTCTAGTGGCAAAATTCTGAGTAGCTGGGTGATTATATTCTTTATTCCTGAAATCTAATCTGAAGGGGAAGTATAGTTTCCAATACAGAGTTCAGTTTCATTTTTCATGCAAAGAAATAATCAGATTACTTAAAAGACTAAAGAAAGAAACACACAAGTAAATGAAGCTCTGTTAAATTTTATTACAGACACATGTGTAAAGTGTTTACCAATCACACCACAAGCAATGAATCTTAAGGCAAAATAAGTTTTTATATCTTGGGAATAGATGAAAGAAAATCCACTACGATGACAGGATATTATTATAAGCCATTCATGTGTAGTGTGGGATTATTATTAAAACATTGTGTCATGCACAATCACCATTGAATTGTTGTGTCATAGTCTATTTGACAGAATATTTTTTCTTAAAAGTATATAAGATAATTCATCTTAGAATCAATGCCATATTATATTTGATGAAGTAAGTTATATGTGAATGCTATTTTTAAAATCTAAACATTATGAATAAGATATAAAATGAAAAGAAAGCATCCAGTTTCTCTTCTTTTCTTGTTCGTAAGTTTTTCTCATGAAATAAACAACTATTAATAGTTTTCAAGAGACTATTGTTTTCTTCAACAGTTTATTTTGTAAATTTTCAATTCTACAGGACAAGTGACGCATACTAGAGTGAGAGCGCTTCCTATAATTTTTATCTATGTACACACTCATACACACACACACACACACACACACGGACACATTTGTGAGGGGAGATAAATCATTTGAAATTATGTTTCAGATATCTTAAAATTATATATATATATATATTCAACATGTATCTCCTAAGATAAAGACACACAAGACACCATTACCACACCCAAAATACTGAAAGAATAATCACATTTAAAATACAATATGTGTTAAAATTTCTTCAAATTCACAAAAATATTCTGTAGAGCTGCCCTCCACCCATTAAAAGGAAATAGTACTGAACACTTGTTAAAAATGGCAAGACATATTTAATTTGAGCCATTGCAGTAGGGGGAGAGATTTCAGTACAGAACTGAGCTCAACTTCAAATACAGCAAGGGAAGCTGGGGATTCACAGCCGAAGGGCAAGGTGAGAGTCAGTGAATAGAAAATTACTAAAAAGAATTTGATTAGATATCAAGGGTAGGGGAAGAGAAACTTGATTAGATATTGTGGCAAAAAAACTCCAACTGTTTTTCCTCTGCTCTCTCAGCACAACAATAAACACAGAAGACTTCTGTGACCAAATATCGATGGGTTGGGGGGTGGTTCTTCCTATTTTAAGCAAGCCATCAGTTCTGCAACAGACACCGAGTGTCCTTCAATTCAATTCCTGCACTATTTATCTGGAAATAGCATCAGGTTCCACAGGTTGATTGCTCCATCCCAAGACTGTCCCACACTTCAGACACCAGCAGCAAGTCAGGTCTCTGGAACTTCTGACTAATCAGCTTCAAGTTGATCGTCCCACGATGTCCTCTTTGGGTTTGATTAATTTGCTAGAGTAGCTCACCGAACTCAGGGAAACACCTATGTTTGCCATTTTATTATAAAGGATATTACAAAGGATAGGCACAAAGAGATGCATAGGGAAAGATATAGTGGGTAGTGGCATTGAGCCTCCATGCCCTCCCCAGGTGCACCACCCCCAGGAATCTCCATATGTTCAGCTATCTGGGAGCTCTGCTAACCCTGTCCTCTTGGGCCTTTTATAGAGACTTCATTGGATAGGCATGAGTGACAACCAAGCAGAAATGTAATTAGGCAAAAAGTTTTGATCTAATATTAATAGACTGAGTGGGGAAGCCCAGCAAGGTCTGTCTTTTCAGATTCCTCTGGTCTCTCCTTGCAGCATTTCTTCCTCCAGGGTATGAAGCAGGACCCTCTCTGGAGTAATGGTCTTATGACTCAACAATTAGACTAGAGTCCTGCCTTGGGCAGGTGGAGGGAGGGCAATGGAAGGTCAGAAAGACAGAATCTGTTTTCCGAGGCTTGCTACTGAGGCATAAAATGTCCCCAAATTATAGCAAGGGTTATGGGAATTATGAGCCAGGGACCATAAACAAAAAATCTTTATATATATATATACACACACACATACAAAATACATACATACACACACACTGTATATATATAATACCACAGGTATCAAGGGTAATGCTATTATCAATAAGCTGACTCAGCACAATTATTTGCTAAAACTGGGCTTTTCAGCCCAAGGACAAGGCTTCCTAGTTGAGAAGTAAGCTCAGATCAGCCTCATTAAAGTTTGGTCAAGAAAATAGTCCTCGTCACCTCCCACACCCAAACCAGAATCTAATCAATAAACAGGCATTGCACTTGGTTTTTGCTTTGTTCTGAATGTTTGTCTCCCCCAAATAGGCTGAAATCCTTACCCACAAATTGAATGTATTAGGAAGTGGAGCCTTTTGGGAGGTGATTACGTCATGAGGTCAGAGCTCGCATGTGCTTTTAGTGCCCTTGTAAAAGGCCTAAGAGAGCTCATTTGCTCCTTTCACTATGTGAGAACACAACTAGACGGTGCCGTCTATCAACCAGAAAGTGGAACCTCACCAAACACTAAATATGCTGGAGCTTTAGTCTTGTGCTTTCCAGTCTCTAGAACTTTGAGAAATAAATATCTGTTATTTATAGACCACCCAGTTTCTGGTATTTTGTTAGAGTGGCCCAAATGGACTAAGACAGTTGTTAGGCTCCTTTTATTAGAAATAGTTCCTCCACATGTACGTGTCTTTTGGCATCTTGAAGAGTCCAGGGCAGTTACTTTTTAGAATTCCTACAACATGGATACACCTAATTGTTTCACCACGATTCAATTCAGACTAAGCATTTCAATAAAACTATTACAGAGGTCATGCTTTACAGACTATCTAGAGGTTGAGAAACAAAAGCTCTCTTTAAGCAGTATTATACAAGAAAATGAGACATGAGGTGCTATTAATTTGGAAAATCCCATTTTCTTCCCAAATAGACATGGCAGTTCCAGGGAATTAATATACATTCTAGGGCTTGTATTTCAAATAAAATAAAATTAGGAAAGCCTTCCCATTTCCAACATGTTTTTTTTTAATTATTATTATGAGTATATAATAGTTATATATATTTATGGGGTAAATGTGATATTTTGATATAGGTATATAATATATAATGACCAAATCAGGGTAATTGGGGTATGCATTATCTCAAGTATTTATCATTTATTTGTGTTAGGAAAATTCCAATTCTACCCTTTTTGCTATTTTAAATTATACAATATATTACTGTTAACTACAGTCACCCTATTTTGCTACTGAATACCAGATCTTATTCATTCCATCTAACTGTATTTTCATACCCATTAGCCATCCCCACTTTATGCCCCCTTCTCTGCTACCCTTTGCAGCCTCTGGTAACTGTCATTCTACTCTTTATCTCCATGAGTTCATTTTTTTTTTTTAACTCCCACGTATGAGTGATGACATATTTGTCTTTCTATGCCTGGCTTATTTTCCTTAAAATAATGTCCTCCACTTCCATCCATTTTATTTTCAATATCATGATTTTATTCTTTTATGGCTGAATAATATTCCATTGTGTATACAAAATTCAACAACTCTGCTTCCCCCTGAGATATAGCGACCTACTGGTCACTATAAATATCCACAGAAATAGTGACTATTTCACAAAAGTGTTTCTCTACCGAGACATGATGTCAACTGAGGTCACTCAGTGATTTTCAGCTAACAGCTGGTTATCTCTGGAGGGTCCAAAATATCAGCAATGGCTAGAAGCTGCACATATCTAAGTTATTCTCTCTCTCGCTCACTCGCTTGCTCACTTGCTGTTTC
This sequence comes from Homo sapiens, assembly GCF_000001405.40. NCBI lineage: Eukaryota > Metazoa > Chordata > Mammalia > Primates > Hominidae > Homo > Homo sapiens. Next base: position 92,658,277 of record NC_000023.11, on the reverse strand, counting down.
TATCATTTCAGAGCTTGTGCGAGTCTTCTCCATGGCACAGTAGTAGCACTTCGGGGCTCCAGGCAAGTGTTCTGCTGGGCAGGAAGTGGAACCTACCAATCTTTTAAGGACTGGGCCTAGAATCTGGCACAGCATAGCGTCTGTTGTATTCTAATGGTCAAAGCAGTTAGGGAATCCACCCAAATTCAAAGTCAGTATTATAGATCTCCCTCTCAATGGCAGTAGCATCAAAGAATCTGTGGGTATATTTAACTTGCCACACTCCCCTATATATAGTATACTATTTTTTATTTTTAAAATTACAGTGAGTTGAAAAATTTAGTAAAGTAGTAAAGTCTTTGGCGAAAGACTTTTGTCACCCTTTTAGTCTCTATCAAATGAACAACAGTGTTTTTGCTTTCTTCCTAAAACTGAGAAACATTGGTTGTTTAAATATGTAATATCCGGCCTTTATTGCTTACTTGTGATTGGGGTGTCTAACAGCACTCAGACTTTATCTAGCACTTTGGACTTTGCACTCTGCAGGAAATTTCTAGATTATGGTCTTTGTAAATAAAAGAACAGTTTTGGTTTTTTTAAAAAATGCCTCTTAATTGAATATTTTAACAGTTTTTTGGTTTTTTTTTTTCACTTCAATTTGTAGGAGCTCTCTGTATTAGTGTTGTTAAATCTTACTCTGTCATTCATTTTTCCAATATTTCTGCTCAGTCCATTCTTCATATTTTGTCTTTGTTTATGGTATCTTTACCAAACGCTATTTATTTAGGTAACCAAAATTTCCATATTATGCTTTATGCATTATGGATTAACTTACTGGCCTAATCATTCTCTTCAATCTTATCCTAAGTTTATATAAACATTTTACTAAATTTCCTCCTAATGTTAATATTACTATTTACTGTTATATCTACTACTATTAATACTTAGTACTCTTATTATATCTATTACTATCATTATCATTGTTATGTTTTATATTTTAGTCTAAGATACTATAAGTTTTATGATTCATCTCATTTTGTGTACCACGAAGAAAGAAAATGGCACTGGCAGTCCAACTGATACAATGCTTTCTTATCATTTATTACTTTATTTCATTAAAGACTTTAAAACACTTATTTAGATATAGTTTTTATAATGTACACCTGTACATTCATGAAAAGAAAAACATAAGGAGAAAATTGATTAAAGTACCCCAGCATGCAGGCACGTGCCTGTAGTCCCAGCTACTCAGAAAGCTGACGTGGGAAAATCCTTTGAACCCAGAAGTATGAGGTTTAAGTGAGCCATAATCATGCCACTGCACTGTAGCCTGGGTGACAGAGTGAGATTCTGTCTCAAAAAAATGCTGTTATAATTTCTTTACACCAAAGGTCCAACTGTTCTGAATCTTTTTTTTTTTTCAACTCACAGTCATGGATTTATTATTTATTTATTATTTAGCCACATAATACTGACCCCTTTGTCATTAACAGTTACTTCACTATTATCTACTTAATTTTCTTAGGAACCTCAGGCACCCATTCTGTAAGTTTTAATGTGTTCTTTTTCTTGGTCTTACCAGTAGGTATCAATGGACTCATTTCATCATCAAGTGGTTTTTATATGATTTACCGAATGAAATTTCAAGGAGTAAAGCTATGTAGTTATTTTACCCAAAATGACAATCAAATTGACAGTTGTGTTGGCAATGGCAACTATGTCATGATTGCCATCTATCCGTGAGCAATTGCAAGACATCATTAGATTGTAAGATACATTCTATTTCAAATGAGTTATAATATGAAAAATAATTATGCATCTTAAAATAGATGTAATACTCTATATTATTCTGTTTCTTATTAGGTATTAAACCCATTTGGCACTTGCTTTTATATGCGGTAAGACTTAAGGATCTTGCTACATATTTGTTCCAATGAACAGTAGCATATTTTAAGAGATCATTACATGAAAATTCTTGTTTCCCCCGAAGGTGGAAAGCAACTGAAAGTTAGATACAAAATATTGTATCAGTATACAAGATACTGACGAAAATGTCAGCTTTATTACCAATGCAGACGATAAGAGGAAAACTACAGATCTCTACATACCACTTTCCTCTCCTCCTAAGTATAGACCAGAACTATAAAAAAATTATATAATGATTAAAATGCCCCATAATTCCAGTCTCCAATGTGATAGCCACTAGCCTTGATGATGAAATGAGTCCATTGATACCTGTGGCTATGGAGTGCAGAAAAAAGGTCTAGTGTAAATAGAGAATTGAATTTTTATTTGATTCAGTTTTACCTGGTTTAAAAATAAATAGCCACGTTTGCCATATGACTATTATATTAAACAGTGCAGGTGTAGAATATGCCATTAGTTCTATGCAATTAATAACCATGGACCAATGGATACCATCTACCATTAGGAGACCTTCTTGTCTTAGGAGAAGAATGAATAAGCAGTAGATTGAGAATAAATTTGTTTATATATCTGAAAGTTGTCTGCATGGAATATATTCTATGGAAACTTGAGGTTATAGAAATATATGAATTCCCTTGTTACACATAGCCATGGGTGGTGACACAATATATTAAATAACTAATTAGGCCTCAAATAGCAGTAGTATGACTAACATCTAGCATAGTTAGTTTTCTATTGCTACCTAACTATATTACCAACACTTAGTGACTTAAAACAACACATATTTATTATCTCTCAGTTATTGTTGGTGAAGGTTCTTGTCATGGCTTTATTGGGTGTTCTGCAAGGCTGCAATCATGATGTTGGCCAGGACTGAGTTCTCATCTGAAAGCTCACCTGGGAAAGAATCTGATTTCAAACTAATATGGTTTTCAGCAATATGCAGTTTCTTGCAGGCTGTTAGACTAAGAGCTTCAATTTCTTTCTGACTTTCAGTCAGAGGATGCTTTCAGTTTATTCCCATGTGGCTCTCTCCATAAGACAGCTCACAACATGGCAGCTTTCTTCTTAAAAGCCAGCAAGGGAGAGAGTGATTCTGATGCATGTTCAAGGTTGATGATCACTGCATTTTCCCCACAGAATTGAAATGCTAACCGTGTCATACATGTGTAAGAGATTGCTAGTTGTCTATCAATATCTGTTCTCCCCTTCTTTTATAGTTTGATATCCTCCACTTGTCAGCAAGGCACATGACTGCCTAAAAATAAATATTTCATTTCGGGCTGATCTTGTACTACATATGGCTAAGACAAATTCTAGGTGAGTATGTAGACTTCTCTGAAAGTGACCTTAAAAGGATGGAGTTTTGCCCTTATTTTTCCTTTTTTTCTTTCTTGCAGACTGTAATCCAGGTGGGATGAATGAAACAGAAGCAGCTGCCTTGGATCATGAATGACCTTGAGAATTGAGACCACACAATATAACAAAAAAAAGATAGAAGGAGTCAATATCACTGACACAGTAGCATTGCATACCAGACTTAAATTTTTTCTCCAGATGAATGAGGAAAGCAACATTTTCTTTTTAAAGCCACTGGTATTTTGGGTCTCTTGGAGTAAAGCTTAATCCTAACATTATATATGTACTTGGATCTATTTCCCTCTAATCTTTAACTTTCAAAGTTCTATTTTTCTATTTCTGTCTCAGTCATATCATATCACATGGACTATATTTGTATAGTAAATTTTTACATCTGGTGAGGCAATTCTCTCTCCTTATTAATCTTATTTTTAAGAAAATATTTGCTTGAATTTTAAAGTAATTTTATGTGCTTCACCCACTTTTTGATGGGGTTATTTGCTTTTTTCTTGTAAATTTGTTTAAGTACCTTGTAGATTCTGGATATTAGACCTCGGTCAGATGAATAGATTGCAAAAAATTTCTCCCATTCTGTAAGGTTGCCTGTTCACTCTGATGATAGTTTCTTTTGCTGAGCAGAAGCTCTTTAGTTTAATTACATCCCATTTGTCAATTTTGGCTTTTGTTGCAATTGCTTATGGTGTTTTAGTTATGAAGTATTTGCCCATGTGGCCAAGAAACATGAAAAAAACCTCATCATCACTGGTCATTAGAAAAATGCAAATTGAAACCACAGTGAGGTACCATCTCATGCCAGTTAGAATGGCGATCATTAAAAAATCAGGAAACAGCAGATGCTGACAAGGATGTGGAGAAATAGGAATGCTTTTACGCTGTTGGTGGGAGTGTAAATTAGTTCAACCATTGTGGAAGACAGTGCAGCAATTCCTCAAGGATCTAAAACCAGAAATACCATTTGATCCAGCAATCCCATTACTGGGTGTATACCCAAAGGATTATAAATCATTCTACTATAAAGACACATGCACATGTATGTTCATTTCAGCACTATTTACAATAGCAAAGACTTGGAACTAACCCAAAAGCCCACCAATGATAGACTGGATAAAGAAAATGTGGCACATATACACCATGGAACACTATGCAGCCATAAAAAAGAATGAGTTCATGTCCTTTGCAGGGACATAGATGAAGCTGGAAACCATCATCCTCAGCAAACTAACATGGGGACAGAAAACCAAACACCACATGTTCTCACTCATAAGTGGTAGGTGAACAATGAGAACCCATGGACACAGGGAGGGGAACATCACACAACGTGGCCTGTCAGTGGGTGGGGGGAAAGGAGAGGGAGAGCATTAGGACAAATACCTAACGCATATGGGGCTTAAAACCTAAATGACGGGTTGATAGGTGCAGAAAACCACCATGGCACATGTATACCTATGTACCAAACATGCACATTCAGCACATGTATCTCAGAACTTAAAGTAAAATAAAAAGAATAATATTTTTATGAAGATTCCCAAAATAATAACTCCATTGGCAGTTATTATTACTGGATGCAGTAAAGAAATGTATTACATTACAAGGTCTTCATATTTTGATGGTATTATGTCTTCTCATCTGAGACCATGGCTTGTTCTTCCATTTAGACAGATTTGTTTTTATGTTTTCTATTAAATTTTATAGATTCACATAGATTTTGTCCCATTTCTTTGAAATTCATTACAAAGTATTTGATGGTGGTGTTATTAGTGTGAATGAGATATTTTTCTTTTGTTTTTAGTAGGGTAGTATACAAAAATGTATATATTGATTTTTTATGATAAAAATTTGATCACAAAAAATTAATAATAATTGTACCATCAAATTGTCTTAATTCTAATAACAGAAAGAAGTGTCTTTTGAATTACTAGAATACTTTTATTTTTGAGTTTTTAAAAATTTTTTCAACATTTATACTGAATGTTTCATTTGCTTATTGCATTGCATCAGCTAAAATCTCCAAAAATATTGTTGAATAATACTGAGGATGGCAGCTATCAATCTTTTTCTGACAGCAATGAAAATTCGTATTGCATTATAAACTATGTTTGCTCCTAGTTTTGTGGCAAAATGTATTTATCAATTTTCACAGTTCCTTTTAATTTCTACCTAAATTTTTATTTTAGTTGAATGTTTATTTTGACATCTATTGATGCAGTCATATATTTCCCCTTAAATTTATTGATAGAGTGAATTCTTTAGACAGATTTTCTTAAAAAAAACACCAAATTTTGCATTTAAGAAATAAAACATAATCAGACATCATGGGATTATTCTCTTCATTTATTACTCAATTTGATTGACTAAGATTTGTTTTAAATTTTTTCACTTATGTTTTTAATTACATTTGCTACCATTTTCTTATTTTGCACTACTGTTTTTAGTTTTAAGTAGAAAAATTTTTTTAGTTTCATATGATGAATTATGGAGATTTTTAATAGTTTTTTACAGATGGAATGAGTTTGGATAATGTGGAAGTTTTCTTAGAAGAAAACACAAGGGAAAAGCGTGTTGACATTGGCCTTAGCAATGATTTCTTGGATATAATACCAAAAACACAGGAAACAAAAGCATACACAAAGGGAAGTACATTAAACTTAACAGCTTCTGCACAGCACAAGAAACAGCCAGCAAAATAAAAAAAAATAATAATTAAAAAAAAAACATATGGCATGGGAGAAAATATTTGCAAGCCATATATCTGATAAAGGCTTAATATCCAAAATATATAAGAAACTCCTACAACTTAGTAGCAGATATAAAACCAATAAACTTATTTAAAAATTAGTAAGACACCTGAATAAACATTTCTCCAAAAAAGACATACAAATGGACAACAGTATATGAGATGGTGCTCAACAGGAAAATGCAAACCAAAACCATAAAAAAAAATCACCTCACATCTCTTAGGTTGGCTATTATTAAATATAAAAGAAGGAAAATAAAATAAATGTTGATGAGTATGTAGAGAGAACAAACCCTTGTACACTATTGGTATGAATGTAAATTAGTATAGCTACTATGAAGGATTCTCAAAAAATTAAAAACAGAACTACCATATGAACCATGAATACTACTTCTGAATATATTACCCTAAAGAATTGAAATCGGAGTTTTACAGAAATATCTGCATTCTTGTACTTACTTCAGCACTATTTATAATGATCAAGACATGGAAACAACCTAAATATCCATCAACAGATGAATGGATAAAGAAAATGTGACCTATACATAAAATGGAATATTATTCAGCCTTAAAAAAGAATGAAATCTTACCATTATTTGCTACAATGTAAATAAACTTGGAGGATAGCATGCTATGTGAAATAAGACAGACACAGAAGAACAAATACTATATGAATTCATTTATATGAGATATCTAAAACAGGCAAATTCATAGAGACAAAAAATAGAATGGTGGTTACCAGGGGCTGGGGTATAGTGTGGATAAGGGACGTGTTGGTCAAAGAGTACATACTTTCAGTTAGGCTATATGAATAAGTCCTAGAGATCTGCTATACAGAATAGCACATGTAGTTATCAATACTGTATTGTGTAATTAAAAATTGGTGAAAAGAGTAGATCTTATGTTAAATATCCTTTCACAAAAAAAGAGGGGAAACTTTTATAGGTTTTGACTAAGTTTATGGCATTGTTTATGGTGATAATTTTATAGGCATATACTTATCTTCAAACTCACCAAGATGTATACATAAAATATGTACAGCGTTTTTTTGTACATGAACCAAATCTAAATAAAAAATAGGAGTTTTATGGTTTTATGTGCCCAAACTGTTATATGCAATTGAATTGCAAAATAATCTAAGCCTGATCTCTTTTTAAAGAAATTGGTTTTAAATTGCATTTAAATTGCCTTTGCTCTGTCTTCTGAGATTACTTTAATGTCTAGATATTTTACCATTTCCTCAGTCAGTTTTGGTAATTATATTTGCAGTGAAATAAATTAATTTTTCCAGATTTTAGATCCACATTAATTTTTTAAAATTTTAATTAACACATAATTGTACATATTTATGAGATGCAGTGTAATATTTTGATACATACAATGTGTAATGATTACATCAGGGGAATTAGCATTTCCATCACCTCAAACATTTACTGTTTCCTTGTGTTGGGAATGTGACAATTCTTTTATTCTAGCTATTTAAAAATATACAATAAATTGGCCAGGCATGGTGGCTCATGCCTATAATCCCAGCACTTTGTGAGGCCGAGGCGGGCAGATCACGAGGTCAGGAGATAGAGACTCTCCCGGCTAACACAGTGAAACCCTGTCTCTACTAAAAATACAAAAAATTAGCCAGGCGTGTTGGCACACATCTGTAGTCCCAGTTATTCGGGAGGCTGAGGCAGGAGAATCGCTTGAACCCGGAAGGCAGAGGTTGCAGTGAGCTGGGATCACACCACTGTGCTCCAACCTGAGCGACAGAGCAAGACTCCATCTCAAAAACAAAACAAAACAAAACAAACAAACAAAACTACCAGGTCTGACCCGCAGACCCTGGCCAAACAATGGATGAACAAATGCACTCAGACACAGATACCCAGTGAAAGAGAGGGCTAGGGGACACGGCTGCTTACAGACCCCAAGGAGGGTGCTGTAAAGAGTCAGCAGCCCAGCCCTGACCAGCTGGTGCTGTGGGCATTTATTCAGTATATATTTAATGACAAAGGCCTCGAGTCAATACACTTGTGGATAATTGTGCATGGATGATTAATGGCCAGGTTTCTGGAGTCATGAGTAAACAAGCTATTCAGATAAACTCCCCTGCATTCTTTTGTACCTACTTCATGCCCTTTGCCCCAGGATAAGAACCAGGGCCTTCGGCTCATTCTTCCCCAAAGCTTTGCAAAGCCCTTCCTACAATTTCTCCCACTACCCTGACAGATCTCCTACAAAATGCAATAAGTTATAGTTAATTATAGTAACCCTACAGGGCTGTAGAGTTCTAGAACTTATTCCTCCTATCTACCTGTAACTTGTATTTTCTTAACCAACATCTTCGTATTTCCTGCTCTTTTCCGTCCCAGCATCTAGTAACTACTATTGTACTTTCTACTTCAATGTGAGCACTTTTTTTTTTACCTCCAACGTATAAGACAGAATATGCAGTATTTATCTTTCTGTGCCTGGTTTATTTCACTTAACATAATGTCCTCCAGTTCCATCCATGTTGCCACAAATGAAGGATTTTATTCTTATGGCTGAAGAGTATTTCATTGTCTATATATACCATATTTTATTTACCCATTCATCTGTTGATGGACACTTAGGTTGATTCTAAATCTTGGCTATTGTGAAGAGTGCTACAATAAACATGGGAGTGCAGATATCTGTTCCTTTGGATACATACTCAGTAGCGGAATTGCTGGTTAATATGGTAGTTCCAGTTTTAGTTTTTTTGAGGAACCTCCATATTGTTTTCCATATCGGGTGTACTATTTTACATTGCTACTGACAGTATGAAAGCATTCCTGTTTTTCCATATTATCATCAGCATTTGTTAGTTTTTGTCTTTGATAATAGCCATTCTAACTGTGTCGAGATAATTTTTCCTTGCAGTTTTGATTTGCATTTCCTGATAATTAAGAATGTTGCACATTCTTTAATATACTTATTGGTCATTTGTATGTCTCCATTTGAGAAATGTCTATTCGATTATTTGTGTATTTCATAATTGAATTATTTGTATTTTTTGCTGTTGATTTCTGTTTATATCCTGAATATTAATCTCTTGTCAGATAAATATTTTGCAAATATATTTTTTCTATTCTTCAGGTTTTGCCTTCACTCTGTGGATTGTTTCCTTTGCTGTGCAGAAGTGTTTTAGTTTGATGTAACCCCATTTGTCAGTTTTCCCTTTTGTTGCTTGTACTTCTGAGGTCTTATTCGGACATTTTTTTTTTCCAGACCAGTGTCCTAAAGCATTTTACCTATGTATCCTCCTAGTTGTTTTATAGTTTTGATTCTCATGTTAAGTCTTTAATCCATTTTTTAAATATTTTTAGAGATGAGAGATGGGGTCACACTCTGTTGTTCAGAATTCAGTGCAGTGACTAGCCAGCCACAAGTACAATCATAGAGCACTACAGCTTCAAGCTTCTAGGCTCAAGTGATTCTCCTGCTTCAATCTCTTGAGTAGCTGGGACTACAAGCTTATGCTACTGCACCCAGCTTTTTAATCCATTTTGAGTCGATTTTGTATGAGGTGAGAGACAGGAGTCTAGTTTCATTCTTCTGAGTATGGATTTCTTGTTTTCCTAGCACCATTTATTAAAAAGATTGTCCTTTCCATAATGTATGTTCTTGGTGCCATTGTCAAAAGTCAGTTGGCTGTCAACACATGGATTTATTTCTAGATTCTCTATTCTGTTCCACTGGTGTATTTGTCTCTTTTTATATCAGTACTATGCTGTTTTTAGTTACTTCAGCTTTGTGTAGAATATTTTAAAGTCAATTTTGGTAATTTATATTTGAAATAAAATAATTTCCTCCAGATTTCAAAATTTCTTGAATAATGTTCCACATTTAAAATGTTTCAGTAACTTCAAAATCTGTGAGTATATTGTCTTTCTCATCCCTTATTTGACATGTTTTTAACTGTTTTTCTTATCTTACTCTTCAGTTTCCTATTTCATTCTTATTTTTCAAGAATTAACTTTTGTTTTCACTTGCCATTTCTTCAAATTTTAAAAACAAATTTTAGAGAATTTAGTTCCAAAACAGTAGAGTGAGAAGTTTTCCCCAAAACAAGAACCATAACTGGTATAAATTATTTAATAACAAATATTTAAAGTGTCTGAAAATTATTCTAGAGGCATACTGTAAGTTTGAAAACAAAATTTTTTTTAAAGAAAATTTACTAAATCTTGGCAAGAACAGAGCATGCTTGTGGCATTTGAACTATAACCCACTCCTTCACCTCAATTCCAGCTTATAATAACAGGAGGCATACTTATGGTGGGGTCGCCCAAGAACTCAGGGTTCTCTCTCCCTCAACTTCCAGTCTAGAGTTACAGTGTATTCCAGGGATGAGGAGCCCACCACCATTTCTTTTTCTCTCAGCTCTGTGTTACATACAGATGCTCTATTCCAAACAATAGCATCTAAAAGTTCTGAGGCTCTCTTCTACTATCCAGTCACCACTCATAAGATACAAGCTCTTCTCCAGGTGTGGAAGATGAAGGATACCGGGGTCCGTTTGTCTTCACTTCAAATTACTCCTAAAGTGAGGATTTCACACTAAAGAAGGCAAACTAAGATAATCAGAAGCTACCACCTACCACCTTGGTCAGAAAGCAGGTGTGCCTCTATGGTAGTAATGAGTCACTGTCATCATAGCAAGTTCTGGAGAAGTGGCTCAAAAATTGTACACAGGGAAGGAGGCAGGTTGTAAGAACAGAAAACTGTGAAGCTCATCCAAAGTTATAAGACTATATTTAGAACAGACTGTGTAGAAGTTCACGCCTAAGGGTAAGTTGAAGGTAACAGAAAGTTTGGTCATAAGCAATTAAGAGGAAACTTTTGGCTCCATGAGAGCAACAAGACAAACTGTAGACCATGTAGAACTTTACCAGACAACCAGAGAAAATGGTAGCTAATAAGACACTTCCTGGGATTATAAGAAACCTCAAAGACCATCCTCAAAAACTATACCTGTAAAGGGAACAGCATGTAATTTAATCAATCAGTGGAGCAATTTATGCCTTTGAGTATTGTTAAACCCAATAAAGGAATCAAATGGGAAGTTGAGGCTTACTTCCCAAATTTGATGGAAAACAATCTGGTGAACATTCAATTAAATGTTGCAAGGTAACATTTTCTTCTGAATGGTGTATCCCAAAGATTCACACCCACACACATAATAGCGAAACTGTTGAAAGCCCTATGCAAAGAGAAAATCTTGAAAGCAGCAAGAGAAAGAAAACTCATCATGTATAGGGGAACCCCAAAAAGATTAACAGCTGAATACTCACTGTAAACAATGAAGTGGAATGATTTATTTATAGTGCTAAAAAAAATGCTATCAACCAGGAATTTTAAATCTTAGCAAAACTATATTATGAAAATAATGGCAAACTAACAATATTCCCAGATAAACAGAAACCAAAAGAAAAAATTGCTGGCCAAGCACAGCGGCTCAACGCCTGTAATCCCAGCACTTTGGGAGGCCGAGGCAGGTGGGTCACCTGAGGTTGGGAGTTTGAGACCAGCCTGACCACCATGGAGAAACTCTGTCTCTACTAAAAACAAAAGATACAAAATTAGCCGGGCGTGGTGGCACGTGCCTGTAATCCCAGCTACTTGGTATGCTGAGGCAGGAGAATCGCTTGAACCCGGCAGGCGAAGGTTGCAGTGAGCCAAGATCATGCCATTGCACTCCAGCCTGGGCAATAAGAACAAAACTCTGTCTCAAAAAAAAAAAAAAAATTGCTACTAGCAGTCTCACCTAAAAAAAATACTTAAAGAAATTCTTCAGTCTGCAAGCAAGTGACTCCAGGAAGAAATGCGAATTAATTTTAAAGCATATAGAGTGCTGGTAAAGGTAACTCTGTACATATTGTAAAAGAAAGTATAATAGCATATTTCTTCTTTTCTTAATAGTTTTAAAAAACAATTGCATAAAAATGTATATAAATTATTGTTCTACAATATGTAGAAATTCAACATATTTTCCAATAGCAGCACAAAGCAGGTGAGTAGGAGCAAAGTTGCATTGAATTAAGGGGAGAACACCAAGCTGGTAGCTCACACCCACAGGAACAAATGAAAGGAAGCAGAAATTTTGATAAGAAAGTTGATATAGTGAACTCTTTAAAGATGTATTCTATTCTCGTCTCTCTTCTTTAAAAGACATAAAATCATATAAAGTAAAAATTGTAACAACGTATTTTTGGATTTATAACATAGATGTAGTAACAATAATAGTACAAAATGTGGGGAAAATAATAGAGTTCTATAGGAATAACATTTCTATTTCTATTTTTAACTTATTTTGTATAAATTTGAAGTAGATTTTCATAAGTTAGGATGTATAGTAAACTCTGGAGGAACTACTAAAAATACTCAAAAATATATTGAAAAAATCATTAAAGGAACTAAAATGTTACAATAGACAATATTTACTGAATGCCAAACAATGTAGTAAAAAAAGGAACAGAGCCACAAAAAAAGATGAAACATATAGAAAACATCAAGTTAAATGCCAGATATAAACCGAATTAGATCAATAAAATCAATGATTGTAAATTGATTAAAGAATCAAATAAAACAGCAAAGATAGGGTTTTTCATCCCCAAGGGGTCAGATTAGCAGTATTGTTAGCATGCCTCTCTCACTTGTAAAACAAAATAGTGTGTACAGGTTCATGTTTTGAAATTTTTTCCAAGAAGCAACACAAGAAATTAACAGAAAAACTGAACAAAACCACAGACTCTTTGAAAGAAGCAGCAGGCAGCAGCCTACAATATGAACCAGAAGGAAAACCGTGAGTCTCCACTGCAGGAAATATGGAGACACTGCTGCTGTGACATACACTCCCACAAAGTAGCCGGGCAATCCTGGCCATGCGGGAAGGCCATAACTCTATCCCACACTGGAACTGATTTAGTGAACAGTGGAGAATATATGAGAAGCAGCATGCTTTGTTTGCACTCTTAGAATCCAGTGAGGATGGAGAGAAGCCATTTCTGTTCCTACCTCTCAGGGGACCTCATGGAAGTCTGCCAGCTAGCTCAGGCTGCAGTCCAGAGACACTCCCAACAAGAGATTTGCGATGTAATCTTGAGTGGGAATGAATGCCATTGGCCAGAACCGAGGGGAGAGCAGGAAGTGTGCTACAGCCATAGGTGCAGGAGTTCCGTGACCCTGGGTGTCACTGCTTCATGGGCATATAGAGAGCGGCATGGCCTGAAGCCACAGTTTCAGTCTTCCTGGGAAAAGGCTTATGGCCTGGGGCAGTTTTGAGTTCTGAGCTCAGGCTACCTGGAATCCAGATAGCTGTTGTTGGCATAACTCTGGATATGAGAACTGCCTTGCCAAGTGTGTAGTAGCTGAGTGGAGCTTACTGCCACCTGCTATACCCTGCTCTTAGTGCAGATTCTTCTGTGCAACAGAGGTAGTTGTGCTCCTCCCTGGAACATTACTCCAGCAGCCAGGGAACTGCCATCTAATCTCCATTAGGACTACTGCTTGTGGCTGCACGTTGGGAGCCAGAGGACAGCCCTGCCTGACACACCCCCAACACAGCTTTGTCCCTTCACCACCCTGGTAGTGTAACATGATGGACGGGGATATTTGGGATATCCATTGCTCTGCTTATTGCCTGAGGCACCAGAGTACCTCCCGTGGGTAACATGAAGCAAGAACATATTCTACTGTTCTCGCTGTAGGTGGTCCTCTTTTGCACTTGCCACCTCCTGGCTAGAGGCCAACCAGCAAAGCCCATTACATCTGCAGGCACAGTAACACAGCACTCAAGAAGAAGACATTTGCATAACCTCAGCTATTTCCAATGCCTGCATCACCCTGATGAACAAGAGATCTTGAGTCTGCATGTGAATACTACTACTGCTGGCATTTGAGAAAGCCAGCATGCTAAGGCTATTTATAATTAAGGAAATCTGAGAGTCTACATCATTCACCTCCAACCTGCATCAGAGAGGGTGCTTGTAAACACTGCTGGGAGACTTGAGGACAGGTCACATCACCAGATCCCTTGCAGACATTTCTCAGCACTGGCCTAGAGTGTGGCAGCCCAACTGGGTAGCTAGGCCCAGAGAAGCAACAGGATTCACAGTAGTCTTGCCCTCAGGGACTGCTAATCCTAGGGAATGGGGAGAATACCACATTAAGGTAGCACCCAATTGGATAAAAGAAACCAGACCAAAGGCTTTGCATCTCTGAATTTTCCATGTGTGGGAAGTTTTCTTCAGTGGAGGCACAAGTGCAATGCTGGGCTCAGTGGGAAAAGACTGTGGTTTGGTTCCAACAGTTAAGCACCCATCATTCTTGTGTAGGATCTGGGAGGAGAAGACTTATTCTCCCCCTTGCCCACCACTGCAGTTACAACTCAGGTGTCTACCATGGGAAATTGGCATGGGCCCATCTGCAGGCAGCCTTTCTGGATCACTTCAGGGTGACTGCATCCCCAAAGGAAAAGTGCCTTACAGGTTCAGCTTGCACTATAGGTAAAGGCAAAATCTCTCTCTTCATGGAACAGCAGCCTTCCTATAGATGAATAGAGGTGCCTGCCTTATCTGAATAGCCAGAACACTGATCAGGAATGTAATTGAGAGGCAAATTGTTTTTCTGAGGCCTGGAAGAAGAGCTGCGGTAGCTTCCTCTCTTCCCCCTTAAAATACCACATTGCATTTTACTGAGAATTTTCATAGCAACATCTCTAAAAGCTGGGACCTCTTCCCACCATTGGGGTATTTGCATTTACTCACCTGCTTTAGCCACTGCTGAGTTTTATCCTTGGGCAACTCCTACTGGCCTGAGTTCTGAACTGTCCAACCCAGTGAAAAAAATATTGGGGAAAAAGGTTAAAAATGCACACCACTGGGAAACAAGATAAGCTTCATGAGGCCTCTGCCACTTCAGCCAAACAGGAGACAGTGAACCTTCTCGTACACCCAGCATAACACTAACACAACCAGCGTCAGAGAAGACATGACACAAAATTTGTCTATAACTAAGGAACTCAAATTGAGACTTCTCCAATGAAATCACCCAGAGTCAAAACTAGGTGACAATAAACTATAAACATTAATGTCACATCCTCAAGGGGAAAAAAATAGAAAACCTAGTTGAATAAAAAATAAATTCAAAATAATGAAAAGAAAAGGTTTACCCAAATGAGAAGGAACCAAATAAGTATTTCTAGCAATATGAAAAAACAAGATCCTATATAATTCCTTCTCCCCAAATAACTCTCCAGCAGTAGATCCAAATCAAAATAAAATCTTTGGAATACCAGATAAAAATTCAAAAGTTTGGTTACTAACTTACTTGAGGACAAAAGAGAAAGGTTAAAACCAACATAAAGAATTTTTTTTTTTAAATTCAGGATCCAAATAAAAAATTTTCTAAAGAGATAGCTACTTTGAAGAAAAACCAATCAGACCTTCTGGAAATAGAAGAAACAATTAGGAAAATACAAACTGCAATGGAAAGTTTTAACATTCAACTAGAACAAGTAGAAGAAGAAATTTCAGAGATCAAAGACAAGGCATTCAAATTAATGCAAACAGACAAAAAAATTTTTAAAAAGAATTAAAAGAAATTAACAACATCTGCAAGAAAAATGGGATTATGTAAAATGCCCAAATCTAAGAATTATAGGTGTTCTTAGGGAAAAGAAAAAGCAAAATGTTTGACAAACCTATTTGAGGAAATAATTAAGACAAACTTTCCTCATCTCCCTAGAGTTTTTAGACACACAAATATAAGAAGCTTAAACTCCTGTGAGACTTATTGAGAAAAGGGCATCACAAGCTATCTTATCAGTTATCAGGCTATCTAAAATCCATGTGAAAGAAAGAATTCTAAGAGCAATGAGACAAAAACGCCAGGTAACCTAAAAGGAAAACTATCAGACTAACTGCAGACTTCTCAGCAGAAACCTTACAAGCCAGAAGTGATTGTAGTCCTATCTTTAATCTCCTTAAACTGAATAACTGTAAGCCAAGAATTTTGTATCCAGCAAAACTATTTTATAAATGAAGATGAAATAAAGTGTTTCTCAGACAAGCAAATACTGAGGAAATTTGTCAATGTTATATCAGTTTTACAATAAATTCTAAAAGGAGTTCTACATCTTGAAATAAAAGGTCAATACACACCAGAATAAAAACTCCTGAAAGCATAAAAACTACCAGTCTTTTAAAACAATACCACAATGAAGAAAACGAAGTTACTAGGTAAAAATCAACATGATGACTGGCATGGAACCTCTGAGCTCAGTATTTATGTAGAATTTAAATGGTCTAAATATTTCATTAAAAAAATACAGATAGGCAGACTAGCTGAAAATACGTAAACCAAATATCTGCTTTCTTCAGGAAATGTACCTAAGACATAAGGATTTTTATATACTCAAGGCAAAGGGGTGGAGAAAGATATTTCACACAAATTGAAACCAAAAATAAGCAGGAATAGCTGTTCTTTTGTAAGATAAAACAAACTTCAAAGCAACAACAGTTAAAAAAAAAAGACAAAGATGATCATTATATAATGAAGAAAGGATCAACTTGATAAGTAGATATCACAATTATAAATATATATACACTTAATCTCTGAGCTATCAGATTCATAAAACAATTACTACTAGACCTGAGTAAAGAGACCACAACACAATCACAGTGGGGGACTTCAACACTCCATTGACTGCATGAGGCTGATAATTAAGGCAGAAAGTCAACAAAGAAACATTGGACTTAATCTGTACTCTAGAACAACTGGCTATAACAAACATTTACAGATCATTATATTCAAGTACTGTAGAATATACATTTTTCTCATCAGCACACAGAACATTCTCCAAGACAAACCATATTAAAGGACACACAACAAGCCTCAATAAATTCTTCAAAATCAAAATTTTTTATAGAAATATTCTATTTTTATTTCAAAATTATAAGGGAAAATAATATTGTTTTAAAGATTTACTTTTTTGGGAGGCCGAGGCGGGCGGATCACGAGGTCAGGAGATCGACACCATCCTGGCTAACACAGTGAAACCCCTTCTCTACTAAAAAATACAAAAAATTAGCTGGGTGTGGTGGCAGGCGCCTGTAGTCCCAGCTACTCGGGAGGCTGAGGCAGGAGAATGGCGTGAACCCGGGAGGCGGAGTTTGCAGTGAGCCGAGATCCTGCCACTGCACTCCAGCCTGGGCGACAGAGCGAGACTCTGTCTCAAAAAAAAAAAAAAAAAAAAAGATTTACTTTTAGTTCAGGGATACATGTTCAGGTTTGTTACATAGGTAAATGTGTCATGGGGGTTTGTTGTACAGATCATTTCATCACCCGGGTATTAAACCTAGTACCCATTTTTATTAGTCCATTTTCACACTGATGGTAAAGACCTACCCAAGACTGGGCGATTTACAAAAGAAAGAGGCTTAATGGACTTAGAGTTCGACGTGGCTGGAGAGGCCTCACAATCATGGCAGAAGTTGAAAGGCACTTCTAACATAGAGGCAGACAAGAAAAGAGAGCAAGAAAAGAGAAAAGAAACTCCCCCTTATATACTCATCAGATCTCCAAGGTGTTTCCATATATCTGAAATGTAGGTGGTGGTTCCCAAACCCCAGTTCTTGACTTCTGCGCACTGGCAGGCTCAACACCACATGGAAGCTGCCAATGTTTGATGCTTGCACCCTGTGCAGCCACAGTGAAAGCCCTATGTTGGCCCCTTTCAGCCACAGCTGGAGTGAATGGGACACAGAGCACCAAGTCCCTAGGCTGCACACAGCACAGGGACTCTGGGTCTGGCCCATGAAACCACTTGTTCCTCCTAGGCCTCCAGGTCTATGATGAGAGGGTCTTTGTGAAGCCCTCTGAAATGCCCTGGAGACATTTTCTCCATTTTCTTAGGGATTAACCTTAGGCTACTTCTTACATATGCAAATTGCTGCAGCCAGCTTGAATTTCTCCTCAGAAAATTGGATTTTCTTTTCTTTTCCATTGTCGGGGTGCAAACTTTCTATACTTTTATGCTCTGTTTCCCTTTTAAAACTGAATGCCTTTGACAGCACCCAGGTCACCCCTTGAATGTTTTGATGCTTAGAAATTTCTTCCACCAGATACCCTGAATCATCTCTCTCAAGTTAAAAGTTCTACAAATCTCTAGGGCAGGGGCAAATACCACTAGTCTCTTTGCTAAAACATAACAAGAGTCATCATTGCTCCAGTTCCCAACAAGTTCCTCATTTCCATCTGAGATCACCTCAGCATGGAGTTTATTGTCCATATCATTATCAGCATTTTGGTCAAAGCCATTCACCAAGTCTCTAAGAAGTTCAAATTTTCCCACATTTTTCTGTCTTCTTCTGAGCCCTCCAAACTGTTCCAGCCCATTCCTGTTACACAGTTCCAAAGTCCCTTCCACATTTTCGGGTAACTTTTCAGCAGTGCCTTACTCTAGTGGTACCATACAATTTACCATATTAGTCTGTTTTCATGCTGCTCATAAAGACCTAGGTGAGACTGGGCAATTTACAAAAGAAAGAGGTTTAATGGACTTACATTTCCACGTGTCCGAGGAGGCCTCACAATCGTGGCTGAAGGTGAAAGGCGCATTCTCACATGGCGGCAGAGAGAAGAGAGCTTGTGCAGGGAAACTTCCCCTTGTACACTCATCAGATCTTGTGAGACTTATTCACTATCACCAGAACAGCACAGGAAAGACCTGCCCCCATGATTCATTTACCTCCCACTGGGTCTCTCCCACCACACATGGGAATTCAAGATGAGATTTGGGTGGTGACACAGCCAAACCATATCACCATTAATTATTATTTTTCCTGATCTTCTCCCTCTTCCCAACCTCCACTTTTTGATAGGCCCTAGTGTGTGTTGTTTCCCTCTACATGTCCATGTATTCTCATCATTGAGCTCCCACTTGTGAGAACATCCTGTATTTGATTTTCTGTTCTTGTGTTAGTTTTCTAAGGATAATGGCCTCCAGCTGTTATCTTGGACATTATTTCATTCATTTTTATGGCTGCATAGTATTTCATAAGGTATATGCATCATTTTACCTAGTCTACCATTGGTGGACATTTAGGTTGATTTCATGTCTTTGCTATTATGAATAGTGCTGTAATGAACATACACATGCATGTCTTTATAAGAGAATGATTGATATTCCTTTGGGTATGTATCCAGTAATGGGATTACTGGGTCACAAGGTATTTCTGTCTTTAGGTCTTTGAGAAATTGTCACTGTCTTCCACAATGGTTAAACTAATTTACCCTCCCATCAACAGTGTGTGAGCATTTCTTTCTATCCACAACCTTGCCAGCATCTGTTATTTTTGACTTTTTAATAATAGTCGTTCTCACTGCTGTGAGATGGTATCTCATTGTGATTTTGATTTGCATTTCTCTAATAATCAGTGATGTTGAGCTTTTTCTCATATGATTGTTGCCTGCATGTATGTCTTCTTTGGAAAATTTTCTGTTCTTGTCCATTGCCCACTTTTTATGAGGTTGTTTTTTACCTGTGCATTTGCTTAAGTTTAGACACTGGATATTAGACCTTTGTAGGATGGACAGTTTGAAAAAATGTTATCCCATTCTGTAGGATGTCTGTTTAGTCTGTTGGTAGTTTATTTTGCTGTGCAGAAGCTCTTTAATTTAATCATACTCCATTTGACAATTTTTGCTTTTGTTGCAATTGCTTTTAGAATCTTCGTCATAACATCTTTGTCCCTGCCTATGAACTGAATGGTATTGCCTACGTTGTCTTACAGGGATTTTATAGTTTTGGGTTTTACATTTGAGTCTTTAATGTATCTTGAGTTAGTTTTTATATATGGTGTAAGGAAGGAGTTCAGTTTTAATCTTCTGCATGTGGCTAGCCAGTTATCCCAGCACTATGTATTAAAGCGATAAGTATCTTAAATCACAGCAAAATAAAACTAGAAATCAATTGCAAAAGAAACACTCAAAACTATACAAATACATAAAAATTAAACAATCTGCTCCTAAATGATTATTGAATTAAAAATGAAATTAAGATACAAATTTTTAAAACTATTCAAAATGAGTTATATAACTGACACAGTTATCAAAACCTCTGAGATATAGCAAAAGCAGTGCTAAGAGGAATGTTTATATTGCTAAATGCCTACATCAGAAAGTCTGAAAGATCACAATTTGACAATCTAACCTCATATCTCAAGGAACTAGAGAAACAAAAACAAATCGAACTCAAAACTTGTAGAAGAAAAGAAAAAACACAGATCAGAGCACAACTAAATAAAATTGAAGCAAAATATGCAAAAGATCAATAGAACAAAAGCTGGTTCTTGGAAAAGATGAACAAAATTGACAAATTACTAGGTATATTAACCAAGAAAAAAAGAGAATATTCAAATAAGCTGAATTAGAAATGAAAATAAAGACATTACAATGTCACTACATAAATACAAAAGATCATTCGAACTACTATGAGCACCTCTATGCAAACAAACTAGAAAATCCAGAGCTAATCGTTAGATTTCTGAAAACACATAATTCACCCTAGCTTAACTTAGGAAGAAACAGAAATTCTGAAGAAGCCAGTAACAAGCATTGAGATTGAAACAGTAATAAAACAAACAAACAAACAAAAAAACAAACAAACAGAAACTGCCAACAACAAAAGAAGCCCAGGGCTAAATGCATTCAGAACTAAATTTTACTAGACACTTAAAGAAGAATTATTACCAATGCTACTGATATTATTTCAAAATATTGAGATGGAGGAACTCCTCCTTAACTGCTTTTTAGGAACCAGTATTACCCTAATCTTAAAATCAGAAAATGACAACAAAGGAAGGAAAACAAAGCTACAGAAAACATTCCTGGTTAATATAGATGCAAAAATCCTCAAGAAAATGCTATCAAATGAAATTCAACAGCATGTCAAAAAATAATTTGCCAGGAACAATTGGATTTCCTTTCAGGGACGAAGGGATGTTTTAACATATGCACGTCAATAAATATGATTCATCACATAAACAGAATTAAAAACAAAAATCATATGATCATCTCAATAGTTCCAGAAAAAGCATTTGATAAAATCCAGCATCTCTTTATCCCTCAACAAACTAGACATAGAAATAACATACCTCAAAATATTAAAATAATTAAGTAAAATAATACAATAAAATGATAAAGTCCATATATGACAAACACACAGCCATCATCATACTTGACGTGGAAAAAGTGAAAGCATTTACCTTCAGAACTGGAACAAGACAAAGATGCCCACTTTCAGCACTTCTATTCAACATAGTACTGAAAGTCCTACCCAGAGCAATCAGGCAAGACAAAGAAATAAAGAACATCCAAACTGACAAAAAAAAAAAAAAAAAAAAAAACAGGAAGTCAACCTACTTCTGTTGGCTGATAATATGACTTTATGCCTAGAAATCTCTAAAGACTCTGCCAGAAGATTCCTAAATCTGATAAATGAATTCAGTATTAGAGGTTGCAAGGTACTATTATCAGCTGAATTGCATACCCTTCAAGTTCATATGTTGAAGTCCTAACTTTGAGTACCTCAGAATGTGACTGTGTTTGGACTAAGGACCTTTAAAAACGTAATTAAGTTAAAAATTAGGCCATTATGGTGGGTCCAATTCCAATCTGACTTGTCTTATAAGCAGGGGTTTGGAAACACAAAAGAGACACCAGGGATGTCTGTGCACTGAGGAAAAAAATGTTAAGAACATAGTGAGAAGACCATCATCTGTGAGCCAAGGAAAGAGGCCCCAAATACATCCAAACCTTACCAACACCTTGATTGTGGACTTCAGGACTTCAGAACTGTGAGGAAATAAATTTCTGTTGTTTGAGCCACCTAGTCTGTGGTGTTTTGTGATGGCAGCATCAGCAAACTAAAACAGGCTAGAAAAATTTTAAAAAGGCATTCATATTGGAAAGGAAGAAGTAAACATCTGTATATGCAGATGATATAACCTTGCATATATATAAAAAAATTATACACACACACACACACACACACACACACACACACTCATAAAGAAGTTTAGCAAGATTGCAGGATACATGACCAATACATAGAAGTTAATGGTATATCTATGCACTGGCTATTAAAAACTCAAAAATAAAATTAAGAAAATAATTTCATTTGTAGTGGCATCAAAAACAATAAAATATCTAGGAATAAGTTTAACAAAAGGTGTACAAAATTGGCACTATGAAAACTACAAAACATCATTGAAAGAAAAATTTTGTAAAATATCTAAAAAGAAATACATCCCGTGTTTATTGATCAGAAGGCTTAATTGATCATAAGACATGTTAAAATGGTCAATATTCCCCAAAGTGATCAATAGCTAGAACAAAGTCTCTAACAAAATTTAAGCTGGCATTATTTTTGGCAAAAAAATTAAAAGCTTATTTTAAAGTTCTTATGAATTTTTTTAAAAAGATTGTTTGTAGAAAACAATTTTCAAAAAGATCAAAGATCAAGCAGCCAGAGAAAATATTGATATTTCCACTGCACATAAACTAAAGCAAATGTTCTGTTTCAAAGGACACTTTTAAGAACACGAAATGTAACCAGAGAATAAAAAAAAATGCATGTCATATATCTTGTAATGATTTTGTGTCTAGAGTATATAAATAGCTCTTACAACTCAGCAATAAACATCCAAATAATCCAATTAAGAATGAACAAAGAATTTGAACATAAATTTATCCAAAGGAGATGTACAAATAGCCAATAAGCACATAAAAGAATGCTGACCACTCTTAATCAGTAGGGAAATGAAAGTCAAAAACAATGAGAGACCACATAAAACTCATTAGGGTGGCTATCATCAAGAAGACTGACAATATCACATGTTAGTGAAAATGTAGAGAAATGTGAACCTTATGCATTGCTGGTGGGGATATATAATGGTACAGCCACTTTGGAAATTAGTGTTTGGCAGTTCTTCAGAGATTAGATAGGAAGTTACTATTTGACCCAGGTATTGCACTCCTAGGTATGTACCCAGAGAACTAATCCCATTTATCCACGTTTTTGGTTTTTGTTTTTTGTTTTGTTTTGTTTTGTTTTTTGAGACCAGGTTTCACTCTGTCACACAGGCTAGAGTGCAGTGGTACAAAAATGGCTCACTGCAGCCTTGGCCTCCTGGACTCAAGCAATCATCCTGCCTCAGCCTCCAATATAGCTGGGAACACAGGCACATGCCACCTTGCTCCCTATTTTATTTATTTATTTATTTATTGTAGAGATGGGATTTCACTTTGCTGTCTAAGCTTGCCTCTAACTCCTGGGTTCAAGCAATACTCCCACCTTGGCCTCCCAAAGTGCTGAGATTATAGGCATGAGCCACCATGCCTGGCCCTCACAAAAATTTGCACGTGGATATTCACAGCAGCATTATTACTCATAATTTAAAAAGTGGGAATAACACAAATTTCTATCAACAGAGGAATGGGTAAACATAATGTTGTTTTTCCATACAATGGAATACTATTCAGCCTTAATAGTGATAAACTACTATTAGGTTGGTGCAAATGTAATTGTGATTTTTGCATTGTTGAAATTTGTGATTTGATATTGGAATACATTTTTAAATAAGTGTGGTTATGTTATACATCATTTTAATGCACATTTCTCGCTTTGTTTTTTTGCTAATGACTTATTACTTGCAGTTTATATTTATTTTAAACTATTGAAATAATGTTAGACAAAAAGCAAATTTGAGTGATTTTTTATTCAAGTTCAAAATAGGTCATAAGGCAGTGGAGACAAATCGCAACATCAACAACGCATTTGGCCCAGGAACTGGTAATGAACATACAGTGGTGGTTCAAGAAGTTTTGCAAAGAAGATGAGAGCCTTGGCGATTAGGAGCACAGTGGTCAGCCATCAGAAGTTGACAATGACCAAATGAGAGCAATCATCGAAGCTGATCCTCTTACAACTACATGAAAAGTTGCTGAAGGACTCAGCGTCGACCATCCTACTGTCATTCGGCACTTGAAGCAAATTGGAAAGGTGAAAAGGCTCGACAAGTGTGTGCCTCATGAGCTGAGCAAAAATAAAAAAGAATTGTTTTGAAGTGTCATCTTCTTTTATTCTACGCAACAACAAACCATTTCTCTATTGGATTGTGATGTGCAATGAAAAGTGAATTTTATATGACAACCGGTGACCACCAGCTCAGTGGTTGGACTGAGAAGAAACTCCACAGTACTTCCCAAAGCCAAACTTGCACCAAAAAAAGGTCATGGTCAGTTTGTTGGTCTGCTGCCTGTCTCATCTGCTGCAGCTTTTTGAATCCCAGCGAAACCATTACATCTGAGAAGTATGCTCAGCAAATTGATGAGATGCACCGAAAACTACAATGCCTGCAACAGGCATTGGTTAACAGAAAAGGCCAAATTCTTCTCCATGACAACACTCAACTGCAGCTTGCGCAACCAAGCTTCAAAAATTTAACGAATTGGGCTACAAAGTTTTGCCTCATCCGTCATATTCAGCTGGCCTCTCCCCAACTGACTACCACTTCTTCAAGCATCTCGACAACTTTTTGCATGGAAAATGCTTCCACTACCAGCAAGATGCAGAAAATGCCTTCCAAGAGTTCATTGAATCCCAAAGCACAGATTTTTATGTTACAGGAATAAACATACTTATTTCTTGTTGGCAAAAATGAGCTGATTGTAATGGTTTCTATTTTGATTAATAAAAGTGTGCTTAAGCCTAGTTATAATGATTTAAAATTCATGGTCCAAATCCACAATTACTTTTGCACCAACCTAATCATACATGCTACAACATGAATTAACCTTGTAAACGTTATGATAAATGAAAGAAGCCAATCACAAAAGACCACATATTGTGTGATTCCAATTATATAAAACATCCACAATTTGTAAATCTGTAACAGAAAGAAGATTATTGGTTGCATAGGGTTTGGACCGGGGGATGTAGAGTAGTGACTTTTTGTTGGCAAAAGATTTCTTTTAGGGATGAAGAAATGTGTTCTGGAGTTATATAGTACTGATGGTTGCTCAACTTTTTGAATATACTGAAACCACTTCATTGTTCACCTTAAGCAGATGCATTTTGTGATACATGAATTACATCTCAGGGAAAAACAGATTGCGTGAAACAGAAAAAGACCTTGGGGATATGATGAGAACCCAGCATAATTGAAAATAGAAGCAACAGCTAGAGCTGTAGAAGAAAAACCAGACACATTTGGTGTCATACAAGTCAAGTGAAGAAAAATTTGCATGATGTGGATGCTTAAACTATGTCAAATGTTTCTGAATACTTCAGTAAGAATTGAGAAACTTGCCATTGCATTTAGCAGCATGGAGTGATGGGTTACCTTGGTAAGGGAAATTTGGTACAGTTGTGGGACAAATAGCTGATTAGAGATCAATCAATGGCTTAATTAGAGACATTGATTAAAAACAGCTCCCCTAAAGAGTTTTTTGGAAGGGGAAAGATAAAAAAGGAATAGGAACTGGAGGCTGAAATAAGGTCAGGAAATAACTTTTTAAGTAGCAGTAACAATTACACATTTTAATGGTGATAAGAATGTACAGTAAAGATACAAAAGCTAATGATAGAAGATAGGGGAAGACTGTTGAAGCAATTTGTTTAAGTAGGCAACAGAGGATTTGATCCAATGCACATCTACGGTGACTGACCTTAAATTAGAGTTTCAACAGGTCATTGATAAAAACAGGAGAGAAAGAAGACTACATAGTCAGAGATGCAAGTAGTTGAAAGTAAGGATTGATGGTGAGAGCTGTGGAGATTCTATTTGTGTTGCTCTAATATTCTCACTGAAATAGGAAACAAGATCATCAGCTGTGAGAGAGTGGACTAATAATCTACAAAAGTAGGAGAGAAAACAAATTAATACAATAGGGTTGTAGGCCAGCAGTAAGGTCCATTTGTGGTGAGAGACCATTAACTTAAATTTTTGGCATTTAATATAACCAAATACTCACATTTCATTGATATTATTTTCCTCTTCGGCTTCCAAAAAATTACTCTTGGTGTTTCCTTTACCTATAACATCTTCTCACTCTCAAGTCATCACATATTTGCCTCTTTTTATGATTCATATCTCATGTCTTCTCAAATGTCTTCTCACAAATACCTTCAAAAGTGGTTATGGTACTTACACTAAATCTGTTCCATATAGTCTAATTTATTCATGGCCTTCCACTCAGTTTAGCAGTGATTGGTTTTAATTAGGGCATACAACTTCATTTTGGCCAATAAAATAGTCAGCTGGAAGGCTCCTGAGATAGATTTTTCTCATTCTTAAAGAGGGATATGTCCTCCTCTTTCTAAGAATGTTGCTGTGTCCAGATGCAACGATGAAACTGCAGCAATAATTTTACTATCATCCTGAAGATAAAGACAAAAAACAACAATAGGAGAAAGCAATGGAAATACAGAGAAACAAATTCAGAGCTGGGATGTACCATATTAGAAACTTTCTTACCTCAGGATATCATGTAAAGTAAAATAATGGCTTCTCATTTTGAAGCCATGTGCATTAGGGTTTTTCTGTTATGTGGAGCTAAACTCATCTTAACTGATACACATCTTAGATAAAATAGCCTGTATCATATTACCTTGTTTGATTTTCCTTATTCATTTATCACCATCAGACATTCTGTTATAGGTGTCTGTGTGTTCTCGTTTGTTGTGTTTTGTCCCCAGTATATCATTAGATGGTAAGCTCCATAACAGAGACACTGCTTTTCTTGTCGACATTGTATTTTCATCACCTATAACAATGCTTGCTACATTATAGTCACTCACTAAATACTCATCAGATGCATGAACATTCTCTTTCAGGCCTCACTTATTTCCTTTCTTGTCTCACTAGCTCACTCCGGAAATATTTGTTTCCCTTGATTCTTTCCTTGGCTACTTCCTTCCTTACTAACAGTGTTGCAATTATAAATTTTTAGCCATAATGTGATGGTCATGGTCAGGTAAGGTATTTGAAAATGCCTATAAACATGGTGCCTCAAAGCAATAAAGAATGACAAACTCTTTGGTTCTTTAGGTGAGTGCTGTGGTCTGACTGTATCTTCCCCAAAATTTGTATGTTGAAACCTAACCACCACACTGATAGTATTCATGGCTGAGGTCTTTAGGAGGTAATTAGGTCATTAAAGCTTTGACTCATGAATGGAATTAGTGCCCTTATAAAAGAGGCCTGAGGAAGACTTTAACCCCTTTTGTCATGTTAGGACACAAAGAAGGTGCCATTCAAGAGGAACAGGCTCTCATCAGACACAGAATCTGCTGGTGCCTTGTTCTTGGATTCCCCAGCCTCCAGAACTATGGTCAATAAATTTGTTTCTTATAAATTACTCAGTTTAAGATATTTTGTTATAGTAGCCCAAATAGACACAGAGAGATATTGGTTATAAGAAGTGGGGTGCTGCTGTAACAAATACATAAAAATATGAAAGCACCTTGGAACTCGGTAATGGGTAAAGCCTGGAGGAATTTTGAAGTGCAAGGTAGAAGCAGCCTGTACTGCTGTGAACTGACTAAAAAGGGAAATTCTGGTGAAGTCTTCAAATAAGAAGAGAGCTGTAGAGAAAACCTCAGTCTTCTTAGAAATTACCTAAGTGATCACCACCAGAATGTTTGTGACAGTGAAGGCCATTCTCATGAAATATCAGACTGAAATGAGGAAAGATTGTTAAAAGCTAGATGAAAGGTGATTCTTGATATAAACCAGCAAACAACTTGGCTGAATTATGTTCATATCATAGTGTCCCAGGGAAGGAGTTATGAAATAGAACATTTGGTAGAAGAAATCCTTAAGCAAATGGTTGAGGGTATGGCATGACTTTACTAGACTGCTTATAGTAAAATGTGAGAAAAAAGAAACAAAGTTGGAATTCTTAATCAAAAGGAAAGGGGGGGCTTAAAGGTTTGGAAAATTCTCAGCCTGGCCATGTTTTAAAGAGTGGGAAAATGTTCAGGAAAGAACATCAAGGATGTGGCCAAGTGAGTGTTTGATAAGGAGATTAGTATGAATAGAAGGAAGCCAGATGCTTTGTATCAAGACAATGGAAGAATGATCCTAAAAGCATTTCAGAGATCTTCGGGATTGCACCACCCATTACAGGCCCAAAATGCCAGGGCTTTTGGGGCACAATGATGACAAAGTTCTACTCTCCACATTCCAGCAAAGCACTCTTTGGCCACCCCATCTGTGGCTCAAGCAGGCCCAGGTGCAGCTCTGGTTGCCCCACTGGAAGGCACAGGTGTTAAACCATGGTAGCATCCACACAGTGTCATCTCCAGGAAGGTGCAACTTGCACAAGCTTTGGAAGCACGCCTACCTTCACCTGGATTTCAAAGGTTGCCCTGGAGAGCCTCAGGGCCCAGGCAAATAACTGCTAAAGTGGTAGAGCCACTGTAGAAATCCCCCATTAGGGCAATGACCGGTGAAACTATGAGGGCCACCAAAAAGAGCCCCTACTAGGGAAATACCCAGTGAAAAGATGGTTACAAGACTACCTTCACAACCTCAGATTAGTACAGCCACGGCCATGCGATTGCAGCCTGAAAGAGCTGCAGGCACCAACCTTCAACCCATGAGAGCTACATTGTGGGTCTTACCTAGCAAAGCCATAGAAGCAGGGCTGCTCAGAGTGTGGAGAACCCAACCCCCACCTCAATGTGTACAAAAGGCTGCACATGGAATCACATAAGTTTATTTTCAAGACTTAAGATTTAATGTTTACACTATTGGGTTTTGAAATTATTTGGGACTAGTTATGCTTTCTTTTTTCTTCTTTCTCTCTTTGGTGTAAGAACTATCTATCCAGTGTGAGTTCCACCATTATAGTTTGGGAGCACATAACTTGTGTAATTTCATAAATTCACAGCTGGAGAGAAATTTACTTCAGAATAAATCTTACCTTGAGTCTCACTTATATCTGATTTAAGTGATACTTAGATGAGACTTTGGATGAGATATTAAACTTCTGAGTTGATGCTCGAATGAGATAAGACCTTGGGGGCTATTAGAATGAAATGTATGTATTTTGCTTATGAGAAGGAAATGAAGTTGTGGGTTCAGGAGCAGACTGCTGTGACTTAGAATATTTGTTTCCCCCCAAAATTCATATATTGAAACCTAACCACCGAGATGATGGTATTAAGAGTTGAGGTCTTTAGAAGGTGATTAAGTTTTGAGGGTTTTACCCCATAAATAGAATTAGTGCTCTCATAAAGGACGCTTTGAGGAGCCTTTTTGACACTTCTGCTGTGTGAGGAGACATAGAAGATATCATCCAAGAGGAAAGGGCTCTTATCAGACACAGAATCTGCTGGTGCCTTGCTCTTAGAATTCCCAGTCTCCGGAACTGCTAGCAGTAAGTTTCTGCTATTTACAAATTACCCAGTCTAAGTTATTTTATTACAGCATCCTAAATGGACTAAAATAGGTGACCAGCACCCACAGCTTGTCAGGTGGTTAGATTTCAGATGTCTCAGGTCCGAAGCAATCTCTCCAAGTAGGATTGACTAGTTCATTTTCTTCATTTCACACTCTAGTTTAATGGGAAAAGGCAGTAGTCTAGTGAGGTGAATTATGTATAGGCTTCTCTCCACAGGAAAGATTTTCTCACTTTCTTCTTCACCATATAGTTCCTCCCCTCTCCAATGTTCATAGATCACGTATTTCCACTATTCTTCACAGTATACCAAACACTAGCCTTATTTTATAAACGAGAAAAAAGATCAAAGGGTAAATATTGCACCGTGGTAACACAGCTTTCAAGTGGAGTAACTGAGAATTGAGTGTAGATTAGTATGATGGAAGAGCCTAAGAAATTAACCACTAATTAAACTGGAGACAAATAGAATTCTAGCTAAACCATCTACATACTGAAATAATACACTTCTCAGAACAGTAATATTGGATGAAACAGTATCATATTAGGCCTGACCTTATTTGGCAGATCTTGGTTAAGATGTTTCATTTTTTTTAAATTCAAATCTATATTAGTCAGGGTTTGAGAGAGAGAGAGAATGAGAGAAAGAAAGAAACAAAGAAAGAAAGAAAGAAAAGAGAAAAGACGAAGGAAAGAGAGAGGAAATAGAAAGGAAAGAGAGAAAGAAGAAAAGAAAAGAAAGAAAAAGAATAGTAGAGGAAGGGAGGATGGAAGTAAAGAAGGAAGAGACAGGAAGAAATAAAGAAATAAGCAGAAAGAAAAAGAGAGAAAGAAAGAAAGAGAAAAAAGAAGAAGAAAGATTAAAAGAAGGAAGAAGAAAGATTAAAAGAAAGAAAGAAAAGAAAGAAATTTCTTTTATGAAATTTTCTCATGTGATTTAGGAGGCTGGCCAGCCCAAAGTCTGAACGGTAGGCTGGCAGGCTGGAGCCCCAGAGAAGTGTTAATGTTCAAGTCTGAAGGCAGCCTGCTTGCAGATTTCTCTCTTCCTTGATAGAAGTTTGTCTTTTTCTTTTTAAGGCCTTCAACTGATTGGACGAGTCCTACCTAAATTATGGAGGGTAATCTGCTTTACTCAAAGTCTACTGGTTTTACAGTTAATCTCATCTAAAAAATGTCTTGACAACAATTCAGACAAGTGGTTGAGCAAATGTCTGATACGGTGGCCTACCCAAGTTAATACATAAAATTAACTGTCACAGAGTCTCAACACCCTTTCTTAGTTACCTAATAACTAATTAGTTGGTGCAGTTGACTCTATTAGAAATGCTACTGTGACATTTTCTATCCCTGAGTGAGATAATGAAATTTTTCTAAATAAATGGACTATTTCTTAGATTACTCAATTTGTTCATTAGCACACTTAAATAAGCATATTAGGCTGATTAGATGTTTACTTTATTTGGGTGGCCGGCAAGGCAAGTACTTTGAATTCTTAACCTTTAGGATTAAAATTCAGCTTCTTTCAGTGTCACTCCCGGGCAAGAAGCAGGTGGCTGTGTACTAAAAATTTTCTTGACACTTTACTAGATACAACTGGGTAAACCAAAACTTTTCAGGAAACTAATGACCGAACCTTTAAATAAAATCTCCCTCCCAGGCATGGAAATGAACTACAATCTGCTGGAGGATGGGTGATTTCCGGTAGTGAGAAATAAGCAGCTTATGACTTAGGTTCTTAGCTTCATTGTGTCATACGGTATGAATGCTTTCATAGGAAAATATATAGTGACACATATTATCATCATTGCCTCTAAAAGGCACTCACGTACGTCATTCAGTAATTTATTTTTATTTATTTATTTATTTATTTATTTATTTATTTATTTATTTATTTCTGAGAGGGAGTCTCATTCTGTTGCCAGGCTGGAGTGCAGTGGCGTGATCTCCGCTCACTGCCTCCCGGGTTCAAGCAATTCTCCTGCCTCAGTCTCCCGAGTAGCTGGGATTACAGGCGCATGCCACCATGCCCAGCTTATTTTTATATTTTTAGTGGAGACGGGGTTTCACCATGTTGGCCAGGATGGTCTCTATCTCCTGACCTGGTGATCCACCCTCCTCGGCCTCTCAAAGTGCTGGGATTACAGGCATGAGCCACCACACCCGGCTTCAGTAATTTATTTTTTAAATTATTATTATTAATAGAAAATGCAGGGGAAAAAACTTACTTTGGGCTATTGAAATGCAACATGCTCTATATGTTTGAACTGTTCTTATAGAAGCATTCTAAACTGAACGTCACAACTTTTTTCTTTTAGTTTATGAAAAATCACTTCCTTCTTCCACTTTGTTTTATTTTTTATTAATTGTCATTTTTTTATTTTTATTTTTTTTTTAGAAAGGGTCTCTCTGTGTCACCCAGCCTGGAATGCAGTAGCGCTATCATCACTCACTGCAGCCTCAAACTCTTGGGCTCAAGCAATCCTCCCACCTTGGCCTCCTGAGTAGCTAGGACTACAGGCACATGCCACCATGCTTGGCTATTACTTATTTATTTATTTTTGAGACGGAGTCTCGCTCTATCACCCAGGCTGGAGTGCAGTGGAGCAATCTCGGCTCCCTGCAAGCTCCGCCTCCCGAGTTCACACCATTCACCTGCCTCAGCCTCCCGAGTAGCTGGGGCTACAGGCACCCGCCAACACACCTGGCTAAATTTTTTTGTATTTTTAGTAGAGACGGGGTTTCACCGTGTTAGCCAGAACGGTCTCGATCTCCTGACCTCGTGATCTGCCCACCTAGGCCTCCCAAAGTGCTAGGATTACAACTGTGAGCCACCGCACCAGGCCTATTTATTTTTATTTTTTGTAGAAACAGGGTCTCGCTATGTTGCCTAAGCTGGCTTCAAACTCCTAGGTTCAAGCAATCCACCCACCTTAGCCCCCCAAAATGCTGGGATTACAGTCAGGAGCCACCATGCCCTGCCCCTTATTCCACTTCGAATATAGTGTTTGACAATAAATGTTTGTAACTTCCAAATATGTGGTGTCAAAGAGCCAATTGGTTTAGGTGTAAAATTTAAAAAGAGTTAAGCAACAGGCCGACAGTTTTCTCTCATTAGACACATCTTCAACAGTATTTCTTCCTGGACAAATATAGCTAGCAAATATACCCCAAGAGATAAACCTGAATTTCAAGGCATCAATCTATCACATAATAATCAGTAATTTTTGTACAATGCTAAAAAAATATAAAGCATGTCAGAATCCATCTGATTTTGTGACCAGCCCAGCAAGAATAAAAGTTGACCTATCAGATTATATTCGTCCTTGGTCTCAATAGGTTCTCTGGATCTTCCACTGTTTGCCATGATTTCCGAAATTTTCATTGCTAGTGGGACGTACCACACCACTCATTTCCTATTTAGTAAATTTGGAAAGGGAAACACATTTACTTAATATGTTTCTATTAATATTTTATTCTCAATTGTTTTATTAGAGACTGAGAGAGTAAAATAAAATGGGAAGGTTGTCATCTGTATGATAGGTAGGAATCTGAGGAAGGAGCATGTCCTGAATTGTACTACACTTCAAACTTAGGGAGGACAGGTGAGTCTCTGCTTCAGTGGTGAAGAGTAAATCCTGAGCATAAAGCAAAATGATTCCAAATGCTAACTTATACAGGTTCAAAATGTGCTGTCACTTACTCCTGATAGCATGTGATGAGACAAGATACACTACCTCTGGAATCTTCCACACAAAAACCCATAACCCCAGTCTAAACACAAGAAAAATTATCATTAAAAATCTCAATTAAGGGACATTCTACAAAATACCCGACGAGTACTCTTCCAAACTGTCAAGGTCATTATCAACAAGGAAAGTCTAAGAAAGTGTCACAGTCCAGAGGGACCTAAGAAGATACAATAAATAAATGTAATGTGGAATCCTGGATGGGATTCTGGAACCAGAAAAGGACTAATGTCCTTAATAGTAAAAATTAGGGCAATCTGAATAAACTATGGACTTCAGTTGATAATAATGTATAAACATTGGCTCATTAATTATAACAAATATGCCATGTTAAAAATAAGGAAAACTAAGAGTGAGGTTATTTGAGAACTCTGCATTATTATCACAATTTTTCTGTAAATCTAAAACTGTTCAAAAAAGCTTACGAAGAAAACATCATATGACCAGATTTCAGAACTAAATTGCTGACAAATTAAACTTTCATTTTTTCATTTTCTTCATCTATATATCTTGCTTCTGTTTTACCCCAATTAACTTTAGAATACTTTAACAGATAAGAAAGGAGTTAAGCTAGTGCACAAATTAAACTTCGGTTGTTTTCATGCATGTGTTGATTCTCAGATACTCGAAATGGATATTAAATTTGTTACCCAATATACAGAAATAAAATTCTGAACTGAATTGCCTGCATCGGTATTGTCCTTGTTTTTATTTTTTGTTTTGAAGCAATTGCCATTAGTCCATCAACATTTTATAGTCAGTTTGGCCATTTCTGACAATAAGACCAATAACTTTAATGTCTTTAATCAAGCCAAATATTAGCTCACATATTTTTCCACTTGTTGAAAAAAAAGAAATTTGTAATACTCCTTTTCAGTAGGGTATTTTTCTCCTATTCAGAGTATGTTTTCACCATATTCACTTTCTCAGGTTCTAGAGTTCTTGCCAAGGTTATTATGATAATATCTATATATAACTTGGTGATTCTCAGTCAGCTTCACAAATTAAGTCACAACAACTTGTGAGATTTTTTTTTTCCCAAATGGCTGGAGTGAAGATGAGAAATAACACAAATTAACCTACACATATATTGTACTTCTTCTAAAACCCCAATCTCCTTTTTGCCAGAGGTTAAAATGTTGCTTGATTTAAATTTTCCTGTTTTTCTTTCTTCACCAGCTAACCCTTGGTGAAAATGAATAAATTAATATCACAATAATAAATATATGAGTGAGAAAAAATAATACAAAAAGCACTGGACTGTGCAGTATGTAATTCTTAATCAAAATTTGGGGCTAATAAAATTCTAAATGCAGTTACATATTTAGTGATACCTTGTAGTTTGAGAGGTTTCAATGAATTCTCTCCATTTAGCCAAAGTGAAAACAAAGCCAGGAGTAAAGTTATTTTGTTCCACAAATATTATCAACCATCTCCAGAAACTTATTTCACCTGGATCTCCTATGGTTGTACAGAGAAATCCTTAGGTAACTTTTACATTAAGTGAAGCAATAGATCTAATCTGGAATAAGTAAATATCACTTAAATCTTGTCTTGAACGATGCAAAATAAATGTTCAGAAACACTACAATAGTGTTCAGCAATTTTGAAAAGTGATTGAAATTATGTTCAAGTCAGAAATTATATTGAAGGAGTTTTCAGAGTGAACAAAAATATGCTAAATCCAAAATGTACCATTGAAAAAGGGTATTTTCTATATACATTTGAAAATCTATTTAAAATAAAGTGAATCATTTGAGTTTTGAATTAACACACACAATAACAATGAATGTTTATTTCTCATAACTTTTATTAATATATATTAATAAGAAAACATGCAATACAGAACCTGAAATAGAACAATTAATACAAGTTTGCTTCTGGATTACATACTGCCATCCTTGGCCATACAATAGTCAACCTTCTTACTTCCAAAGCATGGTTGGAACTGCTTTGGGATACTGTTCACTTTCAGATGCTGTATGATATCACAGAGGAGGAATCTTCCCACAATACAAACATAAATACATATTTCATAAAAATCTTAATATTTTAAGCAGGGATAGTATAAATTTCACACAGTTTACTCTTTAAAAAGTATCACTTACAATCACTAAACAATTGCCATTAATTTTTTTTATTTGTGCACATACATTTTTCTGAGCAGATTTTTTTGTTACTGTTTCTGCTGTTGTCAACTTGAACTGCTTTTAAAAATCATATTTACTAAAAGCACATGACGGTTAGTGTAAGAAAGCTACTGTGAAAGAATATTTTAAGGCCTCTGCATAAAATTGATCTGGTGTGGTAATTGGCACATAATATAGAAAGGTTCTTGCAGAAATATATTTCAGCTTCTCTTGCTCCCATGTTTTCCCGGCCAATTGAGCCAGTTGGAAGCATTCAAAATAGTTTCTAATGGTCATAATAAAAAGTTTACCTAAACTAACTATAAATTTGGTTTCCAAAAAATATAAAAGAAGAAAGATAAGAAATAATAATTATAATAAAAAATATAAATCAGAAGAGTATAAATAAAAGCCTAAACAAGTAGATTTTCATAAATGTGTATTAGGGAGTATACACACCTTCAGTAATACCATGAAAAAGAAACAAACAAAAAAAACTAATGTTGAAATAGCCATGTGAGTAAAACGCCTTTAATTTTCTCAGGATTGAAAAGGATTTTTTGTGTGTGTGACATAATTACATTTTAAGAACTGAACAATTTGTGATTTGTTTAGTCTATTTTTTTCCCATTTAATGACCATGTGTGATAAATATTAGTTTGGGAAGGCAGAGGCTCTTTGTAACTGCTACCATTACACAATAGCACTAACCATTTATTATTATTTTCTAACCAAATTTACATAATTAAAAGTAAAATGTTAAGTAAATAAGAATACACAAAATTACTCTCTAAATTTATTACATTGTAGATATCATATGTAAAAGCTAATTTTTAATACACTGACACAATATTAGTTAAAACACAGGTAAAGTTTAAGAAAAGAATGTGTATGCACGTAGCATATAAGATACTTAGTATTTGAATACATACTCACAAGTGTGATATAGTAATACCATAGCTAGAAAATTAATAATCACAATCTAATGGAATATGGACACAAAATAGAATAACTACTTTGATTGAACGTATTATTCTCATATAAGTCATTCAGCTTGAAGTTTTAATTTCAAATCAAACAAAATCCTTTTTAAAACAGAACCATTTTTTGATTGTTGGTTCAGTAAGACGTTTTGCAGTTGTAGGACTACATACATCATACATCACAATAGCCACTTGTGTGCTGTGTCAACCTATACCACTGTCTATTCAGTCAGAGAAATAACTTGTAATGTGATGAAAAAGATATCATCAGATCTGAAGCCCTAGAAGTAACAGGTTTCCAAGGCCAGACCTAGTGGACGCTTAGAAAGAGAAGGAAGGCATAGGGGAGAATAACTGGGCTAATACCCCTTGCCTCTTTGGCTACTCTCAGCCTGCTTCCATTCAAAGCCTCTCTGGTAAAAACCAAGAAGAGGGTGCCCAGTCATTTAATATTCTAAACACAATCTAAGTCTGATTATAAAATCAGAGTTAGAAAGGGTAATAAAAGCGTATTGGTTCATTCCTATATCATCTATAGGAAAGGTGTCAAAACGTCACAAGTTTCCAGATATGAGGATTTAAGAACCTCCCTAGTAACTCAATAAATTATACTGTCAGAAGAAAAATCCCAAATATCCAACTTTGAGTCCTATTTGATTTTCACTAACATAGATAGTAACCATTGAGATGCCTGATAAGTTATTTAATAATCTTTCAACCTCTTCTTTTTATATCATTTAAATGTGTGTGTGTGTGCACGTGTGTGTGTGTGTGTGTGTGTAGATCATCAGAAAACTAAAGTTTTGCAGAGAGAAAATGTGAAAATAATTAAAACACAAGAAAAAATCTCACATCATCTTTGCAGGTTTTTTGAGGCAAAGAATGTTCTAAAATCTACTGGAAGCACTGATTTTTGTCACTATTGGTTCTTTTCTTAATCTTCCCCAAGTTTAAAATTTTCAACATCAACAATAGCCACAATATCAACACATTTGTATGATAATAATTTAATAAACATTCAAATATCATCAGTCCTTCGGGATTCACATGCACCTGGAAAACCAGTATGCTCCAAATCCCTTGGAACATTAACAACACGAAGGAGAAAAAACATTAATTAATTTTATTAATCAAACTCTGATAGTTAAAAGTTAAGAAGTTATTCTGCACGCCCAGTCAAATATGACTTAAGGAACTTTACAATGGATGGGAATAATGTATATTCTGAAAACGCTACTTAACCTGCTGGGCACATGAAAAGAAACTTTCTCAATATTCAGTGGAAATCCTCACCAATGAAATTATGCAATTACCACAGTTTATGTTACAAAATTTACACACAGTTTAATCATAAATTAAATATCAAGTTATACATTACAAAATCTATGTCTAAGTTAATCAATAGGAGATATTGACTCCCCCCCCCACCCCAACCGCCCCCATTAAACATCAATTGTCTCTTGGTTTAGTGTTATACTGAAACAAGGTATTTTCTCAGTTTTGCTATGGAAGAAAATTAAGTTGGTGATGTTTCTGTACATTTATAAAATGTGCACATACAAGATAATGGCCAGTTAAGAGGATACAAGAAGGAAATAACAGACAACAGAAGAAAACTAATGTTTTCTATGAATAGTACTGTTTCTTTGCTTAGAAGAATATATTTTATTTCATATATGAGATTTTGATGGTTTTTGTTCTGTGTGTGTTATTGGTATTTCTTGTTGACTGCAAGAAGCAGTCATGTGCCTTATTTCTCCCTCTGCATTTTTCCTTAAAATTCTGTTTGATGTAGATTTATAATTACATTTCTTGAAAAGTTCCTTCCTGATATTCTTGTTGTTATTAGTGGTTTTCTTCAGTAAGTTGAGCTAGAATAACAAAAATCCCTTAGTCTTATAGATTTAGTATATGGTTTTATCTACAGTTACATGTATTTGTTATTTTTACTGAACACCCTTTGGTAACAGCCTATTGAGCTGTCAAATCAACATTTAAATCTTCCTGAGTTTCTCTACAAAATAGTAGTTTACCGTCGATATTTTAAGTGACTCGTGCTTTGGATGCATCCACCTCCTTTTAATTTTCTAGGCTGTTACATACAAATTCCCAGAAGTAAAGACCCAAGTAATAATGGACTACAGGCTTAAAATGGCAGATACAGCTTTATTTCTGATGTACTTTACACTAAACTATTAAAGTAAAAAGAGGCCCTTTTTAACAAATAGTTGCTTAATTAGGGCAGTTATTGCACTTCTGTGTCTCGAACTCTACTAAAGAGTAGAGAAATAGGTTGTAGATCTAGATCTGTACAGTTTATACATATTCTTTATTGAAAATGTATATACAAATTTTATCAACAATATAGTATTGGAATAAGGTAGAAAACATGACAGCAGAGAGACACAAACAAGCAGTATTTACACTACCTACTGCGTATTTTGAAGGGAGACTCACTAACAACAACAAAAAAACTGAAAACAACAAACAAAAATCAAAAAGAAAGCCCAAAAAAAGGCTAGAGTACGTATACCTTTTAACGTTATCTGAACAAAAGTTTAGGTAAACTAAAGGTAAACTTAGAAAATAAGATATTTCTAGGCTTTCCATTTGCTACATACTGGTTCCACACAATCAGCATGGAAACAAATCAGTAATATTGCACATGATGATAAAAACAACAAAAAATACTGTACATCAGAAATAGTGCGCTCTGTCATGATAAGCCTTACTGTACAAGGGGATGCAAATTGTTAAATTCCTTTTCTTTTTAAATACACATTCTGAATTAAACAAATTGCAATTTTTTGGTTAACTATTGACTAAGGGTCTAGCTGTAGATTTATTCTGGTATCTGTTTCTATTTACATAGTTATTTACAAATCTGATAATCAGAATACTCATTGGAATTGTATCTTAAATTTTGACTATATACATCTTTTCTGAAAATTTGAAGTAACTATTTTAGCTTTACAAGGGATGTTCTTCCATAATGGGGGAATCACCTCTGGACGGTCTGGCCTGTTGGCGTGGAGTGAAGGTTGTCAAAGGAATGACTTTAATTGAATCATCACTGGGATGAAGTCTTTCAGACATGGTGTAAAACTGAGATGTTGCACTACCTTGCACTCCCTGATCAACAGAGCATAGCCCATCAGCACCTTGCACCCAACCTTGCTGCAAACTGACTGATGATTGGGCCTGACTACGATGGAGGGCAATAACCTGTGGCAGAGGAGAGCTGTGGCTGATTGCAGCAGCCTGTGCTAAAGGAGGGCTGTAGCAGAGGGCTGAGGCCTGTGCTGATGGTGGGCTGTGGTGAAGTGCAGTAGCCTGCACTAGAGGAGGACTGTGGTGGAGAGCAGACACCTGTATCGGTGGTGGGCTGTGGCACAATGCGATGGTCTGTGTCACTGGAGGGCTGTGGCAGAGAGCAATGGTCTGTGTCACTCGTGGGCTGTGGTGCTGAGTAGAGGCCTGTGACAGTGGTGGGCTGTGGCATAGAGCAGAGGCCTGTGCTTGCGAAGAGCTGGAATGATCCAGAGATGCCGGCATCCAGCAGGCATCAGAATGGCCATAGATGAGACATTCTTGAGTGCAGTTGTCAGAGGCCTCTTCCACAGTTGGTTGAACAGTTATTTCTGCAGCTGTTGGGGTGAGGAAAAAAATAATAAAATTTATATTTCAAAGGCATATTTTTATTAGCCACTTAAATATCATTGTGACAAAAAAGGTAACAACCTATATACAAATGCATTAAAGACTTCCATTATTTATAGAGTTGGTATTTTTAATTTGTCAGTAATTCTTAGGGAAGTATAAATGACTTGGAGTGGGTGGATGAGGTCTCATTATCATAATTGGCATCCTTTGGCCTAGTATCCCAAATGTAGGTATTTTTTATTGTATCTGTGACCCTCAAGGAAACTATGATCATTCATCTATACATGCAAGTCAGCTGAAATATGGCTTCTAACTAGCACTGAGAGAGGACATAAAAGCAAAATTAATTGGAAAACAAATTATAAGAATATATAATGAACTAATTATAGCTAAAAAATAGTTAGCTAATAATAAATTACATAAATTTGGAAGTATAGTTTATTGAACTCTAAGATATGCCTTAGTTTCAAGAATAAAATATAGTCATAATTATTTCAAAAATAAGTGATTTCGGTATCCTTTATTTGCTGGAATCATCTTAAAATACAAGTTAGCAACATAATAAACTAGAGATCCAAGTATTTAGCTGTAAACTATAATAGTTTATAATACTCTTTTTATGAAATTTCTCTATAGTCTTCAAATGTCAATAGATATCAAACATCAATAAAAATATTATACAAATTTTAGTGAAATAGAGATGGAGTTACTATATCTATATAAAGTTTACTTGAGAGCAAGAAATGCTATCCAGTATAAAGAAATACATTATATGACAATAAAAAGATCAATTCTCTACGAAGACGTATCAATCCTGTGTGTATGCACCTTACAACAGAGCTTCAAAATATAAGCAAAATAAGCTAGAAATGAAAGGATAAATAGACATATCCACAGTCATACTTGGAGACTACAATACTCCTTAGAACTTGATGGAAAAAATAGAAAATCAGTAAATGCATAGAAGACTTGAGCAATATAATCAACCAACTAGATCAAAATTTATATTAGTAGAACTATTCAATTTTAGCAAATTAGAAACAGGGGAATATCTTCAAATTGACATGCAGGTCCTACAAAAAGATAACAGCTGACACGATATTCAAAGGTTAAGTATTGAATACTTTTCCCCAAAAATCAGAAACAGTAAGGTTGACACCACTCCTATGTGACATAATATTGTAAGTTCTAGACAATGAAATAAAGCAAGAAAAAGAAATGAAAGACATACAGATTGAAAATAAACAACACTGTATCTATTCACAGACACATTTAGGTATACATGTAACAAAATGTGTGTGGAATCTGTGTGCTTAAAATTTAAAAAAAAAGATGAAAAAAATAAAGAAAATCTAATTAAATGGAGAGATACACCATGTTCTTAGCTTGGAATACTCAATATTGTTATGATGTCAGTGGTCCCACAATTGATCCGTAAAGTCAACATAATCTAAATAAAAAGGAAATCTTAGATGGATCTTCTGTTTTTGCAGATATCAACAAGCTGATGCTATAATTTATGGGGAAAGGTAAAGGAATTAGATTAGCCAACCAATTTTGATTAAAAAAAACCTATTTGTGGACTCACATGATCTGATTTCAAGATTTACTATAGCACGTACCTAATCATTACAATGTAATATTATCAAAATCATAAATACAAAATGATTAATAAAAATAGAATAATCAGTCCAGAAATAGATCCACAAAATTCTACAGTGATTTTCAACAAAGGTCTGAATTCAATGGTGAAAGTATAGACTTTTCAACAAGTGCCAACAGAATGATTATAGGTTATAAGCAGAAAATTAAAACTTGACCCACATCTTTAATCTTATAAAATAATTAACCTGGAATCAATCAAAAGTCTAAATGTAAAATGTAAAACTATACAACTTCTATTAGAAAATATTGGAGAAAATCTTTGTGACTATCAGTTAGGCAGCATTCTTAACTACAACATCAAAAGCACAATTTATTTTTAAAAATATGCTAAGTTGAGCTTATTTGTAATTAAAAATATTTACTTTGCAAAAGGCAATGTGAATGAATGAAAAGGCAAGCTACAGACTGGGTAAAAATATTTGCAAATCACATTTCTGACAAGGGAGTTATATATTTAAA
This sequence comes from Homo sapiens, assembly GCF_000001405.40. NCBI lineage: Eukaryota > Metazoa > Chordata > Mammalia > Primates > Hominidae > Homo > Homo sapiens. The sequence continues at coordinate 92,616,123 of NC_000023.11, read as the reverse complement.
AAAGGATGTAAACTAACAATAGATTTTTTTTCCAAGATGACTGATTAAATCCTTTTATCATGCCTCAGTGACTTGGAAATAGCAAGATAGTGCATAAAGATCAACTTTGTGAGCTTTAATTCAAGAAGAAAAATGAGAATCCACCAGTATTGTGAAGGGGGCCCCAGCGGGGAGGACATGGGAAAGCAGTCCATGTGATGGCATCCAGTTGATAAAAGTAAGTGAAGCCCCAGTACATGAGAGAGACAGAGAGCCTCCCTCTGTGACTCACCTTTCTACTGGGGATCTGAGCAACCCAAGAGGAGGGAGAATATTTTGTTTCTTTAAAGTCCTGGTGCTAACCTGGGGAGAGGCTTGGAGACCTGAGGGGAAAACACCAGGAAAAACTACAGAAATTTGCCCAGGCCAAGGACTGACAGCAGGATGCCATTTTTAATCCAGGCACATACAAAATCAGCCATTCCTTTGAGACCTAGCAGTATGGCCATGCAGGTATTTTAATCTCAGGCCAGAGATTGGAACACCTGCTCTGGAGCAGGGTAGGGGCTTCCATAGCCAGAACTGTAGAAAGCACCACAGCAGTAGGTACCAGAATTTTACACTCCCCTGTTGAAGCCCTGGGGCAGGAGAAGAGCTGCTATAGCTGTGTTTTCTCCTGGATGATGAGACTTTCATTCAAGGCCAGCTGGCAACCTGAAACTGACTTGCGTATGCCATTAATGGGTGCCCCAGCATGCTCCCCTTGAGATTGTGGTATAGCAGGGCCCTCTCCGTTCCACCTCCATGCAGAAATCCAAGCATCTGGAGCGCCCACTTGCTTGAATCAGCAATCTGAGTTGCCCCACTTTTCATGGACATAAATTGTGGTATAGCAGGCACTTCGCACTCAATACCCAAACAGATCTCCAGGTGTTTGAAGCACTTCCTCACCTGGATCAACAGCTTTACCTGCCCCTATTTCTGTGCATAGATGGTGGTGCAGTGGGGCTTTCATCACAACACATGCAGACAGATCTCCAGGAATTTGGAGTACTTGCTCACATGGACTAGTAGCCTGAGCAACCCCGCCCTTGTTGGCCATGGATCATGGTGCAGTCAAGCCCTCTACATTTTATGCCCAGGCAGATCTTCAGACATTCAGATCACCCACTCACCTGGTTCAGCAACCTGGAGCTGCCTCACCCCTACTATGCAGAGATCTTGGTGAAGGGTGGTTCTCTCTGCTTCACAAACAGGCATCTCTCTCTGCTCCACACCCAGGCATATCTCTAGGCATGTGGAGCACTCGCTCTCCGACCTGGATTAGGAATTTAGGCCTCCCCTAATCCCTGTCCAGAGAACTTGGGGCTGAGGAGGTTTCCCAGCTCCATGCCTAGACACACCTTTGGGTGTTTAGTGGCTGTCCACTGGATCCTTGCTAAGTGCTGGTGTTTGTGCCTGACATCAGGGGACATTTAGGCAGGCCATGCTAATCTTGGACCTGTCCTAACATAGGACAGAGCAAGGAGCTCAGACAACTGTGCACTCCACAGATCAGCCCATTGCCTAAGATGAGAGAGAGCTTCTCCCAGTAAACAAGGATCATGTATATACCTAGCCACATCAGGTACAGCCAGCTCTCACCCATAAGTACCATCTACTGGCTTGTAGGTTGAACTACACACATCAATATAAAACCTGTCAACGAAACTACATAGGGTTACAGAAGCAAAGACAAGTGACCATACCCAGCATTCACTACAGTCACACCCTGTAGGGAGGAGAGGAAAGGGAAAGGGAAAGAAAAAAAAAATAATAATGTTATACTGAAATAAAAAACAAAAGAAAATATCCTAACACAAAATTACAAAAATGAGAAGTGCCAACATTCTCAGATGAGAAGAAACCAGTGCAAGAATTCTAGCACTATGAAAAATATGAATGCAGTGACATCACCATAGAATTGCAGTACCCCTCCACCAATGGTCCTTAACCAAAATGTAAATGCAGAAATCACATAAAGAATTCAAAGCATGGATTTCAAGGAAGCTCAGTGAGATCCAAGACAAGCTGAAAATGAACACAAATAACTTCTAAAGCAATCCAGGAAATAAAGAAAGAGATAAACATCTTGAAAGAAAGCAATCAGAACTTCTGGATTTGAAAAACTAACTTAAGGAATTTAAAAAATACAATTGAAAGCTTTAACAATAGACTGTACCAAGCAGAAGAAATAATTTCAGAGCTTAAAGACCAGTATTTTGAAATAACATAGCCAGATAAAAATAAAGAAGAAAAGAATTTTAAGAAATAAGCAATGTTTTTGAGGAATATTAGATGATGTAAAGCGAAGAAACCTACAAATTACTGGCATCCCTGAGGAAGAAGTGGACAATGTAGGTAACTTGGAAAACAATATTTGAGGTAATAATTCAATAAAAGTTCTCTGATCTTGCTAGAGAGACAGATATCCAGATTCAAAAAATCCAGAGAACATCTGAGAGATATAATACAAAATGAGTATCACCAAAGCATATGGTCACAAGACTGTCCAGGGTTAACACACACACACACACACACACACACACACACACACACAACAACAACAACAACAAAAAAACTTAAAGGCAACTAGAGAAAAACGTCAGATCACATACAAACGAACTCCATCAGGCTAACAGTGAACTTCTCAGCAGAAACCTTACAAGCTAACAGAAATTGGAGGCCAATTTTTAATATTCTTAAAAACAAGAAATTCCAACCAGGAATTTTATATCCCACCAAACTATGTTCCATAGGCAAAGGAGAAACAAACGATTTTACAGACAAGCAAGCCCTGAAAAACTTTGTTACCATCAGGCCAGCCTTATAAGAGATTATTGAGGAAGTTCTAAACATAGAAATCATAGCAGCTAGCAGGAAAACAAACTTAAATACATAGCCCAAAGACCCTATAAAGCAACCACAAAATAGGAAACACAAAGCAAACAGCTAACAACTTCATGATAGGATTAAAACCTCAGATATCAATATTAACCTTGAATTTAAATGGCCTGAAGGTCCAATTTAAAAGATATGGAGTAACAAGCTGCATAAAAAAGCCCTATCAGTCTGCTGTCTTCAACAGACCCAACACACATGCATAAACATCCATAGACTCAAAGTAAAGATCTAGAGAAAGATCTACAGTGGAAACAGAACACAAGAACAGGGGTTGCTATTCTTATATCAGATAAAACAGAGTTTAAAGCAATAACAACAAAAAAAAGGGTATTACATAATGGTTAAGTGTTCAATTCAACAAGAAGACTTAACTATACACATACATATGCACCCAGTATTGGAGTGTTTTCTTCTTATAAAACAAGTTTTTCTTGGTCTACAAAAAGACTTAGAAAGCCACACAATAATACTGGGGGATATCAACATCCCACTGACAGCATTAGACAGATCATCAAGACAGAAAACTAACAAAGAAATTCTGGACTTGAATTTGACACTTAACCAGTTGGACCTAATAAACATGCACAGAATACTCTACCCAATATACATGTATATACAGAATATATAAAGCATAGTCTCAATAAATTAAAAAAATTGAAATCATACAAACTATTGAAAAAATAAATAAGATTGACAGGCTACTAGCTAGATTAACAGGAGATGATCCAAAGAAGCACAGTCACAATAGACAAAGGTGGCATTGCAACTGATCCCACAGGAATTCAAAAGATCCTCAGAAAATATAAACACCTCTGTGCACACAAAATAGAAAATTTAGAGGAAATTGAGAAATTGCTGGAAGCACACAATCGCCCAAGATTGAATCAGGAAGGGATTGAAACCGTGAACAGATCAATGCTGAGTTTTGAGATTGTATCAGTAATTTTAAAAACTACCAAACAAACCAAAAACAAAACCCAGACCAGATGGATTCAGAGCCAAATTGTACCAGACATACAAAAAAGAGATGTTACCAATGCTACTGAAACTATTTAAAAAAAAATTCTAGTAGTAGGGACTCCTCTCTAACTCCTTCTATGAGGCCAGCATCATCCTGATACCAAAACCTGGCAAAGACACAACAAAAAATGAAAATTATAGGCCAATATCTCTGATTAACAAAGACACAAAAATTGTCAAAAAAAATATACTAGGAAACTGAATCCAACAGCACTTCAAAAAATTAATTGACCGTGAAGACTGTGATCAAGTAGGTTTCATTCTTGGGATGCAAGATTGGTACAGCATATGCAAATCAATAAATGTGATTCACCGCATAAACAGAAGTAAATTTAAAAAAAAAGTGATCATCTCAGTAGACACAGAAATAGCTTTTGATAAAATCCAGCATCTCTTCATGATAAAAACTTTCATATATTAGTCACTGAAGGAACACACCTTAAAGTAATGAGTCATCTATGACAAACCCACAGCCAACATCATACTAAACAGGCAAAAACTAGAAGCATTCTTTTGAAAGCTAGAATAAGACAAGGATGCCCATCTTCAGTACTCCTATTCAACACAGTACTGGAAGTGCTAGACAGAGAAATCAGGAAAGATAAAGAACTAAAGGGATCTAATCAGGAAAAGAAGATGATAACCTATGTCTATTCATGGCCAGTAGGATTCAATATGTAGAAAACCCTAAAGAACATTGAAAGGCTCCTGGAACACAAAAGATTTAGCAAAGTTTCAGCATACAAAATCAATGTGCAAAAATCAGTAGAATTTCTATATATTAAAGCTGAGTGCTGAATCAAGAATAGAATTTTATTTGCAATAGCCAAAAAAAAAAAGCTAGGAATAAATCTAACCAAGGCAGCAAGAGGTTTGTTTGTACAAGAAGAACTACAAAACACTGCTAAAAGAAATCATAGATGACACAAACAAATGAAAAAGCATCCTATGCTCATGGATTAGAAGAATAAATATAAAAATGGCCATACTATCCAAAGCAAAATACAGATTCAACACTCTTCCTATCAAACTACCAAAGTCGTTTTTCCAGAATTTGAAAAAAAAAAAACTGTTCTAAAATTTATATGGAACCACAAAATAAGCCAAATAGCCAAAATAATCCTAAGCAAAAAGAACAAAGCTGGAGGCATCACATTATCTGACTTCAGACTGTACTATAAGGCTACAGTAATAAAAAGAGCACAGGACTGATGCAAAAGCAAACACATAGACCAATGGAACAGAAATAGAGAACCCAGAAATAAAGTTGCACACCTACAGCCATCTAATATTTGACAAAGTTGACAAAATTAAGCAGTGGGGAAAAGACTTTCTATTCAATAAATTGTGCTGGGACAGTTGACTAGCCACATGTAGAAGAATGAAACTGGACCCCTACCTATCACCATATACAAAAATTAACCTAAGATGAATTAAAGATTTAAATGTGAGACCAATAACTGTAAGAATTCTAGAAGGAACCATACGAAACACCATTCTGGACATTAGCCTTGGCAAAGAATTTATGACTAAATCCTTAAAAGCAATTGCAACAAAAACAAAAATTGACAAATGGGACCTAATTAAACTAAAGAGCTTCTGCAAAGCAAAATAAGCTATCAACCAGGTGAACAGACAACCTATAGAATGGGAGAAAATGTTCCCAAAGTATACATTCAGCAAAGGTCTACTATCTAGACTGTAGAGAACATAAACAAACAACAAGCAAAAAACAAAAGCCTCCATTCAAAAGTGGGCAAAAAATATAAACAGACACTTCTCAAAAGAAGACATACAAGGGGCCAACAAACATATAAAAAAAATTCCTCATCATTCTTCACCAGATAAATGCAAATCAAAACCACAATGAGAATCTATCTCACACCAGTCAGAATAGCTATTATTAAAAAGCCAAAAAACAACAGACGCTGACAAAGTTGGGGAGAAAAGAGAATTTTTATACACTGTTGGTGGGAATGTAAATTAATTCAGCCTTTGTGGAGAGCATTTTGAAGATTTCTCAAAGAACAAAAAACAGAATTACCATTCAACCCAGAAACTCTCATTACTGAGTATTATCTCCAAAAGAAAACAAATTGTTCTACCAAAAAGACACATGCACTTGCATGTTGACACAGCACTGTTCACAATAGCAAAGACATGGAGTCAACCTAGGTGACCATCAGTGGTGGATTGGATTTCTTATATATAGCACGCATATACCATAGGATATACGCAGTCTTTAAAAGAACAAACTATGTTATTTGCAGCAACATGGGTGCAGCTGGAGGCCATTATCCTAAGCAAATTAACACAGCAACAGAAAGCCAAATATCGCATGTTCTCCCTTATAAGTGGAAGCTAAACATTGGGTACTCATGGAAATAAAGACAGCAACAATAGACACTGAAGAGTATTAGAAGGGAGAGAGGGGAGAAAGGGTTGAACAACTATGAATATGATGAGATTATTCATACCCCAAACCTCAGCGTCACCCAATATACCCAGGTAACAAATCTGCACATGTACCCCCTGAATCAAAAATAATAGTTGAAATTTAAAAAACTAAAAAATAACAATAAGAAAATGAAGAACTCAATTAAAAAACTGGCTAATATCTGTATAGACTATCAAGGAAGACATGAATATGTCAGATAAGCATATAATTAGAGGCTCAGCACAGTCAGACATTAAAGAAATGCAAATTTAAAATGCAAAGAGATACCATTCTATTTGAGTGATTAAAAGAACAAACTAAAAATACCAAGTGCTGGTAAGTATTCCAAACATCTAGAATCTTCAATTGATGCTGCTGCTGACACAGAATGGCACAGGGAATTTAGATAACAGTTTGTCAACTTCCTATAAAGCTAAACATACACTTGAAAAACAAAAACAGAAAAAAAACCCAGCAATTCCAGTCCTGCATATTTATGCAAAATATTTGAAAACGTATGTTATCGTAGAAATTTTTATGTGCAAGTTAAACAGCATTATTAATAATCACCAAAAGGTAGAAATGACCCTTACTGTCTTTCAGCTGGTAAAAGAATGAACTGTGTCATAGCCATACACTGAAATACTACTCAGCAATAAAAAGAAGCATATTGATTCTTAGAGCAACATGGATGAGTCTCAAATGAATTTTGTTAAATGAAAGAAGCCATAATCAACAGTCTACATCGTGTATGGTTCCTATTATATAACATTCTGGAAATGGCAAGCTTATAGGGATGAAAAACATACCGGTGATCGCCAGGAGCTGGGAATTCAGGTAATGTTGACTAGCAGAGCAGCACAAAGAAATTTTGGGAGTAATGAAAGTGTTCTCTATATGAAAATGGTGATAGATACATGATTGTATGCATTTGTCAAAACTGGTAGAACTATAGAACATGAGTGAATTTTATTGTACGTAAATATAAAAAACAGCAATGAGTGATGTCAACTGTTGAGAAATTATACTTTTTATAAATTATCTTTTGCCTCCTTTATTCAATTCAGAATTATTTTTTCCAGAAAAATATCCTAATCAAATTAAATAGTATTGCATCCAAATAATACATGCTTCTTTGTGGACTCACTGCTTGAAATATTTTTAATACAAAGTTATCAAATTCAAAACATAATTTTGAAAATTATGTGTGGAAATATTTAAAAAGATAAGAATATCATTTATTTACAGAAACCATAGGACAAACGATAATACAAAGGTTTTCTAAGACACTTAGCCTCATACATTTTCTACCTTCACAAAGCTAGAAAAATGACATAATGATTTTTGTTCAGGTGCATGGTATTAAGAGAAGAGCAGAACAGGAAGGAAGAATTTGGTTATTTTTAGAGAAAGAAACTGTCCATATAATCTTCACTATTTTCTTAACTTTGGGTTGCAACCACTAGTTAATTTCAAATAACTTTATAAATGATTAGTATAATTTGTTTTCACACTTAGGTCTCCAGAAAAGAAAAAAAAAAATTCTCTTTTTCTTCTCTCTGAACATGTGTGCTTGCTGAGTGATAATGGCAATTCAAGTTTTTGTACATAATTTTAAAAACTAAAAATAGAGATTCAATTTGTTATAGAGTCCAGTGACTGTCATTACCCTATCATGCTTAGTACCAAAGAATAGGATGTAAAATAAGTTATAGTAAGACTAATAGCTCCCCATTAGATAACCATTTATCTTTCTTTATTTAGAGCTCACTGAAAATAAACGTGTCCCTAGGAGATTAACGTTTAAAATGTTCTATATTTTTTGCACAATTATATTTGAGAAATAGTTGGGAATATAGTTTTATATATTTCAGATAATATTAAACCATAATTGCAGGCATGAAAATACGTGAACACACATATAACTTTACTTTCAAACAAAATTTAATTTCCTGGTCATCAGAAAAGCAATTTATCCGGCAGCCTGAAATTTCACAAAAAATAATACATCATAGTTTCAATATCGAGCTTCTAGCCTATTTGTGATGAGGAAATTGATGCAAAGTCATTTTCACTGGAAAATGATATAATTTATAATTAGTCCTTTTTAACAATTTTCGTGAGATGTAGTTTATATCTTCAAATTCACCCATTTAACATGAGAAATTCAGTGGTTTTTAGTATATTCACAGCATTGTGCAACCATCTCAATTCTGGGACATCTTTATCACTTCAAAAAGAAACTATTAGCAGCCACTGCCCATTTCCCGTCAAACTCCAGAGCCCTAAGCAATCTCTAATCTACTTTCTGTCTCAATAGATTTGCCTATACTGTACATATAATAGAAATGCAATCCTTTATTCGGACAGTTGGGTAAGTGGTCTGTTGTATTTAGCATAATGCTTTCGAATTTCATTCATGTTGTAGTATGTATCAGTACTTCAGTTCTTTTTTTATTACCCAAGATTATCTTTTATAAGGATATGCTACTTCTTATTTATCCATTCATCGGATCATGGACATTTGGGTTGTTTTTATCTTTTGGCTATCATGAACAATGCTTTTATTAACATTTATGTAAAAGTTTGTGTGCTGGGTCTTACACCAACTCTGTTTACCATTTGAGGAACTGCCAAATTGTTTTCCAAATTGGGTGCACTATTTTACATAAACATCAGAAATGCATGAATGTTCCCATTTCTTTACGCACTTACCAACATTCGTTATTATTTGTCTTTTTTATTACAGCAATCTTAGGAGTAAGAAGTGCTATCTCATTGTGATTTAGATTTGCATATCCCTAACTGCTAATGAAGTTAAATATTTTTTGATATACTTACTAGTAATTTGTTTATATTCTTTGGAAAAATATGTCTATTTGTATTTTTTACCCATTTAAAAATTATATCTTTTGCATTACTATTGTTGGATTTTACAAGTTCTTTTTATGGTCTAAATATAAGACTCTTATAAGATATACAATTTACAAATATTTTCTCACATTCTGTGGTTTGTCTTTTCACTTTCTCGATGATATCCTTTGACGTACAAAAGTTTTGAAGTTGATGAGGTATAATGTATTTTTTTGTTGTTGCTTGTACTTTTAGTGTCAGATCTAAGAAAACTTTGCTTAATGCAAAGTCATAAAGGTTTGCTCCTGTGATTTCTAATAGTTTTATAGCTTCTGTTCTCATATTAAGGTCAATGATCCATTTGGAGTGGTTATTTCTATGCATTTTGTAAGGAAGGTATCTAAAAATTATCCTTTTGCATGTGGATATCCAGCAATCCCAATGCCACTTGTGGAAAGACTATTTATTATTTATTGACTTTAATTGGCTGAAAATCAATTGTCCATTGATTGCTATTGGTTTGAGGAACGTTTTAAAATGGAAAAGGCTTAGTTATCCAACTTTGTTCTTATTTTTCACAATTATTTTGGCTAATCTAGTTCTCTTAAATTCCCGTGGTTTTAGCATTAGCGTCTTTTTTTTTTTTTTTTTTTTTTTTTGAGACGGAATTTCCCTCTTGTTGCCCAGGCTGGAGTGCAATGGCACGATCTCCGGCTCACTGCAACCTCTGCCTCCTGGGTTCAATCAATTCTCCTGCCTCAGCCTCCCAAGCAGCTGGCATTACAGGCATGTGCCACTACACCCAGCTAATTTTGTATTTTTAGTAGAGACGAGGTTTCTCCATGTTGGTCAGGGTGGTCTCGAACTCCCAACCTCAGGTGATCCGCCCGCCTCGGTCTCCCAAAGTGCTGGGATTACAGGCGTCAGCCACTGCACCCAGCTCCAGATTAGCGTCTTATTTCTGCAAAATTCAAGTTGAATTGTGTCGAATCTGAAGATCAATTTGTGAAGGATTGCATCTTATAATATTGTCTTACAAATTAAGGACATGGGATGTCTTTTCACTTATTTAGATTGTTAATTTCTTTCACCAATAGTTTAGAATTTTTAGAAGATAAGAAGGACTTTTGTTAAATTTATTTCTAAGCATTTTATTTCATTTTATTCTACTGTAAATGAGATTCTCTTAATTTTTTTAAGAAATGTTTAACGCTAGAATATAGAAATACACTCAATTTTTAATATATTGCTCTTATACCTTGAAGCACTGCTGAAGTATTAGTTTTAACAAGTTTTTAATAGATTTCGTAAGATTTTCTGTATAAGAAACTCATATCATCTTCAAATAGAGATAATTCTACTTCTTTCTTTGCAATCTGGATGTTTTAGTATCTTTTATTTATTTATTTTTTTTGCCTAGTTACTTGTGGTAAAACCTCCAGTACAATGTTTAATGTTTAATAGAAGTGGTAAGTATGGACATCCTATGTCTTGCTTCTGATCTTGTGGGAAAAGCATTGAGTATTTCACCATTAAATGTTTTGGAATTTCTCTTGTTGTTTCTTCTTTAACCAATTTATTACTTAGGAAGATCTTGTTTAATTTCTAAATATTTGTTAATTTTCCAAATTTCTTTTGTTATTCATTTCTAATGTTCTTTTGTTTTGATCAAAAGACATATTCTGGATGAGTTCAATCTTTTCAAATTATTGAGGCTTCTTTTATAGCCTACCATATAGTCTATCCTGGAAAATCATGCCTGTGCAGTTTCATAGTATATGTATTCTGCTCTTGTAGTCAGATACATGTCTGCTAGTTCTAGTTGGGCTAGAGTGCTGTTTGAGTCTTCTTTTTATTGATCTACTGCCTAGTTGTTCCATTATTGAAAAACAAATATAGAAATATCTAACTATTACTGAAGTGTCTATTTCTCTCTTCAATTCTGTCAAATTTGCTCCATGAATTTGGTGGCACTGGAGTTAGGTGCATGTATGTTTGTAGTTATTATGTTTTTCTGATAGTTTGACCATTTTTTCATGATAAAATGTTCCTCTTTATTTCTGGTAACATATTTTAAAGTCTTTTATTGCCGGATATTAGTGTAGTCACTTCAGCTTTCTCATGATTCTTACTTACATAGTATAATGATTTTCCGTAATTTTACATTCAATGCATTGAATCTGGGTTGTGCATACTGTAGGCATATATTCAGATCTTATTTTGTATTCTGACACTGTTGGCCTTGTTTTATGTTGTTTAATCCATTTACTTTGTTATTAATATCATGAACTGATATCCGCCATTTTTCTTTTTATTTTCTATGTGTTTCACGGTTTCCCCGTTTCTCCTTGCAGCTTTCTTTTGCATTAGGTGAATACATTCTAGTGTAATATTTTAATGCTTTTTATGATATTTTTCACTATACATGTGCGGGTATGTATATGTGTGTGTATGTGTGTATGAGTGTTATTCTCTTAGTGTCTAGTGCTTGAATCTTAATTTATCATAGTTGTTTTTGACTTAATGTAAGTTAATTCCATGGGACATAGAGATATTACTCCTATATACCTATATTTACTATTTACTTTTCTGTAACATATATATGTAAAAAATTCAATAACTACATTGCCATAATTATTAATTTATGTATTTTTAATGAAGCTGATAAAAGGGGAGTAGTACATAATTATAAATTATATTTTATTAACCTTCCTATTTTACAATTTTGTTCTTTTATTTCTTTTCCTGTGAATTCTAGTTATAATCTGGTATCATTTCCTTACTCCAATACTTTGCTTCTACCTATCTTTGTGCTAATGTTGTAATTATGTATTATTATTGTATATGAATTTCTATATGTTATAGACTGAACAAAATTATATATAATTGTGTATATATAATTATATATGTATATATCTTATACAATTGTTTATATATAGATGCATATGTCTTGTCTTGTCTTATACAAGGGTTTTTCAAATTCATTAAGAGGAGAAAAAAGAAAAAACAAAATTATACTGTCTTTTACATTTACCTACATAATTGCTTTTACTGCCAATATTGTGTTTTTTAATGTGGTTTCAAATTACTATCTTGACTCTCTGACTTTCAGTCGGAAGAATTTCCTTTAGTATTTTATGTAACATGGATATGCTAGCAATAAATTGTCTCAATATTTGTTTATCTAGGAAGGTTTGTATTTCACTTTCATTTCTGACCAATATTTTGCTGGATAAAAAATTATTTCTTACCTTTTTTTTTTCTTACGACTCTTTGTTATTTCACTGCCTTCTTGCCTTCTGGTATCCACTGAAAGTCTTTTTTTTTCCCTCCAAAATTTTCTTATTTTCTTTATCTTTCAGTATTTTTACTGAAATGTGTCCGTGTGGATCTCTGTGTTTATCAGACTTCATTAAATTTATTGTGTATATATGACTTTTATCAAATTGAGAAATTTAATAACATTATTTCTTCTAGTATTATTTCCACTCCTTTTTCTTCTTTCTTTCTGATACCCACTTTCCTCATAATTGTTCTTTATTTCTTTTTTACTTCAATGAAGTAAATAGATTAAACAACAAAAAACAAGGCAAACATTGTCAGATAGAATAAAAAATAAGATCTGAATATATGCCTTTTTCTTTGTTCTTTTTTCTCTCTTTTTCTTTAGATTGCATAATATCTATCAACCTAAATTCGAGTGTTCTGATTCATTCTTCTATTGGTTCAAATGCACTGTTGAATCACTCTAGTCAATTTTACATATTGATAACTGTACTTTTCAACTCCAGAGTTTCCATTTGGTATTTTTGTGCTTTTTATTTCATTATTGATACTCTGTATTTGATAAAATATTGGCATTTTACCTTCCTTTACTTATTTAAGCAGAGTTTCTTTTAAATCTTTGAATATGATTATAATGGCTTCTTTGTAGTTATTATCTGTTAAATCTGACAACAGAGCCCTCTCACAGTTAGTTTTTGTTGCTTGCTTTTTTCATGTAGAGCTCACAGTGTAACTCATAATTTTGTCACAGAATACCTCATAATTTTATCAAAAACTAGACATTTTAGATTATATATTGCATCAATTGTGAATACTGATACCACTACCCTCTCTGGGACTTGATTTTGTTGTTGTTTATTTGCTTGTTTTGTTACTTGGCTAGAATATTTGGCGAAGTCTATATCCCATTGAATGTGTTACCTCTGATGTCATGCATCAGAGGGTACGGCCTTAAATATGGACATACACTGAGATGTCAGTAATTTTAGCTAAGGTTTATTTGACAGTCTCTTTCCCTGATTTTTCAGCTAAACTACTTGCTTCATTTGGTATCCGTTCTCAGCCAGTTAGGCTCCACTCATTACTGGCTGATTGCTTGATTGTTTTCGGCAATGTCCTAAGGCATAAATTGCTCAGCAGTCTGATACAATCAAATTTGAGCCCCTTTGCAGGGGTAGTCTTTAAGGCAACATTTGGATGTTGGTTCTGACCCAAGCGGGCTTTTTCTCTGCACTTTTTCCTGATTGTCTCTGCTAAACCTACAGCTAATCTACAGTCTTTTAAATTTTAATGTAATTTTTATTTTTTTGCTCTCATGGAGCTATCGGCTTCTTCTTATTGCCTTACCAGCAAAATCTCCACTGTTTTTGACAACTCCCTTAGCTTGAACTTCCCCCATACTTTGCTCCAAATGAGTCCCTTCTCTTGAGGATAGCTTTGGAGCTCTCTGTATTTATCATCCCCTGGGCAATATATGTGTGCCACTGCTCTCACGATAAAAATGAGGACAGTAGCCTGCTTCTTTTAGATGCATACTCCTGCTTTTTAGCAGACAGGTGAAGTATCCTCTGGTCTTCTTAACATGCCTAACCCAGCATGGGATTTCTACCCTATAAGTGAATTGGAGTATGGGCAACTAGGCACAATGTTCTTAACCACTGTTGCCTATAATAGAGCTTCTGCAACACAGACCTGTTAGAAGTTAGAAATCCTGGAAGCCTGTGCCTCAGTGGAAGATACCTTAACCCTAGACTTGGAGTTGGAGGGAAAAGGAGTTCTGCATTTTTGAATGACCCTGGAAGGGATGAAGCTTTTGTCACACTAAATTGTGTGGCGAGATATGGATTATGATTCAAATGCCACAGGCTCTCACTATTCTTGCAGAATATTAGTAGATTTTCTAGAATAAGTGCTTCTCCATTTGCTGTTTGCTCTTAGGATAATCTCTTAGGTTGCTTCCAACTTTTGGCTGCTGTGAATAATGCGGCTATGAATATGGGTACTGATACCTGTTTGAATCTCTATTTCAACTACTTTTGAGTATATACCCAGAGTAGAATGGTTGGGTCATATGGTAATTTTATGTTTAATTTTTTTTTTTTTTTATGAATCACCATACCATTTTCCTTAGTAGCTACGCCATTTTACATTCCCATCAGCAATGTATTAGCGTTTTAATTATTTCACATCATTGTTCTTTCTTTCTTTCTTTCATCTCTTGAGACTTATTCACTATCACAAGAATAGCATGGGAAAAACCCACCCTGATGATTCAATTACCCCTCACTGGTTCCCTCCCACAACACGTGGAGATTATGGGAGCTTCAATTCAAGATGAAATTTGAGTGGGGACACAGGCAAACCACACCATTCTGCCCCTGGCAACTCCCAAATCTCATGTCCTCACATTTCAAAACAAATCATTCCTTCCCAACAGTTCCCCAAAGTCTTGATTCAGCAATAACTCAAAAGTTCACGGTCCAAAGTCTCATCTGAGACAAGGCAACTCCCTTCCACCTATGAGCCTGTAAAATCAAAAGCAAGTTAGTTACTTCCTAGATACAATGGAGGTACAGGCATTGGGTAAATATGCCCATTCCAAATGGGAGAAATTGGCCAAAACGAAGAGACTACAGGCCTCATGAAAATGTGAAATCCAGTGAGGTGGTCAAATATTAAAGCTCCAAAATGATCACCTTTGACTGCATGTTTCACATCCACGTCACACTGATGCAAGAGGTGGGTTCTCGTGGTCTTGGGCAGCTCTGCCCCTGTGGCTTTGCAGAGTACAGCCTCACTCCTGGCTGCTTTCACAGGCTGGCATTGAGTGTCTGTGGCTTTTTCAGGTGCATGGTGCAAGCTGTGATTGGATCTACCATTCTGGGGTCTGGAGGATGGTGGCTCTTTTCTCATCACTCCACTAGGCAGTGCCTCAGTGGGGATTCTGTGTGGGGACTCCCACCTCACATTTCCCTTCTGCACTGCCCTAGCAGAGGTTCTCCGTGAGGATTCTGCCCCTGCAGCACAACTCTGCCTGGACACCCAGGAATTTCCATACATCCTCCAAAATTTAGGTGGAGATTCCCAGTTCTTGACTTCTGTGCACCCACAGGCCCAATACCACATGTAAGACACCAATGTATGGGGCTTGAACCCTCTGAAACAATGGCTTGAGGTGTACATTGGCCCCCTTTAGCCATGGCTGTAATGCAGGGCACCAGGTCCCAAGACTGCACAAAGCAGCAAAACCCTGGATCTGGCCCACAAAACAATTTTTTCCTCCTAGACACCCCCAGCTTGTGACTGTAGGTGCTGCCATGAGGACCTCTGACATGTCCTGGAGAAATTTTTCCTACTGTTTTGGTGATTAATATTTGGCTTCTCAATACTTATGAAATTTTCCCCAGCCAGCTTTGAATTTTTCCTCAGAAAATGGGTTTTTCTTTTCTATTACATCATCAGGCTGCAAATTTTCCAAACTTTTATGCTCTGCTCCCATTTTAAACATAAGTTCCAACTTCAAACCATTTCTTTGTGAATGAATAAAACTGAATGCATTTAAGAGCACCCAAGTTACCTCTTGAATGCTTTACTGCTTAGAAATTTATTCTGCCAGATACCCTAAATCATCTCTCTCATGTTCAAAGTTCCACAGATATCTAGGGCAGGGGAAAAATGCTACCAATCTGTTTGCTAAAGCATAGCAATAATCACCTTTGCTCCAGTTCTCAATAACTTCCTCATCTCCTTCTGGGACCACCTCAGCCTGAACTTTTTGGTCAACACCATTCAACAAGTCTCCAGGAACGTCCAAACTTTCCCACATCTTCCTGTCTTCTGAGCCCTACAAACTGTTCCAATCTCTGCCTGTTACCCAGTTCCAAAGTCACTTCCACATTTTCGGGTATCTTAATATAATAACAGCGCCCTAATCCTGGTACCAATTTGCTGTATTAGTCCATTTTCTTACTGCTATGAAGAAATACCCAAAACTGGGTAATTTAAAAAGAAAAAGAAGTTTAATGAACTCACAGTTCCACATGGCTGGGAAGGCCTCACAATCATGGCAGAAGAAAAAAGGCATGCCTTACATGGCGGCAGGCAAGAGAGCATGTGCAGGGGAACTGCCCTTTAGAAAACCATCAGATCTCTTGAGACTTATTTACTACCATAAAAACAGCACAAGAAAAACCTGCCACCATGATGTAATTATCTCCACTGGGTCCCTCCCACAACACATGGGGATTATGGGAGCTACAATTCAAGATGAGACTTGGGTGTGGACACAGCCAAGCCATATCAGAGCACATAAGATGTTTTGATACAGGTGTGCAAAGTGTAACAATCACACCATGAAATATGGGTTATCCATCCCCTCAAGCATTTATCCTTCATGTTATAAACAATCTAATTATATTCTTTTAGTTATTTTTTAATGTACAGTTAAATTATTATTGACTATAGTCATCCTGTTTTACTATCAAATATTAGGCATTATCCATTTATTCTAACTACTTTTTGGAATGATTAACCATCCCTGCCACCCACTCACTTTCTCTACTATGCTTCCCAGCCTCTGGTAATCATATCCTACACTCTATCTCCATGAGTTCAATTGTTTTAATTTTTAGATCTCACAAATAATTGAGAACATGCAATGCTGATCTTATTGTGCTTGGCTTATTTCACTTAATATGATAACCTCCAGTTCTATCCATGTTGTTGCAAATGACTGAATCTCATTTTTTATGTGAATGAATAGTACTACATTGTGTATAAATTTTATATTTTCTTTATCCATTTATCTGTTGAGGAACACCTAGGTTGTTTCCAAATCTTGTCTATTGTGAACAGAGTTGTCAAAAAAGGGGTGGAGATATCCAATTTCTGTACTTTGGGGTATATACCAAGCAGTAGAATTGTTGAATCATATAGTAGCTCTATTTTTAGTTTTGTGAGGACCCTCCAAACTGTTCTCTATAGTGGTTGTACTAATTTACATTCCCACAAATAGTGCATGGCGGTTCCCTTTTCTCCACACCCTCTCCAGTTTTTGTTATTCCCTGTCTTTTAGATAAAAGCCATTTTAACTGGGGCGAGATGATATCTCATTGTAGTTTTTATTTGCATTTATCTGATAATCAATGATATTGTGCACACTTTCATATGCCTGCTTGCCATTTGCATGTCATCTTTTGAGAAATGTATATTCACATTTTGTGTCCATTTTTTGATTAAATTATTAGTGTTTTTTTCTTTTTTTTAATACAGTTGTTTGAGCTGAGCTCCTTAAATGTTCTGCTTGTTAAAACCTTGTCTGGGGGGTAATTTGCAAATATTTTCTTCCATTCTGTGGGTTGTCTCTTCACTTTGTTGATTGTTTTATTTGCTGTGCAGAAGCTTCTTAACTGGATATGATTCCATTTGTACATTTTTGCTTTCGTTGCCTGTTCTTGTGGGGTATTACAGAAAACTTTGCCTGGATTGATGTTGAGCATTTTTCAAATGTTTCCTTTTAATAGTTTTCTTTTAATGGTTTCACAGTTTGAGGTCTTAGATTTAAGTCTTTAATCCATTTAGATTTAATTTTTGTATATGGTGAGAGATAGGGATCTAGTCTCATTCTTCAGCATGTGAATATCCAGTTTTCCCAGCACTATTTATTGAAGAGACTGTCTTTTCCCCAGTGTATGTTCTCAGCATTTTTGGAGAAAATGAGTTCACTGTACGTGTTTGGATTTGTTTGTAGGTTCTCGATTCTGTTCCTTTGGTCTATGTGTCTGTTTTTATGTCAGGTTTATGCTGTTTGGTTACTATAGCTCTGTAACATAATTTGAAGGCAGGTAATATAATTCCTCCGGTTTTGTTCTTTTTGCCTAAGATAACTGTGGCTATTCTGGGTCTTTTGTGGTCCCATATGAATTTTAGGATTCTTTTTTCTATTGCTATAAAGAATGCCATTGGTATTTTGATAGGGATTACATTAAATCTGTAGTGGCTTTGTGTAATATGGACATTTAAAAAAATATTAATTTTTCTAATTCATGAACATGGAATATTTTACCTTTTTTGGTGTTCTCTGAAATTTTTTTCGTCAGTGTTTTATAGTTTTTTATTATAGCGATCTTTTACTTCTTTGGTTATGTTAATTCTTAGGTATTTAGTTTTATGTGTGGCTATTATTAATTTGACTACTTTTTAATTTCAATTTCAGTTTATTCACTGTTGGGATATAGAAATGCTACTGATTATTGTATTTTTATTTCATATCGTGCAAGTTTACTAATTTTTTTTATCAGTTCTAATGGTTTTTTTGCACTCTTTAGTTTTTTCCCAATATGGAATTATGTCATCAGCAAAAAAAGATAATTTGACTTCTTCCTTTCCAATTTAAATGTACTTTATGTATTTCTCTTGTCTGATTGCTCTAGCTAGGAATTCCAGTATTATATTGAATAACAGTGGTGAAAATGGGCATCCTTGTCACGTTGCAAATCTTAGAGGAAAGGCTTTTATTATTTTACTATTCAGCGTGATATACTAGCTGTGGGTCTGTCATATATGGCTTTTATTATGTTGTAGTGTGTTCAGTTTTTCAGAGTTTTTCTCATTAAGGGGTATTGAATGTAATTATTTTGACTTCAATTGAAATAATCATAGTTTTTTTTCTTTCATTCTATTGATATGATTGATTTGCTTATGCTGAACCATCCTTGTGTAATAGGAATAAAGACTTCTTGGTCATGATAAATAATCTTTTTAGTGTATTGTTTAATTCAGTTTGCTAATTTTTTGTTAAGGTTTTTACATCAATATTCATCAGAGACATTGGGGCCTGTTGTTTTCTTTTACTTTAACATGTCTTTGACTGGCTTTGTTATCATGCTAATATTAGATTCGTAGAATGAGTTTGGAAGTATTTTCTCATCCTCTATTTTTAGGGATAGTTTGAGCAGGCTTGGATTTAGTTCTTTAAATTTCTGGTACAATTCAGTAGTGAAGCCATCAGGTCTTGGGCTTTTATATCCTGGGAGAATTTTTATTACAGTTTTGATCTCATTTTTTGTTATTGGTTTGTTCAGGTTTTAGAGTTCTTCATGGTTTAATCTTGGTAGGTGGCATTTGCCCAGAAATTTATCCATTTCTTACAGATTTTCCAATTTTTTGGCATATAGTTCCTCATAGTCAAAATTTTCTCACTGATATATTTTTTGCAAAGGTTGTTTCAATCCCCCTTTGGCTTTTATTCACCTTATTCTTAAGATGTTGGTCACAGAGATGGAAAAACAGCAATGACTACTCTGGCTTCTTCCTGCTGACAGGTGGTACAATTGGGGGAGGTTGGTCCCAGGAGAATATGAGTAAAACCGCTGCTTTGCAGCCATCTGCGCGTACTCACTGGTGTATGACAAAAACATTAATATTCTCACCCACAGTTCTAATACAGCACTTAAGTGAACAACAAACCATAGGTTGTTAGAAAGACAGATGGGGATAAACAGGAAAGAGCAAATTAAATATACCATCTTTGGTATAGTTGAATGTCTTTTGAGTCAGTGTCTAAGTCCTGAGACTAGATCAGCTCAGTCAAACAGCTGTTTCCCACATGAGGAGGTAGCACTTCAGATTGGCTAGACCTCTCTATTTTATGAAGGCAAACTAATTTTAATAAGAGGCAGTTTTATAGAGACAGAAGAAAAACAAAGGTTAATGTTGGGTACAATTTATCCAGGTGTTAGATTTAAAGCATCTTTAGGTATAGAGGAGGACAGTAGTAACAATCTGACACATTTTTCTCTCTCCTGTATTACAAGCAATAAGCTTTAACTTACAGGGCCTCAGGAAAGAGGTAGTGACAATTTTATTGAGGCCAAGTCAAAAAAGAAAAAGGAAACAAAACTTTGAAAGCATTAGTATGGAGACTTGTAGTCTGGAAAGAATTTAGTATTCATTCCAAGTTGCAGAAAATTATAAAAACTCAAAATAGGGGACTAGAATGTAATAAGAGGTGTACTATAGTTTTTTCTGAAATATAATTTTTCTCTCTCCAATCCTTGTTTTTACTAAAAACAAATCACAGCAAGACTACTTTATTTGTAAAATAAGTTTTAGTCTTACTATACTTGGCCTGAGTATTTGCATAAAGTCAGCAAGAATAATTATTTACCACACAGTCCCTTTTTAAATTCGCATTGCTGGAATTTTATTCCATAGGAAATCTCAGATTAAACTTTTTTAAAGCCTTTAAGTGTAGCCACAGATTTATCTATGCTTACAAATAACTGTATTAATTGGGTGAATTTCTCACCTCAAGGTGCCAAGATAATTTGGGCTTTTTGGGCCTGTCAGGAAGTGACATTCTTTACTTACCACATGGCAGGACTCCTAAACAGGGACTGTGTAGACAAGTTATGAGGTCAGTTTTCCCAAGGGACTTTTATTGGCTCTATAAGTCAACTTTGACTCCTTAAAAGAATCTAAAAGTATGCCATTTCATTCAATGCCATGGTAAAATAACCAGTGTCTCCAATTTTTTCCTGTTACAAAAGAAAAAAGATTCTTATCGAACTTATGCAAATAATTATACCTGTCATAAATTAAGTACACTTGGAAATAGTTTTCAAGTTCTGGAGAAATCAGGGAGAGAGAAATATGCTTCAGATTTTGCTCACAGGAGGGTACTTTGCCAAATTATTTAAAGCTGTAGATATCTCAAAAGAAAAAAAAAAGGTTTGCTGGACTCCAAAACAAACAAACAAAAAAAATAGCAATGTTTTAAACAAATTCGTAGGAAGATTATTTTGGTTTTTCATTAATTCAGTCTATGTAATTAATTCCTGTTCTGCTTGATATTCATACACATTAGCTCCCTATGGGAGTCTTGGAAGTTCTTTCTTCTATTTTAATGTCACAATCTCCAAAGTTATCACAAACCTGCATTCAAGTGCACCTGTCAGAGTCCTATAGCTGATTATAAAACCAACTTGAAAAAAATCAAAATAAAACAACTGTGGCTGAAAAAAGTCTCAAAACAGCCATGATTAAAGTCTGGTCATCTCTGTGGCACATAATAACATAACAATCATAATTATTACTAAAAACATATACTGAGACATATCAGAATTACAAGAATCTCACACAATTCTGGAACACACACCAATAACACATTTATGCAAATACAGCCCAAAAAAGAAAGCCAAACACAATTTTCTACTTGACAATGCTTCCTGTATGATTTTGATATACCAAATAAGCCAAATATATCTCTTTTGGACTTTAGAGTATTTAATATCTGCTCCTAAAGGCTGATTAGATCAAAAAAGGGCTTAATTTAGAATTTGACCATGGAAAGTTTGTCAAATATCAAATGTTTAAACACTTGATATTACAAAACAAATCCCAAGTAACTGTAAGTCATTTATTTAGCCCAAAAGGATAACTAAAGAAAATTTTAAAAGCAAAATTCTTTACTTGCTGATAGAGGGGAGATTCAGCTTTCCAAACAGGACTCAATAAAGACAGCTTGAAAACAACTGGATGTCTTCTCTCTCCCCCCTCTAATTTCTGTCGTTTATTCAAAAGGCATACAAAAATCTTTTATAATATTTTCATAATACACTAAAATATTGTTTAAAAGAGAGCACAAAATCTCACCTTTGCATTCATGTCTTATAGATGTTAAACCCAATTATTAATAAAATCTTACAAACAAATCTATACCATCTTAATCAGTTTGACCATGAGGTAAAATTTTCAGAAACCTCTTATAACTCTTTACAATTTTCTCTTAAACAGCAGGTCCATTCTCTAAGAAAAACATGTTATTCAGACACATGGGCACAGATTCTTGCCCAGCATTAGTGTACTTTATTTTAATGTTTAACCTACAGAAAAACTAGATGATCTCCTTCAAATTTTAGCCATTTGTTAACACCCACAGAACTTCATTTACAAGATCAATCCTTCACAAACCCTTTGCAACTTGCTTCAACTTTGTTTTGTCCCATTACTCTTTTAAGAAAGTTTTTTTTTAAACTTCTGAGCTAGACAAAATTACATGCCCTTTAACAACAACAACAAAAATTCCCATGCCTTCTTATAACCTCTTACCAAAAACAAATTCTACTTTCCTTTCACAACATGCATGTAAAATTGTTTTTCCAGTAGTCTCAAGTACATGCTATGCTGTTAACCCTTAGCAACTTTTAGTTTTGGTAAAAAACCTGGTAAGCAAGCAATTTTAACCACGTATAACATTGCAGAGCCCATGACAAAGACAAAGCTGCAGACAATGTCTGACTCTTCCCAGCCTAGCCAGGGAATCTGGCTAACTCTATATGTCTCCAGACCTTATTTAGAATCTAATGACTGTAAAACAGACAAATCAACAATTATTAAAAGTCATAGAAGCCGTTTATTACCTTAAAGCATCTAGCAAACCATATCTGACCTGCCTAATTTACACCAAATGTATAAACTTTAAAAACATTTTTATTTTAGTTTACCAGTAATCTTTTAACTGTCTTTATTTTTCAAAGATTATCAGTCACATGACCTAAAACATGTTAAAGTTTCTTTCTGAAATTTGATCTAAGCGCTTATTATTCATTAAGCCAATTCATTAGAGCTCTTTTAAATAAACACTACATACATACATGTAGATACACACACAGACAGAAACAGAGAATCAAGACAGAGTTCCATCAACTGAGAAGTGTTTAGAGGCAGGGCAGGGACTTTAAAACAACATCTGCATGCATATAGCTCCATTATCTATGGAGCTCTCCAACGAAAAATCCTTTTAAAATATTTTATTTTAGCCAGGATAAATAGCCAATATTTCTGGCATTTGAATCTTTTGTTGTTGTTGTTTTCTGAGACGGAGTCTTGCTCTGTCACCCAGGCTGGAGTGCAGTGATGCGATCTCGGCTCACTGCAACCTCCGCTTCCCCGGTTCAAGCGATTCTCCTGCCTCAGCCTCCCCAATACCTGGGACTACAGGTGCATGCCACAAAGCCCTGCTAATTTTTTGTATTTTTAGTAGAGATGGGGTTTCACCATGTTAGCCAGGATGGTCTCGATCTCCTGACCTGGTGATCTGACCAACTCAGCCTCCCAAAGTGCTGGGATTACAGGCGTGAGCCAGTGCGCCTGGCCTTGAATCTTTTTTACTAAAGGGAACCTCCTATGTGAAATCAGTAAGCCATTACTAAGGGGACAGCTTAGCAACAGGCACACGAGGCGTCTCCAAAGAAATGGTAAGTGATTTTTACAAGATCTAGAATCTCCCCAAAGGTAGTTCAGATAAAAGAAAATTCAAGACCAGAAGCTCTCCATGGAGGGAAAAAATATCAATAAATGGCAAAATTTCTACAAGTATTAAACCTCAAAGGACTCACTCCAAAGCCAAAACTGAACCCAGGCCACCAATTGGAGAGGGTAAAGAGTTAGCAACTGACCCAGAGCAAAGGTGACTGCTGTTATTCTTCCCTGAGGGAGTCTTGAACATTTTCAAGCTTGCAAAGGATTTTAACTGCTCAGGAACCATGTTATTATTATGGATCCTTCTTTTAATTTAACCTTTTTCTTTTAATGGTATCCTCAGTTCCAATAGCGACTCAATTCAAAAAGTCTGGTAAAGTCTAGATCTCAAATTTCCAGGCTTTTACCATATCAGCAAAAGGTGTTTCCAGAAAGAGAGTAGAGGAGACATCTCCATAATCCCCATGATCCCCATGATTCCCAAGAATTTACTCTCAGAAATGGGCTTAAGATAGCAAAAGATGATAAAATCCCAACAAAGATGAGGCCTTTTAAGACAAAGCTCACCCAGGGGCTTGGCATATTCAGGATGAAGAACATGCTGATTCATCTCAGACCGCTTGTCCTCTCAGACTGGCTACCTGACATAAACTCAAATATTCCAGCCCTCCAGATGATACAGGCCCAAAAGAGAGTACCCCACATAGTCATAAAGTCATGCTCTCAAGGACGTAAAGCAAGACAAGAAGAAACCTTTATCTAGTTTTTGCTCCAGGGATCTGTAGCATAGTTTGTAACTGACCAACCTGCAGGGCTGGCTTGAGTAGCAAGCTGATAGGGGTCCTAAATACACATTCTATTCTGCGGTACCCCTCTTTATGACAGAATGGCATAGAAAGACTAATTCATAGTGCAAGGTACACCAGATTCACTACAGTCTCAGACTTGCCTCACAAATCCTTTTTCTCATTAATAAACAGTGATTTTTACAGATCACTCAACTGGTTTGCACAAAGAGAGAGAGGAGCCAGAAGACTGATTGGTAAGAAATTCATTCTATTTCTTTTGCTGGCATGCCAGTTTTCCAAGTTCCCTTTCCCTTGGGGCCCTGGCGACCCTGCTCACTGCACTATAGTCACAAAGGAAAATCACCTTTTTCCATTTCATGGAGCCTTAGGCAAAAGCCTCTTAATTTTGCAAGATGCCACCCGATGGGCTGCATGGGGAAACCTCATTGGGGGAACCAAATTAACATTTTCCATCCCAGCTGTCACAAAATACACATAACAAAACAGACATTAGTCACCTTGCTGAACACCCAATATTGACCAATTTCCTTTGCTCCCTGTTTTCTTTGATCCATTCAAAGTGAGGAGGGACCTCTGACTGAGAATTCAATGGGTAGTGTAGGGCAATTTGAAGAGGGGATAATCACCCCTAGTCAGGCCTGTTGACCTTCCACTAACAATTGCTTCAGGGCTTACCAAATGTGACCAGACAAATAAGGAGGCTTCTCTGAGTTAAGCCTGCTGGACTTTCATCAGCAATTTCTTCAGAGATACCATCCACAAATACAAACACACACAACAAAGATGAACAGAAGGCCTTCCAAACCGATTCCAGACCAGAGGAGCATTCCTTCAAACAGTCCCATATTCTTCACCCAACTGAGGAGATAGTTCCCCCATCTGAAAATCCCTGTGATAGGGCCAGTCCCTGTGACAGGGCTACAGTGCATCTTAGTAAGGCCAATAGATCAGGGGAAGGGTGGAGGTGATGGTAGTGCCTAGCATGTTCACCAGGTAGGTTCCAGACTATTTCTCCACTGCAATTAGGCCCAAGCCCTGTGGGTCAACAGCACCTCATCAGCAGAGACAGCACCAGAGATAGCCTTCAGTTAAATAAGCAGCTGCCAGAGATCACCTCTGTGTTCCTCATTCTGGTGGGGGGACTAACAAACTGTGGTCAGGGGATCCCAGATGAGCCCCCAAATTTATAACTTCCCAAGAGTTTCTTCCTGCCTGCTGCATAAAGAAAGACCATGCCATTGCAGGAAAGAGTTTAATAGACATGATGCCAGCCACCCCATGTGGGAGTCAGAGTTTATACTCAAATCATCTCATCCAAAGCTCGTCAGTTAGGTGTTTTTCAAAGGCAGTTTGGGGAAAGGGGTGGGGGTGGCCAGGTAATGAGTGCTCATTGCTGATTGCTTGGGGTGGAAACGAAATCATAGAGGGTCATAGCTGTCCTCTTGCAGGATAAATTGGGTGGGGTTGGTTGGTCCAGGTGGAGCCATGGGTGTCAGATATGCAAAAAAAAAAAGAAAAATATATCTTAAAAGGCCAATCTACAATAGTGGTGTTATCGTAGGAATAATTGAGGAAGCTGCAGATCTTATAATCTTCAGATTAATGGCTGAAAATCTTTCATGTCTGCGCCTCAGCAGGACTCGGCTCCTCTCCTCAGCCTAGACTGATGGCCTCCCATTAGCTTTACAAAAGCCTCGTTGAGTTTTGGGTAAGACCTATTATCATTTAAACAACAGACTAAATGTCTCTCAAAGTTACCTTGTACTAATAGCCCAGGAATAATTAAGGGAAAGGTAAGATGGGGGGGTAGATTAGCTCAGATCTTGTTCACTTTTGTAATTGTCTCACTGATACAATTTTTAGAAAGGCAGCTTCATTCATTTTAATGAAGGTGATTTTCCCTGATGATATGATTTAGCTTTTTGCTTTCTATTTTTTGTGTATCCATTGTATGTTTTTCGGTTTGAGATTACCATGAGGCTTGCGAATACTATCTTATACCTCATTTTTTAAGGTGGTAAAAACTTAACAGTACTTGCATAAACAAACAAGCAAAAAGTAAACTAATAAAGATTATATGCTTTAACTTTGTCCCCTGCTTTTCAAATTTTTGTTGTTAATATTTATATGTTATTGTACTGTTTATGTCTTGAAAAGTTGCTAAATTATTATTTTTGATAGGTTTATCATTTTGTCTTTCTACTTAAAAGTAGATTACACACCACAGTTACAATGTTATAATATGCCGGTTTTCTGTGCATTTACTATTCCTAGTCAGTTTTGTACCTTCAAATGATTTCTTATTAATATTTTCTTTCTGATTCAAGTACACCCTCTAGCATTTTTTGTAGGAGAGGTCTGGTGTTAATGAAATATGTCAGCTTCTGTTTGTTTACAAAAGTCTTTATTTCTCCTTCATGTTTGAAGAATATTTTTAACCAGACATACTATTCTAGGGTAGAAGGGTTTTCTTTGTTGTTGTTGTTGGTTGTTTTGTTTTGTTTCCTGTTAGCACTTCAAATTTGTCTTACCAGTCTATCCTGGCCTGTAGGGTTTTCACTGAAAAGTCTGCTTCTAGATGTATTTGAGCTCCGTTGTATTTTCTTTTTCCCTGTGGTGCTTTTAGGATCTTTTTTTAGTCCTTGACCACTGGAAATTTCATTATTAAATGCCTTGAGGTCGTCTTCTTTGTGTTAAATCTGCTTGGTGTTCGACAGCCTTCTTATACTTGGATATTGATATATTTCTCTAAGTTTGGGAAGTTCTCTGTTATTCAATAGTATCCCCTTGAATAAACTTTCTACCCTCATCATTTTCTCTACCTCTTCTTTAAGGCCAATACCCCTTACATGTGCTCTTTTGAGGCTATTTTCTAAATCCTGTAGGCGTGTTTTATTGGTTTTTATTATTTATTCTTTATTCTTTCTTCTCTGTGTATTTTCATACAGTCTGACTTCAGGCTCACTAATTCTCTCTTCTATTTGATCAATTCTATTATTAAAAGACTAATGCTTTCTTAGTATGACAATTGTATTTTTCAACTCCAAAATTTCTGCTTGATTCCTTTTAATTATTTCAAGCTCTTTGTTAAATTATATGTATATATATACACATATACACACACAAACATATATATGTACATCCATATATATATATATATATACACACACACACACAAGTATATGAAAATCCACCAACCACTAGTAAATCAATTTTAAACAATGCACAAAGGACAGAAGTGTAATAAACATTTTCAGGATTTCGATGTGAATGAATGTTGCTAAAATATTATTTTAAATATATATTTTTTAGTACACTGTACAGTCTTTCTTAAATACCAACCCCATTTAATTATCTTAAAAACTATTTTTCAAGAAGAAAGTATGGGACCATCACAAATTAACTCAATGCAGGTTCAAAATAACATGCATTGTGAATTAGCGAGGTTCAATTTAATTATACTTTAAACAACATTCTCTGAGGGCTTCTGTAACTCATTAATAACATTTAATTTTTATGAATTGAATATTCTTCCTAGAGAAATATATTAGCCTCTCACACAGTAGCAAACTACTCTGTGAATATCACAGTAATTCTTCCCTAGGAAAATTGTGATGCAGTCATATAGTTGATCATTTTATCATGATGAAAAGGAAACTTGAAATGAGATTATTATTTAAATGATGGACAAAAATTCTGGCAACACACACATCAATGGAGTACACTGAGAAGATGGAATATACAGCAGAGTAATAGAAATAGCTATCTGCAAAGAATAGATTTCAGAGAATATTACTTCAATATCTCTTCTTCGAAACCATTTACAAGTGAACTGTTGCCATCTGCATTTACTGAGAAGAAGTCAGAAAAAATTACAGTATATCGAAATATATTTTAGCACAATTCAATAAAGATCACTGTCAGAGCATAATTCATCTGTTTCGGCTCAGAAGGAAAATTTGCTCTTATGATATTAAATTCATTTGGACAAATATTTTTCTACTTTCTAAATGCTTATATGTTTTTAACCTTTAGATTACTTTTGAGAACTATCTATTAAATCACATTTTTAATTGGATGATGTAGAATATGTTTTAAGTAATAGAGAAAATCCCAGTCTTTCAAAATTCAGATATCAAGTTCACAGACATGATTAAATGCACTCTGCTGATGCTCCTTATTATTTTCTAATCGCTATCAATTTGAGAGCAAATATATATTTTAAAGACGTTTTTCTTAATGTCATGCCGAAGCAGAATTGAATGTTCATTATACAAATATTTCCAGTCAAACTGTTCCATTTAATGTATCTGTTAATCTCTGATAGCAAATTTCATATGATAAAGGTCTTATACACACTATTTGATTAATGTTCTAAGCTGAACTCTCATGAAAAGAAATAAGATGCTGTAAAATTGCTTTTGATCTCTCTTTTTGATCTCTTGCACTTTCAGCAGCTTCCCAATTGCCCCACTGAAGACTGTCAATATTGTGTTTTAGGGCCGTATCAGGTTGTAACCGACATGCTAATTTCAGGCAAAAAAAAAAAAAAAAAAAAGGCTTCTGTGTAGAGTTCATCATTTGGTCGTTTCAAAACAATAAATGAGAAATATATGACTCATCTAATGGTCTGACACATCAGTGTTTAGTTAAATGTGGTACAAATGCATAGCTGAGTTATTTGAAATATTCAATCAAGATTTTAACTTTTTATTAGAGACTTCTGTGACTAAGTTCTGTATTGTTGGGGATAATCTGTGAAGACTGATAACTTCAATCTATTCATGTGAACTAACCAGAGCAGCCAAAGGATACACTAGGAAAAAATACCATAAGATGAGTAATCCCATTTTCACCTAATATTTCTACAATATCTACTGGAATTTGCTGGACACCAATTTAATTAAGCGATCATCACCAAGTTAGTAATTTGGAACCTACATAGGTAGGCAGACAAGAACTTGGTGAGTGTGGGGACTTTCTAAGAAAGTATCATTAAATGTTGCTACTTTATAGGTATAAATACAGCTATACTTTATGTTAATAAAGTATGTTTATTCTACACCAGACCATTAATCAATCCATAGTTCCATAATTGTATTTTAGGTTAAATTATTCAAGTTTCCATAGTCTTACTCTTATATAATTTGAAGTCTAAATTAAATAGGTTACCTAGTTTAACAAAGATCAGGTTTAAACAAATTGTTATTACTAGTTTAGGATTGCAATTAGAATAAAATGTTGAAAAAAACACAATTCTCGGTCAATGAAACAAACTGTCCTCAGTGGCACAAAAATATTCTTTGTTTTTTAAAATGCTGCCTGTACAGCAATACAGAGCTCATGATATCAACAACCATTAAACAATGACAAGTGACTTTAATTTGCTGTAGGATTTCTAATTAACCAGTAAGTGTAGCATTTTTTTGTATTATCAGTTTATTGCCACATCAGTAAAATGAGTGTAATGACCACCTTACAGTGGTTCAGTCAGCAATAGGCAGTAGAAAGTCTATTTTTCTTCTTTAGAAGTAGTATTTGATGAATATTGCAATTAAGTCCTGTTATTTTTTAAAAGCCTCTGAATTACCTTAGCAACTAAAAATAACCCATGAATAATATTATTGAATATTATGTTACATACTATTCTTTATCATGTAACTGTAAAGTATTTTTAAACACCCAAAGCTATCCAAAGTTAAAATAGAATGTACAGAAAAGCCAAACTTTTAATTCATCATTTTATATTTTATGATATTATGGGTATTATTGAAATAATGCACTCAACTTTGATATCACATTTGATGCAAAATGTTCTCATGCTTTGGGTTTAGTGATTCAAAGTATTCTTCAGAAAGCACTATTTGGCTGGGCGCGGTGGCTCACGCCTGTAATCCCAGCACTTTGGGAGGCCGAGGCGGGTGGATCATGAGGTCAGGAGATCGAGACCATCCTGGCTAACACAGTGAAACCCCGTCTCTACCAAAAATACAAAAAATTAGCTAGGCTTGGTGGTGGGCACTGTAGTCCCAGCTACTCGGGAGGCTGAGGCAGGAGAATGGCATGAACCCGGGAGGCGGAGCTTGCAGTGAGCCGAGATAGCACCGCTGCACTCCAGCCTGGGCGACAGAGCGAGACTCTGTCCCAAAAAAAAAAAAAAAAGAAAAAGAAAGCACTATTTACATTTGGCTTTTGAATTTGGAAAGGACAATTAATATGGTTTGGATCTGTGACCCTGCCCAAATCTCACGTGGAATTGTAATCCCCGGTGTTGGAGGCAGGGGGCCTGGTGGGAGGTGATCGGATTACGGGGATGAATCCTTCATGAATGCTAAACCATCCTCTTGATGCTGTTCTTTTGATAGTGAGTGAGATCTGCTTGTTTAAAAGTGTGTAGCACCCCCCTTTCCTGCTCCAGTTATGTACAGTGCTGACTGCACTTTGCCTTCTGCCATGATTGTAAGCTTTCTGAGGTCTACCCAGAAACCCAGCAGATGCCAGCATCCTGCATCCTGTACAGCCCGTGGGACTGTATAACCAACATGGAGAAACCCTGTCTCTACTAAAAATACAAATTAGCTGGGCATGATGGCACACGCCTGTAATCCCAGCTACTCTGGAAGCAGAGGCAGGAGAATCACTTGTACCCCCGAGGCAGAGATTGTGGTGAGCCCTGATTGTGCCATTACACTTCAGCCTGGGCAACAAGAGCAAAATTCCGTCTCAAAAAAAAAAAAAAAAAAAAAGGAAAAAAAGAGAATAATGCTGGCCTTAAAAATGAGTTGTCATGATTACTTTCCACTTGTATTTTTTGAAAACAACTTATGTAGAATTGTTATCCTTTCTTTCATAAATATTTGCCAAACTTCACCTGAGAAGCCATCTAGAACTGGAGTTTTCTTTAGGGGAATATTTTTAACAACAAAGTTAATCCCTTTAATAAACACAGAACTATTTCGATTATGTATCTTCCTTTTGAGAGAGATTTGGTAGCTCCTGCCTTTCAATAAATGTGTCTATCTCTTCTAAATTGTTTAATTTCTTTGGGAAAAAGTTGTTCATAATTATTTTCTGATGATCTTTTCACCATCTGTAGGATCTGAGAAGATACTCTCTTTTATTACTGATAATGGTGATTTTTGCTTTCATATATTTTTTGATCAGTCTAGCTGAGGGTATATCAAATTTTATTAAATATTTCAAAAGATGAACATTTGGCTTGTTAATTTTCTTAAATATTTGTTTTCTATATTGTTGAGAAATTCATAATTTCTTTATCCTTGCTTTGGGTTTATTTTGCACTTATTTTTCCAGCTTCTTAATGTAAAATCTTACAACACTAATTTTAGATTTCCCCTCATCACTAATATAATTATTTAAAGTTTTAATATTTACTCTGGACACTGTTTTAGTTAGTTGCATCCCATAAATTTTGATATATTTTATTTTTATTACAATTCCATTTAAAATATTTTCTTACTTTTTTATTTATTTCATCATTGTCTCATCAAAGTATATTGTTTAATTTCCAAATATTGTGATTTTTCCAAGATAGCTTATTATTTATATTTTAATTCCATTAACATAAATAAACATATTCTGTGTGCTTTCAATTCATTTGAATTCAATAAGTTTTTTAATAACCTAGAAAATAGTTGTAATAGTGCATTTTCATGCTGCTGATAAAGACATACCCAAGACTCAGTAATTTATAAAGAAAAAGAGGTTTAATAAACTTACAGTTCCACGTGGCTGAGGAGGCCTCACAATCATGTCAAAAAGTGAAAGGCAAATCTTACACTGAAGCAGGCAAGAGAGAATGAAGGCCAAGCAAAAGAGGTTTCCCCTTTTAAAACCATCAGATCTTGTGAGACTTATTCACTACCATGAGAATAGTATGGGGGAAACTGCCACCATGATTCAATTGTCTCCAACTGAGTCCCTCCCATAACGTGGGAATTATGGGAGCTACAATTCAAGATGAGATTTGGTGGGAACACAGAGCCAAACCATATCGTTTCTCCCCTGCCCCTCCCAAATTTCATGTCTTCACATTTCAAAACCAATCATGCCTTCCCAACAGTTCCCCAAAGTCTTAACTCATTTTAGCATTAACTTAAAAGTCCACAGTCCAAGGCCAGGTGCAGTGGCTCATGCCTGTAATCCCAGAACTTTGGGAGGCCAAGGCAGGAAGATCATCTAAGGTTGGGAGTTCGAGACTAGCCTGACCAACATGGAGAAACCCCATCTCTACTAAAAATACACAAAATTAGCCAGGCATGGTGGTGCATGCCTGTAATCCCAGCTACTCAGGAGGCTGAGGCAGGAGAATCGCTTGAACCTGGGAGGCGGAGGTTGCAGTGAGCCGAGATCACACCACTGCACTCCAGCCTGGGCGACAGAGAGAGAATCCATCTAAAAAAAAAAAAAAATCCACAGTCCAAAGTCTGATCTGAGATAAGGCAAGTCCCTTCCACCTATGAGACTGTAAAATCAGAAGGAAGTTTGCTATTTCCTAGATACAACAGGAGTATAGGCATTGGATAAATACACTCATTCCAAATGGAAGACATTGGCCAAAACAAAGGGACTACAGGCCCCATGCAATTCCAGAATCCAGTGGGGCAGTGAAATCTTAAAGCATCAAAATGATCTCCTTTGACTCCATGTCTCACATCCAGGTCACGCTAATGCAAGAGGTGAGTTCCCATAATCTTGGTCAGCTCCACCCCTGTGGCTTTGCAGGGTACAGCCTCCCTCCTGGATGCTTTCATGGGCTGGTGTTGAGTGTCTGTGGCTTTCCAGGTGCATGGTGCAAGCTATTGGTGGATGTACTATTATGGGGCCTGGAGGATGGTGATCCTCTTCTTATAGCTCCACTAGGCACTGCCTCAGTGGGGACTTTGTGTGGGGGCTTCAACCCCACATTTTCTTTCTGCACTGCTCTAGCAGAGGTTCTCAATGAGGACCCTGCTCCTGAAGCAAACTTCTACCTGGACATCTAGGCATTTCCATACACACTCTGAAATCTAGGTGGAGGTTCCAAAACCTCAATTCTTGACTTCTGTGCACTCACAGGCTCAACACCACGTGGAAGCTGCCAAGGCTTGGGGCTTGCACCTTCTGAAGCCATGGCCAAAGCTGTATCTTGGTCCCTTTTAGCGATGGCTAGAGCAGCTGGGACACAGAGAACCAAGTCCCTAGCCTGTGCATAACAGGGGGACCCTGGGCCGGGACCACAAACCTATTTTTTTTTTTTTTTCTAGGCTTTTAGGTCTGTGATCAAATGTCTCTAAAATGCTTTGGAGACATTTTCCCTGTTGTCTTGGGGATTAACATTTGGCTCCTGGTTACTTATGCAGATTTCTGAAGCCGGCTTGAATTTCTCCTCAGAAAATGGATTTTTCTTTTCTATCAATCATCAGGCTGCAAATTTTCTGAACTTTTATTCTCTGTTTCCCTTTTAAAACTGAATGTTTTTAACAGCACTGAAGTCACCTTTTGAATGCTTTGCTGCTTAGAAATTTCTTCTGCCAGATACCCTAAATTATCTCCCTCAATTTCAAAGTTACACAAATCTCTAGGGCAGGGGCAAAATGCCACCAGTCTCTTTGCTAAAACATAGCAAGAGTCACCTTTACTCCAGTGTTCAACAAGTTCCTCATCTCCATCTGAGACCACCTGAGCCTGGACTTTATTGTCCATATTACTGTCAGCATTTTGTTAGAAGCCATTCATCAGGTCTCTAGGAAGTTCTAAACATTCCCACATTTTTCTATCTGCTTCAGAGCCCTCCAAACTGTTCCAATCTCTGCCTGTTACTTAATACCAAAGTCATGTCCCACGTTTGCAAGCATTTTTACAGCAGCACCCCACTCTCAGTACCAATTTACTGTATTAGTTCGTTTTCACACTGCTGATAAAGACATGCCCGAGACTGGGTAATTTATAAAGAAAAAGAGGTTTAATGGACTCACAGTTCACGTGGCTGGGGAGGCCTCACAATCATGGTGGAAGCAAAAGGCATGTTTTACATGGCAATAGGCAAGAGAGAATGAGGGCCAAGGGAAAGAGGTTTCCCCTTATAAAACCATCAGATCTCGTGAGACTTATTCACTAGCATGAGAGCAGTATGGGCAAAAGCTATCCCCGTTACTCAATTATCCTACACTGGGTCACTCCTACAACATGTGGGAATTATGGGAGCTACAATTCAAGATAAGATTTGGGTGGGGACACAGCCAAAACATATCAATGGTCTACCTTGGTTAATGTACCATGTGCACTTAAAAAAAGGTGCATATTCTATAGTTTTGGGATATAGTGTTTGTCTATGTATAAGTATCCAAGTAGGTCAATGTGGTTGACGGTATTGTTTAGACCCACTATTTCTTACAGATTTTTTTCTCTATTTATTCTATCAATTGCAAAATGAAACATGTTAAAAAATCCTACTATGGAGGAGAAGTCAAGATTGCTGATTAGAAGAAACGGTGGTCAGCAGCTCTCACCAAGAAAAATGAACTCAGTGAGTGAATCCTGCACCTTCAACTGAAGTATCCAGGTTCTCTCACTGGGACTGACTAGGTTGTTGGCATGACCCACAGAGAGTGAGGAAAAGCAGGGTTGAGCAATGGCCCACCCAGGAGCCACACGGGGCAAGGGGAGCTCCCACCTCCACCCAAGAGAGGCAGTGAGTGATTGTGTTACCGAACTCGGGAAATCATACTTTTTCCATGGATCTATGCAACCCGCTGATCAGGAGATCCCTTCATGAGCCCAGGCTACCAGGGCCTTGGGTCCCAAGCACAGAGCTGTGCAGACTCTCGGCAGCCACTTGGGTTGTGGCCAGTGGCAGCAGGTTGGAGAGTGCCTAAATGACTGAGATCCCAGGGGGAGGGCCAACTGCC
This sequence comes from Homo sapiens, assembly GCF_000001405.40. Lineage (NCBI taxonomy): Eukaryota > Metazoa > Chordata > Mammalia > Primates > Hominidae > Homo > Homo sapiens. Next base: position 92,580,625 of record NC_000023.11, on the reverse strand, counting down.
ATCACTGCAGCTTCAGTAGGCTTTTTTTTCCCGGCCTGTGAGAGGGAGACTGGGCTGCTTGGACCGGAAGAAATTCTCCACAGCACCGCACAGTGGCTGTGGCAGATCATGGCCTGACTACTTCTTTAGATGGGACTAGGATCCATCCCTCTTCACTGAGTCGGGCCTCATTGTCGAAATTTCAGCACCTCCAGCCAGTTTACAGATAGAACTCTGATATCCCTGAGACAGAGCCCCTGATGAGATGGGCAGCCACAGTCTCCATGGATCAGCAGACTTAGTTTTTCCTGCCTGCTGGCTCTGGGAAGTCCAGGCAGTCCGGATGAGGGGGATCCTCCCCAGTGTAGAACACCTACTCGGCCAAGGGGCATCCAGGGTACTTTGTTGAGTGAGTCCCTGATCCCATGCCCTTTGACTGTATGAGATGCTCCAACAGGGGTCACCAGACACCTTATATAGGAGCATTCTAGCTGGCATAAGTTCAGTGCCCCTCTGGGACAAAGCTCCCAGAGGAAGGAGCAGGCAGCCATCTTTGCTGTTCTGCAGCCTCCACTGGTGACACCTCCAGGTGTGGGAGTGTCCCAGGTGAATAGGGTCTGGAGTGGACCCCCAGCAATCGCAACAGCCCTACAGAAGAGGAGCTTGACTGTTAAAAGAAAAGCAAGCAAACAGAAAGCAGCAACATCAACAAAAGACCCCACAAAAACTCCATCCAAAGTTCAGCAGCCTCTAAGATCCGAGGTAGATAAGCTCATGGAGATGAGAAAGAATCAATGCAAAAATGCTGAAAACTCAAAAAGCCACAGTGCCTCCTCTCCAAATTATCACAACATCTCTTTAGCAAGCACTCAGAACTGGACTGAGGCTGAGATGGCTGAATTGACAGAAGTAGGTTTCAGAAGGTAGGTAATAATGAAATTTGCTGAGCTAAAGACGTATGTTCCAATTCAATGCAAAGAAGCTAAGAACCACGATAAAACATTCCAGGAGCTGTTATGCAGAATAACCAGTTTAGAGAGAAAAACAAATGACCCGATGGAGCTGAAAAACACAAGAACTTCACAATTCAACCACAAGTAGCAATAGCTGGATAGACCAAACAGAAGAAAAGATATAGAGTTTGAAGATTATCTTGCCAAAATTAGACAGGCAGACAAGATTAGAGAAATAAAGAATAAAAAGGAATGAATAAAACCTCTGAGAACTATCAAATTATGTAAAAAGACCAAACCTAAAACTGATTGGGGTGCCTGAAAGAGAGGAGGGAAATGGAATCAAGTTGAAAAACATACTTCAAGATATCATCCAGAAGAACTTCCCCAACCTAGCAAGACAGGCCAACATTCAAATTCAGGAAATCCGGAGAACCCCAGTAAGATACTCCATGAGAAGATCAAACCCAAGACACATAATCATCAGTTCCCCAAAGTGGAAGTGAAGGAAAAAAATATTAAGGACAGCCCATGAGAAAGGCCAGGTCACCTATAAAGGGAAGACCATCAGACTAGCAGAGGACCTCTCAGTGATAACTCTACAAGCCAGAAAAGATTGGGAGCCAATATTCAACATTCTTAAAGAAAGAATTGCCAACCCGGAATTTCTTATCTGGCCTAACTAAGCTTCATAAGTGAAGGAGAAATAAAATACTTTTCAGACAAGCAATTGCTGAGGGAATTCATCACCATTAGGTCTCCCTTGCAAGAGCTACTGAAAGAAGCACTAAATATGGAAAGGAAGCACCATTATGATCCACTACAAAAACACACTGAAGTACACAGACCAATGAAACTATGAAGCAACTACATTAACAAGTCTATAAAATAACTAGCTAGCATCATGATGACAGGATCCAATTCATACATAACCATATTAAACTTAAATGTAAATGGGCTAAATCCCCCAATTAAAAGACACAAAATGGCAAGGTGGATAGAGTCAAGACCCACCAGAGTGCTGTATTCAAGAGAACCATCTCACATGCAAAGACATACATAGGCTCAAAATAAAGGGATAGAGAAAAAATTACCAAGCAAATAGAAAGCAGAAAAAAGCAGGGGTTGCAATCCTAGTTTCTGAAAAAAAGATTATTTAAACAAACAGTAATCAAAAAAGACAAAGAAGGGCATTACTAATGGTAAAGGCTTCAAATCAACAAGAAGAGCTAGTTATCCAAGAGCACCCAGATTCATAAAACAAATTATTAGAGACCTCCAAAGAGACTTAGACTCCCACACAATAATAGTGAGAGATCTATTTATTTATTTTTATTATACATTAAGTTCTGGGATACATGTGCAGAACGTGCAGGTTTGTTACATAGGTATACACGTGTCTTGGTGGTTTGCTGCACCCATCAACTCATCATCTCCATTAGGTATTTCTCCTAATGCTATCCCTCCCCTAGCCCCCCATCCCCCAATAGACCTCAGTGTGTGATGTTCCCCTCCCTGTGTCCATGTGTTCTCATTGTTCAACTCTAGTGGGAGACTTTAACACCCCACTGACAATATTAGATCAATCTTTGAGACAGAATATTAACAAAAATTTTCAGGGCTTGATCTCAGCTCCGGATCAAGTGGACCTGATAAATATCTACAGAGCTCTTTACCCAAAAACAACAGAATATGCATTCTTTGCCACATGGCACTTACTATAAAACTGATCACATAATTGGAAGTAAAATACTCCTCAGCAAGTACAAAGGAACTGAAATTATAATAAACAATCTCTCAGACCACAGCACAATCAAATTAGAACTCAAAATTAAGAAACTCACTCAAAACTATACAACTACATGGAAATTGAACAACCTGCTTTTGAATGACTCCTGGGTAAATAAGAAGATTAAGACAGAAATTAAGTTATTTGAAACTAATGAGAACAAAGATAACGTACCAGAATCCCTGGGACATAGGTAAAGCAATGTTAAGAGAACATTTCACAGCACTAAATGCCCACATTGACTAGAAAGATCTCAAGTTGACATTCTAATATCACAACTGAAAGAACTAGAGAACCAAAAGCAAACAAACCCCAAAGTTAGCAGAAGACAAGAAATAACTAAGATCAGAGTGGACCTGAAAAAGATAGAAAAAAAAAAATCTCTTCAAAAACTCAACTAATCTTGGAGCTGGTTTTTTGAAAAAAATTAATAAAATAGAGAAACCACTAGCTAGACTAATAAAGAAGAAAATAGAATATTCAAATGAACATATTCAGAAATGATAAGGGGGATACCACCACTGACTCCACAGAAATACAAACAACCATCAGAGAATACTATAAACACCTCTATGCACATAAACTAGAAAAATCTAGAAGAAACTGATAAATTTCTGGACACATGCACCCTCCCAAGCCTGAACCAGAAAAAAGTTGAATCTCTGAATGGACCAATAATGAGTTCTACAATTGAGAAAGTAACAAATAACCTACCAACCAAAAAAAGTCTAGGAGCAGATGGATTTACAGCTGAATTCTACCAGAGGTACAAAGGAGAACTGCTACTACTTTTTCTGAAACTATTCCAAACCATGGAAAAGGAGGGACAACTCCCCAACTAATTCTATGAGACCAACATCATCCAACGAAAACAAAACAAAAGCTAAAGAATATAATAAATACCAGAACTGCCCTGCAAGAAATGCTACAGGAAATATTTCAGTCAGAAAGAAAAGAAAGATAATAAGCCTTAAGTAATCACCTGAAAGTATAAAATTTACTACTAGTAGTAATTACACAGATAAAACAATATTATAACACTGTAACTGTAGAATATAAACTACTGTTTTCCTAAGTAAAAAACTAAATGATGAAGCAATAAAAAATAATAACTACAACAACTTTCAAGACATAGACAGTACAATAAGATATAAATAGAAACAACAGAAAGTAAAAAAACAGGCAAACAAAATTAAGGCATTGTTTTTATTACTTTTCTTTTTGTGTGCTTTTTTTGTTTATGCAAACAGTGTTAAGTTATTATCAGCTTGAAATAATCACTTATAGGATGATATTTACAAGCCTCGTGGTAATTTCAAACCAAAAGCATACAAAGAATACACAAAAAGTTAAAAACAAGAAACTAATTTGTGTCACCAGAGAAAATCACCTTCAATAAACAAAATACAGGAAAGCAAAAAGAAAGAAAAAGCCACAAATCCACAAGAAAACTAATAACAAAACAGCAGGAGCAAGTCTTTACTTATCAATAATAACATTGTATGTAAATTTACTAAACTCTCCAATGAAAAGACATAGAATGGCTTAATGGATTGAAAAAAAAAAAGACTCATTGATCTGTTGTCTAAAAGAAACACACTTATAAAGAAACACACCTATGAAGGCACATAGCCAGGAAATAAGGGGATAGAAAAATATATCTGCCAAAAATATACCTGCCAATGAAAATCAAAAAAAAGAGCAGAACAGTTATATAAGACAAGATAGGTATCAAGACAAAAACTATAAGAGACAAAGAAAGTCGCTGCATAATGACGAAGTGGTCAATTCAGCAAGAGGATGTAATGATTTTAAATATACATGAACCCAACCCTGGAGCACCTATATATATGTATATATAGCACCTGTGTGTGTGTGTGTGTGTGTGTGTGTATATATATATATATATATATATATATATATATACACCCCAGGTGTGTGTGTGTGTGTGTGTGTGTGTATATATATATATATATATATATATATATATATATATATACACACCAGGTAACCTACAAAATTCCGTTCTAGGAAGACCAACTAGTTTTTGTCAGTGCATGATACTAGGAGTCACAAGCTTCAATATGTTGAAATGATGAGTCAAGTTAAGGAACAACAAAACAGATCAGACCCCAAAGACTGGTATAGTTTACCTGTGTAGCTAATTGGATTCATTGTGTTCTGAAAATATATTTGTTGGAATTTGGGAAGAATGAGGAAGTTGAGTTAGTAAGTAAATATGGTAACAATTGAATTTAATCTATAGTTATACAATCAGTCATTTCAGTCATAAGTCTACACAAACATAATAGTAGACAACAGTCTTTTGAATAATAAGCTCACACTTTACTAATGAACCTATGATAATATATTATTTTATAAAGTCAATTGTAGCCTAAGGTAAAAGACAAAAGTGAAAAAGACCACAAAGTCTATTTTTGCACATCACCTTATTTTCAATAATTTATAATAATTTTTCACCATATAAAAATTATTAAATTTTTAAAATTTAAATTAGTAAATTTTCACCATATAAAAATTATTAAAAATTAAAAACAAATCCTGAAAGGTGTTAAAATATTTAAATAGTGTGTAATTTAATTAATAACAAAATAGAAATAAAACATAGCCTGTAATACTAGATTGGCATAGATGAAATAATTAAATTATCCATGATATATTCAAACTATGCATTTGTTTATTTACATACATAATGTACTCATAAAATTATCTTACACGTACATGCATATGCCCAAATTTAAGTAACTATATATGTATAGTATGATTGATTTCAAATAAAATAATATAGCAAACCAAATAGAATGAAGTGATGAAAAACGGCATACTTGTTTTTCTTATATTTTAAGCATTCTGGAATATTTAACTTATCTAAAATACCAAAAGCAGCGCACTTTTACAGTCATATAATAGCATTACCGTATGTTTGAGACATTTTTTCCAAAATGTTTTCAGTTTTGAAGTATTCATGTTAGCCTGCTGAACCAAACTTCTAAGGGTTAAGTGAAAAAAACTACCAACCAAACACACAGTATTTTTTGTAATCTTCAAATGCAGAACATCTACCTCTCAAAACATCTAATATAGTTGACTACCTGTCAAAAACAAATTTTTGTAAATGTATGTGCAATAACTGAAATCACATAAACAACTACTTAGCCCAGTAATTAGTAAGTCTAATCACTTCATGCCTGTGCACTCGATATGAGGAAACAACAATTAAATTAATTCCACTAGATGACAATATTAAAAATACTTGAAGGGCATTTCAATAATTGAAAATTAACTGACGGGTTTATTATATTATTTTGAAAAAATGAATTATTGCTCTCCTGTCTTCTAAATATTCTCTTCATGTATTGGGAGATATATAAGCATCCTAAAAATGTGATTTAAATTGTGGCTAAGGATTTTCATGTTTCTACTCCATGAAACTCTAATAACTACGGTAATTAACTTAGCACTTGGGTATTATCAAGCTGAGCTAATACGACATAAAGAAGGTATTTCACATTTGTTGGTCTTGATAAATTGAACATAAATTATCAGAGTGAACATCTTTTATATAAAGAAAATGTAACTATTTCTCCCCAGAATTAGTCAGATGACCATTCACTAATTTCGCTGAAACTTTCATTCTTGATTTTAAGAAATAGCAGACTCTCCATTTGCAATATGACAGAACAGTTAATGGCATTGGAAGTTTATTTCCCAGGGCATGACAAGAATGCTTTTAGTGCTTAAAAGTGAAACTGTTTTCCAAAGAAAAGAGGAAGTTATTCACTTAACTCCCCACATTGTTACTGAAATAATTTGGAAGGATTCCTATCTCACAAAGTTGGTAATGGTTGCACTGTATTTGCAGTATGAGAAAGGATTTATGCATTGTAAATACTACAATTCTGCCGGGAAAAGCCATTCAGTCTTAAATGAGGCACACGAATCATACCTAACAGCATTAAAAACTACCTTATTTTGCATGAACATGCATTTAAACTGTAGTTTTCTCTGTGGAATAGGGAATGTTCAATTTTAGCTAAGATAATCTGCATAAAAAAGGACTAATTTACATTCTCATGACTGCCTCTGTTATTCTCATCTTAAGCACATATTTATAATTATGAAAAGCCTATAGTATTTTCTTTACATTAGGATCTTACAAAACTTTACCTTATTTTTATGTTACACTCTATTATTATTATTTCTATGAAACTGGCAAAATTTAAAGACAAAATGGGTATTTATGAAATAAATATGGAAGTGTCTATGTAATTAAAATTATTTAAAAGATTTTTGGTTAAAATAGCTTTTTGATTTCTTTACAAACATAAGTAAAGACTTTAGAGTTCTTTTACAACTGAACTGTGGTATAAATATGTATTACCATCCTACTATAATTGCTGCACATGGTTCATGATACTTTAAATGAGTGTCCACTCAGAACTCAAGCATGAGTTTGTCAGTTTTTAGTTGACCTTATAAAGGGAATAATGCTGAATAATAGCTCTTTATTTTTTCTATTTTACTTTATTATGGACTGTTCAATAAATGTCAGGTCAATTGCTTTTCCTCCAAAACCAATTCCCTTAAAATGAATTGAAGATTGTTTTTCTTTCTTGAAAAGAACTGAAGACACCTAAGGGGTCATCTAGTAATATTACAGAATAGAAAACCAAGGCAAAGTAAAGTCACCTCCCCAAGTGCTCAAAAATCATGGCAAAGGCAGGCCTAGAACCCTACTTTCCTCATTCCTAACACAGTGTTTGTCTAACTACCATTTGCTCTTGTGGGATAGTAAGGACAACATGCGTTGTGGTACATTCCCCATTCAAAAGCATTCAATTCATATTCAGAAGGTAGAATGATTTTTGGTTTCAAGTTAGAATAAAATTTTTCAGAATTTCATCACAGCTTGCATTCAGATCTTTTCTGAAAAATAATATGAATTAATTCTCTAAATTCCTGAGCTTGTTTATTTCATATTTATTTATTTATTTATTTTTGAGATGGAGTGTCACTCTGTCACCCAGGCTAAAGTGCAGTGCCGTGATCTCGGCTCATTGAAACCTCTGCCTCCCAGATTCAAGGGATTCTCTTGCCTCAGCCTCCCAAGTAGCTGGGATTACAGGTGCACACCACCACACCTGGCTAATTTTTGTATTTTCAGTACATACAGGGTTTCCCTATGTTGGCCAGGCTGGTCTCAAACTCCTGACCTCAAGTGATCCACCTGCCTCAGCCTACCAAAGTGCTGGGATTACAGGTCTGAGCCACTGCGCCTGGCCAGCCACAGGGCCCAGCCCTCAGTTTGTTTTTTAAAAATTGCCTTTCACTTTTCTAATTTACTTTTCACTATTTGATGAGATTAAAGGATAGTTAAGATACTACACAAATAAAATAGTAATAACATTTTGGCTGCTGAAAAAATGTACTCCTATATTTTAGACATAAATTCATAAAATTCAACCAGTCTTGCAGTTGGTCATCAGCAGTCAGACAGTCAAGCAGTTTATTACTTTTCTTCCTGCTCTTTAGAATATAAGCCACAACTGGGCAATTCTCAGATGTATTTACTAGTTTTCCGCTGCTCACATCCATTACATAAGACGTGCCTACTAAGAACTGCTCTCAACTCTGATAAAATCAATGACTATGGCAGAGAAACTTCTGATTTATAATTTGCAATAAGAAGTTTCATAGTGACATGACTTAGTTTTTAAGCTTTATTTCTAATGAGAGCACACAGCGACTGTAATCTACATTACAATTAATGTAATCAGCATTAGAATGTTAAAGAGGACATTTTAAGTCACATTTCAGAATGTTATTTACAATTCATTCTACATTTTATCTACACATATATAATCAAGTTTAATTTGAAGGCCTAATTTAGTTATTTTTTCCACATATCAAACACAGTTTGAAAATTTTATTGTTTCATTGTTCATTTGTTTAATATTACGATTTTCAAATATTCTATTTAACCAACCCTATTAAATATTGGTCCCATCCAACATTTGCCATTTATCCTTCCTTCCTACTGAGCCTAGTGGCAGAGAAAGGCTGAGAACATAGGAAGTAGGGTGGAAGGTTGAGGAATGGTGATAGTGGTGAATAACTGTTGAAGCTTGCAATAAATATAAGCAAGTTCTCAGTAGGGATTCCTATTAAACCTAGCCTAAATCAAATAAAATTACTGGATCATATACAGCACCACTTTTCTTTTAGAATCGACATCATTCTGACTCATTACGGCAATTCTTGTATCTGGGACTTCAAGTAAGCCTGCAATATTTATTATGCCAAATAGTTAATAAAGAACGCAGACTGCTTTCTTTGCATACAATTTTGAGTTATGCTCCAACAAACTCCACACACTTTTATTACATCTTATTATATCATCAAATATCAACTTCATATTTTTTCACCAATTCATCTCCCTTAATACTAATTTGATATTTAATTACTAAATATTATTTTATTTTAAAGTGTTATTTACCTTAAATTTATAAATTAAATTTTAATTTACTAAAATACTAATTTAATAGCAATTAAAAACTTAATGGAAAATAGTAATTAGGTTTGTGTATCCTGGCCAAAGTCACAAAGTAAACAGAGCAGCCATACATTGCTCCTTATAATACATAAATGGAAATTGTAAGCATGTGATCAAGCTCTTCCCAGAAAAAAACAGTCATCAAAACAAATGAGAGCTAATTTAAAACACTCATTCTGTGCTTCATTCAGTATTGTGCCCAGGAATAAAAAGTAAAGGTTAATTCTGGTTTTACAAAAACCTTTCAGTTAGCTCTGTCATCAATTTGAAAACAATGTAAGGTAATTTCTATAAATTATAAAAACTCGTCAAAGATATTCTTTATCTTTACAATTCAATTTAAAAATGTCAATTTTTTAAAAAGAGGCCTTCAAATGAATCATATCTATGTGTTTATTCTTTTTTCTCTCTTCTTATTTATGTTCTAATATGCATTCCCCATAATACCGTTTCTATGTCTATAGTTAATTCATTATAGAACAGTGCTTCCATTCAAGCTCAAGTTAGCAGAATATATTCATCAAAAATAATTGGACTTGAGAAGATAGATTTAGATTATGACAGAGAATAACTCATTATGGTTATTAACAATCTTCTCACCAACTGAGCTGTTTGAGAGTTGGAAGGTAAAAATATTATGCTGGAGTACCCTGGGGTAGGCATAGTTAGAAAATTGAGCTGAAATAAAGCTAAAATATGCAGGTTTCCCAGTATTAAATTTCATGACATTTAAAAAATTATCTTCTCTCTCCCTCCTACCCTAATGCTATAATGATCAGTAAGATCACCTAATTACTTTTGCATACAGTGAAGAGTTACAGTTTTGTAATGGCACCTCAAAGGAGCAACCTCAGTAACAGTGACTCATTTAGCTGTTTAGAAATTCTGTTGATTCACAGGGGGTTACAAACTGTTGCTCAATAGACTAACATGATCAAGTAATTTATGTTAAACAAAACATCATTTTTCTCTTGATAAACTATAATAGTATTTCATAAAATATGGATTAATATAGTTTCAAAATATGGCAACGATTACTATTAAATGTGTTCTAGCAAGACATGCACATTGAAAATATAACTGTACACTTGTGTAGACAAAATATTTTATTGCATATGGTAGAACTTAAACTCTATCATTTAAAAACAACAGAGTATATGAATGTAAGTTCATTGATGTACTATAGCTCCTGCAAAATTTAAATGATTACCACCACAGTTAAACTGATGTGAAACATGTAAAAATAGCACAAGATATTATATTTCAACAAACATATACTTTCTTTTTTCTGGTTTTTTTTTTTTTTTTTTTTTTTGAGACTGAGTCTCACTCTGTCACCCAGGCTGGAGTACAATGGTGCGATCTCGGCTCACTGCAACCTCCGCTTCCCAGGTTCAAGCGATTCTCCTGCCTCAGCCTCCTGAGTGGCTGGGATTACAGGTGCGCACTACCACACATGGCTAATTTTTGTATTTTTAGTAGAGAGGGGGTTTCACCATGTTGTTCAGGCTGGTCTCGAACTCCTGACCTCCTGATCTGCCCACCTCGGCCTCCCAAAGTGCTGGGATTACAGGAGTGAGCCACTGTGCCCGGCCAATGAACACATAATTCCAAATGTTAATTTACTCAAAGAAATCAAAATACAATGGAAGGCATACAGTGGAATATACCATTAAAAATCAAAATATCAAAAAATAGTTAATGACATTGGAAGAGCTCATGGTATAATGTTAAGTTAAAAAAAGGAAGACATCAAATAATAAAATGATTGTAATAAATCACTGTATCACACCACCATTTTAGCAATGATTATACCTGCGTGATTTTTATTTTTAATGTTTTCTATATGTTTAGTATTTTCTACAATTTTATCTGAGTGTGCATTAACCCATGAACAAAATAAATCACAAGTGTGTTGAGGTGGCCCTTAATAAAGGATTAATGACATTTTTTTAAAAGCCACATAAATGTCAAATACAGTGTCTGCTGCATGCCTTGCAATGTTTTATTTAATTATAACAGCAACCCTATAAAGTAAGTATTGTTACTTTAATTCAAATACTCATCAAGTATTTAATGAAGAAACTGAAAATCAGGAGGTTAAATAAATTTCTAAGGCCAAAGAGCTAATTAAGCAAAAGAAACAGGATTTAAGTCATTGCCCATGGCTCAAAATTTTGTACTCTTTCACTCTTAGCACAATACCTCTCCAATGATTAATGAATAAATTATATTATAAATATGTACCAATTTATCAACTCTTTCCTTTAAATTTAAATAACAATAATGAACCAGAAATATAAATTTTAATTAGTGAAGATTCCCGAGCAAAGTTGAGGGAAAGGTTCCATTATCTTTGAACATGAGAGAGAATTGAACTTTAAAAATATTTCTATCATGTAAACATTTAAAATGATAAACAACTACGTAAATTTTACATTGCTTCAGACTGGGAATTTAGAAATTGATAACAATGCAGTAGCGTATTTTTAAAGACGTACAAAATAGCCTGTCCTGTAACTGGCTGGGTTTCTTTGAATGTTTCGTTATTGACTCCTTCTCAGTTTTATTATAATTTTTTTTGCATAATTGTGATACTTCAGGTTGTACACTACCTCTAGAATTCATAATAAAGTGATGCTGGCAGTGAATAAATAGTATTTAAAGATTCTGGATATTTAAATATAGCCTTCGAACAGTTTTAGTGATACTTAAGTATCAATATATTACTCAAAAAGGCAGAGCTCTTTCTGGAATTGACTTACGGTTTATTCTATTATTCCTCATGGATATTTCTTTTATTGTGCGTGGTAGAGAAATTTGCTTTATTGTTAAGTTTCTAATTATTCTGAATATTGACTCTAAAGTGATATAAAAACTATGACTACTATGAATTTTTTTTTTTTTTGGAGACAGAGTCTCACTCTGTCACCCAGGCTGGAATGCAGTGGCGCCATCTCGGCTCACTGCAAGCTCCGCCTCCCACGTTCACGCTGTTCTCCTGCCTCAGCCTCCCGAGTAGCTGGGACTACAGGCGCCCGCCACCACGCCGGGCTAATTTTTTTTGTATTTTTAGTTGAGACAGGTTTCACCGTGTTAGTCAGGATGGTCTCGATCTCCTGACCTAGTGATCTGCCCGCCTTGGCCTCCCAAAGTGCTGGGATTACAGGTGTGAGCCACTGGGCCCAGCCTATGAAAATTTTTGTAGTGTATTGAGGATGGAAGATTTCAGTACATTTGCTCTGAAATACCATCATCTCTGTGCACAAACTAGTACTCAAGTCAGCCAGGGCTTTTTGTATGATCTTTTTTTTCTTCAACTTTTATTTTAAGTTCAGGGGTACATGTACAGGATGTGCAGGTTTGCTACATATGTAAACGTGTGCCATGGTGGTTTGTCGCATGGATCATCCCATCATCTAGGTATGAAGCCCAGCATCCATTAGCTATTTTTCCTGATGCTCTCCCTCCCACCACCCTCCTCCTCCAGCAGGCCCCAGTGTGTGTTGTTCCCACCCATGTGCCCATGTGTTCTCATCATTCAGCTCCCATGTATAAGTGAGAACAAACCAACAGCCAATATAATACTGAATGGGTAAAAGCTGGAAGCATTCCCCATGAAAACCAGCACAAGACAAGGCTGTCCTCTCTCACTACTCCTATTCAATATAGTATTGGAGGTTCTGGCCAGGGCAATCTGGCAGGAGAAAAAAATGTAGCGTATTCAAATAGGAAGAGAGAAAGTCAAATTGTTTTTGTTTGCAGATGACATGATCCTGTATCTAGAAAACCCCATGATCTCAGCCCAAAAGCTTCTTAAGCTGCTAAGCAACTTCAGCAGTCTCAGGATACAAAATCAATGTACAAAAGTCGCTAGCATTCCAATACACCAACAACAGGCAAGCAAAGAGCCAAATCATGAATGATTTCCTATTCACAATTGCTACAAAGAGAAAAATACCTAGGAATACAGCTAACAAAGGAAGGAAGGAAGGACTTCTTGAAAGAGAACTACAAACTACTGCTCAAGGAAATCAGGGAGGACACAAACAAATGAAAAAACATCCCTTGCTCATGGATAGGAAGTATCAATATTGTGAAAATGGCCATACTGCCCCAAATAATTTATTCATTCAATGCTTATTCCTATTAAAGTACCATTGACATTCTTCACAGAATTAAAAATGAAACTATCTTAAAATTCATATGGAACTAAAAAGGAGCCTGTATAGACCAGAAAATCCTAAGCAAAAAGAACAAAGCTGGAGGCATCATGCTATCTGACTTCAAACTATACTACAAGGCTACGGTAACCAAAACAGCATGGTACTGGTACTAGAACAGACACATAGACCAATGGAACAGAATAGAGAACTCATGAACACTTCTTATCTCTGGTGAAGGATGATTTCCAAGTGTTGCTTTAGGACATTTTAGAGTAATTCTAGTCGTTTAACAAAATATTAAAATTTACAAAATACATGACATTTTGAGTATTTCAGGAAATCAGTGGGGTGCAACAACTCAATAAAAAGTTCATATCACTTTTCTAACTGGCAAAAAGGGAGATGTTAAGGTTAAAGTTAAATGCTCAGTGCCCTTCAAATACTTAGTACTTTTAAAATATGTAACAATAAAGTGAAAATAGATTTTTTGCATTTTTATACAATTGAAATGTAGGCACATTTTGGAGGGAGTAAGTAGTTTCATTAAGCATTAGTTTCATCATATTCCTCTGGGTAATAAAGTATATTTTAAGGTGTAGAAAAACATTTATTCAGGTGGTTCTTCAAAGGCTGTATTTCTAAATCTGGATTTAGTTCATCTAAATATGCTTAGACAGATGTGTATGTACATGTTTGCTTAAATAACTAAACATTTATTTGTAATTGTATTTTCCCTTTCCTTTCTGCATTAATTACAAATCTAAAAGAGGTTAAGATAACTCACTATTTTCAATAAAATATTAATAGAACAAACTTATTCATCATGTTTTGATTTGATAGTTGGCTGTTGCATTCTCAAATGTATTTCACTTGATCATCTAATGTTTAAATAATATAAAATTATAGTTAATAAGTCCATGCTCTACTCTCTTGTGTCTACCAGAGCTTAAATAAATTTGTGATATTGATATGACTTGGTGGATTCGTTTGGATTTCATAGAGCCGACTACTTGGTAATGCTCAAACCAAAACAGCAACCACCACAAAAAGCCAACTTCTTTTTTTTAATTGAACTTTTCCTGTGAAATCCTGTTGACATCATATCTATATAGATTTTGTATACAAAGTCAGACTCACTACATTAACATTTCAAAAAATTTATAGTATATCTAAAATTTATATCCACCCTTGGTTAATATGAACTAAGCATATTGTTCAAAATTTTTAATTTTTGTAGGTAAATAGCAGGTGTACATATTTATGAGGTACATCAGACATTATGGTACAGGCATGCAATGTGTAATAGTCATACCATGGAATGTTGGGTATCTATCTACTCAGACATTTATCCTTTGTATTACAAACAATCCAATTATACTATTTCAGTTACTATAAAATGTACAATTAAATTATTATTGACTGTAGTCCTCTGTTGTTCTATCAAATAGTAGGTCTTATTCGTTTTTTCTAATTGTTTTTGGTTTCTCTTAACCATCCCAGCATTCCCCCCAAACCCCACTACCCTTTCCAGCTACTGGTAACTATCCTTTTACTCTCTATCTCTATAAACTTAATTGTTTTGACTTTTAGATTGCACGAATAAATGAGAATGTGCAATATTTGTGTTTCTGTGCCTAGCTTATTTTACTTAACATAATGACCTCCAGCTCCATCTATGTTGTTGCAAATGATTGGATCTCATTCTTTAATATGGCTGAATAGTACTTCATTGTGTATATGTATCACATTTTCTTTATGCATTTATCAGTTGAAAGACCCTTGGGTTGTCTCCAAATATTGGCTATTGTAAACAGTTCTGTAACAAACATGGGAGAGCCAATATCTATTAGATATACTAGTTTTCATTCTTTTGGGTGTGTACCCAGCAGTAGAATTGCTGGATAATATAATAGCTTTTGTTTCTTTCTTTTTTTTTTTTATTTTTGAGGAACCTCCAAAGCACTCTCTATTGTGGTTGTACTAATTTACATTCCCACCAACAATGAAAGAGGTTTCCCTTTTCTCCACATCCTCACCAGAATTTGTCATTGCCTGACATTTAAAAAAAATTATTTTAACTGGGATGAGATAATATCTTATTATAATTCTAATTTGTGTTTCTCTGATAATCAGTGATGTGAAGCACCTTTTCATATGCCTGTTTGTCATTTGTATGTATTCTTTTGAGAAATGTCTATTCAGATCTTCTGTTCTTATTTTATCAGATTATAAGATTTTCTTTGTATAGAGTTGTTTGAGCTCCTTATGTATTCTGGTTATTAATCCCTTGTCAAATGGGTAGTTTGCAAATATTTTCTCACATTCTGCAGGTTGTCTCTTCCCTTTGTTTATTGTATCCTTTGCTGTGCAGAAGTTTTAATTTGATGACCAAATCCCATTGGTCCATTTTTGCTTTGGTTGCCTGTGCTTGTGAGATATTACTTAAGAAATTTCTGCACAGATCAATGTCTTGGAGAGTTTCTTCAATATTTTCTTCTAGTAATTTTATAGTTTGAGTTCTTAGATTTAAGTATGTAATCCATTATAATTTGATTTTTATATGTGGTTAGAGATAGGGGTCTAGTTTTATTCTTCAGCATCTCTGAATTAAGTTTTCCTAGCACAATTTTTTGAAGAGAGTGGCTTTTCCTCAGTGTATATTCTTGGCACTTTTGTTGAAAACTAGTACACTGTAGGTGTGTGAATTTATTTCTGAGTTCTCTATTCTGTTCCCTTGGTCTATGTGTCTGTTTTTGTACAAGTACATACTGTTTTGGTTACTATAGTTGTGTAGTATAATTTGAAGCAAGGTGAAGTGATTCCTCCATTTTTTTCCTTTTGGCTCAGAATAGCTTTGACTATTTAGGTCTTTTGATAAACCATATACATTTTAGGATTGTTTTCTTCTATTTCTGTGAAAAAGCGTGACTGATAGTTGAATAGGGATTGCATTGAATCTGTAGATTACTTTGGGTAGTATGGACATTTTGAGAATATTGATTCTTCCAATCCATGAACACGAAATATCTTTCCATTTTTTGGTGTCCTCTTCAGTTACTTTTATCAGAATTTTATGAGTTTATTGTGGAGACTTTTCACTTTTTTTGCCAATTCCTAGATATTTAATTTTACTTGTGGCTATTGTAGATGGGAGTATTATTTTATTTCTTTTTCAGATTGTCTCCTGGTGACATATAGAAATGCTATTGATTTCTGTATACTGACTTCGTATCCTGCAACTGTACTGAATTTGTTTATCAGTTCTAGTAGTTTCCTCGTTTTCATCATTATTTTTTATTGGTTTGTTATTTAGTCTTTCTACTTAAGAGCAGTTTACTCACCATCATTACAGTGTTGTACTATTCTGTTTTTCTGTGTGCTTACTATTACCAGTGAGTTTTTTATCTTAAGATGGTTTCTTCTAGCACATTAATATATTTTTCTTTCAAACTGAAGAACACCTTTTAGCATTTCATGTAGGATAGGTTTGGTGTTGATGAAATCTCTCAGCTTTTGTTTGTCTGGGAATGTCTTTATTTCTTCTTCATGCCTGAAGTATATTTTCACTAGATATACTATTTGAAAGTAAAAGTTTTTTCCTTCAGTACTTTAAATATGTGATGTCACTCTTTTCTGGCCTGTAAGGTTTCCAGGAAAAGTCTGCTGCCAGACCTGTTGGAGCTTGATATAATTTGAATGTGCTTCCTGGCCCAAATCTTACATTGAAATGTAATCTCATATATTGGAGATGGGGCCAGGGAGGGAGGTGATTGAACCATGGGGGAAGATTTCTCATAAAAGGATTAACACCATCCTTCTTGGTGCCATCCCCCTGATAGAGAGTGAGTATTTCTGAGATCTAGCTATTTAAAAGTGTGTTGCACCTCTCTCCTCACTCTCTTGCTCATGCTTTTGCCATGTGACATAATTGCTCCCCCATTGCCTTTGACCATGATTGTAAGTTTTCTGAGGCCTTCCCAGATGCTGAGCATATGCCAGCATCATGCTTTCTGTGCAGCCTGTATAACAGTGAGACAATTAAACCTTTTTACTTTATAAATTTCCCAGTGTCAGCTATTTCACAAAAAAAAAAAAAAAAAAAAAAAAAAAAAAAAAACGGTACCAAGGAGTTGGGAATTTTTCTAAAGATACCTGAAATCTGGAAACTACTTTGGAATTGGGTAGCAGACAGAAACTGGAAGAGTGTGGAGGGTTCAGAAGAAGATAGGAAGATGAGGGAATGTTTGAAACTTTTTAGTGACTGGTTAAATTGTTGTGACCACAATGCTGATAGTCATATAAACAATGAAGTCCAGGTTGAGGAGATCTCAGATGGAAATGAGAAACTTATTGGGAAATGGAGCCAAGGTCACTTTTGTTATGACTTAGCAAAAAAATTGGTTGCATTGTGCCCCTGGCTTGGAGATCTGTGAAACTTTGAACTTGAGAGTGATGATTTAGGGCATCTGGTGGAAGAAATTTCTCAGCAGCAAAGCATTCAAGATTTGGCCTGGCTGCTTCTAATAGCCTGTGTTCATATGTGGGAGTAAATAAATGACTTAAAGCTGAAACTTATATTTAAAAGGGAAGCATAATGTAAAAGTTTGAAAATTTTTCAGCCTGGCCATATCACAGAGAAAAAAAAAAGCTTTTTCAGGAGAGAAACTCAAGCAGATGAGACTTTGGACTTTGAACTTTTGAGTTAACACTGAAATGAATTAAGACTTTGTGGGATTATTGGAAAGGCGTGATTGCATTTTGAAATGTTAGAAGAAGATGAGATTTGGGAGAGGCCAGCTTCAGAATAATATAGTTGTCCCTGCCCACACCTCATATTAAAATGTAATCCACAATATTGGGGGTGGGGCCTGGTGGAAGGTGATTGGATCACGGAAGCTGATTTCTTATGAATGGTTTGGCATCATTCCCTCAGTACTGTCCTCACAATAAAGAGTGAGTTCTCCTGAGATCTGGTTGTTTAAAAGTATGTAGCACCTCTAAACTCACTCTCTTGCTCCTGCTTTTGCCATGTGAGGTATTTGTTCCCCCTTTGCCTTTTGCTATGATGGTAAGTTTCCTGATGTCTCCCCAGAACCTGAGCATATAGTAGTATCATGCTTTCTGTACAACCTGCATGACTGTGAGCCAGTTAAATCTCTTCTCTTTATAAATTACTCAATCTCTGGTATTTCTTTATAGCAATGCAAGAATAAACTAATACAGAGCTCTATTTTATGTTAGTTGTTTCTTTTCTCTTGCTGCTTTTAGGATTCTTTCCTTATCAATGACCTTTGGGAGTGTGGTTATTAAATGCCTAGACATAGTCTTCTTTGGGTTAAATCTGCCTGGTGCTCTGTAACCTTCTTATACTTGAATGCTGATATCTTTTGATAGGTTTGGGGAGTTCTCTGATATTATCCCTTTGAGAAAACTTTCTGCCTATACCTCTTTCCCTACCTCCCCTTTAAGGCCAATAACTCTTAGATTAGTGCTTTTGAGCCTATTTATCTAGATACTGTAGTGATGCTTCTTTGTTTTTTTTAATTCTTTTTGTCCCATCTGACTTTGTATTTTTTATAGCCTTTCTTCAAGCTCACTATTTCTTTCTTCTGCTTGATGCATTCTGTGATTCAAAGATGGATGCATTCTTCAGTATGTCAATTGAATTTTTCAGCTCCAGAATTTCTGGTTGATTCCTTTTAATTATTTTAATCTCTTTGTTAAATTTATTGGTAGAATTTTGAATAACTTCTCTGTGTTATCTTGAATTTCTTTGAGATTCCTTAACACAGCTATTTTGAATTCTCTATCTAAAAAGTCATATATCTCTATTTTTCTAGGATTGGTCCCCAGTGCCTTATTTAGTTCATTTGGTGAGGGCAAACTTTCTTGGGTGGTGTTGATGCTCGTACAAGTTCATTAATGTCTGAGCATTGAATAGTCAGGTATTTATTGTAGTTTTCACAGCCTGGGATTGTCCTTCTTGGTAAGGCTATCCAGGTATTTGAAAGGATTTGGGCTTCAAGCCCACTAACACTGTGGTTTTTGTGGACTCCTAGAGCTACTGCCTTGGTAGTCTTAAATAAGATCCAAAAGAATTCTCTAGATTACCAGGAAGAGACTCATATTGTCTTCCCTTACTTTCTCCCAAATAAACAGAGTCTCTCTTTCTGTGTTGAGCCATGTGAGGCCGGGGATGTTGTGATGCAAGCACCTCCATGGCCACTATCACTGAGACTGTGCTGCACCAGATCTGAAGCCAGCACAGCACTGGGTCTTGCCCAAGACGCTTTTCTTAAGGGTGATGGATTTCCCCAGGACTTGGAGATGTCCAGTGATGTCTAGGAGCCAGGACTTGGCATCAAAAGTTTCACCAGTTTACCTGATGTTCTCTTCCATTGTGGCTAAGCTGGCACTCACACAAGAAAACAAAGTCCTTCTACATCTTCCATCCCCTTTACAAAGGCAGAGGAGTTTCTCCCTGTGGCCATAACCACCGCCAGTTCATGGGTGTTCAGCCAGATCACCACTGATGTTCACTTAAAGACCAAGTCAGCTTGTGGTGACTGCTGTCAGGTCTAGCACTCAGTCTTCAGGGCAGTGGTCTTCCCTTTGGCCTAGGGCAGGTCCATAAATGATGTCCAAGAACCTAGGTCTGTACACAAGGAAAGCAAGGGCCTGCTTGTTGCTCCAACTGCTGTGGATGAGCTGGTAGAAAACAATGTTTCTTTAACTTTTCCTTTTGCTTTTCTCAAACAGGTGGAGTCTTTCAATGTAGCCAGCACAGCTGGAAATGTGCTGGGTCACACCCGAAGCCAGCATATCTCAGAACCCACCACCCATGGAACACTACATGAGTCACTGCTGGTTATTCAGAGCCCAAGGTTTCTTTAGTCAGCAGTTTATGACTAACTGCCAGAACTGGTTCCTTCCCTTCAAGGCCATGGTTTTGCTTCCAGCCCCGGTTGTATCTAGATAAGTCATCTGTGAGACAGAGCCTAGAAAGGGGGACTCACAATTCTGCCCAGTGCCCTATCCTACTGTGGCTGAGCTGGTATCCAAAATGCATAATAAAAGTCCCTTTTACTCTTTGCTTTCCTTGCCTTAAGAAGAAGGAAGGAGTCACTTTATTGTTGCGAGCTGCACTGTCTGGGCTTGGGAGAGGGGTGGCACAAGGACTCCCTTAGCTGCCCCAGCTGGTGTCTGCCTAGGTCACATGCCACTCTAATTCACTGACTCTAAGCCCAGCCTAGCACTAGGAGTTGCCTCGCAATTGCATTCCTTGTGTCTCACATTGCCTTTCATGTTTACCTAGAAACCCCGAGCAATTCGGTTTGTGATGGCAAGGCTTGCTGAGAAACTCAAGTTCTGACCACCAGAACACCCCTCTGGCTAGGTCTGGTCCAAATGCTCCCTCAATGTGCAAGGGATGGCTAAGCCCAGCACAGCTTCATTCTCCACTATGACAGGGCAGGACTAAGTTCAATGTAAAGTCCCCCAGTCACTGCAATATTCCTCCCTAAAGTGCACAGTTTCTCTTTCTGCACCACAAGACCTCTGCTATTAGATGAAGGAGAGGTGGCACCAGTAATTCAAGACTGTCTCTTCTCCCCTCCTCAGTGCCTCTTTTAATGATATGATATTAAAACCATGTACTATGATTGCTCACTTAAATTTTGGTTCTTATGACAGTGGTGTGTGTGTGTGTGTGTGTGTGTGTGTGTAAAGATACTTGTTAAAATTTGGTATTCCTTTTGGGGGATAAACAGCCTAGGCTTATATTTCACAATCTTGCTCTTCCTTTGCTCTATTTGTATTTTTTTAAAGGCTCATTTAACAAGCATCAATATTTGATTAGTCATAAACATTCAGAAATGTAGATCATATTATGTAGCATTTTATTTATTCTTTTTTCTTAATCCTGCAAATGATTCTGTTTTCATAAATTTCCCAATGCACTCATCTCAATACACATGAACATAATTTTCAGATTTTTTTGACATCACTTTTTTCATACAAAAGCCTTTGAGTTAATTACAAAATACCCAAATGTCTTCCCACACATCTACTAAGTGGCTGCTTGTTATTTTGAATCAATGACAAGTAAAATCAACTACATGCCCAATGGAAATTTTGGCACGGATTTTAAATTATAATTATTAAATGTAAAAAGTGTTCCCATAGCTTAAATTTTAAACAAAATTTAATTACATGACTCATAATTTCTCAAATATTAAATGCTAGAAACAAATTTTAAAACCTAGCAAAGATAATTATGTTTGACTGTTACTTGACATAGCAATTAATATCTTAAAATAAACATGATTACTTAATCAAGATCAATTAAGTTAAGATACCAGCAAGTTATCCTGAAACTATCTATAATTATTTAATTACTAAGACAAATATAAACAAAACACTAGTCTATAGAATGGAAGAAAAATGTTTTGATAGAAAGTTAATCATCTCAAATTTATTCTTATCTTTTCTACTTAGAGGAGTTTACACCAATATTTTTCCAAGAGTTTTTAGTAGGATTTATGATACTTTACAAAGAATTGATCTTATCTCCTTAGTCCTGGAAAGCATGACAAATCACTCATAAGCTGAGTGTAGCAGTGGATGACCTTATTTTTTTTCTTGTTTCCATATAGAACTTCAAGCACATAAGTCTTAATCTAACTTACTCTTTAACCAGTTCCTTCCCAATGAACTCCATATTTTCAGAGAGTTTAAACATTATTTGATATATTCTTTTATATTATGCTATTAGTAACAATGTAACTCTTCTATGAGCATGTGCCTTTTTAAAAGACAACTCATTCACCTAGTCATTCAGCAACTTTATTTTCTACAATATGTCTGGGCACATAGAAAAATGGGCAGGGAAAAAAACAACTCAACCTGCGTTATGATGGAAGAACAATGTCAAGATTAAATTGTGATGTTTTGAATGCTGCATATTCAAATACTGAGTCACCTGTGAAACTTATTATGTGTTGATATGGTTTGGCTGTGTCTCCACTCAAATCTCATTTTGAATTGTAGTTTCCATAATCTCCATATGCTGTGGGAGAGAACCAGCGGGAGATAATTGAATCATGAGGGTGGTTATCCCCATGCTGTTCTCATGTTAGTGAGTTCTCACAAGATCTGATGGTATTATAAAGGGCTTTTCCCCCTTTGCTCAGCACTCACTCCATCCAGCCACCCTGTGAAGAAAGTGCCTGCTTTGCCTTTTGCCATAATTGTAAGTTTCCTGAGGTCTCCCCAGCAATGCAGAACTGTGAGTCAATTAAACCTCTTCCCTTTATAAATTATTCACCCTAGGTTTTTTTTTTCATGTCACTGTGAGAATAAACTAATACAGTAAATTTGTACCAAGGTACTGGTGCACTGCTATAAAGACATTAGAAAATGTGGAAGCAACTTTGGAACTGGGTAACAGGCAGAGATTGAAACAGCTTGGAGGGCTCTAAAGAAGATAGAAAAATATGGGAAA
Organism: Homo sapiens; assembly: GCF_000001405.40. Classification (NCBI taxonomy): domain Eukaryota; kingdom Metazoa; phylum Chordata; class Mammalia; order Primates; family Hominidae; genus Homo; species Homo sapiens. The sequence goes on along the minus strand of NC_000023.11, from coordinate 92,557,662 downwards.
GTTTGGACCTTCATAGAGGCTTGGAGGGCTCAGAAGTAGACAGGAAAATGTGGGAAAGTTTAGAACTTCCCAGAGACTTGTTGAATGGCTTTGACCAAAATGCTGATAGTGATATAGACAATGCAGTCCAAGCTGAGGTGGTTTCAAATGGAGATAAAAAATTTCTTGGGTATTGGAATAAAGATGATTCTTGCTGTGCTTTAGTGAAGAGACTGGTGGGATTTTGCCCCTGCTCTAGAGATCTGTGGAACTTTGAACTTGAGAGAGATGATTTAGGGTATCTGGCAGAAGAAATTTCTAAGTGGCAAAGCATTAAGAGGAAGCAGAGCATAAACGTTTGGAAAATTTTCAGCTTCATGATGCAATAGAAAGGAGAAATCCATTTCATTTTCTGGGGGAGAAATTCAAGCCTTCTGCAGAAATTTGCCTAATTAACAAGGAGCTGAATGCTAATTCCCAAGGCAGTGGGTGAAATGTCTGCAGAGCATGTCAGAGACCTTCACAGCAATTCTTTCCATCAAAGACCTGGAGGCCTAGAAGGAAAAATGGTTTCATGGGCTGGGCCCAGGGCCCTTCTCTGTGCAGCCTCAGGGCATGGTGCCTTGCATCCCAGCTGCTTCAATCTCAGCCATGGCTAGAAGAGGTCAACATACAGCTAAGGAAGTTGCTTCAGAGGGTGCAAGCCCCAAGCCTTGGTGAATTATACATGGTGTTGGGCTTTCTGGTGCACAGAGTGAAAAATTGAGTTTTGGGAACCTTCAACTAGATTTCAGAGGATGTATGGAAACACCTGGATAGCCAGGCAGAAGTTTGCTGCATGGGTGGAGCCCTCATGGAGAACCTCTTCTAGGGCAGTGCAGAAGGGAAATGTGAAATTGGAGCCCTCACACAAAGTCCCCTTTGGGGCACTGCCTAGTGGAGCTGTGAGAAGAGGGTCACAGACCCCAGAATGGTAGGTCCACCAACAGATTGCAATGTGCACCTGGAAAAGCTGCAGACAGTAAATTCCAGCCTGTGAAAGCAGCCCAGAGCAGGGCTGTACCCTACAAAGCCACAGGGGTGGACCAGCCTAAGACCATGAGAGTCCACCTCTTGCATCAGTGTGACCTGGATGTGAGACATGGAGTTAAAGAAAATCGCTTTGGAGTGTTAAGATTTATTGACTTCTCTGTTGGGTTTTGTACTTGCATAGGTTCTGTAGCCTCTTGGTTTTTGCCAATTTCTCTCACTTGGAACAGATAGAATTACCCAGTTTCCATACTTTCATTGTTTCCAGAAAATAACTAACTTGCTTTTGATTTTACAGGCTCACAGGCAGAAGTGACTTGCCTTGTCTTGGATGAGACTTTGGACTTGGACTTTTGGGTTAATGCTGGAATGAGCTAAAACTCTGGGGGACTGTTGGAAAGGTATTATTGTGTTTTGAAATGTGAGTATATAAGATTTGGGTGGGGACAGGGGTGGAATTGTGTGGTTTGGCTGTGTCTCCACCCAAATCTTATCTTGAATTATTGTTCTCATGATCCCTACATGTCATGGGAGGGACCCAGTGGGAAGTAATTGGCTCATGGTGGTGGTTACCCCCATGCTGTTCTCATGATAGTGAGTTCTCACAAGATCTGATAGTTTTATAAGTGGCTTTTTACATTTTGCTCAGCACTCACTCCTTTCTGTCACCCTGCAAAGATGGTGCTTGCTTTGGCTTCTGCCATAATTGTGAGTTTCCTGAGGCCTCCACAGCAATGTGAAATTGTGAGTCAATTATACCTCTTACCTTTACAAATTACCCAGTTTTGGGTATTTCATCATAGCAGTGTGAGAATGAGCTAATACATGTGTTTAGCCAAAAGGACCTTCCAGGAGCCTCTGTCATAATAGCTTATGAAATAAGACTTTTGATCAATAATTCTTTTAATCAGAGAAGGACAGAACCTTTCTAAAATTGAATAGAAGGGATGGTAATGCAAGTGCTATCCAAATACCAAGCAGCTGTTTCATAAGGGAAACTATGGCTTTGGAAATACAATAGCCATAGCACTACTTATCTGAAGTCATGAATGTGTTAGTTTAAGATCTCAGACCTCAGACGTCTCCAAACTGCAAGCACTGCCTACAATAAACTTTAAAATATTCCATGAAGTCTCTAATCTGTATGATTCGTATTTCCTTTGGTTATATCAGGATTACAGTATTATTATATTCCAGAAAATATTAGACATTTTTCTGTCAAAATTTCAGGTCCTTTGAGAAGTTGAAAAATAACCTCCCTATCATAAACCTAATTTTTTTATGTGAATGTTAAAATATCATCATGATAGATCCTAGGTACATATTTAAAAGAAGTACTGAAGGTCAAATATTTCTTCTGTGTTTTAGACTATACACTTGAATTAAAAATTCCCTTCCATTTCAAACAAAGTTTAAACCTTATAAACTTAGCAAACCACTTCTGCTGTGTGGGCCTTAATTTTATTTTCTTTAATAGTGAAGATGTAGAACTGGATGATCTCTAAGATTCTTTCTGATACTATTATTCAGCATGCATTTTAAAAGTTATGAGGTTCCTATGTTGCACCAGGTGTTGGGTTAAGCATTGCAGAAACAAAAATATACGTCGCGAAACCCTGCTACTCAGGCTCTGATATTATAATAGAGAATACACATTTGTAAACAAGTTAATTACACTAGAAAGTGCTAAAATGAGAATTGAGAGGCTTTGGAGGGCTAAGGAAACAAAGAATAACCTTAGACAGTATGGAAAGTTTGGTGGGAAGTGGGAAGTTGACAGTGGGAAGAGCTAGCTTATATAAAGGCATGCCAAGAAGAAAGTGAGGCTCCTTTGCAGGACCCTTCTTAGTTCACAGTTCACATTAGGAGAAGAATATGCCATATAGAAAATGACAAAAATAGGTGTAAGTTATAGAAAACAGAAAACAGATGATAAGAACAAACTTATTTCAATTATTTTTTGTAGCCATTAAAGAGTTAATAAAAAATTCAGAGCAAAGAGGTGATATTCAATTCAAAAATTAATAATATATCAATTTAAAAATTAAGAGTTGCTAAGTGCTATAGGCTGAAGAATAGTTTATAAAAATGGAGGATTATCAAAGGGGTTATAGTTAGATATATATGTTTGAACTATGTAATTAATAAAGTCCCTCTGATTCTAAGGGGTTTAAGGCTTCAACTAGGTTATGCCATTTTCCCCATAAATAAATACACCTACCCTGTACCCATAAAATTTTTAAAAATAATAATAGTAATTTTTAAAAAATTCTTTAGGGCCTGGAATATCAGGCTAAATTTTAGTGTTTAGCTGTAAATAATGCAAGTCTTTTAACTGATTTAAAGAAAGTGGCATGCATAAAATATGGCATAGAAAGGTGGCATTTCCTCTTCTTGCTGTATACAAGACATTGAAGAGTAGAATGTAGAATATCTTTGTTTTCCACAACTAAAACACAATACTTACAATAAATAGTATGTTTTGAGGAACTTACAGGTCATCAGAGTGGCCAGTTAACTCTTCTTTGCAGATAGAGATACGTTGGTGAAAAATGTTGAGAAGAATCAAGGCATATTCTACCTCTAAAACCGACTGTTCTATGATTAAAAAATTTTTTCTTGGTTGATTAACAGTGAAGATCTAGTATTCTTCCAATTTGAGTAAAACTGACTCTGTGTAAATAAAGAATATTTTCCCATAATGGAGAATGAGATGCTGAATTTACCAAGCTTTTACTCCTGAATTTTTGTCACTTCTGCAACACATTCATATTCTCTATTCTGAGTAACGCAGTGGGTGGTTTTGAAAGTTTATCTAGAACTCCAGAAATTAAGAAAGGAGGGGGAGCAAGATGGTGGAATAGAAAACTCCACCTATTGAATGATAATGGAAATATAACACCAAAACCTATGGGATACAGCAAAAGCAGTGTTAAGAAGAAAGTTTATAGCTATATTTGCCTACATCAAAAAAGAGGAGAAAAACTTCAAATAAACAATCTAATGATGCGTCTTAAAGAACTAGGAAATCAAAAGCATTCCAAACCAAAATTAGTATAAGAAAAAAAAGATTAGAATAGAAATAAATAAAATTAAAATGAAAACAATACAAAAGATGAGTGAAAAAAGTTGGTTTTTGGGAAAGTTAAACAAATTGACAAACTTTTAGCTAGACTGACTAATAAAAAAAGAGAAGATTCAAATATGGAAAACTAGAAATGCTAAAGGAGACGCTACAACTGATGCTGCAAGAAATTCAAAGGGTCATTAGTGGCTACTATGAGCAACTATATGCCTATAAATTGGAAAATCTAGAAGAAATAGACAAATTCCAAGACATGCACAACCCAATAAAATTGAATTAGGAAGAACTCTGAAACCCGAACAGACAAATAACAAGTAATGAGACCAAAGTCTTAATAAAAAAAAAAAAAATCCCAGTTAAAAAAGCCCGAGACCCGACGACTTCAATGCTGAATTCTACCAAACATGTAAAGAAAAGCTAATAAGGATGCTACTCAAACAATTCTTAAAAATAGAGGTGGATGGAATACTTTCAAATTCATTCTATGAGGCCAATATTATCCTGATACCAAAAGCAGACAAAGGCACATCAAGAAACACACACACACACACACACACACACACACACACACACACGAAAATTGCAGGACAATATCCGTGATGAGTATTGATGCAAAAATTTCCAAGAAAATACTAGCAAACCAAATTCAAAAACACAATAGAAAGATTATTCATTATAACCAAGTGAGATTTACCCCTGGGATGCAAGAGTGGTTCAACACACAAAAATCAATCAATGTGATAAATCATATAAACAGAAGGTAGGATAAAATCCATATGATCTTTTCAACTGATGCTGAAAGTATATGAAAAAATTTAGCATTCCTTTATGATTAAAAAACCCTCAAAGAAATGGGTATAGAAGGAACATACATCAATGCAATAAAAGCCATATATGACAGAACCTCAGCAAGTATAATACTGAATGGGGAAAAATGGAAAGTCTATTCTCTAACACCTGAAACTTGAAAGGATGCCCACTTTCACTGCTGTAATTCAACATAGTAGCAAGAACTAGCTAGAACAATCATACAGGAGAAGATACAAAGGGCATCAAAACTGGAGTGAAAGAAATCAAATTATCCTTGTTTATAGCTGATATGATCTTATATTTGGAAAAACCTAAGACTGCACGAACGAAACTGTTAGAACTCATGAACAAGGTCAGTAAAGTTGCAGGATAAAAAATTAACATGCAGTAGTATTTTTATATGCCAACAAGGAACAATCTGTAAGAGAAATTTTAAAAGGTTATCCCATTTACAATAGTAACAAATAAAAGTAAATACCTAGGAATTAACCAAAAGTGAGAGATCTCTGTAATGAAAGCTATAAAACACTGATGAAAAAAAATTGAGGAGGACACCAAAAAATTGAAAGATATTCCATGTTCATGAAATGGTAAAATTAATATTGTTAAAACATCCATAATACTCAAAGCAATCTACAGACTCAATGCAATCTTTATCAAAATACTGGTGGCATTACTCATTGAACTAGAAAAATCATCCTGAATCTTATATGGAATCACAAAAATTCCCAAATTATCAAAGCTATCCTGAGAAAAAAAAAAAAAAAAAACCAGAGGAATCACCTTACCTGACTTCAAATTATACTACACTGCTATAGTAACCAACACAGCCTGGTGGCATTAAAACAGACACATAGACCAATGGAACAGAATAGAGAACCCAGAATTAAATCCACACACTTATAATGAATTCATTTTTGACAAAAATGCCAAGAACATACTCTTGGGAAAAGACAGTTTATTCAATAAATGAGGCTGGGAAAATTGGATATTTGTATGGAGACTAAAACTAGACCCTCCTCTCATCCTATACAAAAATAAAATCAAAATGGATTAAATATTTAAATCTAAGACTTCAAACTATGAACCTACAACAAGAAAACATTGGAGAAACTCTCTAGGACATTGGTCTGGGCAAAAATTTCATGAGTACAAGCACAGACAACCAAAGCAAAAATAAACAAACGAGATCACATTAAGTTAAAAAGCTTCTGCACAGCAGAGGAAGCTATCAACAAAGTGAAGAGACAACCCACAGAAGGGGAGAAAATATTTGCAACCTACCCATCTGACAAAAATTAATAAACAGAATATATAAGGAGTTCAAACAAGTCTATAGGAAATTAATAATCTGAGCAAAAAAAAATGGGCAAAAGATTTAAATAGAACTTTCTCAAAAGAAGAAATACAAATGTCAAACAAGTATATGAAAAAGAAATACAAATCAAAACTACAATGAGATATCCTCTCAACCCAGTTAAATTGGCTTTTATCCAAAAGACAGGCAATAACAAATGCTAGCACAGATGTAGAGAAAAGGGAACCCTAGTACACTGATGGTGGAAATGTAAATTAGTACAACCACTCTAGAGAACAGTTTGGAGTTTTTTCAAAAAAACAAAAATTGAGCTACCATATGATCCAGCAATTCCCCTGCTTGGCATATACCAAAAAGAAAGGAAATCAGTATATCAAAGAGACATTTGCACTCCTATGTTTGTGGAGCACTGTTCACAGTAGCTAAGATTTGTAAGCAACCTAAGTTTCCATCAACAGATGAATAGAGAAAGAAATGTGGTACATATATACAATGGAGTACTATTTAGCCATAAAAAAGAATGAGATCCAGTCATATGCAACAATATGAATGGAACTGGAGATCATTATGTTAAGTGAAATAAGCCAGGAACAGAAAGATAAACATCATATGTTCTAACTTATTTGTGGGATCTAAAAATCAAAACAACTGAACTCATGGAAATAGAAAGTAAAAGGATGATTACCCAGGGCGGGGAAGGGTAGTGTGTGGTGGGATTTAGATGGGGATGGTTAATGAGTGCAAAAATAGTTAGAAAGAATTAATAAGACCAAGTATTTGATAGCACAACAGGATGACTATAGTCGATAATAATTTAATTATACATTTAAAAATAACTAAATGAATATAATTGGATGGTTTGTAACATAAAGGATAAATACTTGAGGAGATGGGTAGCCCATTCTCCATGATTTGATTATTACATATTGCATGCCTGATTCAAAATATCCAAGGTATCACATAAATATATATACTTACTATATACAAAAATAAATTAAAATTTAAAAAATTCAGAAAGAAAACTATTCCAGAAATTTATACTAAAATAATCATGGGTTTATTTTTTAACTATATAAGTGAGAGAGTACCTAGATATCCAAGGAAGATATTTATGATATTACAATAGGAAAAATGCAAACCCTTTATTTCATAGCACATTTAATATGCTTTTTAAATGAATACACAGATATGGGTGAGCCTGAAGCATATTATACTAAGTGAAATAACCCAGGCACAAAGGATTAATACCGCATGTTTCCACTTATATTTGGAAACTAAAAATTTGATCCCACGTAAGTAGAGAGTAGAATTGCGGTTACTAGAAGCTACAAAGCGTAGGGAGAAGAGGAGAGAGGGAGACATTCATTAAAGGATACAAAATTACAACTAGATAGGAAGATTAAGTTCTAGCATTCTATAGCACTGTAGGATTACTCTAGTTTACAATAATTTATGATATGTTTTCAAAAAGCTAGAAGAGAGGATTTCGAATATTCCCACTACAAGAAATCATAAATGCTTTAAGTGATTGATATGCTAATTACCCTGATTTGATCACTATGCATTGTATGTATCAAAGCATCACTATGTACCCCATAAATATGTTCAATTATTATGTCTATTAAAATATATTAAATAAAAATACATATGCTGCTCTATTAATAATATACTTGAGTTTCTTTTTATGTATATTTCAGTGAGATGACTTTGTTTTATTTATTCTGAACCATAGATGTTTTTTGCTCTCTTTCGCCATCGTGAAAAGGATCTTAGGGAGAGATTAAATAAATCATTAAAGTTTTGTTCTAAATAGATAAACCACAGGAAAAAAGGCACTACTCATGGTGAGAAATACATGTTTTCTTAACAAGTATTTTACAGAGGAACTCGGTGAATCTGAATTTAGATCACGAATTTGAAAATGTTCATCATTTTCATGCAACTTCTCATTTTTTCTATTATTTCAGAACTCATTTACACACATAAAGAAACTGTGTTGAAAGTAAATGTAAGCACTGAACAGAGACACTTAATTTCAGGTTGAACAATACAGGTAGCATTTTCACATTGAACTGAAATCATGATACTTTCTAAGTAAGCAGCAAATGAAATGAAGTGAAAGTCCATTTCATGTTCAAGACGAAATTATAAATGAGTGCTACAAAATAAGGCAATATAAGGCATTAAGTTAAATTTTAAGTTAGAAAAGCAAAGTCAAATGTATGTGCATACATATACATATTATATATGTATATGTACTTTCTTAATTAGACATTATTGTCATATTTGACAATTACACATTTGTGTCCCTCATAAAGTACTGAAAGAGAGTATTTTGGAGTTGCATAATGTGCCTTGTGAGAATACATAGTGAATCATTTTTTATATAGCATCTAGTCCTACAATGATCAGATGTACCTGGTGTAGGCTTTAAACTGTTGAATGGTACACTTTAAGCCTGATTTCAATAAATGACACTTGCACTGTTTTTTTCACACATTAACAAAACTGATTAGATATTTTTAAAGACCTTCTGAGCCTTTAATTTATGTTTTGACTGTTTCAGCTGACATAATTTTAATAATTTAAAATGAATAATTTTAATAACTCTAGTAATGCTTGCAATATTCTCTAATGATGGATCGAACATATCACTGAAAAACAAGTGTACCTTTTTCTTCTTTGATCCTATGAGCAAACATTTTAAGTAGAATTTATGTCATTTGGTGTTGGCTCTGTCATCTTTTAAGATCACTACTTTCTATAGCATTGTGGGAGATAAGGGCAAAATGGCTGAAAGGAAAGCTTGGCATTGCAGTATTGAAATTGGCTCACATTTCAGAAGGTGCTAGTGTTAACCGAAATTAACTCTGGGAAGTTCATCATGTTATCATAGGTTTGACAACATCAGCAACTATCATTCCACATGCTGATGATAAGATGCCAGAAGGCTAGATAAGAGAATTTTAGGGGCTGCGTGCGATGGCTCATGCCTGCAATCCCAGCACTTTGGGAAGCTGAAGCGAGTGGATTGCTTGAGCCCAGGAGTCTGAGATCAGCCTGAGCAACATAGTGAAACCCTGTCTCTAGAAAAACTACAAAAATTAGCCAGGAGTGGTGGTGCCTGCCGGTAGTCCCAGCTACTCAGGAGGCTGAGGTGCGAGGATCACGTAAGCCTGGGGAGGTCAAGCGAGCAGTGAGCCATGATTGTGTCACTGCACTCCAGCCTGGACAACTGAAAGCATGTCTCAAAACAAACAAACAAACAAAACTTAGAAAAAGAAAGAATTAAAAAAAATAGAATTGCAGGAAAGGAATGAGTTCTTTCCTTTAAGAGTATTTTATAGATGACAATGCACAATTTAAACTTGGATTGTGAGGAAGGAAGAAACCAGATCATCTCCTTTTTAAAAAGGCTTTTGGTTTTAATCACCTTTTACATATATTGAAGCTATTGACACTTTACAAAAATAGAATAAACATGTTAATGTAATTTCTGTATTGCCAAAATGACATTTTAATAGATGTTAAAATTCTTGTATATATATATAGCCATGATGGCGCCCACCAGTAGTCCCAGAAGCTGAGGAAGCTGAAGCAGAAGAATCGCCTAAACCTGGGAAGCCAAGGTTGCAGTGAGCCGAGATCCAGCCACTGCACTCCAGCCTGGGCAACAGAGCAAGACTCAATCTCAAAAAATAAAAAAATAAAAAAATAAAGAAAAGAAAAAGCCCATTAGAAAAAAATGTACAACTATCATTTTTTTCTCAAGGTAAATGTTTACCTTTTAAAGGCCTCGACAGGAAAAATACACACTAAATATAAATCCTCATAATGGTATAAGAAAAGTTACTAGAAACATTCAAAATGTTAAGGAGGTAAGAAAAGAGGAAGAAGGGAGAGCGAGGGAGGGAGAGAGAGGGAGAAAGGGAGGAAGGAAGAGAGAGACATTCATTCACATTTTTTTTTCTAAGATTACAATTTAATCTTCCCTTAGAAACTCCAGGTGAGAAGTAGAATCTGCATTTCGATAGCATCTTTCCATAACAAATATTACCTTAAGTAAGCAACATTTAAAAAATATCTGCTATTATTTCAACATGTTTTATTTTATAACCGTTTCCTTTTACTACTAATCTCTTATCTTTTATGTCATGTTCTAAATAGTTTATCCAAGAATCTTGACAGTTATGAGCCAATAGAGAAATCAATCATTAATTTTCACAGTTCTTGCCAAATCACCTTAATACTGCTTAAATTCACAGAAAGAGTTAACAATTCCTAAAACGGAATTTATGCAGAATTTCTGTAATAGTATTTTCTAACAAAACTATCTGGAAGCTGCTTCTTTTTTGCTGGGCTTCCCTAAAGGTGCAGTAAATATGTCCATGCTGAGGAGGAAAATCATTTCTTCCCATGCAGTGAATGATCTTAGTGCTCCAAGGAGGTCAATAAGATACTGTGCTAAGGCGTGTTGCAAAGACACAGTGAGGAGAACAAAAGATGGGTATTTCAGGCAACAAGCCTTTGAAATATAATAATTGAGTGCTGACTAGATGATATGTGGTCTGTTTGCCCCTGCAGACATAGACCCAATATAAGGGCAGTATCTAAAGCTCACTTTCAGATATACTATTTTTTAAGTTAAAGGGAATATACTTGCGTAAATGGAGGGCAGTGATGAAATAATTGTATGGTTTGAAATACTGCAAGGAAACACAAAATTTCATCAGACACCTACATGTTTTACATAGTTCCTAATATGAATGTAAACTTGGATATTTTTCTCTACCTAAATGGATTATTACTACATAGCAACTTAATTTAGACTGAAATAACATCTGTAATTTGTAGAAGAAAATGGGGAATTTGGCATGACCTTATTTTTTTTCCTTGCATTAACATATGAGATTTCAATTTTTTTGCTATCCATTCTCAAAATGAGAATTGATAAAACACAAGTAATATGATTTACATTTTTATTGAAAAAAGTGTTATATATACAGAGAGATAAGAATTTTCTAAGACTCGTCTTTCATGTATGTCGATGGAAGATAACATTATTTGTACTTTAAATCAATGCAGTCTTCTCTGATAGTATAGAGTTTTCTGATGTTAACCCCATTCCGGCTAGAATCTGATAGATGGATATTATTTGTCCAATAATTTTTCTTTCAGATTATATTCTTTGTTCCACAACTGAATAAATGTGTGATTGTGGGTAAGTCACATCTGCTTTAAAACTTAGTTTTCCCATTACACAATAAAGAACTTGGACTCTATGATCCTTAAGATTATTTCAAATATAAAATTCAAATATTTTTCTTTGCTCTATTTCTAAGAGTAGACAAAGGTTCTCTGTTGTGTAAAAATCAGCTCACCACATAGTACATTAAATCGAATATTCGAAGTTTATCATTGGGTTCACATTTTTAAAATAAAAGGCGTAGACACACACTGACAGTGCCTGAAGGCTAGTGATAATACTTCCCCTACACCATATCATACAATTTAGCAGAAAATGATATCAGAGAAAATGCTATTTGTAAACCAAAGGGATTAAGTGTGATCACAATTTTATATTTTTAACTTGAAATGTTGGATGTAATCACACCTTTAAACTAATTCTACTAATTTTTCGATCAGACTGATGCAAAAGCTTTATTTAAATGTGTACTCATAAAAACAGAACTGTAAGCATATCAGGGAATTAATTATCAATTCAAGAATTTAACCCTTGAGGCTGGGTGTGGTGGCTCACACCTGTAACCCCAGTACTTTGATAGGCTGAAGGGGGAGGATCACCTGAAGTCAGGAGTTCAAGACCAGTCTGGCCAACATGGTGAAACCCTGTCCCTACAGAAATACAAAAATTAGCCCGGCATGATGGCGGGCAACTGTAATCCCAGCTGCTCAGGAGCCTGAGGCACGAGAATCACATGAACCCGGGAAGCGGAGCTTACACTGAGCCCAGACGGCTCCACTGCATTCCAGCCTGGGTGACAGAGCGAGACTCCGCCTCAAAAACAAAAAAAAAAAAAAAAAAAAAAAAAAGGAATTTAACCTTCGAAGTCAATGATACTAAAAACGAGACTTTAACCACTCTCCTTATTTGATAGACTACATGTCTCTTATGTAGTAAGTTCTTACTGGTCTTTGGAATAAATAAGCCTCTAAATTATAAGTCACTCTGGTAAAAATGGAACAATATGCACAAAAGTAAATTCTTTTATGCCTCTCTAGTTTTTATGCCAATCACAAAACTTACTTGCTAATCATTACAACTTCTCTCCCTACTCTCTCCCACAGAGTGTACCAAAAGCTATAATGGCCTTTTTATTCCAGGCCTCCACATGGAAGCATGCATTTGGACAGCAGGAGCTCTCCAACTATGCTGTTAAAATTCTACCCTACTGAATAGACTTTCTGTTCACTTAAAGGAATCATAGAATCTGGGTGAAGGCAGTATGAAGAGACAGGTACCAGTATACTCTGACTGTGTTTTGTAGGGGCTTGAATCTGGATATATCAATTGTAGTCGTCTGTACCATCAGTAAGAACATGACATCTAAATTTAATATAAAAATTGTATTCATACCAGTTTTCCTTGCTTTAAAAAAGTGCTTCCATTATTAATACACACCAGTAAATTTCCTCCATAAAAGACATTTCTTCATGAAAGCTTTGATTAGATTAGGACCTTTAATTAGGGTGAGCCTGAGAATATCTGATTTTATTTGTGCTGAACATATCTAACCTTCTGAGTTAAAATGAAACCATATGATGGGGTTGAATTTACGGTGTCTTCAATGGCACCTAAGACAAGACCAAAGGGAGTTCACATAAGACAAGACCAAAGGGAGTAAGAAAAAAAATAATAAAACAAAAGCAAAATAATCATAACAAAATCCAACTCATGCACTCGTGCTGACTTTTCAGTGTACCTCAATGGCTAACTACATCTAACACGTCTTCAAAAGTTTTTCTAGTCCCACTATTTGAATAAGAAAATCAAGGGCAAAATGTTTTGCTACATGTTTTGTTAAACATAGTGAATAATTTCTCTTGTATTCTCCAAAGGCTGTGTTTTTCATAAAACCTATTTATTATGCAGGAAAATATAATTATATTTTCTCCAAGCATAACTTATGCACCTAAGAAAAAAAGCTAGCTTCTTAAAATGGTACATTTCTTTAAGGCATTTTGCTGTCCTACTTAGCCAGTATATGGGCAAATGTGAAGTATGTGTGAATCATGCTCAAGAAGGGAAATTCAATAAAAATAAGTGGTACCTGCTTGAAACTCAGGGTTTTATTCCAATTATCTATAAATTAGTCCATGGTGTGAAAGGTGTCTGACAACTGCCACACATTAACCCCCGAGCATACTAGTTTTATCTAACAAGGGAATTAAAATGTCTGAAGTATATGGTTTTTAAAATTACCTCCCTTCTTTTCTTCCTTCCATTGTCTATCATCCATCCTACTTACAGAGTTTTGTGGTTATTTTTTAAATTGTTATATTAGCGTGTCTATATTCTTATTTATCTTTAACATGTTTGAAAAATAAGATTGGCTTTTGATGACTTCCTTTAGATTGTTTGAGTATAGTATTTCCTTCTGTTATTCTAGACTATATATTATGATAAAACTTTTTTTTTTTTTTTGGCAGAGTCTCGCTCTGTCACCCAGGCTGGAGTGCAGTGGCACGATCTCGGCTCACTGCAACCTCCACCTCCCGGATTCAAGCCATTCTTCTGCCTCAGCCTCCCTCAGCTGGGATTACAGGCGCCCGCCATCATGCCCAGCTAGTTACAGGCGTGAGCCACCATGCCCGGCCAAAACTTTATTTATAAATAATGACCCTGATACCAATTTCATGAATTCATATCATAGCTTCTAGTCTATTTAGAGTGTTTTTAAAAAATGAGTTAGCTAGATATTTCTTTCTACTTTCTGATTACTAGGGTTTATAGGAAAGGTAGGATTAAAAACAAAATCTCTTTTCATGTGTATTCTTAACAAGTTCTTAACGTCTTCTTTTAGAAAAATTGGGTCAAAAGATGTTGATATGAATAAAATATAGTGCTGTATTAAGAACTATGTTACTGTGATATTTTGCAAGTCAATTTTATGTAATATTTGCTTTCAATCACGATTGGAGAAGTACATGTCTAGAGGAAGTTATAATGTTTAAAAATAAAGTTTAAAAAGTTATTAAAAGCCAAAATTTTAAAGGACAATATTATTATTGTATGATTAAGAAATGCAGTGTCCTGATATTCAGGAGATTTTACACTGATTTGTAATTTGGAATATTTTTTAAATACTTGTAGAAATCATATAATCTCACTAGTTCCTTTTATTCTAAATGGAAAAGTGGAAGTGAGTGGTGTTATAATCTGGATTTAAGAAGTATATTTTGTAAAGGATAAAATTGTAGGCTAAAGAATTTTGATGTCTTATGATGAATAATCCTGTTCAGGATTGTTAATAACAGAATTGGTTGAAACACTTCAATTTTGTCTATACTTTGAAAAATCTAGAAAGATGGCTCTCAAGAGACTAAAACAATATTTTCTTCATTGCATTTTTTTAAAGATCATGTATTCTTTATATTAAACCTGTATTGAATTTTGTAGATTTCTGCCACTAGAGAGGCTTTAGATTTTTCAGAGTACAACAGTTACCAGAAAATAAATGACAATCTTTTTTAAAGGTAAAAATTTCCATTTGTTGAAGTTATTTTGCCTACATTCACAGAAAATAATGTTTTATCTTTCATCTAAAAGGAGACATATATCTTATATATTAGTTGACTTCAAATTATTTTCTCATTCTAAATGATTTTCAAGAAACATACATTGATAATATATTGTGAATCCCACAAAACTTAGTCTTCTATTATAAACTCTTGGGAAAAAATATAAAAATGTGGTTTTATTATAATTTTATTCTAATTTATGGACATTTTAAAAGGTGCTAGTGGTCCCAGTGTTCCAACAATATAACATAAAGTATGGTAATACAGATAATTGTAAAGTCAAACGTTTGGAAATCATTGGGATGAAGATTAGTATTTGTGTGCAGAGCTGCAGGCAACTCTTCATCATCTCCTAATGTGCAACTACATATTAAAAGGTCCTAATATTGACGCAAAAGTGATATTTAATGAGTTCCTTTCAAAAAAAGAGATTTTCTCTGCAATGCCAAAATACTCATCAGGTAGAGTAAAATTCAGTGGAATAGGTGTTGAATTTCAGTTTATTCAATTCAAGAATTTTTAAGCGAAATTTAATCACATTTACAAATTTCATCTTAAATATGTAGTGTGAGAATATGCTATAAAATATAATTATATAAAGTACATTTGAAATAAACTGACATCTCCCTGAGAAAAAAGTAATACAGAGAATTGTATGAACTGGAAAACATACACCTATCAACATAATTTTAAGTGTAGTATTATATATAGCCTTTTTATTTTTATTTTTGAGAAGGAGTCTCACTCTGTCACCCAGGCTGGAGTGCAGTGGCACGATCTTGGCTCACTGCAACCTCCGCCGCCTGGGTTCAAGCAATTCTCCTGCCTCAGCCTCCCAAGTAGCTGGAATTACAGGCACCCACCACCACGCCAGGCTAATTTTTGTATTGAAACGGGGTTTCACCATGTTGACCAAGCTGGTCTCGAACTCCTTTTTATAGTGAAAGGGGGTAGTTGTTGAATAGTTTTTTTTTTTAATTGAGTTATTTTTTTAAAGAACTTCTTGTTTAAAATAAATAAAAGCTTAAGAAAAAAATCTAAAGAGGGTGGTATAAAACGGTGGAATAAAAGCCTACACTATTTGTCCCCTGCGCTGGAACACCAAATTTTAACAAGTATCTGCACACAGAGAAACACCATCACTGGACCAAAAATCAAGTGAGTAATCACAGTACATGGTTTAAATTCATATCACTGAAAGAGGCATTAAAAAGGATAGGAGAAACAGTCTGAAATAGCTGACACCACCCCTCCCCATCCACTGGCAGTGGCCCTGTGACACAGAGAGTTTGTGCACTTGGGGGAGGGAGAGCACAGTGACCTAGGGACTTTACATTGTACTCGGTGCTGCCTGTCACAGTGGAGAGCAAAGTCATGCTGGGATCAACCAGTACCCTGCACAGAGGGAGCATTTGGACCAGTCCTTACAAGAAGGGAATCGCCCATTACAGTGGTCAGAACTTGAGTTTTTTTAGCAAGCCTTACTGCTGTAGGCCAAAGTGCTCTGGGGTCCCAGGTAAACCTGAAAGGCAGTGTAGGACACAAGGAATACAATTCCTGGACAACTCCAAGCGCTAGGCTGGGCTTAGAGCCAGTGGACTCAAGTGGCACGTGACCTAGGAAGACACCAGCTGGGGCAGCTAAGAGAGTGCTTGTGCCACTCCTTTTCCAAGCCAAGTCAGTGCAGCTCGCAACAGTAAAAGTGACTCCTTTCTTCAGATTAAGAAAAGGAAAGAAAAAAGAGGCCTTTCTTATGCATCTTGGATGCCAGCTCAGCCACAGAAGTAGAGGGCACCGGCAGAGTTGTGAGGTCCCCATTCTGGCTCACAGATGACATATCTAGAATCAACCTGGGCTAGAGGCAGACCCGTGGCCTTGAAGGGAAAAAAACACTTCTGATAGGATTTATAAACTGCTGACTAAAGAGCCCTTGGGCTCTGAAGAGTAAGGAGTGATAGTCAGGGAGTACTCCATGGGCCTCGGGCTCTGAGATGTACTGACTTCAAGTGTGACCTGCCATATTCCCAGCGGTGCTGGCTACAGTGAAAGACTCTCTCTGTTTGAAAAAAGCAGGGGGAAAAATAATGAAGACTTTGTTTTGCACACTAGATACCAGTTTGGTCACAGTGGAGTAGAGCAACAAGCAGGCTCTTGGTGTCAAGTCCTGGTCTAGACTTTTGGACAGCAATTCTGGACGTGCTTTAGGCCAGAGGGGAGCTCACTGCCTTGAAAGGCGTGTCATAGTTCTGGCAACATTCACTACAATCTCTTAGAAGAGCCCTTGGTCTTTAAGTGAACATAAGTAGTGGTGTGGCAGAACGCCTTATGGGCTGGTGGTGGTAGTAGCCACAGGGAGGGGTTCCTCTGCCTGTGGAAAGAGGAGGGAAAAGCAGGAAGGACTTCGTATTGTGGTGTGAGTGCCAGCTTACACAAAGTAGAATGAAATATTAGGTAAATTTGTAAGGTTTTGTACTACAATTGCTGGCTCTCAGACAGGATCTCTGCACAAGTCTGGGGCCTGAGAGATATCACTGCCCTAAATGAAAGAAGAGAAACCTGGCTGGTTTCACCACCTGCTGATTATAGAGCCCTAGAACCTTGGAGTCAACATAGGTGGTATCCAGGTAGTGGTTACGGTAGGACTTTGGTGAGACTCAGTGTTGTGCTGGCTTCAGGTCTGACCCAGCACAGACCCAGTGGTGGTGACCCCATGGTACTTGCATCACAATGCCCACAGTTCCAGGTGGCTCAGCACACAGAGAGAGGCACTGTTTGGGAGAAGGTAAGGGAAGACAACATGAGACTCTTCCTGGTAATCCAGGTAATTCTTTTGGACCTTATCTAAGACTACCAAGGCAGCACCTCTATGAGTCCACAAAAACCACAGCATTATTGGGCACAGTACCCAATTCCCTTAGAATACATGGAAAACCTTCTCAAAAAGGACAGATATAAAACAAGCTCAAATTGCAAAGACTACAATAAATATATATCTTTAATGCCCAGACACTGATGAATGTCCATAAGCAATCAGGATAATCAAGGAAAACATGGCCTTACCAAATGAACTAAATAAGTCATCAGGGACCAATCCTGGAGAAACAGGGACATGTGACCTTTCAGACAGATAATTCAAAATAGCTGTGTTGAGGAGGCTCAAAGAAATTTAAGATAACACAGAGAAGGAATTCAGAATTCTGTCAGGTAAATTTAACAAAGAGATTGAAATAATTTAAAAGAATAAAGCAGAAATTCTAGAGCTGATTAATGCAATTGGCATACTTAAGAATGCATCAGAGAATCTTAATAGCAGAAATAATCAAGGAGAAGAAAAGATTTAGTTGAAGACAGGCTAGTGGAAAATACAAAGGAAACAAAATTAAAAAGAATAAAGAATGAAGTACAACTATAAGATCTAGGAAATATCCTCAAAAGGGTAAATCTAAGTGTTATTTTCCTTAAAGAAAAGTACAGAAAGAGATGGGGGTAGAAAGTGTATTCAAAGAGGTAATATCAGAAAACTTCCCAAATCTAGAGAAATAAATCAACATTCAAGTACAAAGAGGTTACAAAACACCATGCAGATTTAACCCAAAGAAGACAGCCTCAAGGCATTCAATAACCAAACTCCCAAAGGTCAAGGATAAAGAAAGGATCCTAAAAGCAGCAAAAGGAAAGAAACAAATAACATATAAAAGCTGAGGGATTCCATAAACACGAGACCTGTCTTACACGAAATGCTAAACGGTGTTCTTTATTCTGAAACAAAATACATTAATACATAAGAAGAAATCATCTGAAGGTAGAAGACTCACTGGAAATAGTAGGGACATGGAAAACCACAGAATATTATAACACTGTAATCATGGTATGTAAACTACTCTTAAGTAGAAAGGTCAAATGATGAACCAATCAAAAATTATAACTGCAACACTTTTCAAAACATAGACAGTACAATAAGACATAAAAAGAAACAATAAAAAGTTAAAAAGGGGGAGTATAAAGTTAAAGTATAGAGTGTTTATTAGTTTTCTTTTTGTGCTTCTTTGTTTATGCAATCTTTGCTATGTTGTCATCAGTTTAAAATAATGGGTTATAAGATAGTATGTACAAGCCTCATGATAACCTCAAATCAAGAACCATACAACAAATACACAAAAATAAAAAGTTACAAATTAAATCATATCACCTGAGAAAATCACTTTCACTAAAAGGGTAAAAGAAAGAAAAGAATGAGAGAGGAGACTACAAACCAACCAGAAAACGAATAAGAAAATGACAGGAGTAAGTCTCTAGTTGTCAATAATAACAAGGAAATAAATAGATGAACTCTCCAATGAAAGGACATAACATGTCAGAATAAAGAAAAAACACAAGACCCAGTGATCTCTTGCCTTAAAAAAACAAACTTCTCCGATATAGATACACACAGATTGAAAATAAAGGGATGGCTAAAAGCTGTTTTATGCCAATGGCAACCAGAAAATGGCAAGAATATATTTACTTATATTCAACAACATAGATTTCAAGACAAACACTATAAGAAGAGACAAAGAAGGTCACTATACAATGATAAAGAAGTAAATTTAATAAAAGACATAACAATTATAAATATGTATGTACCTAACACTGGAGCATTCATATATATATAAAGCAAATATTATTTGATTTGCTGAAAATAAACAAATAAATAAAAAGGACATCCAAATCGGTAAAACAGAATTCAAATTACCTTTGTTTGCAGATGATATGATTTTATATTTGGAAAATCCTAAAGACACTACCAAAAGCTATTAAAACTGATGAACAAATTTAGTAAATTTACAGAATACAAAATCAATATACAAAAATCAGTAGCCTTTCTATATGCCAATAGTTAATTATCGGAAAAATAAATCAGATTGTCTTTTTTCCAGTGCATGTTCTTGGCAACTTTGTCAAAAATAAGTTCACTGTAGGTATGTGGATTTGTTTCTGATTCTCTATTCTGGTCCATTGTTCTATATGTCTGGTTTTTTTTTTTTTTTTGCCAGTGTTATGCTATTTGGGTTCATATATCTCTGTGGTATAATTTCAAGTCAGGTAAGGTGATTCCTCCAGTTTTGTTCCTTTTTGCTCAGGACAGCTTTGGCTAATCTAAATATTACAGGGTTCCATATAAATTTTAGGATTGTTTTTCTCTTTCTGTGAAAAATATCATTGGTATTTTGATAGAGATTGCATTGAATCAATAGATTAATTTAGGTAGTATGGACATTTTAACAATATTGATTATTCTAATCCATAAACATGAAATATCTTTTTATTTTTATTTTTCTCTTCAATGTCCTTTATTAGATTTTATAGCTTTCATTGTAGAGTTCTTTCACTTTTGGGGGGGAAAATCTTCAGCACATTGGTCTGGGCCAAAATTTCTTAAGTAATACTCCAGAAGTACAAGGAAATGAAGCAAAAAAAAAAAAATGGACAAATGGGATCACGTAAAGTTAAAAAGCTTCTGCAGGATGAAGAAAATAATAAACAAAGTTAAAAGACAACTCACAAAATGGGAGAAAATATTTGCAAACCACCTATCTGTCAAGGGATTCATAACCAGAATATATAAGAAGATAAAATAACTTCATAAGAAAAAATTCAATAATGCAATTCAAAACAGGCAATAGATTGGAGTAGATATTTCTCTGAAGAAGACATGCAAATGGCAAACAGGCATGTGAAAATATGTTCAACATAATTGATAATAAGAGAAAGGCAAATCAAAACTACAATGAGTTATTATCTTACCCCAGTTAAAATGACTTTTATCCCAGCCTGGGCAACATGCACAGCCCTGTCTCTACAAAAAATACAAAATTTATCCTAGCATTGTGGCATACACCTGTAGTTCCAGATACTGCGGAGGCTGAGACAGGGAGATCGCTTGATCCCGAGAGGTCAAGGCTGCAGTGAGCCATGATTGCACCACTGCACTCCAGCCTGGGTGACAGAACAAGACCCTGTCTCAAAAAAAAAAAAAAAAAAAAAAGGCTTTTATCCAAGAGACAGGCAATAACAAATGCTAGAGAGGTTGTGGAGAACAGGGAAACCTCGTACACTGTTGGTGGTTAAGATGAAAATTATTATAAACAATATGGAGAAGATTCTGAAACTTCCACAAAAACTTAAAAATGCAGCTACCATATGGTATACCAATCCCACTACTGAGTATATACTAAAAAGAAAGAAAAAATCAGTATATATCTCTCCAGCAAAAGTTCTGAACAAGGATGAGATGGCTGAAATGGCAGAAATAGAATTTAAAATATGGGTAGAGATGAAAATCATTGAGATGCAGGAGCACATTGAAGCCCAATCCAAGAAAGCTAAGAATCACAATAAAATAATACAGGAACTGGCAGATAAAATAGCCTGTATAAAAATGTACATAAACAATCTGATAGAGCTGGAAAACATACTACGAGAATTTGATAATGCAATCGTAAGTACTAACAGAAGAACAGACCAAACTGAAGAAAGAATTTCAGAGCTTAAAGACTGGATTTCAAAAATAAGACGTTCAGACAAAACAGAGAAAAAAATAGAAAAAAGAATAGAATAAAAAGGAAGAAACCAACCTCTGAGTAATATAGAAATATGTAGAGAGATCACATCTATGAGGAACACAAACTTATGAGGGAGACGGCGTATCAAACCCCGTAAAACAAAATACTTTTTAATGACCAAATATCAAGTTGAAAGGATGAACTCTGAAATGTATTTTATTCACCAAGCTTATGCAAAATTTTTGATAAGGTAATTAAGCTTCTTAAAATCTTTTGTCAATTTTAGGATAGGAAAGACTTAAGAAGATTATTTTTGTGAATCTAAGATCATTACATTTAAATTAGAGTAGTGTTCTCAAATGTGTATTCTTACTGGTACTATATGGCAGTATTGGATCGTATTCCTATCTTTGCCTCAATTTCTAATTGACTAATACTCCATGATATGATCTAATTTAATTTACATATTAAATAACTTTTTAGTTCAAGAGTACATTTGCAGGGTTGTTTGTGTCATAGGGGTTTGTTTTACAGATTATTTCATCACCCAGGTATTAAGCCTAGTACCCATTAGTTATTTTTCCTAATCATCTCCCTCCTCTCACCCTTTACCTTCCGATATGCCCCGGTGTCTGTTTTTCCCCTCTATATGTCTATGTATTCTCATTATTTAGCTTACACTGATAAGTGAGAACATGCGGTATTTGGTTTTCTGTTCCCATGTTAGTTTGCTAAGGATAATGGCCTCCGGCTTCATCTGTGTTCCTCCAAAGGACATGACCTCATTCTTTTTTATGGCTGTGTAGTATTCCATGATGTATATATACCACATTTTCTTTATCCAGTGCACCGTTGATGGGTATGTAGGTTGATTGCATGTCGTTGTATTGTGAATAATGCTGCCATGAATATACATGTGCATGAGTCTTTACAGTAGAATTATTTATATTCCTTTGGGTATATACCCAGTACTGGAATTGCTAGGTTGAATGATAGTTCTGCTTTTAGCTCTTTGAGGAATCACCACACTACTTTCCACAATGGTTGAGCTAATTTACATTGCAACCAACAGTGTATTAGTGTTGCTTTTCTCTGCAACCTTACCATCATCTGTTGTATTTTGACTTTTTAGTAGTTGCCGTTATGACTGGTGTGAGATGGTATCTCACTGTGGTTTTGATTTGGCACGTGTTTGTAGTGGCTGGTACTGGTTGTTCCTTTCCATGTTTAGTGCTTCCTTCAGGAGCTCTTGTAAGGCAGGCCTGGTGGTGACAAAATCTCTCAGCATTTGCTTGTCTGTAAAGGATTTTATTTCTCCTTCACTTATGAAGCTTAGTTTGGCTGGATATGAAATTCTGGGTTGAAAATTCTTTTTTTAAGAATGTTGAATATTGGCCCCCACTCTCTTCTGGCTTGTAGAGTTTCTGCTGAGAGATCTGCTGTTAGTCTGACGGGCTTCCCTTTGTGGGTAACCTGACCTTTCTCTCTGGCTGCCTTAACATTTTTTCCTTCATTTCAACCTTGGTGAATCTGACAATTATGTGTCTTGGGGTTGCTCTTCTCGAGGAGTATCTTTGTGGTGTTCTCTGTATTTCCTGAATTTGAATGTTGGCCTGCCTTGCTAGGTTGGGGAAGTTCTCCTGGATAATATCCTGAAGAGTGTTTTCCAACTTGGTTCCATTCTCCCCGTCACTTTCAGGTATACCAATCAAACGTAGATTTGGTCTTTTCACATAGTCCCATATGTCTTGGAGGCTTTGCTCGTTTATTTTTACCCTTTTTTTCTCTAAACTTCTCTTCTCGCTTCATTTCATTCATTTGATCTTCAATCACTAATACCCTTTCTTCCACTTGATCGAATTGGCTACTGAAGCTTGTGCATGCATCACGTAGTTCTCGTGCCATGGTTTTCAGCTCCATCAGGTCATTTAAGGTCTTCTCTACACTGTTTATTCTAGTTAGCTATTCGTCTAATATTTTTTCAAGGTTTTTAACTTCTTTGTGATGGGTTCAAACATCCTCCTTTAGCTCAGAGAAGTTTGTTATTACTGATCTTCTGAAGCCTACTTCTGTCAACTCGTCAAAGTCATTCTCTGTCCAGCTTTGTTCCATTGCTGGTGAGGAGCTGCGATCCTTTGGAGGAGAAGAGGAGCTCTGGTTTTCAGAATTTTCAGCTTTTCTGCTCTGGTTTCTCCCCATCTTTGTGGTTTTATCTACCTTTGGTCTTTGATGATGGTGACCTACAGATGGGGTTTTGGTGTGGATGTCCTTTTCGTTGGTGTTGATGCTATTCCTTTCTGTTTGTTAGTTTTCCTTCTAACAGTCAGGACCCTCAGCTGCAGGTCTGTTGGTGTCTGCTGGAGGTCCACTCCAGACCCTGTTTGCCTGGGTATCACCAGCGGAGGCTGCAGAACAGCAAATATTACTCTGCACTATGTTTCTATACAGCACTCAACATCTTTTAACATGCTATAAAATTTGAGAGAGCAAATTAGCAAATAATAAAATTTGCTTATCTTATATATTTATTGTCTTTCTTTCACCACTAAAATTTAAGTGCTTGTCCCCTTTGAAATCCTTGCTCTGGATTCACAGGTCTTCTGTCGGTTCTTCCAACATGCTAAGCATGTTCATTTCAGGGCTTTTGTACAAGCTGTTTTCTCCACCTAGAAATCCTTCCCACATCTACACACCCAGTGTTAATAAACCTTCAGGAATAAACATAAATATTACTTTCACAGAGAGACCATCTGTAACATCCTCAGCTTTCTTGATAGCATACTCTTTTATGTTAAGTAGGACATTTTTTTTTTCTAGTTTGTCCTCTGGTAGACCTCAACTTCCTAGAGCAGGACCTGTTATAGGGTATTCAAAATATTTATTAGGGACATTTTTATTGTACACATAAAATTATGTGATAACATCACAAGTATTATGGCTATGTTTTACTATAATTTACCTTTTTTACTTTTTCCTCCCAAAGACATTTAATTTATATTCTGTTTTGAAAATGATATGGTGTTCTAAAAAGCCTGTTATTGTGTGGGGGTAATATGGTTTGGCTGTGTATCCTCACCCAAATCTCATCTTGTAGCTCTCATAATTCCCATGTGTTGTGGGAGGGACCCAGTGGGAGATGATTGAATTATGGAGGTGGGTCTTTCCTGTGCTATTCCCATGATAGAGAATGGGTCTCATGAGACCTGATGGCTTTAAAAACAAGAGTTGCCCTGCGCAAGCTCTCTGTTTGCCTGCTTCCATCCATGTAAGACATGACTAGCTCCTCCTAGCCTTTTGCCATGACTGTGAGGCCTCTCCAGCCACGTGGAATTGTGAACCCAATTAGACCTCTTTCTTATGTAAATTGCCCTGTCTTATGTATGTCTTTATCAGCATGTGAAAAGGAACTAATACAGGGGCAGAATTGGTGGAGTTTTCTATTCCACCATCTTGCTTTGCCTTCTCCTTTTTTTTTTTTAAATGAAGGAGGAGAACTTTCTTCTTGTTAAATATATTACTCCCCAACTTATCCTACATCCCTTTTAATATATTATTAAATCTCACTGCTTCCAAAGGTAAGCATCTTTTCACTTTTCATGTTGTTTTTTTACATGAACCTAACCTGTATCTCTTCTTCCATTTCTACTCTTTCCTAATTTATTCTTCTCAGAACAACTAAACATATCTTGTCTTTACTGTCTATTCTCATATATGCTTAAATGCAGTATAGACTTAGTGGATGATAATGATTGTATGGTGTCCACTAGTATATTGTATTTAATAAAGAAAATTTTCTTTAAGAAATGAAGGAACCTTAGAACCACTCCTTGTATTTGAATAATAAAGATATCATTATGTCTCTAATTTCTTAAGGAGAAAATAAATCTAATAGAAATTTAGGCTAAGGCAATAATCTCTGTCTTAAAAGAGTTTCCTATTGATGTCCTCTCTCTCCTTCTCTAGGTAACTCTGGGAGAATAAGAACTACATTTATCAGAAGCCAAACTTAATACATCAGGTAAACAATGGCAACTTGAAGTAGAAAAAGGCAGACCAGATCCTTTCAAGGTACCAGAGGTCCTAAATTAAAATGTATTTCTATTGGTATATCTTTCTTTCATGAAATTCCACTTACTAGACCTTATTTTCTCCAGTGTCCACTTTGTCCCTGTAGTATTGAGGTGGCTCTGTGTTATCATCACCAATACATTATAGTAACAAGACAGAAATTCTATTTATTCTTACAACACCAATGGAAAGTACACATTATATTATCCACACTAGTGAGATTAATTAACTCAAAGATATTTTTATTTCCAGTCCCTTGGGCATACTGTTAGGTCATGATCTTTCATGATTTTTTCTCTGAAATATAATTGACTTTATTTCTGTGACAATATAAGGCTCTCACTAAATCCAGAAAAGCTCAGAACTAAGGAAGATTATATAAATGGGTCAGTCACTTAATATTAATATTTTTCATTTCAAGTTCTCTGGTATGTCAAATATTGTCATTTTTTTTCAGTATTAGTATCAGTATTTAGCTGCTTATTTAATATATTCATTAAAAAACTTCATATGTCAATTTTTCATAAAATCTGGTTGAGGAAATTTTCATAGCATGATACTCATTGTTAATAGCAAATAAGATGGCTTAAGCTAATAATATGTATAAATATCTTTATGAATTAAACACATAAATTCACTAACGGTCTTCACACAGGGTTCAGATGTTCAAAAAACAGTAAACTTTAGTCAATTATTTACATTACAGGAAATTATATTCACCTATGGAGCTAATAACTTTGACATCTAAAGTTAAGAAAAATTGGAACACTGACATTCTACTGAAAGGAGTCTCTGGCAATTTTGATAGTACCTATGTATTCCTTACCCTTTGTTCTTGGTACACTGCAGAGTTTTACTTACAGAGTTAATTTTAATTTGAGACATCACATTTAGTCTTAAATTCTTACAAGAAATCTCATAGGAGTTGATAAAACTCTCTGTGTGTGCACACACATGCACTTTTAAATTAATGCTTCATTCCTACTAAGTTGATTTTTTATGTGGTTTAAGGAAGCCTTTCTATTTCTAGTGTTTTTCTCACATGTGGGAGCTTCATTGAAGTGTTTCTCGCAATATAAAAATTGTAATTTTTGAAAATAATGCATTAACATGAGGATTAAGAAAAACATACCGTATTATATTAACTTGAGAATTATAAAAAAAATTGCATTCTATATTGGCCACCAATATAGTTTAAGATGCACTGAAACGATCTCCATCTATATTACTTTCCATATGGAAAAGATAATTTACAATGCTTGAAGTTTTGTAAACAACCTGATAACTAAATCTGATAATTTCATGACTAATACAATTGTTTCTATGGTAATCAGTTTTAGAAGAGATGAAAAAAAACTTAAGCTAAAAACAATCGATTCAAATATTCATCACCCAGGTGATAAAATATTATATCTTTGGAATATTTGTGGCTGAAGCATTCCTTCTACATCTTTTAAAATGTCTGCCATCTCATTCTTCAAGCACCGAACTATTGTGAAGAATTACTGTAACTTATGTACTAGAGGCCATAGTATCTTTAAAAGGGGCATGCATTACATAGAATTAGGAAAATGCTAAACTTACTCTTAGTATTGCAAACACCCATCTCTGGGATTTCTCCTGCCTAACAGCTATAGATTAAATCTATCATCGTAGGAAGGTTTTTATAAACGGTAAAATAACAACAATGCAAGGCCTGTTTTGGTGGGGGTGTATGCTCTTCCCCACCATTTCCTAGAAGTTTTGCATTCATACACTTTACAGGTAAAAGAGCAAGGGAATCCAGCTGTTTGCAAAATAGTAAATATTCAAATGATTTTGAATCTTTGAAACAATTTGTACTCCCCCATAGATGAAGCCTAATTAGAAGGGTTAATCTGCACCTCGACTTTGGGGTTTAAAGAACAATAAACAAAAATTGCTAATCTTTAAAAAATGTTTTCTGTCTTTGAGAACCATCTAAATTGAAAGCCACTTCTTTGGTTCAAAGGTTTCTTTTCTTTTCATCAGAGTATTTTGAATCACTTGTTTTTATATCCTTAGGTCTATTACATACTTTTTAATTTACAAACCCATATGTCACAAAAAAGAGGTCAATGCTCGCTAAGAAATGATATTTTATAGAGAAGTCCTTTGACTGTTTATTTCTGGTAAATCCTCACATAAGGTAACTTTCGATTATTATTTCTACCAAACCTAGAAAAGAACTGTTATCATCAATAATGGATGTCATTATTGACTCAAGTCATAGATAATTCCAGTTTTCTGTTCTTATTCCCAAACACAATAGACCACTGCACCTTTATTTATTTATTTTTACTTTTAAAAGTATCTCCTTGTATTAGTCTTCAATAGAACATACTTTAGGAAATGCTGGTCTCTGCTTATCGATCTTCGAGTAAGGTAATTATTTTTTTCTTTTTCCTCAATCACTGACACTTAGCCAACAGATGTGTGACCTGTTCTGTGCTATTTATGTCTAATTATTCATAATTTTAAATTCCTTAATCCTCTGCACATTCTCTCCCATCTCAATGCTACTCTGAGCAAGACCCTAGACTGGCTATAACTCCTATAGTTGCTCTTTATTATCATAGTGTGAACGCTATATAGCATTACCAAGATCTATGAACACAAATAATAGAGAAGTAAAAATCTAGAAAGCTTTAGGATTGGTAATGGCACTAAATAATACATACAGATTCAGTGGACTGTGATTAGCATTTCTCTGAAAGGTATCACAGGCATGTTCCACTGTTAGAATAACCTTTTCAGCCATGGAATAAATCTAAATTAATGATGGAAACCATGACTAATGCATCTAGCATTAATAACTCATCCAGAAACAAACAATGGTGATGTGCTTGTTACATCAACACAGATTGCTCACTAATCACTGCCTATTTCGGTAAACATCAATCCTACTGTGTTTTTTTCTCCAGAAAATTTTTTCATCCTATAAACCCATAAAAATGGCAACTTTCCACAGTGTGAAATATAATGCTTCAGGATAAAGTGGTGCATTAAAGCATTCTACCCTTTAGTTCAGACAGCGATCTAAATCTAATGTAAGGCTGGGTTTGTTTAAAGTATGTGGATCTAATTATCTCATGCATCATATCCCTCTGTGACCTTTATCAATCCTGCACTTATCTTTCACCAATTAATAATGTCACAAATAATAGGGCTTAACATGCACCTTATTTTCTGGGTCTTAATGCTGATATTCTCATTTTGTCACCAGAGTTACAGTATGCATTTGTAGGTAGTATTTTTAAAAGACAACTGAATGTTCTTTTTTTCATACTTAAAACTTCATTAAAACACTACGTCTTCTTTTCTTAGAGATTTTGACATAATAATTTGAATTCTTATTAAAATATAGAGAAATATAATAACACTGTCAGGATTATATGGAAATGGGTTGAACTGGAATTTCTCTAAAGATTCCCATCACAATTTAGGACTCAAGGCTGGGTGGGAGTGGTAGCTCATGCCTGTAATCCCAGCACTTTTGGGAGGCCAAGGCAGGTGGATCACCTGAGGTCGGGAGTTCGAGACCAGCGTGACCAACATGCAGAAACCCCCTCTCTACTAAAAAATACAAAATTAGCCGGGTGTGGTGGTGCATGCCTATAATCCCAGCTACTCGGGAGGCTGAGGCAGGAGAATCACTTGAACCCTGGAGGCGGAGGTTGCGGTAAGCCAAAATTGCGCCATTGCACTTCAGCCTAGGCAACAAGAGTGAAACTCCGTCTCAAAAAAATAAATAAATAAAAATAAAACAACTTAGGACTCATTAAATACATGCAGGATATGCACATGTGCGTATGTCTGTATATGTGTGTGTGAATATAATTTTTATTTTCTTAAACTAAATCTTCTCTTTAATTTTGCTAGGTACATTATGTACACTCCTGTTCTAGAAAAATGACACAAATTCTTTTAATCAAATAAAGAGACCGTTTTCACTATTAATCCCCCAGTTATCAATCTCATTCTGTTTATGACTCGTGTTTGGGAATAAGAGTACATTTAGAAGTAGTTCTAATAATTCACCCTGAAATGTAGAATGCCCCTTATGCTAAAAGAGCTATCTTGACATATGTCAGATAAGGGTCCACTTAATTCACTCATGTACTCTTTCATTTATTCATAATAAATCTATAATTTGTTTTTAAATATGCTGGATATTACTGCTTGAAATGAAGAAACTTAGTTCTGGGGTCAGCAAAGTAAAATTCAGATATTTGGGCTGAACAATTCAGTTGGATCTTGAAAACATGAGTAAATGTTCTTCCCAAGAAATACTCAATTATGTTAGATCCCTTCTCATGGGCAGGATTTTTAAATAGGAGAATATATTTTATGCGTTGCTCTTTTAAAAAGTATTTTCTTTTAGCTTTAGGGTCTGATAAATGTTTTAAAGTAAATTAATTTTAGGGCTAATTTTCTAGCTTATTATAGTAAATAAGACTGGCTCATTTGAGACAGTGTCTAGTGCTTTAAAATAAGTTATAACCTTTCTAAAGATATGTTAATAATACCATGTGTAATTTAGCAAGAAAAAATGTGTTCACTAATTTCAAATATTCTTCATGGGAATTGAAATCATAATACTTTTATTTTTTTAATTTCTAATTTTTTATTTAATTTTTGTGGGTACATACCAGGTGTATATATTCATGGGGTACCTGAGATGTTTTGATACAGGCATGCAAAGTGAAATAATCTCATCATGGGGAATGAGATATTTGTCCCCTCAAGCATTTATCCTTTGAATTTAAAACAATCCAATTACACTTTTCAAGTTATTTAAAAATGTACAATTAAGTTATTATTGATTATAGTGATGCTATTGTGTCATCAAATTGTAGGTTTTATTTATTCTTTCTGTATTTTTGGGCCCATTAACCATCTCCACCTCATCCCAAACCCCAGCTACCCTTCCCAGACTCTGGTAACCATCCTTCAACTTTCTACGTTCCTGAGTTCAATTGATTTTATTTTTAGATCCCACAAAAAAGTGGGAACATGCAATGTTTGTCTTTCTGCTTAACATAATGATCTTCAGTTCCATAGGTGTTGTTGCAAATGGCAAGAGCTCATTCTTTGCTATGGCTAAATAGTATACCACTGTGTGTATGTACCACATTTTCTTTCTCCATTCATCTGTTGATGGAAAGTTGGGTTGCTTACAAATCTTAGCTATTGTAAACAGTGCTGCAACAAACATAGGAGTGCAAATGTCTCTTCAATATACTGTTTTCCTTTCTTTTTGGTATATATCAAGCAATGGGATTGCTGGATCATATGGTAGCTCAATTTTTGTTTTTTTGAGGGAACTCCAAACTGTTCTCTATAGTGGTTGTACTAATTTACATTTCCACCAACACGGTACTAGGGTTCCCTTCTCTCCACATCTGCACTAGCATATGTTATTGCCTGCCTTTTGGATAAAAGCCATTTTAACTGGGGTGAGAGGATATCTCATTGCAGTTTGGATTTGCATTTATCTGATGTTCAATGATGCTGAGCACTTTTTCAGATGCTTGTATGAGATTTGGGTGTCTTCTTTTCAGAAATGTCTATGGATATATTTTGCCCATTTCTGATGGTATTATTAATATTTTCCTATTGAGTTATTTGAGCTCCTTATATATTCTGGTTATGAATCACTTGTCAGATGGGTAGTGTGCGAACAATGGCTCCCCATTGTAAACATGAACTATTAAGCAAGCAATTAGAGTAGAGCTTATTAAAAAATCTCAATTCTCCTAAAGTCTTAGCTTCATGAAGGAATTTGAAAATTCTTCTTTTCTTCACTTCATTTTTGCCACCTACAGTACTCCAAAGGCTGCTAATGATCATAGAACTGGAACCATATACCAAATGTTATGTTGCAGGTTGTAGAAGAAAAAAGAAAAAAAATGCTAAAGTCAGCCTACAAGGACATACATCTCCCGTGATGAATTAAGAATGAATTTTATTTTAAGGGCAGATACTCTTCAAAGTTCAGATACTGACCTATTATATTCTGATACCTGAAAAAGATTTGGCTACAGGGAGCAACAGGGAATCTGGAGCCCAAGTACTGAATTCTATTTGTTAGTATTGTATCCCAATTCATTCTTAGGTCACCCGGTAGCACTCCGTGTTTAATCTTCTAAAATTTAAAAAATTGGAGCAAAAAATAAGAAAATGACCCAATGAATGAATTCCATGCCCTCACGAAATTTGCATTATTATTGAAATATTTTTCTTTTAAATGGTTATCAATTAAAACTCAATAAACTAGCTTCAAGAAAGGATATCGTTATAATATTTGTAAGGCAAGGTTGATAAAGAATGTATTAACTTTTCAGTATTCAGTTGTGTACATGGTTGGCCAAGAACTGATAAGATAGTAATTCTACTTTTTTTTTTTTTTTTTTTTTGAGAAAGAGTTTTGCTCTTGTAGCCCAGGCTGGAATGCAGTGGTGCAATATTGGCCCACTGCAACCTCTGCCTCCTGGGTTCAAGAGATTCTCCTGCCTCAGCCACCCATGTAGCTGGGATTACAGGCATGCACCACCACTCCTGGCTAATTTTTGTATTTTTAGTAGCGATGGGGTTTCACCATGTTGGTCAGGCTGGTCTCGAACTCCTGACCTCAGGTGATCCACCCACCTCAGCCTCCCAAAGTGCTGGGATTACAGGCGTGAGCCACCGCGCCCAGCCAACTCTACTTTTTTTAAAGTCTTACTTTGGTAATTTCATGCAGTATCACTTTTGCAAAAACATTGAATTATTTTTATCTTCTTTACATTGTTCTTATGTCTATAAAGTAGAAAAACAAGTTGCAAACAAAGACATAATTCAGGAAGGAAAATCTAGCAGTTGACAAAAAGAATTCAAAATTAATAAGAGGGTTATGCTAATGTTAATTGTAATACTGCATAGATACAAAGGTTAAGTTCATTTAATAAAAATGAGGTTTAAGTTCATTTTGTGGGTTGATTGAAGACATGTAATAGTTTGTGAATATTCTTCCAAGTTTCCATTTAAGGATTCCTTTCTGGCACTGTTTTATATTAACTGAGTAGGGAAAACATTTAGGTGTTCCCAACTGTCAGAGTTAATTCTGTGGTAGGTTGAGGATTAATTATTAGAAATCATAGAGTTCCTCATAGCAAAAACATAAGGTCCTGATTAGAGACACAAGCACATGCCCTGTACTAAATTTTAGGTATTACTATACACATACACTTGTACAGATGATACTCTCTGAATTTTCTATGCTGCTATTAAGTTAACTTTAGTTAGTTATCACATCTCAAGGGAATGGCAAGTCACAGAATGGCAAGAGATTGAAACAAGAGTCTATTGAAGGGACAAAGAACAGAATACCAGATGATAAATTTAAGTAGTAATTGGTCTTAGAAAAAAAAAAGGTCAAATTCATGCTGAAAACTACTGCTCCAATGAAACTAAACACAAATCTTTTTTTTAATGGGTACAAAAATAGGGATGGGGTTACTGACAACTGGGCAGTTGCTATGGGCAGTAGATATCAATATGGGCAGTAGATACCCATATTGGAAGATAACATGTCAGAAATCAGAATATAAGCCAGAAAAATAAATATTCTTGTCTCATTCGTTTTACTATAATGTGTATTTGCAGAAGTCGCTTCTGAAAAATGAACAGGCAAATAATTCAAATTTTGGATAAAAGACGTAGAGTAGAATTTGGACATCTGGATTTTCCCCTATTAACCTGATTTATGTCTTGATGTATTTGCTTCAGATTATAAACCCCGATTCGCAACTCTAGAGCAACTTAAAGCGAGAAGATGGAAAAGAGATCTTTTGTTTAAAATCAATGAAGATAAAGGCAGAATCACGGTACTGAGGTATAATAGTATTTAACATTTAACTCCATATAATATGTAATAAATGAAAACAGAAATTTTGCTCTGTGTAGTTTTGCATTTGAAGCCACTTTTGAAATGTTCTCGAACACCAATCTCTTGTCTTCTGTGCTAAGCGTTTACTCATATGGCTTGTAACCTCCCTAGTACTGCATACAGAAAAAAATTCTGATCTCAGAAAGAACTCACCTTAATTGAAAAATTGATTCATAAAAAAGAATCTAAAATGGCCTATTTCATTTGAAAAAAAATGCTAAAAATTACATAAAAACAAATGTATGATGGATTGTGAGGTGAAGGATAATAAAAAGAAGAAAAACAAAAAGAGAAGCAGCTTTGGATTGGGGAGTAAGAAAAGTGAAAATAAAAGAAAGAATTTCATGACAATGCGAACTACCAGAAAGGCATACTGATTCACTGCTGCAAAACCTCTATCTCTGGAAGTCTTTAAAAGAAAAGATAAGTGTTCATTACAGTGCCTGACCCTTCCCTTAGAGAAGCCCTGTGAACTTTATGGGACAGAGTGACGAAAGCAGATAAGGAAAACAGTGGAGAAAATCTCTGGCATCCACCACTGAGTCTAGGAGGGAATTTTGGTGGTCACATATCCTGTGACCTTCAGTTAAGACTGCAATAGCACTAGTTAATGTCAAATTTCAATCGTCATTCAACATGTTTTCTTCTGAGATCTGAGCGATGTCTAACGTTACTCTTGCTTTTTATAGAAAGAAAATGTAGCTCACAGCTCTCTAACACCTTAAGAGGGAAAAATGAAGAGGAAATGACTGGATGCAACATTTGTGGAGCAATTTAATAATATACAATTTTAGAGCTAGACTAATAGTAACTATTCCCTGTATATCTAGAAAGGGATTCAAAGAAGCCAGTGGGCTGAGTACTATGCAAAAAAAGGTGACTCATCCAAACTAATAAATATCATTATTTTGGTCAAAAAGCAGTGCATCGCTGAGAAAAATAGATATGACATTGGATAGCAACGACAGAATGGATTGCCTGTCGCTTTGATGTTATTCTGGGGGAAAAGACATTAAAATAAGACACATTTTAAAGGATGTGCATATCATTAAAATAGTGCAGGAGGCCTTGCCTCTTATTTTCTTTCCTTTATATTTAGCTCACTCTCTGAATGGCCCATCTATGGCAGATTTGTCAGAAAGCCTTACTTTCTTAGTGGCCAAATCTTAACTGCTGAGAATAACTCTTGGATACATTTCATCCAAGTGATGTAAAGTTCTGGGAGAAGCATTATTCTTAGGGTCAGACTGACTTGGCCTTGATTTTTTGTTTTGGCACTTTATAATTTTTGATCGTAGGAAAGTTAATTAACTCTCTCACCACAATATTTTACCCACTTTTTCTTAAACTCCACAGTGAGTTTGTAATTCCTCTTCTTCAGAAGGACTATTTTGAAAATTAGATATAACATCTGTAAATTGCTCAGCGCAGCATGTTGTAAACACAATAATATAACATTTACAAGCATACCACGTTTTACTGCACTTCACTTTGTTGTTCTTTACAGATGTGTTTTTTACATATTGAAGATCTGTGGCAACCTTGTGTCCAACAAGTCTATCCATGCCGTTTTTCTAACAGCGTGTGCTTACTTTGGGTCTCTGTGTCACATTTTGGTAACTCTCACAATATTCCAAACGTTTTCATTATTATTATATCTGTTATGGTGATTAGTGGCCTTGGATGTCACTATTATAATTGCTTTTGGATACCACAAACCAGGCCTAGATAAGAGGGCGAACAATCAATAAATGTGTGTGCTATGATTACTCCACTGACCAGCCATTTTCCCATCTCTCTCTTTTTCTTCTGGCCTATTTCCTGACACACAACAATATTGAAATCAGGCCAATTAATAACCATAAAATGGCATCTTACGTGTTCAAGTGAAAAAGAGTCATGCATATCTAACTTTATATCAAAGGTAGAAATGATTAAGCTTAGTGAGAAAGACATGTCAAAAGCCAAGATAAGCCAAAAGCTAGACCTCTTGCACCAAATAGTTTGCCAAGTTGTGACTGCAAAGGACAAGGTCTTGAAGAAAAGTAAAAGTTATATTCCAGTTAACACATTAATTACAAAAAAGCAAAACAGCTTTACTGCTAATATTGAGAAAGTTTTAGTGGTCTGAACAGAAGATCAAACCAGTCCCAACATTCCTTTAAGCTAAAGCCTAATCCAGAGAAAAGATTAATTCTATGAAGGCTGAGAGGTAAGGAAGCTGCAGAAGAAAACGCTGAAGCTAGCAGGGGTTGGTTCATGAGGTTGAAGGAAAATAGCTATCTTCATAACAAAAAAGTGCAAAGTGAAGCAGCAAGTGCTGATGAAGAAACTGCAGGAAGTTATCCAGATCTAGCTAAAGTAATTCATGGAGGTGGCTACACTAAACAGCAGATTTTCAATGTAGATGAAGCAGCCATAGAGTGAAAGAAGATACCATGTAGGACTTTCATAGAGAAAAGAAGTCAATGCCTAGCTTCAAAGCTTCAGAGGACAGGCTGAGTCCCTTGTTAGTAGCTAATGCATTTGACAACTTTAAGTTGAAACCAGTGCTCATTGACCATTCTGCAAAACCTAGGGCACTTAAGAATTACGCTAAATGAACTGAGCCTGAACTCTATAAATGGAACATCAAAGCCTGAATGACAGCACATATTTTCGTAGCATGGTTTACTGAATATTTTAACCCAACTGTTTAGATCTGCGGCTGAGAAAAAAAGATTCCTTTCAACATATTACTGCTCATTGCCAATGTACCTGGTCAGTCAAGAGCTCTAATGGAGACATGCGAGCAGATTAAAGTTGTTTTCATTCTTGCTAACACAACATTCATTCTATAGTCCATGAATCAAAGAATAATTTTGATATTCAAATCTCATTAGTTAATAAATATATTTTCCATGGGTATAGCTGCATTAAATTGTGATTCCTCTGATACATCTGTGTAAAATAAATTGAAAATTATTTGGATAAGTTTCACCATTCTAGATGCCATTAAAAACATTCATGATTCATGGGAGGGAGGTCAAAATACTAACATTAACAGGAGTTTGGAAGAAGTTTATTCCAACCCTCATGGACAATTTTGAGAGGTTCAAGACTTCAGTGAAGGAAATCACTGCAGATGTGGTAGAAATAGCAAGAGAACTAGAATTAAAAGTGCAGCCTGAAGATGTGACTGAATTGCTCCAATCTCATGATAAAATTTTAACAGATGAGGAGTTGCTTCTTAAGGATGAGCAAAGAAAATGGTTTCTTGACATAGAAACTACTACTGGTGAAGATCCTGAGGACATTGTTGAAATAAAAATAAAGGATTTACAATATTATGTAAGCTTAGTTGATAAAGTGGCAGCAGTGAGAGGACTGACTCCAATTTTTTAATGAAGTTCTACAATGGGTAAAATGCTATCAAACAGCACGGCAGGCTACAGAGAAATCTTTTGTGAAAGGAAGAGTCAATTGATGCAGCAGACATCACTGTTGTCTTATTTTAAGAAATTGCCAGGCCAGGTGTGGTGGCTCATGCCTGTACTTCCAGCACTTTGGGAGGCCAAGACAGAAGAATTACTCAAGTCCAGGAATCCAATACCAGCCTGGGCAACATGGCAAAATCCTGTTTCTACAAAAAAAAAAAAAAAATGCCACAGCCACTCCAACCTTTAGCAACCACCACTCTGATCAGTCAGTAACCATCAATATTGAGGTAAGACCTTCCACCAGCAACAAGATTACTATCCCCTGAAGGTGCAGATGATCTTCAGCATTTTTTAGCAATATTTTTAAACTAAGGTATATACATTTTAAAAGACATAATGCTCTTGCACATTTAATAGACTATAGCTTAATGTAAACACAATTTTTATATGCATTGGGAAACCAAAAAAAAAAAAATCTGAGAGATTTGTATTTATCAGTATTTCACTTTATTGCAATGGTCTGGAACTGAGCCCACAATATCGTCGAGGTATGCTTATTCTATAAATACCGTTAAGTGTTAATGTTGATTCCTTTCTATTTCTCTCCTTTATCCCCACAAGATTTGTATTTATCAGCATTTTTCCTGTACTTGGAATTATTTTTACAAGTGGTGTCTAATTATCCTATCTCCTCTCTTATGTAATTAGAAGCCAATCAGTTTTTCCCTCCACCCTATCCCACAGGACAAAGAAAGTGCTTAATGTTTGTCAGTATTATTTTTCAACCATTATATTAAAAATTCAAATCTCCAAAGATACAGCTATTGATACTATTGTTATCTTTGGTCAGAAACCCTCAAAAGCTCAAAAGATTTACATGTTTTTGGGGGCTTTTACTATTAAAATGTACTTAAAAAGAGCATATGAAGGCAAAATGAATGAGAGGAATAAAGACAAAGTATATCCTTGTAAATATGACATACTGAAGAAATGAAGTATACTATTTGACTGTACTGAGATTATTAAAAATTAACTAATAATAAAGGGTACACTTTTGATTTACCTGTCATAAGTCAAAAAAACAAAGAATACGACGTCACTATGATATTTCTGTTTTCTAATCCCTATAATAAATTGAACTAA
Organism: Homo sapiens; assembly: GCF_000001405.40. Lineage (NCBI taxonomy): Eukaryota > Metazoa > Chordata > Mammalia > Primates > Hominidae > Homo > Homo sapiens. Next base: position 92,519,558 of record NC_000023.11, on the reverse strand, counting down.
TTAGAACAGATAGGTTAATACCCTTTTTGATAGATGAGTTCATAGTCACTAATGATATATTTTTATCTTGAGCAAAGAAGGAGTCATAATTAATTATACTTAAGTACGTTGCCAGAATGATATTAATTTAATCATAAAGTAAAAATAAAAAGATAAAGCACATATAAGATGGCATTAGGAGAGGGGAAGAGATCAATTTTGTATCATGTTTTGATAGAGATAATAAAGAAGTCTATTTGCTAGTATAATAGAAGGATAAATACAAGTTTGGCTTCAATTATGAATGAGATAACACCCAATTCCACTGCTGCCTACTGTGTGAGCTTGAGTGAGTTACTCATCTTCTCTATATGGATTTCTTCATCTGCCAATACATTGTATTAAGCACTAGGCGTGTGTAATGTATTATCACAACAAATGAAGTTTTATGAAGCATTATGGTCCTCATTTTGCAAATGAAGAAATGTGGTTCAAAATGTCCAAGGCCAAACAGTATAGTAAGCAGCAGAATCAGAACTTAAAAAATTTTTTTCCAGCCCTTTGGGAGGCTGATGAAGGCGGATCACGAGGTCAGGAGATCAAGACCATCCTGGCTAACACGGTGAATCCCCGTCTCTACTAAAAATACAAAAAAATTAGCTGGGTGTGGTGTCGGGCACTTGTAGTCCCAGCTACTCGGGAGGCTGAGGCAGGAGAATGGCATGAACCTGGGAGGTGGAGCTTACAGTGAGCCGAGATCACACCACTGCACTCCAGCCTGGGCGACAGAGCGAGACTCCGTCTCAAAAAAAAAAAAAAAAAAAAAAAAAATTTTATTGGTAAGCCATAGTGAATGTTCCCTGCAAGATTTAATTTGTATCTAGGGAACTTTTCTTTTGCTAGCATGCTCGCAGAAGGTCTTAAACAGGCCAAGCTAGGATATAATCCTGAAGGCCCTGATTATTCTACCTTTTGTAAGGTTGAGGAAAGAGGACTTACATAAGCAAGTCAAGTAGGTCACTGGACCAAGTGGAAAATATAAAACATTGGCTCCTTTTAATCGTTACAAAGATTGTGATGTTCAAGAAGATAAATTGACTCAGTTAAGTAGATCCATAGCAGACTCCTTAACATTCACTGGATTGAGTTTACAGAGTATGTATATATATACTTCATATATGTGCACATGCACACACACATAGTTTTGTGATTATTATTGCTAAGGAAGCTCTAATAACAATATCCACATGATAGGTAAGGATAAAGTAAATGAAACTTACAGGAAGATTTTGACAAACATGGAAAGACATTTCACAAAGGGAAAACATATCACATTTACTTCTCAATTTGGATGAGTTTACTGATATTTTTCAAGATAAAAGTTCAGTTAAACCCACAGAATTAATTAACACAAAGAGGTTTAGGGCAGATAGGAAAGAGATTCAACTTAAAAAACTATTTAAAATTATGTGATAGTTTTTACATACTGTTTTGCTTAAACCAACCAATAAAAAAAGAGAAATCAATCCATCAATTTTGAGATTAATCTATCATCTTAGAGCAAGCAATTTTTACCAAAAGAAGACAGAGCTGAGCCCCTGTGAATGAAAATGCTATCATTGCACTGTGACAATATTTGTTAAAAATCACAGAAGTCAACAATTACAGAGTATAGTTTGATGGACTTGATATATGAAAACAGTAACATTTTTTACAAATAGAGAAAAAACTTTATTGAATCAGGTAGCATTGCTCAAGAAGTATTTCACCCAAAGTTTATGGATGTAACTTTTCATGATAGGAAGTGAAGCTGGGAAGAGAAGATGGAAGGGGAAGCCTACTTCACATAAATGTCTGAATTAAGTGAATACTTTAGAAAATAAATTTGATTTTATTAATTTTCGTATAATTAATGCTATATATATTTAGGCAGAAATAAAAATCCCATGAGATAAAATTTAATAAAGACACAAATCCCATTTAAAATGAGCAGTCCTTTTTATACAGTTGGCTATTTAATGTTATATATTTAAGACCAGTGTTCTGGTACACTGTATTTCCCTTGAAAACTAGTTCACATGATTAATTTTCTTATCTCAAAGTTTATTTCACTGGGCATAAAGCAATCCATGTTTGAATTAGCACGAAGGCTATGGAAAGTTTAAACCATTGCCAGCTTTACCAAAAGAATGGTAATGTGATGTAGCTATGTCACTACTAATTGTTGACAATTTTCTCAAGAGCCTGAATTGGCTTTCAGAGAGATCTCTGATGCAATTCCAACTCACATTTGAAATTTGGTATGCACGCACACACACACTCAAGCTCTGTTTTTTGTATTTTGGGTTTTTTAAATGCACAGACAATTGCAACAAAAGAAGGGAGGATAAAAGTTATAGGATAGGGTAGAATAGGGAAGGTTCGAATCATTCAGATTATTGTTATCTATTCTCCAATTTGCCCTTGATGGGAAACAATTAATAAAATCTTGGGTACTGTGAGACATTATTTAGTTCACATTCAGCCTGGACAATACCTCACATAAATCAATCCAGGCTTACGTTCTCACAATCTTTCACAAAAAGTCATTCTTTTATTTAGCAAGTCATTGTCAGAAAAACACCCAGTCGTGCCTATCATAGATCACCTTATCTTACATTTCTCTTGCCAGGTCAGTCCCTTTTCTCTACAATGGTCCTGAAGATGGCAGATGCCAAATGTTAGAAAGATACTGTTCTCTGAAATGAACCTTCATATCTAGATGGTTGTGTTTGTGGTTGAGGTTGTTGTCGTCGTTTGACATTGTGTGTTTTATTTTCTAACACAGGAGGAAATTAAGAAAATTGTAAAATCTGAGTCTTTATAAGACAGATTGATTACCTCTATAAATATAATGCAAATGCATACTTTGGAAAATACACTGATCATATTTGAAATTCTAAATTATTTATAGTAAACCTATATGTAAACTATAGTTTAATTATATGATTCAGTAATCTTTTTTCCCCCTTGGGATTTGATTTTTTACTAGTCTCAGCGTTGTATATTAAAATTTTTGTTGTTGCTAAACTATGTGAACTAGAAAGCATTTTTCAAAATACTTTTTTCCGTTAGAAGATAAAACCTATTCTCATATTCCACTTCTGTTAACAAAAAGTCAGACATTAATCAAGCTGAAAAAGCTTCATTTTATTTCTTCATTTCCCCAAGGGTTCACCAGTACATTTCACAGAATCTTTTATTGTCTGAACTTCATCATATCAAGACTTTTGTTTAGTCCTGTTCTGTTTTTATTTAGAATCATCATCTTTTCCCTGTTTCTTTTCTAAAATCCACATGCTTTTCAACCTCCTATGACTGGAAATAGTCTAAGATCACCAGTCAAGTTGGCACAAACATGATTGCCAGGGATTAACAACCCCTCAATTCAATAGGCAGAATTATGTTCACACAGCTGAGAAGATATAAATCAGTCACTTTTCTAATTAGGTTCCAAGGTTGATGGAATTATCAAGACTTCACCTGGTAAAATAGAAGCTTATAAGCAGAAAAAGGTCTATGAGTCTTTCCTCTTTATTTGAACACGATATGAACTATACCCATTTACTGAATCATGAGCAGTATAACATTGCAAGAGAACAATTTCTTTTTCATTTGACCTACTGCTTCCCTAGGTATATTTGCAAATGAAAGACATTTTCCAATAGAAAATATCAAACATGTATCCAAGTACTTTGTAATAACACTAAATTTGTAATATTACTTAGAGCAATTATTATTATTATTGCTATTGTACAGAAAAAAATTGTCATTGCTTTCAATATGGTGGGTAGCTTTTTCAGATGAAGAAATTTTAATTAGATGACCCTTTTTTGATGGAAACATATTTTATTAACTAAAAGTAAGGGTACATTATAAACTTAATGCTAAAATGCCACACACACACACACAGATACATTTTTCTTATCTTCAGCAGTTGGACGACTGGTAATGCGTTAGCGGTAAATAGGTAACCCTTTTATCATTTGTGTTTTAGTCCATAACGTGTCATGGGAGCCCGCGGCGGCGGCGGCTACAGCGAAATGGCGGAGTCCATGGCTGACACCCAGTGGCTGATCACCAAGCCGCAGAACCTGAATGACGCCTACCGGTCCCCCAGCAACTTCCTTGAGATCTATGAGCAACGGGCAGACTGTCGGGGGCGGCTGGGGCCGCTTCACCACCTTCGAAATCAGGGTCAAGGCTACCCTTTCTTTAAATTCACATAAGAACATTTGGACATTTGGACTTTGAATTCTAGACTTATTAACTTAGGGTATTTGCAAAAATATTCTTTATGAAATAATAAGAAATGAGAATTGACTAGTAAATAAACGAAAAATATGCTCAATATGTATCTCCCTGAAACACGTATTATAGTACTATTTGAAGACTTACCTTTTCTTATAAGATAAATCAATACATATGACAAGAGTTAGAGTCGGTTTTGAAGGATAAGGGTGATTCTTTTCTTTTCTTTTTTTTTTTTTTTTTGAGGTGGAATCTCGCTCTGTCGCCCAGGCTGGAGTGCAGTGGCGGGATCTCAGCTCACTGCAAGCTCCGCCTCCCGGGTTCACGCCATTTTCCTGCCTCAGCCTCCCGAGTAGCTGGGACTACAGGCACCCGCCACCACGCCTGGCTAATTTTTTGTATTTTTAGTAGGGATGGGGTTTCACTGTGTTAGCCAGGATGGTCTCGATCTCCTGACCTTGTGATCTGCCTGCCTCGGCCTCCCAAGGTACTGGGATTACAGGCGTGAGCCACCACGCCCGGCCGGGTGATTAATTTTTAATATTTATTTATTATTTTTGAGATGTAGTCACGCTCTGTCACCCAGGCTGGAGTGCAGTGGGGAGATCTTGGCTCACTGCAACCTCCACCTCCCGGGTTTAAGCTATTCTCCTGCCTCAGCCGCCCGAGTAGCTGGGATTACAGGTGCACGCCACCACACCCAGCTATTTTTTTGTATTTTTAGTAAAGATGGGGATTCACCATGTTGGCCAGGCTGGTCTCGAACTCCTGGCCTCAGGTGATCCACCCACCTCGGCCTCCCAAAGTGCTGGGATTACTGGCGTGAGCCACCCAGTGGGCGATTTAAAGGTATTAATTTTGATCACTTCAAACTGTTAAGCCAGATGCCCTAAAATAATTATAACCAAAACCGATTTGAGAAAACTAAACTTTATCTGATCTTATTCCGCCTCCTTATTCACAAAATGCTGGTGAGAACATAAAATGGCACAGCTGCTTTGGAAAACAGTTTGGCAGGTCTTAAAGCATAGAGTTACCATATGAACTGGGTATTTCACTCCTAGGTATATATCCAAGAGAAATGAAAACATAAAAGTGTCTGTGCACAGAGACTCATACATGAATGTTTATAGAAGAATTGCTCATAGTAGCCAAAAAGTAGAAACAAGGCAAACTGATGAGCGGATAAACAAAATATGTCATGTCCATACAATGGGATATTAGTCCACCATAAAAAGTAATGGAGTACTGATACATACTACAATATGGATTAGCCTTAAAAACACTATGCTAAGTGAAGCCAGATAACATACTGTACAATTCCATTTATATTAAATGTTCAGAATATAACTATATGAACAGAAAGCAGACTAGTGGTTGCTCAGAATTGGGGTGGCCACAGTCTTTCTTGGGGTGAGGAAAAGTGTTCTAAAATTGGGTCATGGTGATGGTTGTAGAAGTCTGTAAATTTGTTAAAAATCATTGAATTGTACATTTATAATAGGTGAATTTCCTGGTATATAATTTATACTTCAAAGAATCTGTAAAAAACTACGTATTGAAAGATGAAGAAGTCAATGTGAAGAACTTTATGAAAATAACAATACAAAAGGAAAAAAAGTACTTTTCAAATTGAAAAGTTTAAATGAAAAAAATGTTGACATAAGTGAATCTTCAGAAGCTTAACCCTCATTTCAAGCCTGAGTTGTTAAGATTTTCAATAGAAATAATATTTATACATTGAGATGTTTTATAGCCAATAGAAAACCTCATGAAATTTTACCTTATGTGGTGGCCAGAATTCTAATATTCTCATTTTGTGTAATACCAAACATTAAGGAATTACTCACTATGCGTTATTCTTATCAATTCCATAAGCCTCATATCCCCTTTTACTTCCAAAGTTTCTTCATTATTTTTGCTAGTAATATTTTTAGCACCCTCACAATATAAAGGTTGTTACTTTCTTAGTTGGAAATGCTTCTTCTTGTCATCACCAGTAAAATAACAATTTGCATAGTTTTGTGGGTTTTGTTTTAGAAAGAACAGGTGAAACTTTTAAGTTATTCAAATTGCAATGGGTATGTGTACACATGTATATTAAAAATTCATTCACCATTGAGTTACCACTTTTGTTCGGATTTTAACAATAGTAAGCATACGAATATACTATTTGTGTATTTTATAACTATAAAAGAACTAACTTGTACTGAATAAGCACCACCCTAAATGTTTTACAATCATTCTCTCTCAATTAATCCTCATATTAAATATAGCTGACCCTTATTGAAGACCTAATCTATGCCAGGAACTCTTCCAAAAACATTGGATACATCATCTCTCATTTACTCTTCAAAGCATTTCCATGAGGTAGGTACTAATATTATCTCCACCTGAGAGATTAGAAAACTGAGGCATAATTAAGTAACTTGCCCATGACCATATAGCTAATAATTGCAGAGATGAGAGTAAAAATTTAGTCAAGAACCATGGTCTTAACCACTACATGATGTTGCCTTCTACTTTGTATTAAAATTTCAAGCTTTATTTCAAAATGATCTAAAAGACTTTGATTTAATAAATTCACTTAAAAAATTACTCTTCCCATTGTGCTCGAGCCCTCTGTACACTCACTGTGACACGCTGGCTCAGTTTTGTGGCGTATAGATGCAAAGATACTATGATTTTAATTAGACATTTTTCTTTCTTTTGCATATCATCATTTAAGTATCCTTCTAGTAATTTCCTCCTAGCTAAATAATTTACTTCTTAGGAGAAACTCATCTCAATTTCATATTTCATAAACCCAGTCTCCTCAAAACATTTTAGTTGGCTCTCTAAAAATATTTTAACATGATGAAGAAAATTCTGATGAATTTATTATCATTATATTATGTCCCCAAATAGTTCCCAGTATTAATATGTGAGCTACAATCTACTGATCTTGAAAATGTAGTCATCAAAAGCTGTTAAACTTTCCATGAAGTGTCTGTCTTTTCATAAGAGGAAGCACTGATTTAATTCAATGAATCACATAGACAAAATTATTTTGCTTTCTGAGAGGTACTGATAAAAGTACAGGTGTGTGCATTAATATGCTGGTGCCTTAGAGAAAGAGACTATTATGACAGTATGGTCTTCATATAGTATATGGTATGTGAAATCAGCTTCTTTAATGATAAGGCTTCCAAAAATTCTGATTTGTAATACATTGCCTTAACAGCAAGTAACAGGACATATTATACTTGAGGAAGAGGTCCCCCACAGCATCATTTTATAAGAATCCATATTTCAAGGAATATTTTTAAGCAGAAGCACAGACAAGACATTACAATGTGATGCCACGGATAAAGGCCATATTGAATTTCTGCTAAGTTTGCCATCAAGAAGCTAGAGCTGTTATACCCTTAGGCACCCCCTCATCTTCCAGAAATGCGGAAGTTCCTTGATAGCTTTTGATAAGAGTATGTACACCATCAGGAAGCAAATAATGTATTGTGGAATTTCAGGCCTTTTTTCTGCTATACTGAATTGTTTCCTAAAAAATATAAGAAAGTCTGGTCACAAACAGTGTCTTGCCACTGATCTCTCTCACTAGAATGCATCAACGTAGAAACATACTGAATTAAGACTGGATTTTGGTCTCATCTAGTGCAGTTAACTTCTCTGTATCTCACTTTATGGAATCATAATGCTAACAGCAACAAAAACAATAGCTACAATCAATAATTTAGAAAATACTCTGTGACAGGCATGGCACTTAGTGTTTAAAAAAATTATTTCATTGAGACTGGTTGCATTATATAGTTTCACAGTTGAAACAAATTAGGCTAACAACTAAATAATACAATAATCAAACTCAGACTGACTCTCCAAAACTGCTCTTTTTCAGTCACATTAACATTGGCTATTTGCCCCCCTACTACCTAAGAATGCAATTGTGAGGGTTAAGCGTCTCTGTTGTCCCTTCTGATGTAAGTAACTTCCAGTGACATGTTTTAATGACACCATCCATGCAACTGTCTCTTCCTGGAGTCAATACAATTTACTGAGAATTCTAAAATTACACAGCTGCCACAGAAATGCATCTCAGACCTATATCGCAGATACTAATAGATATCACAGACACTAATAGATATCACAGGTGTACTAATCTCTCCAGTGAGATTGCATATGAATGTGTATTGGCCACCTGTAAAGATACTGGTCAGAAAAGGAATTTCTACAGGCCATCCTTTTCTATTCCTAAATTACATCTGGGGAAACTATAGGTGCTATAGCACCACCAACCACACTCAGCGCTTCTGTCTGCAGTCTGAACATTTGGCAACTTTAAAAGGTATTGCTAAATGTTTATTTCTTAGAGATAAACTTGAGATAATTGAAAGTCTGAGGATGAATTTCCATAATTTAATAATACTTTTTATGCACAGTAATTTAAAAGCAGAGTGAATCTGATGTGTTTGGGGAAGTCGTACTCAAAAATCTGGAGATGAATTAGGATAAGACAAACTGAATTTTTTAATAATCTAATCGAATACAAAAGCAGGAGAGTTCTATTAAGAGAACATGCACCTTCTAGAACTATCCAAGATACAGTCTGTTAACACAAGGAGGCATTGTTAGGAATACTAAATCAAATCCACCCCAAAACCTGAATCCCTACCGGATAATAAGTGAGGTTGCTGCAGCAGCATAGTCCTCTTTTCAAGGTCTCTTCGGGATAATTTAGTGCCTTGAAAATTGACAGTAATGCACTAAATGCCCTTAGGTTAAAGCTTCATAGGTTAAGAAGTAGAGATTTGTAGCAATTATTATACCAGGACAATTCAGACAAAAACCCTTTCCTGAATTTATACTGATAGTTACTTTAAAAGATACAGGGACTGGCATTTGCAAGATTGCCTCTCTTTTATTTAACTTTTTTAATCATGTTGACACAGCTAAAGTGCTTCTCTTATCCACAAGTTGCTACTCAAGAAGAGGGGAAAACAGCCTTCATTAGTTATTACCAAATGAATGAAATACAGTGTCAGATTAGGATACCTCTATAGACAAGATGTTATAGCCTGGTAATGATCCCTGTTAGTTACACTTCAATGTTGTCCTCAGTAAGTTATAAATTTCAACTACAACAAGATACAGGTTTGTTCTGAATAAAATAAACATTTTATTTCACTCACCCTGAAATTGTATACTGCAGGTTTGTTTTCACACAAGCCTGACCATTATAACCTTCCAAATTAAAATGTCAAGATGGACAACATATTGTTACATTATTAAATATTCTATAATTTTCAAGCTAGATTCTCACTCCAATTGTTTATTATAAATGTGGGCATATTTCAATATTAGTCTCAGAAAAAGGAAAAGATATTAAGGCTCCAGTGAGCATATGACTAAGGAAAATTAACAAGCTATCTCAAGAATAAGTTGTTTCTTTGTACCGATAATTTTATAAGTTGCACAGAGAAGCTTTTATGAACCTGATTTTTGGCTAGCTGAACAATTATTTGCCCAGAGGAAAGGATGCAAAGTAACTGCTATGAAGCATCACCTGTAAATCAGAATCTAGACTACAAACCAGATCACCTAACTCTTATCCTCACGTTTCCCCACATATGTCATGTTGCCCTTCTTAAAATGCAGAACAAACAAGTAAGCAAAATATTACTGAGACAATATTAGCTCTTATAATAAATAACAGGGAAGGTGTTATCAATAAGAAACTCAGATTGCTTTCAAATAATACTTATCTCAAAGAAGATGAGAATCTGAAACAGAAATCATTTTGCAGAATTATAAGAACATGTCTCAGAAAAGAAAATATTTCTTGTCACTATTAAAACTTTTTATGTGATGTTTTTATCCTTAAATAATCAGGATAAACAGATTCTTGAGTTACAATTTATTTGAAGAAATTATATGTCTAGTGCCAGAGTGTCAATCATTGTAGGATTTAAAACGTGGGCCAATCTGGTATACCCATTCAGCTGCACCCCCACTTCAACATCATCTACAGTGAAAATTTCCATCCCATCATTTGAGCTAAGAAGCAAATCTTACAATTTATTACAGACTTCCTGCACTGGATAATGGTCCAATTGATGGTATGTGACAGAGCAGCTTAACTTCAAGAGCAACTGCTGCTTTCTGTAACTGCTGTCACTTTTGCTTTCCTCATCTTCACCTTCATAAACAATTTCCTTGTTGCTGCTTTAATTTTGAGATGTCTTGTTTCCCAGGGAAATTGCTATGAGAGTGAATAAAAATAGGTGGCTGTAAAGTATTTTTCCCAATATAAACATTAATTTTTGCTTAACAATCATAATTGCAGAGCAGTGGCTAATACCAGACCTTTTGTTTTCATAGCCAATATGAATAAATGGTCAACGTCTCATGTGGGCAAAACTCTTCACTTTTCAAATGATAAATAATCCATTGAGGCAGGAAATAAAGCTTTTAAAATTAATTTTTATGATCTTAATATTAAATAAGAAAATTGCATGTGCTTCAGGCAATTTAGAAATATATTATTTCAAAATTTTTTATATACAAAATTATTTTCAGGCATATTACCTTAAAATTGTGGGTGTATTTCTGTCCCAAGTGCTATTTTTAATTTTACCATATTCTATTTATTTTTATATTGATTTATAATAATGGGTTTATTTAAGTCTTAGCTTTATATCATTTTTAAAATATCAATAAAGCATTATAAATTTTGAAAGGGCTGTAATGTGTTAGTATTAAGAAGGTCCTGTGGTTTGGCCAGGCACAGTGGCTCACGCCTGTAATTCCAGCACTTTGGGAGGCTGAGGCAGGTGGATCACGAGGTCAGGAAATCGAGACCATCCTGGCCAACATGGTGAAACCCCGTCTCTACTAAAAATACAAAAGCTATCTGGGTGTGGAGGCACGTGCCTGTAATCTCAGCCACTTGGGAGACTGAGGCAAAGAATCACTTGAACCCAGGAGGCAGAGGTTGCAGTGAGCCTAGATCATGCCACTGCCTTCCAGTCTGGGCTACAAGAGCAAAATTCTGTCTCAAAAACAAAAAAAACAACAAAAAAAAACAAAGTAGAGTTACTATCTTAACTGCAGAAAGTACTGAACACTATATATACTATGCTTTTTTCTATTCATGCATATAAATGATAAAATTTAATTCATCGGACTGGGTGCGGTGGCTCACGCCTGTAATCCCAGCATTTTGGGAGGCTGAGGTCGGCAGATCACTTGAGGCCAGGAGCTTGAGACCAGCCTGGTCAACATGGTGAAACCCCGTCTCTACTAAAAATACAAAAAAATTAGTCATGTATGGTGGCGGGCGCCTGTAATCCCAGCTACTGGGGAGGCTGAGGCAGGAGAATCTCTTGAACCCAAGAGGTGGAGGTTGCAGTGAGCCAAGACTCTGCCACTGCACTCCAGCCTGGATGACAGAGTGAGGACTCTGTTAAAAAAAAAATGTTCCTGTGGTTCAATATTAATATTCTTGTTTCTTTTTTGGATTTTATTTTCCTATTTAGTTTCCTTTGAATTCACATTCTCTTAGGAGCATGCTAGGTCAAAGCAGTGCTTCCTCTTCCTGTTCATTTCAAGGCCAGCATCAAACAATAGTTCCCACATAAGTTTTTCTTTCAGTATCAATCACATATTTAGTATCCAAACGTAAAACCAGATGATTTAGCTGAACTTTGTCCTGCATATTTTGATTTTAAATGAATATAATGTCAGTTTCCAAATATTGCATCTTATTTAAAAAAAATCAAAATAGAGTCAGCTCTCACCAATCTAGCCCAACCGAGGACAGTAGCAAGGATAAACCGGAAGATGAAGCACTTTGAAACTAATGAGAACAAAGATACAATATACCAGAATCTCTGGGACACAGCTATTAAAGCAATGTTAAAAGGAACGTTTATAGCCCTAAACACCCACACCAAGAAGTTAGAAACAGCTCAAATTAGCAACATAATATCACGCCTAGAGAACTAGAAAAACAAGAGCAAACCAACCCCAAAGCTAGCAGAAGACAAAAGATAACTAAAAAATCAGAGATGAACTGAATGAATTTGAGACACATGAAAACATACAAAAGATCAATGAATTCAGAAGTTTGTTTTTTGAAAGAACAAATAAGTGTGAAGGATTACTAGCTAGACTCAAAGAAAAAAAGAGGGAAGATACAAATAAGCACAGTCAGAAATGAAAAAGGGGGCTTTAATACCAACACAGAGACATACAACACAGAGACATACAAACCCTCAGAGACTATTATGAACACCTGAATGCACAGAAAATAGAAAATCTAGATGAAATTGATACATTCCTGGCAACATAAAACCTCTGAAGATTGAACCAGGAATAAATTGCAACATGAAAAGCCCAATAAGGAGTTCTAAAGTTGAATCAGTAATGAAAAGCCTAACAAACAGAAAAATCCCAGGACCAGGTGGATTCACAGATGAATTATAACATATGTATAGAGAACAGCTTGTATCATTCCTTCTGAAATGATTCCAAAAAATTATAGAATGATACTAGCATTATTCTGAACCAAAGCCTGACAGAAACACAACCAAAAAAATAAATTTCAGGCAAGTATAATTGATGAACCTAGATACAAAAATCCTCAAAAAAAAAAAAAAAACTAGCAAACTGAATCCATTAGCACATCAAAAACTAATTTACCACAATCAAGTAGGCTTTATTCCTGGGGTGCAAAGTTGTTGCAACATATGGAAATAAAAAATATGATTCATCATATAAACAGAACATCAAAAATGACATGATCATCTGAATAGATGCAGAAAAGGCTCTTGATATAATTAAACATCCCTTCATATTAAAAAATCCTCAACAAACTAGGCATTGAAGGAACTTACATAAAAATAATAAGAGCCATCTATGACAAACCCACAGCCAACATCATACTAATTGAGCAAAAGCTAAAAGTGTTCCTCTTGAAAACCAGAACCAGACAAGGATGCTCACTCTAACTGCTCCCATTTAACACAGTACTGGAAGTCCTAGCCAGAGCAATCAGGCAAAAAAAAAAAAAAAAAAAAAAGAAAAGAAAAGAAAATGTATCCAAATAAAAAAAGAGGATAATGTTTTTAAAAGATAATGTTAAAAAAAGAATGTATGTTTATCCAAACATTAATTCAAACTATTTATGTTCACAGATCATATGATTCCATACCTAGAAAGCCCCATAGTCTCTGCCCAAAAGCTCCCATATCTGGTAAATATCTTCAGCAAAGTTTCAGGACACAAAATCAGTGTACAAAAATAAGTAGCATTTCTATATACCAACAAGATCTAAGCTGAGAGCCACATCAAGAATGCAATAACATTCACAATAACCACAAAAAGAATGAAATATCTAGGAATACAGGTAACCAGAGAGGTGAAAGATCGCCAAAACAAGAGTTATGAAACACTGCTGAATGAAATCAGAGATGACACAGCACATAGAAAGCATTCCATAGTGCCCAAAGCAATTTACACATTCAATGCTATTCCAATCAAACAACTAATGACATATTTCACAGAATTAGAAAACAAAAAACTGCTCTAAAACTTATGTGGAATCAAAAAAGAGTCTAAATGACTAAAGCAATCCTAGGCAAAAATAACAAAGCTGGAGGCATCACATTATCCAACTTCAAACTACACTACAAGGATATAATAATCAAAACAGCATAGTACTGATACAAAAACAGACACAGAGACTAATGGAAAAGAATAAAGAGCCCAGAAATAAAGCCACACACTTACAGCCATCTGATCTTCAACAAAGTTGACAAAAACAAGCAATGAGGAAAGACTCCCTATTCAATAGAAGGTGTTGAGATAATTGGATAGCCATATCCAGAAGATTGAAACAGGACCCCTTCCTTATACCATACACAAAAATTAACCCAAGTTGAGTTAAATGCTTAAATGTAAAACCTAAAACTACAAAAGCTCTGGAAGATAACCTAAGAAATACCACTCAGGACGTAGGCCCTGGCAAAAATTTAATGATGAAGACACCGAAAGAAATTGCCAAAAAAAAAAAAAAAAAGACAAGTGTGACTTAATTAAACTAAAGTGCATCTGCACAGCAAAAAAAAACAAAAAAAAAAAAAAGAAAAAAGAAAAAAGAAAAAACAACTATCAACAAAATAAACAGACAACATGCAGAATGGGAGAAAATTTATTCAAATGATACATCCAACAAAGGCCTAATATCCAGAATGTATAAGGAACTTAAACAAATTAACAAACAAAAAAACAACATACTAATTGAGCAAAAGCTGAAAGCATTCCCCATTCAAAAGTGGCCAAAGAACATGAACAGATACTTTTCAAAATAAGTCATACACTTGGCCAACAAGCATATGAAAAATTGCTCAACATTACTAATCATTAGAGAACTGCAAATCAAAACCACAATTAGTGAAAAAGGCTATTATTAAAAACCATAAAATAACAGATGCTTGAAAGGCTGCAGAGAAAAGGGAATGCATATACACTGCTCATGGCAGTGTAAATTCATTCAGCCACTGTGAAAAGCAGTTTGGTGATTTCCCAAAGAACTTAAAGGAAAACTGCCATTTGACTCAGCAATCCCATTACTGGGTATATACACAAAGGAATATAAATCCTCCTACCAGAAAAACATATGCAAACATATTTTCATCACAGCACTATTTACAATAACCAAGACATGGAATCAACCTAAATGTTCATCCATGGTTGACTGGATAAAGAAAATGTGGTACATATATGGTTGACTGGATAAAGAAAATGTGGTACATATACATGATCCAATACTATGTAGCCATAACAACAAGTGAGATTGTGACCTTTGCAGCAATATGAATGGAGCTAGAGGTCATTATCCTAAGTGAACTAATGCAGGAACAGGAAACCAAATACCACATGTTCTCACTTACAAGTAAGAGCTAAATATTAAGGATGCATGGACACAAAGAAGGGAACAATAGACACCAGGACCTACTTAAGGGAGGAGAGTGAGAGAAGAGTGAGGATCGAAAAACTATCAGGTACTATGCTTATTATGTGAGTCATGAAATAATCTGTACACCATACTCCTGCAACACAAAATTTATCTATATAACAAATCTGTACATACATCCCTGAACTCAAAATAAAAGTTTTTAAAAACATTCATAATATGAAGACAGATATTGTGCTCTGGAATGCATTTTTAAGAAGTCTTTTTTTTTTTTTTTTTGATCTTGGGTGTTTGCTGATTTGGAGCATTTGATTCAAATGAAGACATTCAGAGACACCATGAAGGTTTAGCTCTGAAACTGTGGAAAAGCTGTTCTGAACCTGGGTGCCCAGAACTCTCCCTCATCCCACCTCATGGTCATACTCTTCAATTTTCTTATTTTTAATTCGACTTTTATTTTAAGTTTAGGGGTACATGTGCAGGATTGTTACATAAGTAAACGTGTGCCATGGTGGTTTACTGCACAGATTATCCCATCACCCAGATATTAAGCCCGGCATCCATTAGCTGTTCTTCCTGATGCTCTTCCCCAACCCTACAGGTGCCCAGTGTGTGTTGTTACCCACCATGTGTCCATGTGTTCTCATTGTTCAGCTCCCACTTATCAGTGAGAACATGCTGTGTTTGGTTTTCTACTCCTGCGTTAGTTTGCTGAGGATAATGGCTTCCAACTCCATCTATGTCTCTGCAAAGCACAAGATCCTGTTCCTTTTTATGGCTGCATGGTATGCAATGAGGTATATGTACCACATTTTCTTTATCTAGTTTATCATTGATGGGCGTTTAGGTTGATTCTATGACTTTGCTATTGCAAATAGTGCTTCAATGAACATATGCATGCATGTAACTTTATAATAGAATGATTTATATTTCTTTAGGTATATATCCAGTCATGAGATTGCTGAGTCAAATGGTATTTCTGCCTCTAGGTCTTTGGGAATTGTCACATTGACTTCCACAGTGGTTGAACTAGTTTATACTCTCACAGGCAGTGTAAACGCGTTCCTTTTTCTCCACAACCTCACCAGCATCTGTTGTTTTTTGACATTTTAGTAATAGCCATTCTGACTGGTATGAGATGGTATATCATTGTGGTTTTGATTTGAGGATCTCTAATGATCAGTAATGTTGAACTTTTTTTCATATGTTTGTTGGCCACATGTATGTCTTCTTTTGAGAAGTGTCTGTTCATGTCCTTTGGCCAATTTTTTTATGAAGGTGTTTGTTTTTTTTCTTGTAAATTTAAGTTCCTTGTAGATTCTAGATATTAGACTTTTGTCAGGTGGCTACATTAAGAAATTTTCTCCCTTTCTGTAGGCTATCTGTTCACTCGGATGATAGTTTTTGTTTGTTTGTTTGTTTGTTTGTTTTTGCTGTGCAGAAGCTCTTTAATTAGATCTCATTTGTCAATTATTGCTTTTGTTGCAATTGCTTTTGATGATTTATCATGAAATTTTTGCCTCTGCTATGTCCTGAATGGTATTGCCTAGATTTTCTTCTAGGCTTTTTATAGTTTTGGGATTTACATTTAAGTCTCTAATCCATCTTAACTTTTATATATGTTGTAAGGAAGGAGTCCAGTTATAATTTTGTGCATATGGTTAGCCAGTTCTCCCAGCATTATTAATTAAATAGGGAATCCTTTTTCCATTGCTTGTTTTTGTCAGGTTTGTCAAAGATCTGATGCTTGTAGGTGTGCAGTCTCATTTCTGAGTTCTCTATTCTGTTCCATTGGTCTATGTGTCTGTTCTTGTACCATGATGTTTTGGTTAATGCAGCCTTGTAGCACTGTTTGAAGTTAGGTAGTGTGATGCCTCCTGCTTTGTTCTTTTTGCTATGGATTAACTTGGCTATTTGGGCTCATTTTTAGTTCGATATGAATTTTAAAATAGTTTTTTTTTTTAATTCCGTGAAGAATGTCAATGGTAGTTTAATGGGAATAGCATTGAATCTATAAATTACTTTGAACAGTATGGCCATTTTTACAATAGTGATTCTTCCTATCCATGAGCCTGGAATGTTTTTCCATTTGTTTGTGTCTTCTCTGATTTCCTTGAGTGGTGGTTTGTAGTTGTCCTTGAAGTGGTCCCTCACTTCCTTTGTTAGCTGTATTTCTAAGTATTTTATTCTTTTTGTAACAATTATGAATGATAGTTCATTCATGATTTTGCTCTCTGCTTGCCTTTTGTTGGTGTATAAGGATGCTAGCGATTTTTGCACATTGATTTTATATCTTGAGACTTTGCTGAAGTTGCTTATCAGCTTAAGAAGCTTTTGGGCTGAGACTATGGGCTTTTCTAGATATAGGATGATGTCATCTGCAAACAAAGATAATTTGACTTCCTCACTCCCTATTTGAATACTCTTTATCTCTTTCTCTTGCCTGATTGCCCTGGCCAGAACTTCCAATACTATGTTGAATAGAAGTGGTGACAGGGCATCCTTGCCTTGTGCCAGTTTTCAAGGGGAATGTGTCCAGCTTTTGCTCATTCAGTATGATATTGGCTGTGGGTTTGTCATATATGGTTCTTATTATTTTGAGGTCTGTTCCTTCAATTCCTAGTGTATTTAGAGTTTTAAACATAAAAGGATGTTGAATTTTATCGAAGGCCTTTTCTGCATTTATTGAAATGATCGTGTGGTTTTTGTCTGTTTATGTGATGAATTACATTTATTGATTCGCGTATGTTGAGCCAGCCTTGAATCCCAGGGATGAAGCCAGCATGATCATGGTGGATAAGCTTTTTGACGTGCTGCTGGCTTTGGTTTGCCAATATTTTACTGAGGATTTCTGCATTGATGTTCATCAAGGATATTGGTCTAAAGTATTCTTTCTTTTGTTGTATCTCTGCCAGGTTTTGGTATCAGGATAATGCTAGCCTCAGAGAATTAGTTAGGGAGGAGTCCCTCCTCTTCAGTTTTTCGGAATAGTTTTAGTAGGAATGAAACCAGCTCTTCTTTGTACTTCTGGTAGAATTCCACTGTGAATCTGTATGGTCCTGTGATTTATTTTTTAGTAGGTAGGTTATTTATTACTGCCTCAATTTTAGAACATGTTATTGGTCTGGTCAATGATTCAATTTCTTCCTTTCAGTCTTGGGAGAGTGTATGTGTCCACAAATTTATCCATTTCTTCTAGATTTTCTAGTTTATGTGTATAGAGGGATTTACAATATTTTCTGGTAGTTGTTTTTATTTCTGTGGGATCAGTGGTGATATCCCCCTTATCATTTCTGATTGTGTTTATTTGATTATTCTTTCTATTCTTCTTTATGAGTCTAGATAGTAGTCTATCTACTTTATTATTTTTTTCAAAAAAATAGCTCCTGGATTTGTTGATTTTTTTAAAAGTGTTTTTCACATCTCTGTCTCCTTCAGTTATGCTCTGATCTTGGTTAATTATTGTCTTCTGTTAGCTTTGGGGATTGCTTGCTCTTGATTCTCTAGTTATTTCAGTTGAGATGATAGGTTGTTAACTTGAGATCTTTCTAGATTTTTGATGTTGAGATTTAGTGCTATAAATTTCCCTCTTAACACTGCTTTAGCTGCATCCCAGAGATTCTGGTATGTTGTCTCTTTGTTCTCATTACTTTAAAAAAACTTATTGATTTCTGACTTAATTTCATTATTTACCCAAGAGTCATTCAGGAGCAAATAGCTGTGTGCTTTTGAGTGGATGTCTTAATCTTGCATACTCTTCAATTTTCTGCTTAAATCTTCCCTCCATCTCTCAGGCTTATATGTTATTACAAGTGTCTGACATTGCCTCTCACACTTACAGGATTTCCTTTTAGATCATCCCTGATGTTAAACAAAGGGTTTTGCTGTGTTTCCTAAAAGAAAACCAACTGGAAATATATTTACTCCTCCATTATATTTTATACCTTTCTAGATGAAGTGTAGAAATTGATGTTGTGGAAAGGGTAAAAAAGGTAGGAGAAATCAGTTGATTTTTATAGTTTCGTGTCATATTTTCACCAAATTAAACTCTGTTAAGTAGAGATATCTACAATAGAATTCAGATCCCTGAAATATGATCTTTTAAAAGATAAATTGTTTTAATAGTCATATGAAAAAAGTAGAATGCAATAACTTTAAAACATTTTACATCTTGATTGCAATGGAAGTCTGATTTTATTCTGTGTGTCAAAGAATGTCTTAGCTTAGTATCAATTTTAAGAAAAGTTGTATAAGCCCCTATAAAATACAATATCTGCACTAGAAGTGTGTGTTACACAGCAAATATAGTGAAGAGCTGGATTTGGAATTGAAAAAAAAATACATATTTACAGTACAGTGACCAGAACTAGCATTAGAAATGCCAGAGAAAAATTGTAATTACTTCTTGCCTTCCTTTTGGAGGTAAAGGTCTCTCTCTTTCTTTCTTTCTTTCTTCTTTCTTTCTTTCATTCATTCTTTCTTTTTTTATGAGACATGGTCTCTTTAAGTCACCCAGGCTGGAGTGCACTGGCATAATCATGGCTCACTGCAGCCTCGACCTCCCAGGCTCAAGTGGTCATCCCACCTTAGCCTTGTGAGTAGTTGGGACTATAGTCACATACCACCACACCTGGATAGCTTTTTTTTTTTTTTTTTTTTTTTTTTTTTTTTTTTTTTTTTTTTTGTAGAGACAGGGTTTTACTATGATGCCCAGCCTGGTTTTGAACTCCTGGGCTCAAGCAATCTGACTGCCTCGGCCTCCCACCATGCTAAGATTACAGGCATGAGCCACCGTACCCAGTCAGGAAGGTATTTCTAAAGTCCTTTATTAAAGGTGATGGTAGTAACTATCCACTGTTTTTTTGTTTTTTTTTTTCAAACTCCAGATGAGGAGAGGCACTTCCATCTATTTTAGTCTTCCTATTTTTTTAATCCACCACCTTTATCTAGGCAAAAATTACTACAAGTGAAAAATTATATTAATATAGAATCAGATATTCAATCATTTTATATTTATTTACATAAAGAAACATAAATCTAAATTAACTTAGATATCATATTGATGAGTAAATTTTTCCTATAGGTAAATGGTCATAGTTACTGAGACAAACATCACAGAACTTCTATATTCTGATTTTTAAAAAGTTGTTCAGTTTATTGAAATGATTTTGACTTTAATAGAAAGAAACAAAATATGAAAAGAACTAGAATGAATATTAGTTGATATTTAATAGATTTAGGAAGAATTTTCAAGGTGGTAAACAAATAAAACTGTCTGCGGATTTCTTTTTAGGACACTTTTAAATAACCAGCTGGAAATATTATGCTGATCTGCAGCCGCTCAAGTTATCTAAGAATATACTCAAGATATTTCAAGTTTTGTTATAATAGATATTATAATATTATAATATTATAATATACTGTTGATGACAATATGAATGAAACAACAAATAGGCTGCTATTCAAGTTAAGGGATTTATCTTTCATTGGGTATTTTACAATCACTACTTCATGTTATATTTTTTATTATTGTGGAGTTGTATTTTATGTATGAGTGTGATCTTTGCTTTTAAACATTTTATGAGTTTTAAGTGCTACATATTGTAGAAGTATGCAATACATTTATAGTTTGCAACAGCCTCATAATTGCTACATTATTGTATTGATTTAAAGGTAGGTTAAGTCAACTTAAAGCTATATGTTAGTTACTAATATATAGTAAAGTTAACTATATGGCCAATATAATAACCTGACTTAAAGTTTCATTCTTTTGTCATGATTTTTTTTTAGTTTTAAGAAACTGGGCAGCAGAATATTTAAGGAAAAGAAGCCCCTACTATAAAAATGTAGCAAAATTATTTTAAACTATAAATTGTTTGTATAATTAGGGATACTCCAGCACATTTTGTTAATGAACCACAGGTGTCTGTTAAGAGTGAGTAATCTGGCATAACATATGTGATACCATGTGGTCCCAATAGGATAGCATCGTTGTTATAGAAACTTTGCAAGTTACCATTATACTTTTGCTAATTTTGTTGCTGGACTAATGTTACTCAACTAAAGACAAGCAAAACTACCTCTTTTAAGGAGCATACATTCATAAAATCACCTTAAAAGAGAGAAAAGGAAAAGTCACAGGGTATGATTAATTGTGGATATCTGAAATAACGGTCAAATTATAGAATTCCCATTAAACTGTATGCAAATCCTTGCTATAGTTTACAGTTTAAGCCAACAGGGAGTGTGTCTTTACCAAATAACAAAACAATAAATAAATAATTGCAAAAAGTTAATAAACTGTTCATCAAAAAGTATTTGACTTTTCTCTCAACAAATTAAGCAGGCATTTTGTCATCAGGCAGATATTATTCTTAAATGATCAATATCTGCATGAAACAAATAAGGGCATAGCAACCTTTACGACAGCATATCAGACAAAATTTTGATTACAAATAATTTAAGACAGCTGTTTAGTCCTATATTAGCCTTGTTTCTAATGTAAACAAGATCATTCTCTATTGTAATGGTTATTTGAAACAAAGCCATACTATTAAGAAAAGTTTCAGTGATAGATCAGAAAATAACTAGTTTCCATTTTCATAATTACTAAATATATATAAACACATCAATCAGAAGTTTATACTTCGAAGGATTTATCATTTGATTGTAGAATGCTAGTATCTAATTCCTAATGAATACCAACCACTAAAGCTATATATTTTAAAAATAGTCACTTACATTTATCTTATACTCTGTACTTTAAAAGTTAATTTCAATTCAACAAACATTGATTGCATGTGCCAAGCATGTTGCTATTTGTGAGGAATACAATATTGAATAAAGAATAATCTACCCTCCTGAAGCTTCCAGTCTAGTGGGGAATATGTTAAAAAAAAAAAATTCTTACAAAGCTATTTCAGTACAGTGTGATGAATGTTATGATAGAAACAAAGAGTCTCTCATTGACCAAACTTTGGTCAGGCTCCTTTAAGACCTTTCTTGATTAGGCCTTGTTCTTCAGCCTTGTCTTAAGAACTACTTAGCCCAGTTTTAGTCAGAATCTCTTACCTTCCATATCACCTGACCTGAAAGATTCCACAAGAATACCGTTAGGTCAATTTAGGCAGAATTTCCCCTACACTTAGTAATTTTTCCATCCACCAAGCTTCACCCAACAACTTCCTCCTTGGCTATAAATCTCCACTTGCCCTTGCTGTATTTGGAACTGAGCTCAAGTGCCATACTGAAGCCTCTTTTCTCCATCTACAATAGTTCCTGAATAAAATCTGCTTTACCGCTTTAACTATTGCCCAACTCTGCTTTTCTTTAACACAAATATCTCAGAGTGCTATGGAACACAAAGGTAAGAGTCTCAAGTAATTTGGCCAAATATGTCTTCTTAGAGGAGTCAACTTCAAAATTAGAGCTAATGACTGAGAACTAACTAGGCAAAGGGATATGGGAATGGGTGGAAAAGCATTCTAGGTGAGGGTACTGCAAAGGCATGTAAGAAGAGTTTATAGTGCATTCTTAGAAGTTAGTTACTTAGCATACCTGCGGTATAACATTTTAGGGACTCATAGTGAAAGATAAATGTAGATAGATAAGCAGTATGTTTACATATCTGGGCTTGTCCCCAGAAAGGTGGAATTACTTTGGTTTCTACATTAACATAATTTTGGTTTTGCCATATTCCATAATCCATTGTCGTCCTCATGGAATGCTTTCTGTGTGGGCATATTTAATAGTAGTCCCAAAGTCAAAGGATATACATCTCTGAAAAAAGGCTTGTGCAACCACCTTCACCTATTTGCTAGCTGCTAGGAATGATACACCTGTAGCTTACTAATCGATGCTCTAAAACCTAAGAGTTACTTTTCCTCCAACGATTAATTCCTAGATGGCCTACATAAAAGAGTTGTTTAATCTTCATCACCACATTTTTCCTTGCATAATTATTATATAATTAAACAACTTCCATTTTAAGCCTGTTTAGAAAACACTAAACCTCAGCTAAGGCTCAACTTCTGGGATTTTGAAGAGACTACCTGTTCTTAAATGTAGGAGAAAGAAATTGATATTTTGTCTCTTATACTTCCTAATTTTTAAAGATTCTCATATAAATTGCATGTTTTCAAGCATTAAATCCAATCTCATCTATATCATAGACAATGAACCCCTACTTTATATATACTACAGAATTATATTGCCAAAGAAAGTTATTTCAGTCAATACATATTTACCAATTAACTGATAAAATCTAAAATGGTAGTCAATGCAGTAGGTACTGGGAAAATGAAAAAATTTCTAGGAATAATAAATATGTTCAGTATTTTGATCGTGGTTGATATGATTTGGTTCTGTCTCCCCACACAAATCTCATTTTGAATTGTATTCCCATAATTTCCATGTGTTGTGGGAGGGACTCGGTGGGAGATAATTTGAATCATGTGGGCAGTTTCCCCCATACCGCTCTTGTGGTAGTGAGTAAGTCTCACGAGATCTGATGGCTTTATCAAGGGTTTCCGCTTTTGCATCTTCCTCATTTTCTCTTGCTGCTGCCATGTAAGAAGTGCCTTTTGCCTTCCACCATGATTCTGAGGCCTCCTCAGCCATGTGAAACTGAAAGTCTAATTAAACCTCTTTTTATTCCCAGTCTCGGGTATATCTTTATCAGCAGCATGAAAATGGAATAATACAGTGGTGATAATTTCGAATGTTTACTGATATGCCAAATTGCATACTTTACATATGGACAATTTGTAATTTGTCAGTTATTTCTCAATAAACTCGTTAAAATACATAATAAATTTATCTTAGCTGGTATGACAGCAGTCCATATAGGGTATAGTGATGTCACAGAGGAGAGAGTGCTCAATTCTACCTCAAGGAGGAGAAATGGAAAGCATTACAAAAAAAAAAAATTGACTGCGACTGTGTGTTGAAAGATGAGAAGTGTTTTCAAAGTGGACATTCAAACAGAATAGCATATAAGCAGGCACATGAAGCCGCATGAATCATTAAGTGAACCTAAGATTATCTGGATTGTTTAAAGCATTGGGATTGAGGGGCAACTGGAGAAATCAGTATGGAAAGAGACGGTATGCAGATTTATGGAGGTTTTATTATGCTAAGCAATTCGCTTGAGTTGATGAAAGAGAATAGTAAATAAAGAAAGGATTGTATCAGTATATAAATATTTTATGTAAATATTCAAGGAACCTCACTATTAAAAATCTGGTATGCCATACAGAGGAAAGAACTCTTGGGTATGGCAAATCAGGGTTTAAATATCAATTCTTCCATGTAAAACTGTATGACTACAACCAAGTTTCCTAATATCTTTGAGCCTCAGTTTACATCTTATCACATGAATTTACTTGGCTATAGGAAAATACAATCCCAATGTAGTGATACTTTTGTATCTAGCGCAGAGTCGTCGACAGTAGAATGGCACCCTGTAGTCTCTATAAACAACTGTAAAATGAGCACCCAGCAATACAAATGTTTATGTTCTGTTGTGCTGACAAATACTGGTGAACTATTCATAAATCTTATGCATTTACTGATACTTCAGGTCAAAGAGCTTTCACAACTATTCAGCCCCTGATGCCTTATTGCCTTATTTCAAAAAGAGGACATAGCTGTAGATCAATTGCATTTTCTTGAATGTTTTATGTAAATTCAGTATTGTCAGTGAGAAATAATGGATTACAGTGGTGCCGGCCTAAAAAATCCACTGGCAAAAACAAGGCTGATTAAAAAAAAGAAAATCAAATATCAGCCTCTTTCCTGAAACAAAGTGGAAGGTCAACTGTTTGTACATATAGCATGACAGCCCCGCTGACATACACTTCATTTTTCATAGAATAAACTGACAGTGATATTTAATACTCCTAACAGGGGCTAGATGTTCTGATCTGTTAAACTGCTTGGCAGTTCATGCAGAGAAGACAAAAGTGCACTGACATCCTATTGAGAGGCCAGGACAAAATATATCTCTTGAATCACAAATAACATGAAAAGGACTTAGGACTGACCATATATGCATGACTTTCATGTTATTTTAAAATAAAATGTTCTAAACAACTTATACCTCTTTACTATTTCATGTCCAATAATTGCACTCTGATTTTGTTTAAGGAAATTTTTGAATTGCGTTTGAGTTCAGGGTGAGGATCTCTTAACTACCTTTAGAATAGATAATATGCAAAATAGCGAAATGGTTCTTTTGGTATGGGTGTTTAACTCTTCAGCAGATGCTTCTCATTTTCCTTTGCATTACATCACATAGCCTTGTGAAGGGAAAGAAAATAACCTTAAAAAAAAAAAAACCTGTTGGCAAGAGAGGGATATAAAAATTAACGGAGCAGCCGGGTGTGGTGGTTCACGCCTGTAATCCTAGCACTTCGGGAGGCCGAGGCGGTTGGATTGCCTGAGCTCAGGAGTTTGAGACCAGCCTGGGCAACACGGTGAAACCCCGTCACTACTAAAATACAAAAAATTAGCCTGGCATGGTGGTGTGCACCTGTAATCCCAGCTACTCAGGAGGCTGAGACAGGAGAATTGCTTGAACCTGAGAGGAGGAAGTTGCAGTGAGCCGAGATCATGCCATTGCACTCCAGCCTGGGTGACAGAGTGAGACTCTGTCTCAAAAAAAAAAAAAAAAAAGTTAAGGGGGCAAACATTATGTAAGTTTTACTACTGAAGTTCTCTAGTTTCTGCGTTCTTCAGAGTCTAAGTCTTGAATGAAAGCTTCTCATAACTTTGTTCCTAAAAATGGGTTTTGACCTAGAAATGAACACATTACTACCTTATTGACTTCTAAGGAGGCCAAAAAAAAAAGATGTATGAACTGCCCTGTTCATTACATTACAATTCCAATGCTATAACTTACTGATAACAACTTTTAAGAAAATTGTACTTTATTGTAGTCAGAGCACTCAACATGAGATCTACCTTCTTAAATTTTATGTGTCCAATATGGTATTGTTGACTATAGACACAATGTACAGCAGATCTCTAGGGCTTATTCATCTTGCTTTGAAGTTCTTACTAAAATGAAACTTTACAATTTAAAAAAAAAATTACCATTGCAGTAAAAGTAAATTATCTCACTGAACTTTACTGTAGTCTCATACAGTGTGATCTGTATTTATGACCTTTTAGTATATGCAATGTGCATCCATATAGCTGTGTTTTAAATAGATACTTACAAAATATATGTTTGTTTTACATAATTCAGAGTTTGAAAAAAGAAAACATTATAATTATATTATTTGCTCACATTTAGAAAAATCATACAATATTCAACATTAAATAACGGGCTCTCAAGTATGTTTTATAAAGATGTTTGCATATTCTCAAGCTTTATCTCAGTTTTAAACTGTCATTCAGTTATGTGGTAGATAAATTTAAGAAATGCACAGCAGGCTTGTTGGAAAATGAAAGAAGAGATTATCATAAGGAACAGAAAGAAAAAGTTTAGGAAATTTTGTTCCAATTATCTATAAAAATTAGTCCCACTAATGCTTGTTTCATAAGTTCTATTTGTCATCAAGCACCTATCTCTTCTGAATTTTCACATATGTGTAGTCAGCACTAATGATCTCGACAAAGTACATTCCATTCCTTTTTGTACACAGAGATGGATCTGAAACACACTTTCCCACAATTGTGCACCCAGCTGGGGGAGAATTTTGCTACCTCAATTTCTAATCAATGACATAATGATAGTTTTACTTCAGCTCATTAATGCACAAAAAATACAGCTTTCTCCAAAGCAAACATGTTTTACTATGAAAAATTGTGAGAGAGAACAAAATAAAATGATTATGTGACATAAAAAATGTGCATAGAAATTTATTTGAATACTTCATATCTAGCTACTCAGAAGTGAAGATAATATCACAATAAAGGTTGTTATGCTGGAAAATGCAAATTCAAACTAATTGAATTACAGCCACTTGTTTGTCACAGCCACTGATATAAAAATATTGTCTCCTAATATAATGTGGGTTACATCAAAGTTTAAGTGGCTCATTACTTTATTGTAGAAATGTAAGTAGTTTCTAATTCTTCAAATTGTATCCAGAGGCTCAGAGCCAATTAGCACAAAAAATAATAAATACAGAAAATGTAAAAATTGAAAGCAAATTAATCACAGCTCACAGTAGTTCTTATAAGCAGCTAAAATAATGTAAGTTTGATGATAAAATGTAAACTTTGAAAGAGTATGATTTGTCACCATTAAAGACTACAGTTTTCCGATTAGTGCATATTTGCCTATATTAAATTCAAAACCAGGGAGCTTCCTGCCAGCTATTGCCAACATAAACCATATTTTTGTGCTATAAATAATTTGGGACTTCTTGATATCCCATAATATTATTCAGCCTTAAAAAAGGATATACTACCATTTGTAACAACAGAGATGAGTCTAGAGGACATTATCCTAAGTGAAATAAGCCAAACATAGAAAGAAAAATACTGCATGATCTCAATGATATTTAATATCTAAAACTTAGTTAAATACATAGAAATAAACAGTAGAACAGTGGTTATCAGGCGTAAGGAGAGGGAGAAAATGGGGAGAAATTGGTCACAGAGTAAAAAGTTGCAGCTATGTAGGATGAATAGGTCTAGAGTTCTAATAATGTACAGCATGAGGTCTATAGTTAATATTATTGTATAGTATACAAAAAGTTTACTAAGAGAGTAGATTTTAAGCACTCTTACTATTTAAAAAATGGTAGCTATGGTATGTGATGGGTAGGTTAATGTTTTTGTCTGACTGTAGTGATCTTTTTACTACGCAGAGGTGTACAAAAACATCACGTTGAACACCTTAAATATAGACAATAAAAATAAATACATAAATACACAACTAAAAATAGAGACTGAATACAAGATATCAACAAGCCAAATCTCTTGTATAAAGCTGTTAGGACTATACAACATACTTCTGGAAATGCAATACAGGGAGGAATGCACTATACTTGCTCAATTTCACTTCTTCATAATTTTACGAGGGACCTTGGAATTTTCAAAGTGCGATTTATTATGTAGTATGCATTCTCTTTCTCCTTGCTGTCTTTCTCCTCCTCTTTCCCTTTTAAACTACTTTAATGAAATTTGAACTACGATTCTGGGAATAACAGTTAAGCCATATTTTTTAAATGAATATGAATAGACAAAATATGGTCACTCATATTTTACCTTTCTTCCTTTTGAAAGTTAGACCTGTTTCAGTTCATATGAAAATAGATCACAAAACAGACCACAAGACAAGCTTAACAAGAGTCTGCTTAAGTATGTGCCTTGTTTTTTCTAGTTGACCTTTTCGTAGTTAATTATAGTCATTTGGCTGTCAAATTCTCAGCTTAGGATTCCCTACGATCTGCCCCAAAACTCACAGTTGTCATTAATTGTTCTTCCATTTGTCATTTCACTAAATGTCCTAAGGACCAAATGCCCGCTTGCTTGCTTGCTTGCTTGCTTTCTCTCTCTCTCTTTCTTTCTCTTTCTTTTCTTTCTTTCTTTCCTTTCTTTCTTTCTCTTTCTTTCTTTCTCTCTTTCTCTCTTTCTCTCTTTCTTTCTTTCTTTCTTTTTCTCTTAGAACAAGGTCTCCTGGGCACGCATGATAGTGAGACAGGGCACAAAAGTTCAGTGTCACTGTTCATGCCATTTCCATTCTGTGTATTACATAGAGAACCATGGTCTCTGGACTCTCTTTCTGACATCTGGCTTAAGTTCTACTGATGACAGGTTCATTGTAAATGCAAAGATCTTTCAGGATCATCGATACAGGATGTAGCATGTTATTTCCTAGATGTGCATAACTTCATCCTGCATCCAGATTCACAGTGTAGGTTTTGTTCATTGTAAACGCCTATTTCTGACATAAACTTGACAGCTTCATCACAATAAATGCAAGGAAGAAAAATAGCGCAGAATATGTGACGTAAAGGGAAAAACCTGTAGAAATTTAGGAAATACAAATTATATTTTAAGTTTTATTGTTACAAATCATATAATTAGTTGATCTACTCCAAAAATAATTCATGTCCTTACCTCTCTACTAACTTGACTCTGATGTTCTCATTACTCTTTCAGGACAAGGATCTCTCCTATCTCTTTTGGGCAAGTTCTTAGCATTGGAAGTACTAAGAATGTATTGACTATTCTTTCATCTACTAGCATCAGTTATAAACTATTATGTTTATGTATCAGGAAAACTTTTTTCTGCTTTTTTACAAGGAGAAGGGTTATATTGCTTTACTATGCTTACAAAGTTGTATATCTTTCTGCCTTGAATATCAATTTTATTTGCAAAAACTATTATGTCGTTATTGTTGTTTTTGTTCTTAGTGTTATTATTATTATATAATTATAGATGTTAAAAATAACATACCAGAATTAATTATTTGTTGGGTCCAAGTAAGATCATGTTGTTTAGTAAAGTGGCTGATGTGATAATATTAGCAATTTAATGGATATATATATATATGTGTAAGTATAAATTTTTATATATATGTGTATATATAAAAATTTATATATATATATAAATTTTGTGGCATAATTCCTCTTATTTTCAAAAATGAAATAGGTAAAACTGATTAAAAAGGTGGAGAGGTAGATGGTTTAGGAATATTTTTGATAGTAAGAACAGAAGAGAGTGAGAAAGAAGAGATATATTATTATGTCCTCAGTTGAGCTGCATGTGGATCTGAAGGGGAAAAAAAAAGCAGGAGTCGGGATACATGCAGAAAATGACCAAATAAACTCACAAAACTTGGCTCTGCCCAAGAAGAAAAATACAGAAATATCATGAGAGAAGAGATAACGGATAAATAAATTCTGTGGTAAATGAATATGCAAGCGTAAATATGCCCGAGTTTATAGGTGTATGTCTCTAAGTAGCCATTGTCTTCCCCAAGCCTAATTAGTTATTTAAGCCTGTGGCAAACATTTCGGCTCAGAGCTCATAGTGGGCGCCTTTCACCCACCTATAATGCCAGAAATATACCTCCATGCCTTGTTTTCTTTTTTTGGACATAGGAGTAAAGCAGAAGAGGTCAAAAGTGAGTGAAATACCTCATTCACATCTAGATTTCTGGTTGTATGATACCATCATAACTATACTTTAAAAAATGCCATTCTATTGTGATACTAAAAGTTAAATTAACACGGGTCCTGTGTTTACAGGCTAGAAGTCATCAGAATGGATACAAAACTATGCTTTAAAGAGCATATTTTAAAATGCTTGGTAAATGTGGGTGTATACCCACATTCAGAGTATAGGTGCATCTGGCCATTTGGAACAGGTACAATTTAGCTTGTGCATGAAGACACCCCCACAAAGCTGCAGGTGTCACTTTCTAGAAAGTTGAGCTGGAATACGTGATTTCAAATTGCCATCCTGAAACTTCTTTATATCACTACTGCTTATTTTCACCTCTCTTCCTGTTTATGTAATGCTAGAATCCAGAGGAACCCAAATATCATGGCTTTTGAAACAATTGAAATTCCCTCAGATCAGAATTTGCATGGTATATGCCTCTCCTTGGCAATAAGCGTTTTGTTGTATTTATATTGAGACTAATTCAGCTTTTTCTGCAGGCCAGATTGAAACTATTTTGAATACAGAATTTAGAATACAAACAACAACTTCCTCAAGCTTGCCTGAGTCTAATAGATAGAGGTATAAATATATAATAACACATACAGGTATATAATAAAAATATATATAATTACTAATTTGAGTTTTCCAGTAGCTAATTAGCTCAAAAATTCTACCTTAGTTATTATGTCCAGGTCTTGTATATATTTGTAAGATACCTAGATCAATTAGACTTTACTAAGGGAATAGACAAATGATTGCTACATTAAGTAGAAATTCACTGAATGAATATTTATTAAAAACCTTCTATGTGCTAGATATTGTTGAAGGAACTACAGAAACACAGGTGAACAACTCAGACAAGACTGCTGCCATCATAGAGCTTACATTCTAGTGAGCTTACATTCAAGTTATTCTAGAAAAATAAATATTTGTTAATTCTCAAGACACTGAACAAAACTTTCCCAAGTATACAGTCCTCCTGTCATTTCTTATAATCTGATGATGCGCTCTCACTTCACAAAGATGATACTGATGTTGAGAGGTTAACAAAAGATATCATTATGCTATATGATTCTAATAAAACATTATCCAAGTCCAGGAGTGGTGGCATATGCCTATAGTCACAGCTACTGGGAAGGCTGAGGCAGGAGGATGACTTGAGCCCAGCAGTTCGAGGCTACAGTGAGCCATGATTGTGCCACTGCACTGCTGGGCAACAGAGTGAGACGCCATCTGGTATATATCTACCTTTTCTTGATATATAGAATTTGAAATTAATTGGAAGCCAATTCAATCACACCATTGTAGGGTATTCATCAAAGGATAAAGTATTGTTGTCAGTGGTGTGTACACATTATTAGTTTGCCAATATTATGGATTCACAGACAAAAATGTTAGGCCTCTTAGTTAAGAGACCTATTCTAAATACCCCTCTTATTTCTCCAGAGGTGAAAACCCTTTCTATACCTCCATCTTCACTTACTATATTATGTTAAAATTATCTATTTATGAATCTAAATATTTCCCGGAATCAGATTGCAGTATACTTATTTCTGAAGCCCAGCTCCTACCACAAGGCCTGACACAGAGTAAAGGCTCAGAATTTCTAATGGAAGATTTAACAACCATACTCTTTTTTTAATGAGGATTTAAGTACCATTAAGTAAATAGTGTAATATAAAATCATCTGGAACTTTTTGTTTTAGAATCTGAAGAAATTTAGGATTCAGGTATGTTAACTGAACAATAGGATGACAGTATTAAGTTTGTAAAGTTTAAAAAATTAAAAACATTAAGTACTATCTCTCTAGTCCTTTCTTACATCCTTTCTGAAATGTTAATAGTCTAATCCAATTGGGAAGTTGTGTGTGTTTTGTTTTCAAGTTCAAATTAAACAAAAAAGTAGAAAGCATATTTCTCAGAGTTCAGCCTGGCCAACATGGTGAAACCCCCATCCTACTAAAAATACAAAAATTAGCCAGGCGTAGTGGTGCATGCCTGTAATCCCATCTACTCCAGAGGCCAAGGCAGGAGAATTGCTTGAATCCAGGAGGCGGAGGATGCAGTGAGCCTAGATCATGCCATTGCATTGTAGCCTGGACGACAGAGTGAAACTCTGTCTCAAAAAAAAAAAAAAAAAAAAAAGGAAGCATATTTCTCAGAGATAATAAAAAACTATATATTTGTCATGTCAGTTAAGCTTTGCTAAGAAAAGCACTTTATCTATAATCATGGAGTTCTGTGGCTTCACAATGTAATACTTCAATTTAAAATTTAACAAAGTATTATATGACACTTGGAAAAGTGCAATACATTATCTCTAAAAAGATATACTAAAATCCTTCTTTGACAAGATGATGATCTTACCTCTGCTTAATATATGCTAAAAATGTTGTTCTCAATTTGTACCTTGATTGGGTGAGTGATAATAAAAAATCAGAAATATCTGGTAAGTTTATTTGCTTATATCAATATTTGGCAAGCAAAATAGCTCTCCTGGAAATATATGGAATGGATACAGCAGAGAAAATATATCAATTATTAATTATGATGCAATTGTAGTTGGAGCATAATGGATAGAGTTAGTACATTTTATTCTAGAAAGAAATTTAAAAATAGAAGTGTATAGATATTTTAAATTGTGACTTGTGAGAGTCAATTTACTTTTTCACATCTTTGCATTTATGTCAATGATTTTTACTTTTAATGATTTTGCAGTCATTTATTGCAATGAGAAACCAATATATATTGAGCATTTGTGATATAAGTGTTTCACAAATGTTTGTTCTAACACGTTACTATTGCACATTTTCAGATGAAAAAATCAAAACTATTAGACGTTCAAACTATAAAAAACTAATGGGGAATAAATAAGGGTCACATGTGTCCTGCATATTATTTCATATATTTATATAGGCTTATTTTCATGAAAGCCTTCATTTTCAACCATAATGCAAGTGTTCATAAATAAGATTGTAAAAAATTTACAACTTTCTATGTTAAATATAATGCCTTTTGTACCATTCAATCAGTGAATCTCACTCACCTCCACCGTCCAGTTAACAGTTAAAATAGATAATTTACATTTTCTTATTGTTTGGGTATTTGGGGGAGTTACTGTTATGTTACATAATAACAACAGCCATCAAAATAATTCATGTTTCTTGATGTATAAATAGCTAGCACTTAATCTCTATACTCTGTTCTGTATTCTGATAGTATTTTTCAATCTGATAATCTATTATAATACAAGGAAAGGCAGTCCCAGAAGGCAAGCTTTGACCCTGTGTTCTACTACATAAAAAATTAATGCTCAGACTCACCGTCCAACCCAGCTTTAATAAAGCTACCCAAATTCTCTTGGCTGAATCTTTGGCAGGGTGATATCAATCAAAGTACTCAATTTTGTATTTGCTAATTCAATAGGCAGGCTGAAGAGGCTTTCAGCTCTACATTTTCAGCTCTACATTTAATAAGACTTTTTACATATTTTCAATTTTTGCTGTGTTGACAGAAAAAAAATGAGTTTCGAGAACTACAAGATGTTCTTTTCTAGTAAGAAATGTTTCTTCTAAGTTTAACATAACTGGCCATTTCATCAATCTTTCTATTATTATGCAAGGCTATATCTTAAAGAAAAATAATATTATCTTTATTATCACAAGTAACTGAAATTTCATTGATTACTAAAAATAATACATCGAATCAGATAGATTGCATGTCCTTTCAGACCTTAAAGATAGCTTCTAATTGTGAGGAGCAATTATGTCATCTTGTTACATTATTATAAAGGCCAAATTATTCTTCATTGTAAATGTGCTTCTTATGATGTATAAAAACATGTGAACATTTTTACAAAATAGATGAAGCCTTCCTGATATTTTCCTACATCATTATTCTTATCATTAATTACTAATGTTTCTGGGGTAAATACACTATTATATATTTATGTTAGACATCTTTTTAAATATACTTAAAAACTTGAATTTAATTATACTTAAAAATTTGAGCCATATAAACAATGAAAGATTGCTCCAAATATGATTGCCTATATTTATAATTTTTGCTACAATAGTAATTATTGAAATAACTATGAAATCTTATTATCTGAAAAATCTCAGACCTCATTTTATATGTAAATACAAACAAATATGTATTAATAAATGTATGAAAATGAATATGTATAATTAATTTTTAAAGAAACAATTTCAAAAATTTATATTGGTCTTTGATAGAAATCAGTTTTAATACAATTTAAGAATATTCATCTAAAGTCTTAATTTATACTCATCCTTTTTTATGTTTCCTCCTCATTTTATACAGCAATCACATTAAAAAAATTTTTTTTACATGAATAAGTTCTTTAGTGGTGATTTCTGAGATTTTGGTGCACCTATCACCCAAGCAGTGTATGCTGTACTCAATGTGTAGTCTTTTATTTCTCACCCCTCTCCTACCCTTTCCCCCAAGTCCTCAAAGTCCATTGTATCATTCTTATGTCTTTGCGTCCTCATAGCTTAGCTGCCACTTATGAGTGAGAACATATGAGGTTTGATTTTCAATTGCTGAGTTACTTCACTTAGAATAATGGTCTCCAATTCCATCCGGGCTGCTGCAAATGCCATTATTTTGTTCCTTTTTATGCCTGAGTAGTGTTCCATGGTATGTACATATATATATATGATACCACCTTATTCTGGCAAACATGGCCATAATGAAAAAATAATAAATTAATAGATGTTGGCATGGATGTGGTGAAAAGGGAACACTTTTACACTGCTGAAGGGAATCTAAATTAGTACAACCCCTTTGAGAAACAGTATGGAGATGTCTTAAAGAACTAAAAGTAGATGTACCATTCGATCTAGCATATATATATATGTATATATATACACACACATATATATACATATATATACATACACATATATATGTATAAATATACATATATACATATATACATATATACATATATACATATATATACATATATACATATATACATATATATACATACATATATATACATATATACATATATACATATATATACATACATATATACATATATATACTATATATATACACACACACACACACACACACAGAGATTTTCTTTATTCACTCATTGTTTGGTGGGCATTTGGGCTGGTTCCACATTTTCACAATTGTGAATTGTGCTGCTATAAACATGCCTGTGCGAGTATCCTTTTCATATAATGACTTTTTTTCCTCTGGGTAGATACCCAGTAGTGGGATTGCTGGATCAAATGTAACAAAATATATGTATGACAAAGTCATTCTTCTTCCCATGTTCTTTCACAATGAAACATATTTACGTTAAATGAATGGCGTCATTAAACTACCAAATCTAAAATAAACAATATTATTTGTTTCGGAATTTGTATAATGAACTTTAGCAAAATGTTGGACATAATTTTATAAATAAAATAAAGTACATAATTTATAACACATCGATATGTAATTTATGAAAATTGGGTGTAAATTCTTCATAAGTGAAAGATCATAGACCTTATTCAGAGTGTATTATTGGCTCTCCAGTTTCTTGAGCCTTCATAAGTCTTGAATAACTATTTTTCTTTTTATGTAATCTTATCTTCCCTTTCTATGCAAAATTATTTAAATGCATCATTAAAAGCAACATCTGTGTCACATGTGAAAAAGCTGACAAATTTTCCCATGCCAAGGTACAGTCTGTTGGCCAAGTGACAACACGAGGAACATTACCCACTGCAAGAACTGCCTTTGAGGAATAATTCAAATTCCAATGCATGGAGAAAATACCATTTTTCCAGTAATAGTTCACTACCTCTGACTATAGTGTAAAAGGTAATAAATTGTTTAGGTACAAGGAATGTCAAACAAGCCCGGTGTCACAATTGTGAGGCTTCTCTTTGTCTTTATGAAATTATTGTAACCAATGTCTCTGTGTTAATTTATAAATTCATTGCATCACTTTTGTAAAAGAACAAAATATGGATTATCATGATGTCAAACATAAAGCTTACAAGAGCCAGATAATTTAGTTTGAGTTTAGCTGTATGTCTTGTCATACGGCTTCAGGGAATTTAATAAATACCTTGGTTATCTTTGAGGGATAAAAAAGACAATTAATTTACATGTTTCACATCTTTCCTTGAAATACCTCATACACTAAAATGTATCAAAGGATAAGATTAGAAAGGAAATATTATGTTTAATGTTTGGTGTCAGATACTTAAGTTAGACACAATATACTGTTCCCATGGATGTTAAAATGCAAATATTGCTGTCAGATTCTTAAAGTGATATTCCTCTTTATTACTAACAATCTGATTTAAACTATTTATAAGGAGTCTACACATAAAACTTTGAAGACTAAGAGAAAAACAAAGTAAAGGAAGAATGTTCCCAATAATTTTAATGAGACATGTGTGAGTAACAGATACTATAACCATAGATTTATATACATACATCTATTCATTTACATCAAGACTTCACTGAAGTTTTAAAATATGCTAAAAAAATGCAAGTTAAACATTGGTACCTGGCTTATCATCTTCACAGTTAGACATTACTAAACAGAGAGGTTAGCTTAATTAAAGGTAAAAGACAAACCAGATTTAGTTATGGGAATGGAGACTTCAAGGTGTATTTAACAATTACAAGATAATTTGATAAACTCGTAAAAAAATTATTTCCTCTGTTTCTTAAAAGTGGCTGAAAATACTAATAATGATAAAAGAACAGAATTATGCACACAGCTGTATTTTCTAATTCATAGAAAATTATTTCACAGGTTAATGAAAACAAGCAGTGCCTCTTTTATTAATATTTGAAATAAAAACAAAATGAAATTGATTTTGCCTAAAAGCTAAGTGGGTAGCCAATAAAAGTTCAATCTAGAAAAAAAAATAATGGAAAAAGAAGAATGCTATTATTGTATTAGCATAATATTTAACATCTACGATGTCTAAGGGGCAGTGCTAAATTATTTGTGATAGTTGCTATTGATATTTATATTTTACAAATGAGTAAACAGACTTTAAGAGGTTAAATGATTGGAGCTGAGCAAGATGGCCAACTAGAAGCAGCCAGGTGGAACGGCTGCCACTGAGGGATCCTGACAGCTGCTGCACTCCTAACAGATCTTCAGAGGAAAGGCACTGAGAGTGGACAAAGGGAAGACAAAAATGGGCTGAAGAGGGAGGAAGCTGGGAATACTGCAAGGGGCTACTGTGCAGCAGGACTCGTTCCTGGCCCCCAGTAACTCTAAGGGAACAGGTAAGTTGAACTGGCAAGGAGCAATTAGCACTCACCATGGACCTCTGGAATCCCAGCAGTAGGAAACCACTTGACTACCACAGACACTTGCGTTGGCAGAGAGAGCTGCTTAGAGAAGTAGTAAGGGCAGCCTTTCATCCAGTGAGGAGCGCAGAGGGTTTGGTGCGGGAGCGTCTGTAGCAGAGCATGGTCAGGGACTCTCACCCCCCAGGCTTGACTTGCTCTAATAGGAGAATTTATCCCTAGAGGAACTGTCAGACCTGAACTCTGCAGGCCCATCAGAAGGGGATGGTCCAACCTGCGCACCCCTTGGTCTGCTGGCCTGTCCCAGAGGCCCAGCCTGACTCTGCCTCTTTGCGGTGCAACCTCTGGTGCCCTGGGGACCCACATCATAGCTCCTGCACTGGTGGACTGCACCACACTGGCAGAGAGCTCCAGCAGAGCAAAGCCCATGGCCATGCACTAGCTCACACCCTCCCTCCCTCAACTGCACCTACCCTCAGGCCCACGGCCCTTCCCCATATTGCCTTGCTGGTGAGTGTGTGTGAGGTGGCTTTTGCATTCCGTGTCCCCTCGGTGTGTGTGTGTGTGTGGGGTGTGTGTGTGTGGGGTGTGTGTGTGTGTGAACCCTGCCCTTCCACTGCTGCCAGCATGAGTTCACTCCACCTCCTCTCTCCCCACTGTACTGTCATTGCAGTCAGAGCCTTGGTGGGCACAGAGCCCAGCAGCCCCACCTTTACCAGGCCCCTGCCCCTGTGCCAATGCTATTTCCAGAGTGAAACTAGGAACAGAGAACAGCAGACCCTCACATTCCCTGAGTGGGGACCTCTGCCTGCATGAATGCACATAGAGGGTGCACAAAGACCTGCACCTGACAGCGTCCAGCCCTTGCGCTAAAACCACCACCAGTATGACCACATGCACAGTCACCAGAGGGGATCCCCATCCTAGAGAGCCATGCTGCCTCTGTCGCTGCTGTGAATGTGTGTAGGGAGACAAGTACCCCAATACCCACTAGGTGCCCTGCCACAGCCAACATGCAGGTACCACACAGTGCTGCCACTGTCACTGCTGCTGGCACATGCAAACAAGGACAGATCCCACTGCCACTGACCTACCAAATGTTTTGGCTGGCACCAGCCATCAGAGTGTAGTGATCAGTAGTCTGGGAGCATTTCAGCCTTCCGAGCACATTGGGTTCCTAACTTTGAGGAGCCAGAGAACAAAGACAGGGCCCAATACCAGTCTCCCAGAGTTACAGCACGTAGTATAGAAGTTGGGAGCAGAGACTTGGCCCCCCAAATTCTTCCAGAAATGAAGCCAGTTGACTGAACCAAGCTTGTACCACAACCAAACCCTCAAGGGCATCTAATAGGATTAAAAAAAAAAAACCTCACAAAACAGCAACTTCGAAGACTAAAGGAACATCAGCCCACAAAGACAAGAAAGAACAGTGCAAGAACTCTGACAAC
The DNA here is from genome assembly GCF_000001405.40 of Homo sapiens. Classification (NCBI taxonomy): domain Eukaryota; kingdom Metazoa; phylum Chordata; class Mammalia; order Primates; family Hominidae; genus Homo; species Homo sapiens. Next base: position 92,480,437 of record NC_000023.11, on the reverse strand, counting down.
TCTAAAAGCCACAGTGTCTTCTTTCCTCCAAATGACCACACCAGCTCTCTAGCAACGGTTCTTCACTGGGCTGAAATAGCTGACATGACAGAAATTGAATTCAGAATATGAATAGAAACTAAGATCATTGAGATGCAGGAGTACATTGAAACCCAATTCAAAGAAGGTAAGAATCATAATAAAATGACGCAACAACTAACAAACAAAATAGGTCTTTATAGAAAATAATATAACTGAGCTCACAGAGCTGAAAAACACACTACAAAAATTTCATAATGCAATCACAAGTATTAATAGCAGAATTGACCAAGCTGTGGAATGAATCTCAGAGTCTGAAGGTCAGCTTTCTAAAATAATACAGTCAGACAAGAATAGGGAAAAAAGAATTAAAAGGAATACATAAAACCTCCAAAAAAAATGGAATTATGGAAAGAGAACAAATCTATGAAGCATTGTTGTCCCTGAAAAAGACGAGGAGAATGGAAGCAACTTTGAAAACATATTTCAGGATATCATCCATGGTCACTTCCCCAACCTAGCTATACAAGCCAAGAATCAAATTCAGGAAATTCAGAGAACCTCAGTAAGATACTTTACAAGAAAATCATTCCGAACACAATCATCAGATTCTCCAAGGTCAAAATAAAAAAAAAAAATTAAAGGCAACTAGAGAAGAGTCAGGTCACCTAAAAAGAGAACCCCATCATACAAACAGCAGACCTCTCAGCAGAAACCTCACAAGCCAGAAAAGATTGAGGGTCTATATTCAACATTCTTAAAGAAATTTCAACCCAGAGTTTCATATCTGGCCAAACTAAGCTTCCCAAATGAAGGAGAAATGACATTATCTTCAAACAAGCAAATGCTGAGGGAATTCATTACCAACCAACCTGCTTTACAAGAGCTTCTGATAGAAGCACTAAATATGGAAAGGAAAGGCAGTTACCAGCCACTACAAAAACATACTGAATTACACAGGCCAGTGACGCTATGAAGAACCACACAGACAAGTCTGCAGAATAACCAGCTAACATGATGATGATAGAATCAAATCCATACATATCAGTACTAACCTTGAATGTAAACAAGCTAAATGCTCTCAATTAAAAGGCACAGACTGTTAAGTTGCATAAAGAACCAAGACCCATTGTTATGCTGTCTTTGAGAGACACATCTCACATGCAGTGACACCCATGAGCTCAAAATAAAGGAATAGAAAAAAATATACAAACAAATGGAAAACAAAAAAGCAGGGATTTCAATCCTAATTTCAGAAAAAACATATTTTAAACCAACAAATATAGAAAAAAGACAAAGATGGGCATCACATAATGGTAAAGGGTTCAATTCAACAAGAAGACCTTACTGTCCTAAATATATATGCACCCAACACATTAGCACTCAGATTCATAAAACAAGTTCTTAGAGATCATCAAAGTGACTTAGACTCCCACAAAATAATAGTGGGAGATTTCAACACCCTTTGACAGTATTAGACAGATAATTCATGAAGATATTTAGGAACTAAACTCCGCACTGGACCAAATGTACTTAATAGACATTTACAGAAATCTCTACCCAAATACCACAGAATGTACATTATTCTCAATGCCACTCGGCACATACTCTAAAATTGACCACATAATCGGACACAAAACACTACTCAGCAAATGCAAAAGAACTGAAATAATAAGAATCACTCCCTCAGATCATTGCACTATCAAATTAGGAAGCAAGACTAAGAAAATTGCTCACAACCATACAATTAAATGGAAATTGTATAATTTGCTCAGGTCATGAATGACTTTTAGGTAAATAATGAAATTGAGGCAGAAATCAAGAAGTTATTTGAAACTCATAAGAACACAGATACAATATAGCAGAATCTCTGGGACACAACTAAGGCAGTGTTAAAGTGGAAATTTATAGCACTAAATACCCACATCTAAAAGTTAAAAAAATCTCAATTGAACCACCTAACATCACAACTAAAGAAAACTAGAGAAGCAAGATCAAACCAAGCCCAAAGCTAGCAGAAGACAAGAAATAACCAAAATCAGAGCTGAACTGAAGGAAAATGAGACAGGAAAAAACATTCAAAAGATGAATGAATCTAGGAGGTTTTTTTTTAAATTAGTGAAATAGATTGTGTAACAGTCCATTTTTACATTGCTATAAACAAATACTCGAGAGTGGGCAATTTTTAAAAGAAAGAAGTTTAATTGACTCACAGTTCCACATGGCTGGGTAGGCCTCAGGAAACTTATAATCATAGCAGAAGGCAAAGGGGAAGCAAGTACCTTCTTCACAAGGTGGCAGGAGAAAGAACATGTGAAGGAGAAACTGTCAAACACTTATAAAACCATAAGATCTCGTGAGAACTCATTCATTATCACAAGGCCAACATGGGGGAAACTGCTCCTATGATCCAATCACCTCCTTCCCTTGACACATGGAGATTACATGTTCCTCCCTGGAAACATGGGGATTATAATTTGAGATGAGATTTTGAGGGGAACACAGAGCCAAACCATATCAGATTTCTAGGTACACTCATACAGAAAAAAAGGGAAAAGTTCCAAATAAACACAATTAGAAATGACAAAGAAGATATTACCACTGACCCCACAGAAATACAAATAATGATCACAGAAGATTAATGACCAGCAATAATACCCAGGCAATACTTCTAGTGCCTTGGGTGAAATTCTGAGACTTGCTGGACTCAGGCTACAATCAGCACATTTCCTGCTGTGTGTGTAGGGGGCAAGACTCCCTCTGATGGAGAAATGAGGAGGGAAAAGGGAACTTTGTCTTGGACCTTAAGTCCTAGCTCACCACAGTGGAGTAGAGCACGAAGTGGACCTAGATGTCCAACATCTAGGACATGGATGTTGGACAGCATTTCTGGACCTGCCCTGGGTGAGAGAGGAGCCCATTGTTCTGAAGGGTGAGTCCCAGGCCAGGTATCAATCATCACAAGCTGACTGAAGAGACTTTGGACCTAAAGGAAACATCAGCAATAGCTTGGCAGTATTCTCCATGGCCTCATGTTGGCAGTGGCCACAGGGTGAAACTCCTCTACCTTTGGAAAAAGGAAAGAAGAGTGGGAAGGATTGCATCTTGTGGTTTGAGTGCCAGCTCAGTTGCCGTACAATAGAATACCACTTAGACATCTAAGGTATTTAATGCTAGTCTCTGGCTCCTGGATGGCACATCTGGACATACCTGGGGCCTGGGGAAATTCGCCATCTTGAAGGGAAGAACACAGGCCTGAAAGGCCTTACCAGCAGCTTACTGTAGAGCCCCAGGGCCTTGGGAAAACATAGGCAGTAGTCAAGTTGAGGTTGTATCAGGCCTTGAGTGAGGCCCAGTATTGTACTGGCATCGGGTCTGACCCAGCACAATCCTAGTAGTGGTGGTCACAGAGGTGCTTGTGTCATTCCACCAATAACTCCAGGCAGCTCAGAACAGAGAGCGAGAGAGAGACTCCATTTTTTTTTTTTTTTTTTTGGAAGAAAGTAAGAAAAGAGAACAAGAGTTTTTGCCTGATAATCTACAGAATTCTTCTGGATGTTGTCCAAAACCACCAAGGCAGTACCTATACAAGCCTGCAAGAACCACAGTTACTTAGTTCTTAAACTTAAAAAGTTGTCCTGGGCTTCGGGCTTCTTGCGTTCTCTAATACAGATATATTTTAGATCACAACATCAAAGTTCTTTGAAATATCTGGAAAGCCTTCCTGGGAAAGATGAGTACAAACAAGTCCCTACCGCAAAGATAACAATAAATACCTTATTCCTCAATGCCCAGACACAGATGAAAATCCATAAATATCAAGACTATCCAGGAAAACATGACCTTACCAAATAAACTAAATAAGGCACCAGGGACCAATCCTGGAGAAATAGAGATATGTGAACTTTCAGACAGAGAATTAAAAATAGCTGTTTTGAGGGAACTCAAAGAAATTCAATGATAACACAGAGAAGAAATTTAGAAGTCTGTTAGATAAATTTAACAAGGAGATTGAAATAATTAGAATGAATCAAGTAAAAATTCTGGTACTGAAAAATGCAATTAACATACTGAAGAATGCATAAGAGTCTTTGTATTAGTCCATTCTCACACTGCTGATAAAGACACACACGAGACTAGGTAACTTACAAGGTAACAGAAGTTTAACCACAGTTCCACGTGGTTGGGGAGGCCTCAAAATCATGGTGGAAGGCAAGGAAGAGCAAAGTTACATCTCACATGGCAGCAGGAAAGAGAGAGCTTGTGTAGGGGAACTCTCCTTTATAAAACCATCAGATCTCATGAGACTCATTCACTATCATGAGAACAGCATGGGAAAAGCCCATCCCCATGATTCAGTTACCTCCCTCTGGGTCCGTCCCACAACCCATGGGAATTATGGGAGCTACAATTCAAAATGAGATTTGAGTGGGGACACAGCCAAACAATATCAGTCTTTTAATAACAGAATTGATCAAGTAGAAGAAAGAATTAGTAAGCTTGAAGATAAGCTATTTGAAAATACACAGAGGTAAAGAAAAAAGAATAAAAGTAATGACATACAACTACAGAATCTAGATAACAGCCTCAAAAGAGCAAATCTAAGAGTAACTGGCCTTAAAGAGGAGGTAGAGAAAGAGATATGAGTAGGAAGTTTTCTCAAAGAAATAATAAAAGAGAACTTCCAATACCTAGTGAAATATTATCAATATCCAAGTATAAGAAGCCCAAAGAACATCAAGGAGATTTAACCCAAAAGAGACTATCTCGAAGCATTTAATAATCAAACTCCCAAAGGTCAAAAATAAAGAAAGGATTATTTTAGAAAGAGCAGCAAGAGAAAACAAACAAATAACATACAATGGAGCACCAATACATCTGGCAGCACATTTCAGTGGAAACTTTACAGGGCATGAGAGAGTGGCATGACATATTTAAAGAAGTGCTGGAGAAAAAATACTTTCACTCTATAATAGTATATCTGGTGAAAATATCCTCTAAACATGAAGGAGAAATAAAGACTTCAGCCAAAAAACAAAAGCTGAAGGATTTTAACAACACCAGACCTGTCCTTCAGGAAATACTAAAGAGAGTGCCTCAATTAAAAAGAATAGAATGTTAATGAGCAACAAGAATTCATACAAAGGTACAAAACTGACTGGTAATAGTAAATACACAAAAAATACAGAATATTATAACACTGTAACTTTGGTGTGTAAACTATTCTTTTTTTTTTTTTTTTTTTTTTTTTTTTTGAGACGGAGTCTCGCTCTGTCGCCCAGGCTGGAGTGCAGTGGCGGGATCTCGGCTCACTGCAAGCTCCGCCTCCCGGGTTCACGCCATTCTCCTGCCTCAGCCTCCCGAGTAGCTGGGACTACAGGCGCCCGCCACTACGCCCGGCTAATTTTTTGTATTTTTAGTAGAGACGGGGTTTCACCGTCTTAGCCGGGATGGTCTCGATCTCCTGACCTCGTGATCCACCCGCCTCGGCCTCCCAAAGTGCTGGGATTACAGGCGTGAGCCACCGCGCCCGGCCAAACTATTCTTATCATAAGTAGAAATATTAAAACAGGAACCAATAAAAAATAATAACTACAACTTTTCAAGACCTAGACAGTATAACAATATATCAATAAAAACAACAAAAGATTAAAAAGTAGGGTAATAAAATGTAGAGTGTTTATGAGTTTTCTCTACATTTTTATGTTTGTTTGTTTATACAGTGTTAAATTATTATTAGCTTAAAATAATGGGTTATAAGATAGTATTTGCAAGTTTCATGGTAACCTTAAATCAAAAAACAGATAACTGACTGACAAAAAATTTAAAAAAAAAACTAAATTGTATCACCAGAGAAAATCATCTTAACTAAAAGAAGAAAAAAGGAAGGAAAGAAGGAAGAGAAGGCCACAAAATGAACAGAAAACAAATAACAATATGGCAAGAATAAGCCCTTATTTGTTAATAATAACATTTAATGTAAAAACAACTAAATTCTCCAATCAAAAGGCATAGAGTGGATTAATGGATTAAAAAAACTATATAATCTATTGCCTACAAGAAACATACTTCACATTTAAAGGCACTCATACATTGCAAATAAACAGATGGTAAAAGATATTCCATGCCAATAAAAACTAAAAAAGAGTGGTAGTAGCTAGACTTATATCAGACAAATTATATTTCAATATAAAAACTATGAGACAAAGAAAGTCATTATATAATGATAAATGGGTCAATTCAGGAAAAGGATATAACAATTGTAAATATATATGTGCTCAATACTACAGCACTCAGATATATATAGCAAATATTATTGAGCCACAGATAGAGATAGGCCCCAATACAGTAATAGGTGGAGACTTAAACGCCACACTTTCAGCATTGGACCTTTCAGACAGAAAATCAACAACAACAGCAACAGCAAAAAAAATTGAACTTAATCCTCACTATAGAACAAAAAATCCTAATAGTTACAGAAAATTTCACCCATCTGCTGCAGAATACACATTTTTCTCCTCAGCAAATAGATCATTCTCAAGGAAAGGTCATATGTTAGTTCAAAAAACAATTCTTAAAACATTCAAAAAAGTCAAAAATTATCAAGCACCTTCTCTCACCACAATGGACTAAAACTAGAAATTAATTACAAGAGGAATTTTGGAAACCATACACTCACATAGAAATTAAACAATATGCTGCTGAATGATCAGTATGTTAATGCAGAAATTAAAAAGAAATTTGAAAAAATTCTTGAAACAAATTATAATGGACACACAACATACTGAGCCCTATGGGATATAGCAATAGCAGTACTTACAGGGAAGTTTATAGCTGTAAGTGCCTACACTAAAAAATGAGAAAAACTTCAAGTAAACAACCTAACGACGCATCTTAAACAACAGGAAAAGCAAGAGCAAACAAAATCCAATATTAGTAGAAGAAAAAGAATAATAATAGAAGATAAATCAATGAAATCAAAACAAAGAAATCAATACAAAAGATCAATGAAATAAAAAGGTTGTTTTGTTAAATTTAAACAAAATTGACAAGCCTTTAGCCAGACTAAGAGAAAAGAGAGAAGACCTGAATAAAACCAGAGATGTAAAAGGAGACATTACAACTGATACCACAGGAATTCAAAAGATGATTAATGGCCATTATTAGCAACTATATGCCAATAAATGGAAAAAGCCAGAAGAAATTGACAAATCCTAGACACATATAGCCTATCAAGTTTAAACCATTAAGAAATCCAAAACCTGAACATATCCATAACAAATAATGAGCTCAAAGCCATAATAAATATCTTCCAGCAGAGAGGAAGTCAAACTATCTCTGTTTGCAGATGACATGACCCTATATCTAAAAAAAAAAACAAACAAAAAACACATTTTTTCAGCCCCGAAGCTTCTGAAGCTGTTAAACAACTTCACCAAAGTCTCAGGACACAAAATCAATGTGCAAAAAGTGCTGGCATTCCTATACATCAACAACAGTTAAGCTGAGAGCCACAAACAGATGCCTATTCACATTTGCCACAAAAAGAATAAAATACCTTGGAATACAGCTAACCAGGGAGGTGAAAAATCTCTACAAGGAGAACTACAAGCCATGGCTCAGAGAAATCAGAGATGACACAAACAAATGGAAAAACATTTTATGCTCATGGATAGAAATAATCAATATCATTAAAATGGTCATCCTGCCTAAAACAATGTATACATTCAATGCTATTCCTATTAAATTATCAATGACATTCTTTACAGAAATAAATTTTTAAAAAAATATTTAAAAATTTATATGGTACCAAAAATAGCCCTAATAGCCAAGGTAATCCTAAACAAAATGAACAAAGGCAGAGGTACCATGCTACCTGACTTCAAACTATACTATACTACAGGATTATAGTAACCAGAATGGCATGGCACTGGTACAGGAACAGACACATAGGCAAATGGAATAGAACAGAGAACCCAGAAATAAGACCACACACCTACAACTCTCTGATTTTTGACAAACCTGACCAAAAAAAAAAAAAAAAAAAAAGCTCTGAAGAAAGGATTTTCTATTCAATAAATGGTGTTGACATAACTGGCATATGCAGAAGATTGAAACTGGACCCCTTCCTTACACTATATACAAAAATAAACTCAAGATGGATTAAAGACTTAAACATAAAACCCAAAACTATAAAATTCCTGGAAGATAACCTAGGCAGTATCATTCCGGATACAGGCGCTGGCAAAAGTTTCATAAAAAAAATTCCAAAAGCAATTGCAACAGAAGCAAAAACTGACGAATGAGATCTAAGTAAATGAAACGGCTGCTTCATAGCAAAAATAAACTATCAACAGAGTAAACAATCTATGGAATGACAGAAAATTTTTGCAAACTCTGTATCTGACAAAGGTCTAATATCCAGCATCTATAATGAACTTAAAAAAAATTACAAAGAAAAAAAACAACTCCATTAAAAAGTGACAAAATACATGAGCAGACACTTTTCAAAAGAAGACATACATGTGGTCAACAATCATATGAAAAGAGCTCAACAACATTGATTGTTAGAGAAATGCAAATCAAATCCACAATGAGATACTATCTCACACCAGTCAGAAAGGCTACAAAAAAGTCAAATAGTAAGAAATCCTGGTGAGGTTGTAGAGAAACAGGAAAACTTATCCACCGGTGGTGAGAGCGTAAATTATTTCAGCCACTGTGGAAGACAGTGTGGCAATTACTCAAAGACCTAAAGACAGAAATAACATTTGACCCAGCAATCCCATTACTGGGAATATATCCAAAGGAATATAAATCATTCTATTATAAAGACACACGCATGCATATGTTCACTGCAGCACTACTCACAATAGCAAAGATATGATATCAACCTAAATGTCAATCAATTACAGACTGGGTAAAGAATATGTGGTACATATACACCATGGAATACTATGCAGCCATAAAAAAGAACAAGATTATGTCTTTTGCAGGAACATGAATTGAGCCTAAGGCCATTATTTTTACCAAAATAACACAGGGCCAGAAAACCAAATACCACATTTTCTCACTTATTAATGAGAGATAAATTATGAGAACACATGGGCACATAGAGGAGAACAACACACACTGGGGTCTCTTGGAGGATGGAGGGTGGGAGGAGAGAGAGGATCAGGAAAAACAACTAATGGGTGCTAGGCTTAAAACCTGGTTGATGAAACAAACTGTGCAACAAATCCCCATGACACAAGTTTACCTATGTAACAAACCTACACTTGTACCCCTGAACTTAAAAGTTAAAAAAAAAAAAAGAAAAAATATATCTTCCAGCAGAAAAATAGCTGAGGACCAGAGGGTTTCACTGCTGACTTCTAACGAATATTTAAGAAAGAACTAATACCAATTCTATTCAAACTATTCTAGAAAATAGAGAAGGAGGGAACACTACAAAACTTATTCTATGAGGCTAATATTACCCTGATACCAAAACCAACAACATATCAGAAAAAGAAAACAGGCCAATATCACTGATGAATATTGATGCAAAAATCTTCAACAAAATATTAGCAAACTGAATTCAACAACACATTGAAAACATCATTCATCATGACCAAGTGGGATTTAACCTAGAGATGCAAAGATGGCTCAATGTATGCAAATCAATCTATGTGATTCATCATATCAACAGAATAAAAGACAAAAATCATATGATTATTTCAATTGATGCTGAAAAATTACTTGATAAATTCAACATTCCTTCATTTAAAAAAATTCTCTAAGAATTGGTTATAGGATGAACATACCTCAATATAATAAAGGGCGTATACAACAGACCTACAGCTAGTATCATACTGAATGGGGAAAAAACGAAAAGTGTTTTCTCTAAGATCTGGAACATGATAAGGAGGACCACTGTCACCAGTGTCATTCAACATAGTACTGGAAGTCCTAGCTAGAGCAATCAGACAAGAGAAAGAAATAAAGGGCATCCAAGTTGAAATGGAAGAAGTAAAATTGTTCTTGTTTGTTAATGATATGATATTATATTTAGAAAAACCTAAAGAGTCCACAAGAAAATGATTAGAACTGATAAACAAATTTAGTAATTTTGTATGTTGATTTCGTATCCAAAATCCAACAACATATCAGAAAAAGAAAACAGGCCAATATCACTGATGAATATTGATTTCATATCCAAAATCAACATACAAAAACCAGTAACATGTTTATGTGCCAACATTAAGGAATCAAGAAATTTATCCCATTTACAATAGCTACAAATAAAATATGATAAATTAATCAAGGAAGGGAAATTCTCTACAATGAACACTATAAAACTTTGATGAAAGAAATTGAAGACACAAAAAATGAAAAGATATTACATGTATGTGGAAAAATAAATATTGTTAAGATATTCATACTCCCAAAGTAATCTACAGATTCAATGCAAACCCCTGTAAAATAATCACGACATTCTTCACATTAATTGAAAAAAAAATTCTAAAACTTATATGGAACCACAAAATACGCAGAATAGCCAAAGCTATCCTAAGCAAAAAAAAACTACACTGGAGAAATCACATTACCTGATGTCAAATTATACTACAGAGCTATACTAACCAAAATAGTATTGTACTGGCATAAAAACAGACATATAGGCCAACGGAACAGAATAGAAAACCCAGAAATAAATTCATACATCTACAGTAAACTCATTTTCAACAAATGTTCCAAGAATATACATTAGGGAAAGGACAGTTTCTTCAATCAATACTTCCTGGAAAACTGAAAACTGGATATCCATATGCAGAAGAATGAAACTAGACCGCTATCTCTTGCCATACACAAAAAAATCAAATCAATGCATATTAAAGACTTAACTCTAAGACTTCAAACTATGAAATTACTAGAACACTTTGGGGAAACTCCTCAGGAAATCTGAGTGTGCAAAAACTCTTTGAGCATTACCCAACAGGCACAGGCAACCAAAGCAAAGATGGAGAAATGAGATCACATTTCATTATTCAGATGATAGGCAGAAATGTATCATGGACATTAGAACTGATTATAGAAGAACAGAAGAACTACCCCAACACAGTGTAAAAAGTCAAAAGCAACATTTTACATTTAAAATACCAAAAATTGATAAAGTATGTTGTTAATATTGCTAATATGTCAAAATTAAAGATTAAAGGTAAGTTTCTTCCTTACATAACAATTCAGGTTTATGACGGATTTCAGGAAAATTTTTTCTTTAAGTGCTCTTTCTATTTCATCAAAACATCAATGTATTATACATTACAGTTTAAGATAAAAGTGTATGAGTGAAATAAATTATTGTTATAAAGAACAGTGGAACAATAGGACAGAAACATCACCAAATATAAAGTGGACAACAAAGAAATGTGTGCATATGCACAATGAGTGCAAATATATTTGGAACATTCAATATATCCTGCAGCATTTTAAAATTTTATCAGCACAAAAAATATATATATTTTTCAACTGATTGCTTAAACTCCATGTTTTTAGAAATATTTTGTCTGTCAACCTTAACTTATCATAGGTTCCCATGTAATCCATGTGTTATAATTTGGCAAAGAAAATGCATATTACATATTATTTACAAATTCATAAACAATGTAAACTTTGTTAGTAATTTAGAAAACATATACAATTTATAGATCAAATTGGAATAGAATACAGAAAAATATAATTATATCTTTAATGGCTGCTCAAACAAAATACTGAAAATGCTTATACTATCAGAGGAGAGAAATGAATAATAAATTCATAGGTAATTTGAAAGCAACTACTTTAAGCCAAATAAATAACTATAGAGTCACATTTATTTTATTATCTAAAGATTGATGACACACAATTTAGAAAAAGCATTCAGATATATAAGATATCCAACTGACTGAATGCCCTTCCTAGATTTCAGATATTTTAAATGTATCAAAAATGTGTTTGAAGCAAACAGTTGATGTTTTATGAGAAGCAAAAAGGTAAACAGTTCTTAAACACAAATCAGCACTGCATTTTAAAATGAAACATGCAACATGGTGATGGTTTGTGTTGATTTCTACTGTACCTTTCTTTAGTCCAGGTATGAAAGCTAAAAAGAAATTTTAATAAAGTTAAACACAATAAATATTTTCTCTTATTTCTACAACATTATATTAGCATACCTAAATAAATATAATTTGTAAGGTATTGCAATATATTTTCTACTTCACTTTACAAAGAATGTGATAATTGAGACACACTAGGACTGCTGCTCCTTCGCATTTGTATTTTGTAATACATTTTTATAGAATTGGACCAAGCCTATGCAATATGTTGGCTTCCTGGGAAGTAATGATTGGTGCTTTCCACAAAGGAAATGTGTTATTAAACGTAACGTTTTGCAGTAACTCAGTAGATTTTCTAGCTTCGTCGCCTGTGATGGCTAAGTACAGTCCTCTACTGACATACCAGTTTCTTTCATGCAACCTCCTACTATAAGTGTAGAGCAAGAAAAGACATTGTTTTTGACTTAACAGGTTGCTCTGTCTCCAAACTTCTGACATATAAAATAGTAATAGGAAAAACCCAAAATCAGCAGGCACTAGCATGAGAATGGCCCAGTAGAATTATTCTTATCATGGTTTAAGAAACTTTTTCTATAATACCATTGTCTTCACCTAAAATTTTATATTATTTCTCACAATTAGGACATAAGGGATTAGAGATTATTGTCATTATTTTCTAGATAAATTCAAGCCTTGCATTATTGACTTTCTTCAAAACACTGTGAAATCATGCTTGACCTGGAACAAGTAGCAAAGTCTATTTTTAAACAAAATAATTGTATGTTTATAAACAGCCAAATATGTATTGATCTGGGCAGATGACTCTCAAGTTTATTCATTACAAAATTTTAAAGCCAATATTAATAAATAATTTCCTGATCACATCTGCATTTTAGGAATTATTTAATAATATCCATTATGGATAAAAGCTTAAAGATAAACATTTTGAATTTGTTAAAAATCTATTTTGAATAAAATTAGAATATTACAAAACTGAAGACATGAAATTCTTAGATGGAATAAAGCAGAATAGAAAAATAGAGGTGAAAGTAATGTTTCTATGCACTAATAAGGATCAATAAAAGAGCATTGTACAACACTTTTAAGTGTCACTGACAAACAGCACATTTATTTCTCATTGCAAGGTGTTTCATCTGTATGCAATGTAATTTAATGGTAATACAAGCTGAAGTATAAAATTTTTTTAAAATAGTGCTTTCATAAAACACTTTGGGGAGGATTGATCTTCTACATAGAATTTTGCAATTCCCCACCCTTTAAATGAGGATTCTACTTCAATGATAAGAAACACACAAACACACATACACACAGAATCACTCTAATTTTGTATTAATTAGAATTCATAATCAACTCGTAATATTTAAGTGTAGAGTTTTCAAATATACAAAACTCTAAAAAGAGAAAGACTGCTTTAAACAGAAAAGTAATAACGTACGTGCTTTTCATTTTTAAAGACTGCAATTTCAGTGTTGTCTAGAGCTTAGTGATAAAAATCCTTTCTAATTTGGTAACTAAAAAGGTCAAAAAAATAAGTAATGTAATGGGTCTGGACTTATTTCTAATAGTATGGAAGGTACAAATAAAAGAAGCAAAACGAGGGACGTGACAACAATAAAAAAGAAAACAAACACATTTTAACAACTTATTCAAGACTTTTAGTTCCCAAATTGAAAAGTGAAAATTGGTTTATAAACCACCAAAGTCAAATATTGATTAATTTTCCTTAAAATTCAGAACAATAAGCATATTTGGCTTAAAACTTTTAAGACTGAATGTGAAGAATTTCTCGAATTCATCACATGAGAAATGGTCCAGAAAAGGAACCATTTTCCCACTGTAAGGGAGTATATATATATATCTATATATATCTTATATACTAACAACCACTAAGAAATGCATTCATTATAATTATTAGGACTTTTTTGTGTAAGCTAAAGGCCCATCTTGAAATGTATCTCTAAATCTCAGAGTAATTTTTAATTAAGGTTTAAAGGTTTATCATTGACATTTTTAAAGCATCAACACTGCCCAAGATGTTTGTGGTAAACAGGTCAGCATAGTCCTTGTCATCTGAAATACTATAGTCTATGTGAATCATTATGACTGAAACTAATTTTTAAAATAAATAATCCAACCGAATTTTATATTATGAATGACGAGGTATATAATATGACTAATGTGTAACTTAAAACATAATTTGTCTAATATGGAAGATGAACATATCTCACACGTTAAGTGTGTTTTTAACAAGAAGATTGTTTTTAGGCTATTAAATATTCTGTGATTAAATTTATTTGTTAATAAATTTAAAAACGATAGTTTAGGCATCATTATTTTTACTTACACAAATTCAATAATAATAAAAAATTATGTTTGCATAAATTCTTACTTTGAGTATAATTGAGTTTTTAACATTATTTTCTGAATTAATGACTAGCAAATATTTTAATTAGTAAACTAAAACAATAGAAATAACTAGGCTTCTTTTACCACAAAATTAAGAAAACATACATTTTAAAGAAAAAAAATCTCCTCTTTGAGTTTCATAAATATTACTAAAATTTATCATGAGAACAATACCAAAACATGCTACATTATCGCATACACACATATTTTAATATCTCCTTTATATTCCTAAAACAAATTTTAAGTACTAAATATGAGCTAGAAATATCTGGCTAAAAGTAAATGAGAATTCCAAATAACTAGATGATGTTTGAAGAGCTTATAGGTCAATAGAACTCACCATAAAATTCACAGTGTTGGCGTAACCTTTGTTGATCAAGTACCATGCATCATTCTATAATTGCCATTTACTTCAATAAAGAAGTAACAGTTGCAGTTTTATTATGCATAAATTTTAAAGTCATGTAATAAAGCTGCATTAATGAAGCCATTTTAAAATAAAAGTGTTATTTCTTGGAATAAATAAGAAGTGAAAACATTTTCAAAGACATTTGTTTAGAAATAATCAGATATCTTTACTACTAGAGTCAATTGAAATATAATATTGCATGTAAGTATCACTATGCATATGCATATATCTCCTCCTTAATTCAGTGAATTACAATGTTTATTATAGTTCCTAATACAAATAAAATCTGATCAGTCAAGATTCAATTCACCTGAAAACTAATGTTTATCCTATTCTTATGGGCTTTTTTTGTTTCTTTAAGAGACATGTTCTCACTCTGTAGCCCAGGCAGGAGTGCAGTGGAAAGATCATAGCTCAGTACAACCCCAAATTCCTGGGCTCTAGCAGTCATCCCATCTCAGCTAGGACTACAGGCCTATGCCACCTATAGCATGGACTAGCATATGCAACCGTGATACAGGCTAACTTTTGAGAACAAGTTTCTCATTTTCTTATGCAAAGCCACACAGTAGTTTATACTGCAGGTCACAGGATATGGCAGAATCAGCATGAAAAAAATGAAATCAGTGTACGGAAGACTGTGGTGTCAAATTAATAAACCAATACCTCTTTGAATAATGCTAATTTTAAAAAATTCTACAAAATATGCAAAAAAGATTCAATTCTTCTTGATGTATAATTCAAATCACCCCAGTGAATCTCCTATTGAGTGCAAAACTAATATACTGTAGCAGTTTTGTACTTGTGTAGATTGCATAGAGTCTGAACTACAAAAATAGTGAAGCTCGAATCAAATTTTCTATTCAAATTGTGTGTAAGGTTAAGGCTACTGTATTAGTTTGTTCTCATGCTGCTATAAAGAACTGCCCAAGACTGGGTAATTTATAAAGGAAAGAGGTTTAATTGACTCACTGTTCCACAGAGCTGGAAAGGCCCCATGAAACTTACCATCATGGTGGAAGGAAAAGCAAACACACACTTCTTCACATGGCAGGAGGAAGGAGAAGTGTCAAGCAAAGGGGGAAAAGCCCCTTATAAAACCATCAGATCTCTTGAGAACTCACTCGTTATCATAAGAACAGTATGGGGGTAACTGTCCCCATGATTCAATTACCTCCTACCAGGTCCCTCCTGTGACATGTGGGGATTATGGGGACTATAATTCAAGATCAGATTTGGGTGGGGACACAGCCAAACCATATGAGCTACAAACAGAGAAGCTGCAATGTGATTAACATAATGAGCATCTTATTTGCAGTGAAATAAGTGTTGCAAATATAAAATTAATTATGTATCCCTGTATATTAAAGTTTCTATCCATATTCCTCTGTGCCTTGAGTTTCAATAAAAATTAGGTTACTACTGGATCAAAGAAATATAAATTTGAAAATTGACAACAGCGAAAGTCATAATGTTGCCTTTATTATAGAGGTAACTAAAACCTTAGGAATCGAAACATTTTCACAAAATATGCAATTACCATTTTCTACATTAACAGAATTTTGCTTGACTGAACTCATGCAGTGCCATAATACCAGATGGCTTATTTTCTTTCATAGCCTAGAGTTGTACTTTTTTTTCCATTTCTGAAATTAACTCATTTTTCCTATTCTTCACAAAATCTTCCTAGTCCACAAGCTATTGGCTCTATTTTCTGCCCTTTTATTCAAGGGAAATCTTTGCAAAGGCTGTAATGGATACCACCTTCAAGTCTCATTTTTTTATGTTGACAGTGTTTACGCGCTTCAAAGAGCACAGAGTTACAACTTAAATTTTATCTAGAATAAAACGATTAGAGAAGTCAAGGACCAGAGCCCTTAGACAGTCATCCGATTCAGCATCCTCAATATACACATGAAGAATGACATCAAGAGAAATAAAATGACTTAGATCTAAGACTAACACAACAAGTTAGAGACATAAGTAGAATTAGAATTCATGTTTTCATTACCAAGGAACTCACATACTATTAAATGCCACCATTTACAGATCATTTCCAAGATATGAAAACAATACATATATCCAAAACTATTTGCTCAAGGAAAACTTTTATTGCAGGGAGTATCAACAGATCAGTGCTTTTAGATTATACATTTGGAAAATTCCAATTTAGATGAATACTAAATGCAATTTACCCCCTCATGTTCACATCAACTGACAAGGGCAGAATAAGAGAAAATCATATTTTAAGAAATAAAATCTTGCTTTGGCAGATCCAACAAAATGATAATGCCTATTGAAAAATACTAATTAGCAATTTAACTTAGTCCTTAAGAGAAATAGAATATAATTGTTCCTTTTTGCTAAAAATATAAGGCAAAAATTTCCACCTCAAAATCTAGCCTTAATATTTTAAATTGTTCATGGCTATATAAAGAGAATCTAGCCAATCATAATAACTCCTTTTGGTAGCTAAAATTAAAAGAATAATTCTGAGATATACAGAACTGGACATCTTACAGAAAAATTTATATATGATCACATTATTTTTTCATTTGGTTTTCTCCAGGCCATCTGACTTCACTAATTACATTGTCAAACTATCCTAACAACACAAATGTCAATTTAAAATCCTTCTCAGTTAGTTTGGATATTTAAGATAACAAATTCTTTTTTTAAAGAATCTTTTTAAAGATTTTGCTGACTCCCAGAAAGAACTCAAGAAATATGAATTATGGAGGACTCAACTTTTCTCAAAAATAAATGTGGGAATAAAAATTGTTTCATGGTCCATTGAAAGTTCCTACTAAGGCACTGGTTACACTGCTTTGGGAGGTACATGAAGCAGTTATGATAATATACAAATTTTAATGACGATGAGAAATTCCCAAAGCAAAATTTTGAGGGCTGGATCCATTATTTTCTTCAGTTTGGCAAAGAAAATACTAAGAAATCAGTATTTCT